>NC_000020.11:59399122-60016002 GCF_000001405.40 Homo sapiens
TTTCCACCTCGGAGACTCGTGTGTGTCTGGGTATGGGCAGCAGAGAGTCGCTGTCTGTGAGTTGTTTGCTCTTCCCGAGGGCAGGAAAATCTGTATCAGGCAGAAAAATCTGTTTTGAAAACACGCATGCACATTCATGCACACAACACACATACGTACCACACACATACCACATGCATGCACACACAGGCAAAATGTCTTTCCTTCCTTCAGGAAAGGTGCACCCCTGGAAAGCCCAGGCACTCTTTCTCAGTTTCCAGAAACCTGCCGGCATTGCTTGTCTTCAGAGACAACGTGTCTGTCAATGAGGAAAGTCTCTCTCGGAGGCCCTTATCTCTAGGAGAGAAAAACACACAATGAGAGAAACTCACTCTCCCTCTTCCCACACTCAGAAATCCGTGTGTGTGTATGCACTGCGCAGGAAAAACAAGCAAAACAAACCAAAACCAAACCTCTGTGCTCTGGCCCGTGATCTCTCCGTACACAGGAGAACGTGTGTGCCATTTTCCAGGCAGAAAAAACGATTTTGGACACGTGCAAGCTCACTCGGATACGCACACACTCATGCAGAAAGGCCTCAGTTTGCACCAGAAAAACAAGCTCTATTTCCTCTTGGTACCTGGCCCTCAGAACAGTCTGTGTGCACCTCCAGATAGAAAATGTTTTTTCCCTTTCACTCAGAAAAGGCTCCATCCTAAGCTACCTGTAATGAGGCAGAAACGACCTCCACCATTAGTAAAAGGCGCAACTGAGTAACTCACACGCACATGTTACTCTTTCCACACTGAGAGAATCCTGCATGTGTGCCTGCTTGTGCAAAAAACCAAAACGTGTCTGGTTTGAGGCTTTCTGTGAGCTCAAAGAGACCTATCTTTTTCCAGATAGAAAAAAAACCCTGTCTTTCCAACACACACACACACACACACGCACACACACACACACACACGAATACACGGCACTTGGGACAGAAATGTCCCCCTTGCCGGCCCCAGGGTGCACCGCCTCCAGCACACGATGCTCATTCCCTGCAGTTCTTGGCTCATGAGCAATTGCCAATTTGTGTCTGTCTTCAGGCACAAGACATTCTCTCACCCAGAAAGGGCCCCCAAGAAAACACAATTCAGATAACACACACATACACACACACACACACACACACACCTTTCTCCAATTCTCACTAAGGCTTCACCACCTAGAACATGATTTCTCAGTTCTTGGAATATTTTGTGTCTGTTTACGGGCAGAAAATGATCTGTCTCACTCAAATGTCTGTCCCTGAAGCTGCCCTCTACTCTCTCCCGCACCAGAGAAAAGCCCACTCACACTCGCCCGCCCTTTTCACACTGAGCAAAGTCTGTGTGTGTGCACCTGCACACACTCTCATGTACGTGGCCAAAAAAATGTCCGTTGGTTCATCTCTTTCTGCAAACAAATGTGTCTTTTTCTAGGTAGAAAAATCACACACACACACACACACACACACACACACACACACACACACACACGTGTTTCCCCTTCTCTCAATAACTTTGCACCACCTGAAAGGTCATTATCCAATTCTTGGCTCTTGAGAAATCCTTTATCTCCAGTTAGAAAATACTGTTGCTCCCTGAGAAATGTCTAAAGTGCTCTGTCACTAGGCTGAACAACCTGCCGTGCCCTCCCCTGCACACACACACACTCACACCAGTCAGCAGGCGCGCACACACTCACAACCAGAAGAGCACTGTGTGCACGTCAGTACACATCCTGTCAGCCTTTCCATGTCTGCGCACACACACACACACGCGCGTGCGTAGGCAGAAACCTTCCCCCTGCCCATCAAGTGTCACCACTTAAAAATCACTTCTTTTTCTTCTAATTCTCAGCTTATGAAAATCTGTGTGTGTGTGTCTCCAGACAGAAAATGATTTTTTTTCCTCCTAAATTGCTTCCTCCAGAGCACTTTCTCACTGGGAGAAATGATTCCCCTCCCCAAGAAAAACACTTTAGAGAAGACGATCACTCCCACTCTGACTTCCTTTTCATATTGGAAAATTGTGTGTGTGTGTGTGAGAAAAACTGTTCCCTTTTGGTCTGTTTTTTTTTTTTGCAAGCCAAAAAACCACGTATCTTTTTTTTCCAGGCAGAAAAACTACTGTCTGTTTTTCTGTCTATCTCTCTCTTATATACACAGATGTACACACATGTGCACACACACACACACACACGCAGAATGTCTTTGTTTTCTAAGTATTTACCATCTGAAATAACCAGCACTTTCCAATCCCCAGCCCTCAGAAAAATATGTTTCCAGGTAGAAAATATTCTCTGTCTCTCAGAAAAGTCTCTCTCTAAAGGTTTGTCACTGGGCAGAAATCTCTCTTTCTCTCTCACATACACACACACAACAAGAAGGAAAATGTGTGTTTGTGGTTGTGGTTGTGTGTTTGTTTTTGTGTGTGTGTGTTTGTGGGTACAAGCCGATGAAAGTCTCTCCATGTTGAGCTGCCTCCCTGCAAGCAAAAAAATACATGTTCTTTTTTTTCCAGAAAGAAAAAATACGCCAACACACACACACACACACACACACACACACACACACACACACAGACATGTGGCTCTTCTCTATGTACTACCTGAAAAACAAGCAAACAAACACTATTTCTGGGCTTGCAGAAAATTATGTGCTTGCTTGTTTCCAGGCAAATAACAATATTCTTAATCTTCACTCAGAAAAGTCACTTTTCAAAACTCACTGGGCAGAAATACATTCTTCCCTAAAAAATAACAACCTACTCTCACCGTCTTTCCACACTTAGAAAAGTGTGTGTGTGTGTTTGTGTGCACGTGTGTAGTGGGAAAAAAACCCTCACTTTGTTAGTCTATCTCTTCCTGCAGGCAGAAAAATATACGCATCTTTTTCTCTGCGGGAAAACATGTACGTGAGGTGCACTGGCACACACACACACACACACACACACACACAATCTCAGGCAGAATGTCTGTTTTCTCACTAAGTATGCACCACCTGAAATACCAACACTTTTGAAATTCTCGGCTCACAGAAATACATGTGTCTCCAGGCAGAAAATGTTCTTTTTCCCTCTCAGAAAAGTCTCTCTCTAAAGCTTTTCATCACCGGGCAACATAACTCCCCTCTCCCCAAGAAAGCACACACAAAATATGAAAAACACACGTTGGAAAAGAAGAAAACTCTGTGTGCATTCATAGGTGTGTGGTTATAAGCAAAAATGTCTCTCTGTGTGGATTTGTCTCCCTGTAAGCAGAAAAATACGTATGTGATTTTTCCAAGTGGGAACAAAATTCTTCTCTTTCTCTCACTGTCTTTCCCTCTCACTGTCTCCCCTCTCTCTCTCTCACACACACAGTACAGACACACACGCGCGCGCACACACACACACACACACACACACACACGTCTCTTCACCGGGCTCCCCTGCTAAGCAAATATGTCTCCCATTCTCTAGGGAAGTGTGTGTGCACCACTTGAAAAACACTATTTTGTAGCTTGCAGAAAATTATGTATACGTGTATGTTACAGGCAGAAAATGCCCTCCCTCTTTTTTTCTTTCTCTTCTTCTTTCTCTCTTTCCCTCTTGGAAACGTTTCCCCTGCCACAGCCAAGAAACACACACCACATTAGGAAAACATAAGTACCTGCTCACTCCCCAGGTAGCACATGTTACGGGTGTGTGCACACGGCCCTGCCTGTTGCTCTGTCTCTCCCCGCACACAGGAAAACACGTGCTTGTGTGTGCTTTCTCCAAGAAGAAAAATCAATCTTTCTCTCTCTCTGCCTCTGTCTCTCTCTCCCTCTGGTGGAAAAATCATAGTTTATTGCTTTTTCCCACCAGCAGAAATATCTCCTACCTTAACCCCTTACAGGGGCTGGGGACCTGCACGCACTCGCCCTGCAAATCTGAAAACCCGGCGCTCTCCCTCCTGCTCTTTAGAAAAAGGGGCATGGGTCACTGTCACCCATTTTCTTATCACGAGAAGAGAGTGCCTGTGTTATTCTCTCTTTAGCTAGGAGAGCTCTCTGTCTTTGTCACACGCACCCCCTTTCCATGTCTGAAAAGGGTGTTTGTGTCACTGTCTGGGCCCAATGTCACTGTCCATTTACTCTGCACCCTGGGCAGGCAGTGCCTTTCACTAGGAAAGAAGGAAGTTTCTCCCACTGCTCCGTCCCCAGGGTCCTCTCAGGGACCTTCCCCCTGTCCCCGCACCTAGTCCAGGTGGGAACCGGTCTCCCCTTGCAGGGAGGCGCTCTGTCTTCTCCCGGGCCTGGATACACAGGTGTCGCAGCAGGAGTTCAATGTACCCCGTGACGCCCTCGCGGCCAGACGCCCCTGCCCAGAAAGAGGGGACCCTCCACTTCACTGAACCCAGCCCGTGCCAGGCCCCCGAGGACACCGGGCCACAGTCTCCTAGGATGCTCCCAGGCCTGGAGCGGGGCAGGGTATCTCGGTGCCAGGCAAGTTGGTCCCCAACGAGCCACCCCAGCGGGGGTCCCTCCTCCAGTCCCCTGAATCCCTTGTCTCTGGGACCACGTCTCATCTAGGCTCAATCAGGGGCGATGACAACAACCATGACTTTGCCCCAGGAACCTGAGTGGGGGGCACGGGGCCCGAGGAAGAAGGGGCCAGCGGGCTGTTCCCCACGCTGCACCCCCACTCTGGCGCAGCGAAGTCTGCAGATCTCTGGGCCCCGGCGCTGCCGAAGCCTCCCCCACGCGCCGCGCTCACTCGCTGCACAACAGCGCCACCACGAGGCCGCGGGCGGAACTGCCGGCAGCACAGCGGTCGCACCCCCCGGGCCCCCCGCCGGCTGTGCGGATCCCGAATCCCTGCTTGGCTCGGAGCTGCCAGGTCTAAGCCGACCCTCAGAGACGCACGCCCCTGACCCACTGGGCAGCTGTGGTGTCTTTGTATACAATGTTCCCTTCCTTTCTCCTCTTCTCGTAGATGTTCAGATTCCAAGGGACTTTTCCAGAAGCTTCCAGAAAACTTTCCTTTTAGGGGCCCAAGAGACCTTGATTTCAGGGACACAGTGAACCCCACTTAGGACCCCAAGAAAAGGGACTTGTCTCCAATCTCCTGTCCTAGAATGTGCAGACTTAGGGGGCTCTCCTGTACTCCTGGGTCCCGCACATCTGTCCAGCCCCGCCTCGTTCACCAGAGGCAGCAGAGACAGGCTGAGCACACAGACGTGGGCTCAACTCTCTGCCCATCCACTCACTGTCTGGGGAACTTGAACAACTCACGTTGCCTTTCTGTGCCTCAGTTTCCCCATCTGGAACTGGTCTAAAAGAACACCCCCCGGTAGAGCTTCTGGGAAGATCACATGAAGTATGAAGCTTTGAGAGCTTTTGTACCCGACAGGCTCTCAGGAGGCAGCAGTCCAAACGGTGGAGGGATCATTATGACTAAGCAGGCACAGCTCCCAGCCGAGGGGGAGCTGGATCTCCCTGGCATCGACCACCCCAGGATGGTTATGGGATAAATACCTCTGCAGACGTTCAAGTGGAGAGGCTCAGGAGGATGCCGGGAATGTCTGCTGTTGCTGGGTGGGGAATTCAAATGATTTGTGTTCACTGTATCCCAGCTAAGAAGTTCTGGGCCGGGGCAATCTTTCTGATGCCCTCTTGTCTCCTGTTAACAAGGATTAGCTCAGCAGTATAGACAGGACCATAAAATATACCACCTTAGCCAGATCCTGGGGAGGCCACTAATGGAGCCACACTGGGCCAGGTCCACGGGGGCCTCTCAGTCACAGCTGGGAGATGAGGCAAAGCCACCGTCGTCCTCACCTGCCCATCCACCATCCCGGTGAGGTCAGTGCTCAAAACCTGTCTTTATCCCAGTCCGGTCTCACAGGGAGTATTTGTGCTGCTTTAAAGCCCTTCCCGGTGTCCTACTTACTTCTCCCTCTCAACCCGCCGGCTGAGATAGGCTAAAGAGAACATCGTTTCTTCAACAGATGTTTATTGAGGACCTGTTATATTTCGGGAGCCGTGCTGGCCGCTAGGGACACAGCCTGAACAAGATAGGTCCCTCTTCTCTCAGGGAACTGACATTCTGGTGGAGAGAGGACAAAAACCATGTATTAATAAGTAAACAAGACAATTTCAGAAGACAAAGGCTGTGAATGAAGCAAAATAGGATAGACAGTAATTGGAGAGGGCTCCTTTACACAAGGGGCGGGGGGCGGGGATAAGAAGAAGGAGCTGGCTGAGTGCAGAACAGCAGGAAGGGTATTCTAGGCAGAGTGAATAGCAGGTTGAGGCCCGGGGTCAGGGGAGAATGAGCTCTGCCCGTTTGAGGAATGGCAGGAAGGGCCCTGGGGCAGGTGCGCAGTGGTCAGGGAAGCGGCCAGAGCTGGCTTGTGCTGGATGCAAAGAGAAGGTAAGGGATTGGAGTACTTAATAAATATTTGTCAAGTGAGTGAATGCATAATTTGATCTATCCATGTACAGTTGACCAGGTGGCGAAGGTTTGCCGAGTCAGCTTCTGTCCATTTTCTCTACTTAGTGGTGTCAGCTCTCAAAGACTTCTTGCTTCAGAGCCCCTCTCCGTGCTCCTGTGAGGGTGGGGATGAACCCTGAAAAGCCGTCTCCTTGTGGGCATTGCTGTTGTGTTCTCAGCATTCTTGCACGTTGACTTAAAGCTATTCAAACTCCTTATGAGCATCTGAGGGAGAGGAGCTGGATCCACACTCTGGACTCTTGACTCCAACTTTGAAATAAAATATTTAAACAGCCCATCTCATGATATTCAAAACAATAGTCTGAAAAGTATTCTGCAATAGTCATTGAAACAAAATGCCTAATTCCCAAATTACCAGTCTACAGAGTTCCCAAGGAAGAAGCGTGGATGTGAAACAGCTGCAGACTCCGTTGTTTCCTGGATGGCCCGAAACAGTTGTTCTCACTCAGTTTCACTTGAGAATCACTTTCAAGGAGGAGACTTTTTCAATTTGCCATAAATCTTACCATGTTTATTTTTAGAAGTTTCAGCTCCGTGATAATTTGCAAATGAGAAATGTTTAGAACCCATGTTGAACTGAACTTCCCCAAGAGGAGACTGGATTACATTAGATGAAATGGAAATAGAAGTCAAATTTTGGGGAACACTGACGTCCTTGCCATGAAACCATCCATTGTGGATGTGCCCTCATTGTGGAACCTCACCTGCAATGTTTATGTGCTGGAAATAGAATTATATCAGCCATTCACACTTTAGTCTAAACATGAGGCACTTGTTCCTGCTCTCCATCATGAATCCATGTGAATCCTAAAAAATAAGATATCTTTTGTCCCAATTTCACAGTGGACCAATGGAGGAGCAGTGGATGTGTAGCCACCGAAGTCTCAAGATGGCTTTGGAGGTTCTGGGTGATGATGGGGGCTCCAGGGTTTCTAAGAATCTTTGAGAAGTCCACACTTGGGAGCTGGAAAGCCATCCAGAGCAAGGCAAGTGTTGATCCTCACAAACAAGAATTTCCCAAAGTTGCGAAAGAAGCCCTGCTGAGGAAGCAGGAGTACTAAGCTTGAGTCTTGGCTCCCGCTCTCCCTGTGTGACAACAGCCAAGCTCTAGGCCCATAGAGGAAAGAGTCTGAATCCCCAATCCAAACCTTTCACTTCTCAGCTAGGAAACGGGGGCTTACTGAAAGAGGGCACTGCCAGGTTGCCAGTGCAAAAGTTGTCCTTTCTGAGCCTCAGTGTAAACCCACAGGGGGTGTCTTCCTCACAGTCACGTGAGCAGGCCAAGCCTTCCTTCTGACTCCCAAGTCATCTGTGGACAGAGACAGCTGGAGAAACGGTTTCCTAGAGCACTAGCAAGCCTCTAGCTGGACATACCTCCATTGAGTTTCATCAGAAACGGGTAAACCTGGGTGCAGAGTTGCATAAACTTAGGCAGGTGCATCCAGATCCCAGAGCCTTATTCCTGGATGTAAGGTTTCTTGCGAGGTGTGGCTTCTCTGCTTGCTGCAATCCAAGGAGTGAAAATGTATTTTGTATCTTCTCCTCAAGAAGAGAAGAAAATAACGAAAGAAGGAAAAACAATAAAAGAAGGGTAAAAAGAGGAGAGGCAAATTGAGCTACGTTGGGTTTATCTCAGTCATAAAATGAGGGATGACTTCCGTAAAGTTCATATTCTTTCTGCCTCTTGTCCAACTGTTTAAGCAATTATTGAGTGTCTCCTATGTTCTGGGGGCTATGCTGCAGCCTGAGGTTACAAAGAGTGGCAGGACCTGGCTGTGTCTTCAGTAAACCCCTACTTTCTACACTCAAGTTAGGGAGATAATGTCAAGGAGTTTAGCTTTTGCTTACTTGTTTCTTTTCTTTTTTTCTTTTTCCCTTTTCCATTTCCCTAGGCCTGTTTCTGTACCTTGCTCTTTCCTTCCTAGCTCTGCTCTCTCCATCCCTCTTTGACCACCACGTACAGTAATACTTTTATTCACTGAGTGTATTACGTTGAGTTTTATCTCACATGTCCTTTACTTTAGAAATGAATGACTCTGATTCATGGAACCTCTCTCCACACACAGGATTCATTTGCTTTTTTTGGCGTGTGGGACTCTGGATGGAAAAAATTTCTTGTCCTTGAATTCAGGAGCACTTCTATCAT
Source organism: Homo sapiens (assembly GCF_000001405.40). NCBI lineage: Eukaryota > Metazoa > Chordata > Mammalia > Primates > Hominidae > Homo > Homo sapiens. The sequence goes on from NC_000020.11 coordinate 59,407,757, forward strand.
GCCTCCTATAATAAGATTGAAAGTTCTATTGGCCACATTTTTGGAGGACTGATTTTAGTCATAAACATATAGGTTCAGCAAGACACCCAGAAAAGTAGGATGTTTTTTTCAGGGCTCCTAGGCTAGTGCTCGGGTGAGAACACAAGTTGTTTAGATTCGGGGGCATTATGGTGCTCAAAGTTGACTTTAAATGAATGATAGAGTGACAGTAGCTTGCTGAAAGGTTTGGTGATTGGAAAAGGTCTTTCTAGCTTCACCTTTCTCAAGCAGTGTGAAATATGCATGGCAAGTCTTATTTTCTATTTAGGCAAATCCATCCCTTTGCTGTCGATAAGAACGAAACCAAAAAAGGTCACAATTTTTCACTGTCAACAAGAAACAAAGAGCAAATGAATTAGGGCTGCAGCCTGGAAAACAGGAGCCAGGGTGGGAAAAACAAGAAAACGAGAGCTGGCCCTCATGTATTGCTTCCTGGTCCCCATGGGCCTATTGAGGACCCCCTGCCCTGCCCCCAGAGGTGAGGCCTTCTCATTTTTCATATCTTTGTGACCTTCAAGCATTGTTTCTTTGAAAGGAAGGGGGGCAAAGGAAGCAGGGATAAAATAGAAGATGGAGGCCCCCCACGAGAAGAGGAAAACCAGAATTGCACTCACCCAAGGAACCACAATCTGTATTTCTTGAGCAGATTTCCTTGAAACACGTTTATTTTATTTATGTATTCGTTTGTTTATTTTTTTGAGGCAGAGTCTTGCTGTGTCACCCAGGCTGGAGTGCAGGGGTGCGATCTCGGCTCACTGCAACCTCCGCCTCCCGGATTCAAGTGAATCTCCTGTCTCAGCCTCCTGGGTAGCTGGGATTACAGACATGCGCCACCACACCTGGCTAATTTTGTATTTTTAGTAGAGATGGGGTTTCACCATGTCGGTCAGGCTGTTCTTGAACTCCTGACCTCAAGTCATCCACCTGCCTCAGCCTCCCAAAGTGCTGGGATTACAGGCGTGAGCCACTGCGCCTGGCCTTGACACACATTTATAACAAACTGGAGTATTTTCCATGCTCCATGACGTGCTTAATAGGCATCTTTAAAAATGGCGATGCAGGAAGTTCACTCACACAACAAACAACCCTATATTTTGCAGCTGAATTCTCCTCTGCGCTTCATCAGGCATAACTCACTGTGGGGGAGCACATTCAGATGGCAAGAAGAGATTTCCCAGACCCTGTTGACTGCTAGGTACCTGCTAGGTACATGCGGTCTAAGTCCTCATTAGCATGGGAAGTTTGGGAGCAACAGGCAGAACTTTCTCTGATCGTGCACACCGTGAGGAGGACCAAGCAGACATAGGAGGAAACAAGAAGTGGATGCATGGTCTCCTCACCTTGGAAGCAACAAGCAACTCAGCCACATGATAAACCAGGAAGGAAAATGTCTGACTGATAATAGGTGACAGAATGAATCAAGGGAGGAAGGTCCCTTTGGGTCGGGGTCCCCAATCCCCGGGCCATTGACCTATACTGGTCCCTGATGTGTTAGGAACCAGGCTGCACAGCAGGAGGTGAGTGGCAGCGGAGCGGGTATTACTGCCTGAGCTCTGCCTCCTGTCGGATCCGCAGTAGCATTAGATTCTCATAGGAGAACGAACCCTATTGTAAACTGCATAGGCGAGGGATCTAGGCTGCACACTCCTTATGAGAATCTAATGCCTGATGATCTGTCACTGTCTCCCATCATCCCCAGATGGGACCATCTAGTTGCAGGAAAACTAGCTCAGGGCTCCCACTGATTCTACATCATGGTGAGTTGGAGAATTATTTCATTATATATTACAATGTAATAATAATAGAAATAAAGTGCTCAATAAATATAATGCACTTGAATCATCCAGAAAGCATCCCCCTCCACAGTCTGGGGAAAAAGTGTCTTTCATGAAACCAGTCCCTGGTGCCAAAAAGGTTGAGGACTGCTGCTTTGGGTTATAAACCCCAAATGGCACCTGTATGAAACGATAGGGAGGTTTATATTATTAGTAATATTAATTTTTATTTCATAAACAGTTGTCATCGAGATATAGCCATTATTAATTTTTTTAAAAAAAACTTGACATCTATTTTCAAGTTCTTTTAATGAGGTTACTGCAGAAAAAATGAGGAATAGACAGAGATGGGGTAAGGGGCAGACAGAGGAGAGAGAGAGAGAGAGACACTTTGGAAAGTAGATTTAAGCTAGGTGATGGGTTGGTAGGTGCAGCAAACCACCATGTCACACGTTTACCTATGTAACAAACCTGCATGTCCTGCACTTATATCCTGGAACCTAAAATAAAATAAAATTTAAAAAAAGAAAGTAGTTTTAAAAGGCAGCTGTTTGAGAGGCAATGAGAGTCTCTGTTGAGAGTGAGAAAAAATTGCCAAGAAATTCATGTTGGCTCAGCAAGTAAACTACCCCTGAAGAAGCTGATTAATGTTTAATTTCCACCCACCCCAGTGTTCGGGCTCTGGGGACTGAAGGAGGCCACCCGAGATAAGCATGCAGGGCCCCCTCATGAGAGACACACCATCTCCAGCTGTCACTCTATTACCCCATTTCATGGATTCACTTTGAAATTACGATGGGAAGTTGATGCCTCGAAGTGTCTGCCTTTTGGACACCAACTTCCTCTTGTGTCTGGAGCCATCAGGTACACATTCACTGTTGCCCGGATCAAGGGCCTCTCCTTGGGCCCTGGCCCCAGGGCCAGAGCTGCACCAGCGCTCTCAGCTCCCCCAAGCCCCCTACGCCCACCTTCCACCGCATGGGAACACAGCCAGCATTGCCAGATCTTTTGACTTTTCCAGAGAAGCTGCAGATGACAAATTGTAGCTCCATCTGGGGCTTCATAATTCAACTCCTAAGTTGCATTGCCAAAGGGTGGCAAATGCCACGGCCCTCTTCTGGAAGGGCCCACGTCTTTGCCCACAGACAGTATTTACCAAACATGCCGACGTAGCCTCCTAAGCAGATGTGAGGGCCGTCTGGCCCAGCCAGGTGTCTTCTCCCACCCTCTCCTCCCTTGCCGGCCTCCTCCTTCCCGTCCTTGTCGCCAGGCTGTAGCTGGCCTCGGGCCCCATCTCCAGTTGCCATTTCAGACCCTTTCCGTTGAGGGATTTCTGGGCCCGTTGAGGTATTTCTAGGCCCCGTTGCCTCCAACATTTCTTCTTCCAAGGCCATGTAGAGAATGGCTTGGTGTTTCTAATTAGGGGAGCATTTTGTTCCTGGGTTTTTGTTATTGCAGAAGGAATTTCCATTGCACTTAGAATGGCAGAGACTTTGCACAGTGTCATTGTGTGCCCTCGGGCGGAAGCCGGGCCTTGTTAAGGAGACGCCAGTGTTTCTGCAGTGCCATCACCAGGCCCAGAACAAGGGCGTCCTCAGCTTCCCAGAAGAGGCCAGTAAGTGTCAGGAAAGAACGTCCCTCCCCCTGAATGTGAACTAGCCGGAGAGAGAACAGGGCCGGTGGCGCACAGCCCCTGGCAGATCATCCGAAACCTGACGTCTGCTGAGGGGGAACAACTTTGCCCTGGGCACCTGGGAAAAATGAGAGCATAGCCTGCCACCTGGCACTGTGACCGTCAGACACGGTGGACACCGAGCAAAAATAAGGGTCCCGGGAACAGCTGGGGCTGTGCAACTCCACCACCATCTGGAAGTAGCGAGCCATGGGCCCTGCGGAGTGGGAGGAGCAGCAGGGAGCTTTCGAGTCTCGTCCATCTTCTGAGCGAGGCCTCCTTTGCACTTCAATTCTGAGAACATTTTCTAAAAGCACCTCCCGTGCGAGGTACTGTTGTGAGGGTTTTGCGTGTATTCACCTATGGAATCCCCGTGAACACCTTTCCAGGTAGGGCAGGGGTGTCTGACGATGTCTAGAGACATCTTTGGTTGTCACAGCTGGAGGGAGTTGCTGGCCTCTGGGGACAGAGGTTGAGGATCCCTGAGGCAGATATTGGTATCATTAGCCCCATTTTACAGATGGAAAGACTGACAGAGAGAGATTCAGGGCCCCACTTAGGGGCACCCGGGACTCTCTGTGCAGGAACCTCTGCTTCTCCGTGGCCCACTGTGTGCCCCACTGACCTGGGTGCATCCCTGCCAGCCCCCACACTCATCTCTCCACCTGGGCAGAGACCATCCTGTTGAATGCTCGAGAGATCCCTTGTAAGAAGGCTGCATGCACAGCACACGGTGTTGGGACCTCTTGGTTCCCCGAATTAAATGATTTGGGAGAACTTTCCAAAGCAGCAGTCAGAGAAAACCCCACCCTACCGATTCGGTGTCGGGGGAGCACGGGCCAAACTCAATAGAGGCTTTTTGTCTAAACCTCACACTCTTGGATCATAAAAAGAACATCTGCATTTTCATATATTTTAACGTTTAATAATCCAAGAAGTGTGAATAATAAACACTTGGATAGGGCCGATTTCTTCCCTTCTCCCACCAGACAGGACTCGGTCAGAAGCTTCCAGATGCTGGAGCTCTCATGACCGTGCCAGGGACCTCTTTCAAGAAGGAGGAATGGCACCGAGGAGCCCAGCAGGGCGTCTAGCTGCTTCGCAGAGTAAGGCACAGATGGCAAAATTTCATGCCAGGTTACCAAGGGTGCTGTAGGTTTCATAATTGCAAGAGTCTGTTTTTTTTCCCTTGATCCTGCTATGTTGGGCAGTGACCACCATCTGTTAAATACCTTGCAAAAAGCCTTCTCAACAGCTGGGCCATTCTGTACATTTCATCTCTGCCTGGAAGGAGGAGGGAGAAACAGCCTCATCAGTAAACACCAGCAAGCCACCAGCTGCTACCACCGTGTCCTGCAAGAGTCCGACCCCAAATTCCTCTCCCTGGAGCCCCTCCTTCCTGAAGCCCCTTTCAGAGGGATAGAATGTTTTCTTTACCAGTTAGCACTCAGGAGTAAAGTGCCTGGGAACACAAATGAAAGGGTTACTCTCTTTGCAGCATTTTGCTGACTTGCTAAGGTGCATGAAGATAGACCCCACTCATTTTTAAACAAAAGGGAGAAATGGACTCCTCTCATACAGGCAAGATCTGGGGCCACAATCCTGTTTTCAGCACTTGGCTTACACCCTAAACTGTGATAAACAGTTCTTTTGTCCTCAAAATTCAGATGAGATTGAATCTCTTCCTGCAACGCAGTTCACCTGCAGCCTGGGAAAGTGTTCTAGTGCCATCTTGAGCTGCTTTGTGGAAGGGACCCGAATGATCCAGAAACTGCTGGACCTTGTTTGCAAGGCTGTCACCCAAGGCATCAAGCTGCTGTCTGTCTCCAGGTTTCCAGACCCTTGGCATCTACTCCCCTTTGAATTCTCAGGTGACCTTATTGACCCCACATCAAGTGGGAATGCGCTGAGACCTTTGGAGGTGGCCGTTTGAGAGAAGCCAGCCACGCTCACCTCCCTCCTCCCACCCTCCCTGAGGCCCTGGAGGCACGACTCACTCTAGCAAAGGAGGTAGCCCCTGATGGGAGCAGGCAGAATTAACTCAGGGGTCAGCCCTGGCCCTGCCCTCTTTGAGCTCTTCAAACATCATTTAACAGCAATTAGGTAATTGGGGAAGGTAGATTTCCTGAGAATTAGTCCAGGATTGGGGTTAAGAGGCCTTGTATGTGGAATAGAAGGGAAATGGCCAGGCAGAGACTTCTTGTGAACAAAAGCTGTCCCTTCTACTCTGTTTTCCTTCCAGCTAATCAGCCACCCACACTCCATCTCCAAGTCACTGCCTGGGAGCTTTCAGCATCTTGTATGGGCCTCACATTGTCCAGGCCCAGGTGCCCCACTCAGCAGGGCTCCAGTTTCAGCAGCCCCAGGCAGAGTTCTGTCTAATTTATGCAATTCCGTTTAACACGGCAGAACCCAGGGCGAGTGGGGCCTCTGCAGCCTGTCCTTGGCCAGCTCCCACACCTGCAGTGCCTCAGTGCGCCCAGGGTACCCCGAGTCCCTTATAGAGGCTGGCACATCCTCATTGCATGCCACTCTCTGCCCTTGCCCCACACATGGGAAACCAGGGTGTTTTCCGGATGCTGCTGTAAGATAATGCCAAGAGACTCCTCTCAAAGCTTTCCTCGAAGGAGCAGGGTGATCTGTGTCTTGGGTAAAAGTAAGCATATTCTGTGGTGCTCTGATTAGGGTAGGATTAAAGTTTTTATTTTGTTTATTTTACATGGCATTTATTAAACATTGCTTTATAATGAAGAATAATACTCATATGGCACTGGTTCACAACCAAGGGAGGTGGTTTGCCCTCCAGAAAACACGTGGCAACATCGGGAGACATTTTTGGTTGTCACAATTGGGTGGGAAGTTGGGTGCTCCTGGCATCTAGTGGATATAGGCCCAGGACGCTGCTAAACACCGTCCAATGCATGGGACAGCCCCCTACAACAGAGTCACCTGGCCTGTAGGGCCAGTAGCGCTGAAGTCAAGATCTGACCTGACATGCAGCAAATTGTGAGAATCTTAAGTGTGTATGTCAGTGTGTTTTTACATATAGATACTCTGGGTTAGTTTCCTAATGCTGCTGTTAAAAATTACAAACTTAGTGGCTTGAAGCAACACAAATGTATTTGTTGTTAGTTCTGGCGTCAGAAGTCTTAAAATCAAGGTGTCAGCAGGAGTGCATGCCTGCAGAGGCTTTAGGGATGAATCTGTTTCCCTGCCTTTTCCAGGATCCAGGGGCCACCTGCATTCCTTGGCTCATGGTCCCATCCTCCATCTTCCAAGCCAGCAGTGTAGCATCCTTAAATGCTCCTCTCTCTCTGATCCTCCTGTGTCCATCTTATAAGGCTCCTTGTGATGACATTGGGCCCACCCGGATAATCCAGGAGGATCTCCCCATATCAAGATCCTTAACCTAATCACATCTGAAAAGTCCCTGTTGTCATGTAAGGTGACATGCCTACAGGTTCAGGGTTTAGATTTAAGACATGGACATCTTTGGGGCTGTTATTCAGCCCTCCACATAGACTCCAATCAAAGTGAACAGTACGTCTGTGATCCAGAGGCTCCTGTGTGCCTCCTTTCCACCAGAACCTCCCCAGCACCATTCTGACCTGTATCACCATAGAACACTTTGCCTGTTCTTAGGGTGAATGATTTTTAAAAACAAATCTCTCTTTATTAAAGCCTACATTTGAAACATTAATACAATTATGAAGAGATCCCACCATTGGATCGCTAGAAAGCTACAGAGAAATTCTTAAGCTGAACATTCAAACCCAGGTTAGAAACAACCAGAACTTAATTAGAGTGAGACGTGGTTATTTTACAGCGAGACAGATTCACATTAATCATGGGATGGGAGGGCCGGGGAAGGAGGAATGAGAGATGAGATGTACATTCCAGTAATTAAATATGTTCTCAGAGGAGCAAACCGTGGCGGAATTGCAAAGATGCTTAACGTAGCTTTCTAAGCCACTGGCGCCAGTGTACAAATTGTCCTCTGGGTGAGGAGCACGGAGATTCGGCTACTCCATGGGTCTAGAATGTTAGGTTTGATGATGGCCAATTGCACTTCATCCAACAAATACTGCAGTGGGACTTATTGCCAATCCCCAAGGTTCAGGGAGTAGGGGGTCAGGGCCGGAATGTGAAAGTGACCAGACCTAGGCATTATCGGAGCTCACTATCTGTGGAGAGAGGTGGTCACCTAAATGGTGTGTGATACGTCATGCTTGGTGCCAGAGCTTCGGGCTGGGAGGGCAGGGGCATCTGTGAGGGCCATAGGAGAGAAGCAGAGCTGGGCACCCCAGGGAGAGGCGCGGGTGGGCACATGCGGCCCCACCATGAAGAGCCCCGTGTGCCTGGCAAGTAGTTGGCAAGGCCTGTGCTTGGTGGGTTCTGAGCAGGCTCCTACTGTTCTAGACCAAAGCAGGAAAGTTGAAGGCCCACTAGGAGGTAAAATACAATGCCTGATAGGAGAGGGTGGTGCCTGAACTGGAGAAGTCACAGGATGGAGAGAGCAGGTGGAGATGGATTCAGAGGGTTGGGGAATGATTGCATTCTGCAGAGCCAGTGAGGCCCATGGCTGGGATGTTGGGGTGATGGTGATCCAGACAAGAGCTACTCACAGGGAAGTGGAAGGGACAGCGATGAATCTTGCTTCAAAGCACATTCCCTAGGATTGGGTTTTTTAGAGCAGTTTTACATTTAGGGAAAAATTGAACAGAAAGCACAGAGAGTTCCCACACATGCCCCATACCCCTCCCCCAATAATCCTATTTTCATTAACATCTTGCCTTAGCATGCTACACTTGTTACAGTTGATGAACCAATATTGATGCATTATTATCAGTTAAAGTTCATAAGAGGGTTGACTCTTGGTGGTGTACATTCTATGGGTTTTGACAAATGTATAATGTCACGTGCCCTCAATTACAGGATCATACAGAGTCATTTCACTGCCCTAAACATCTCCTGAGCTCCACCTGTTCGTCCCTCCCTCCCCCTTGAACTCCTAACAACCACCGATCTTTTGACGTCTCTATAGTTTTGAATTTTCCAGAATGTCATCTAGTTGGACTCACACAGCATGTGGACTTTTCAAACTGGCTTCTTTTACTTAGCAAGAGGTGTTTTTTTTTTGTTTTTTTTTTTTTATGGAGTCTCACTCTGTCACCCAGGCTGGAGTGCAGTGGCACGATCTTGGCTCACTGCAACCTCCACCTCCCAGCTTCAAACAATTTCCCTGCCTCAGCTTCCTGAGTAGCTGGGATTACAGATGCATGCCACCATGCCCTGCTAATTTTTGTATTTTTAGTAGAGACGGGGTTTCACCCTGTTGGCCAGGTTGGTCTCAAGCTCCCAACCTCAGATGATCCACCTGTCTCAGCCTCCCAAAGTGCTGGGATTACAGGTGTGAGTCACTGCGCCAGGCCAGCAAGATGCTTTTACGGTTCCGTGTATGTCTTTCTGTGGATTGCTGTGTCTTTGAATTTTCAAGGTGCTGTGTTAGTATGATGGTTGTGAAGCCTGAGATGAGAAGAAGCCATGAGACACCAGATAAAGCCATCAGAGGAGCAATGTTTTGCCAACCAATGGCTCAGAGCCCACCCTGTCCCCACCCTGCCACTAGGAACCCTTGCCCAGTTCTAGAGGAGGCAAAATCATGGATGTGTCACTGGCTAATGTCCTTGTCCAAGAGTGACACAAAGGCAGGTAGAGTTTCCCGGAAGACCATGTTACCTGCCTTCATGGGCAGAATAAATTTCTCCTTTACCTATCTAGAGAGTCTTACCCAGGCAGCTCAGAGACCCCTGTGCTCAGGCTGCTCCTGGTGGGGTGAGGGGTAGATGGCAAACACCCAGCCGAGGGTCCTGTCTCCCCTCCCCGTGAGACCCCAGGGCCCCACCATCTGGGGCACGCTGGCTGCTTTCCCTGCCCAGCATGTCCAGCGGGCTGCCTTGATGAGCTCACCCTGGAACATACAGAGCCTCTTCACATGTTTTTCTTTTTCTCTTCTTATTAAAACAATAATAGCTTGACTACAAAACTATTAATCTGGCAGTAAATTATGGGAAATTTATTGCTATGGTTGTTTTTCAAAAATTGGCCATATTATCCCAGAGGAGGTACAATTAAACATTGAAGAATAAAAGTCACAAATGATTTGGACGGCGCCTCTTGTCTGAAGGTTTCAGAGACCGCCTATCCTTTTTCCATCAAATGCTCTGCAGATGGCCTCAGATGCTGAGACGTGGCAGAACTCAGTCCAAGGATAACCATGAAGTTGTCCATGGAATGATTGCGCCTCATTCCTTGCTGTTCCCTGTTGCTCTTGCAGCCTCCTGTTTGTGTTTCAGAGCATGCTTATTGTGTGGTAGGAACTAGGAGCCAACAGGGTTCCTAAAGGTAGCTTGATCTTGACCAGCGGGCTTCCAGTACAGTCAAGATATTGCCAGAACCGCCAGGAATTGGGTAACTGATGAGAGAAGAGAAGAAAATCTTGTAAATAGAAATGCCGAAGATGGTGAGAAAATGAGAGAAAGAATGACAGTGTAGGTTAAAGAGGGTCCCAATGACAGAATCCTCCCAAAATATGTTCAAAGAGGGAAAAGTACACTTGGATTCTGGAGAAGAGGGTTCTTTACTGTGCCTGGGGTCGTGGTAGTCATAGCAATCTGGGACAGGGTGTCTACATATTTGGGGCCCTGGGATCGTGCAGAATCATGGAGAGTATAATCCCAAATAAAGGCGCTGGACAACACCACTTGTAGATTTCAGGGAAGGAGAGAGATGGCAGCCACTGGTGTGGTCCAGTGCAAAGAGTGGCTGAAGGTCTTAGGTAGGGGAGATGCTCCCCAAAAGAGCAGGCACTGGGGAGGAGTGTCCTGTGGTTGTAGCCAAGGTGAAGTGGAGACAAGTTTGAGTAGATGCTGGGGGTCTTGAAAGCCACCCAGAGAATGTCATTTGTTCATTCCTTCCACCCACATCCACTGGGCACCCACTATATGCCAAGCACTGTGCAGGGCAGAGAGCAAACCCTGCCTTGGGCCATTCAGGCTTTGTTCTGTAGGCAGAGCCATGGAGAGCTGATGAGTGACGGAGGGCCAAGGTGACTCTGGGTTCTAGAGAGACGCTCCAGGCACACTTCTTCCCTTCACCCGGTCATGTTTCCTGACCTCACATCTGGTGTTATCTTTGTGGGGAAGAATTCTTCGTCTCCCTGTCTCATCCCAACTCAGGATGGGTTCCTTGGAGTAGGCGTGGAGACCGTCTATCCAGACCATCCCCTGGATGGACCTTGATTTGTGCAGGAGGGGCTCCATGAACATCCTAGCCCCATGAGCCTGCTTTGGACGTCTGCAGATCCAGGTTAGAGTCCAGGCTTTGCCTCCAGCTCCCCCCATGACAGAGCAAGTCATTTAGTGCCCTGGATTCTAACAGTAGCAGCAGCAGCAGCAGCAGCTCTCACCAGGGCAGTGTTCAGACTCATTCATTCCTTTCTCTTTCATCGCTGGGTCAGCCCCCTGCTCACGATCACCTTTGAAGTGGACACTATTAATATTCTTGTTTTACAGAGGAGGAAACTGAAGACTCAAGAGGTGAAAGAAGTCACTTGCCCCATGGCCACCCAGCCGATGTCACAGATGGGGCTTAGATCTGGGGTTGTCAAGTCCTGCAGCCTTGCACCACCTCAACTAAAGGGTTGGCATGTGCTGGGTGAAATGCCAGTTCGGAGTCTGTGACCGTCCTCTCCCGTTTGACATGACTCGGGATGACACTGCAGACGGAATGAAAAGCCCCACCTGGCTGGCTTTCACATCATGCTCTTCCCTGGTAGCTTCCCAGCCCTGGAGAGCCACAAACAGCGAAACTGTGAGAGAAAGAGGTTGGCATGGCTATTCCACCACTCTTTCTGTCCTACGTGATTCACTTCTCTCTTGCCCTTCCTAAGCCAGAGCCAGGCCTGTAACTGGAAAGTGGCATCTCCTTAGTTTTTGACACTGGGATAACTATTCTGGCAAGTTTATTTCTCTGTGAGTTTACTTTTCATCCTGATCTATCCAGTTGGTCTATAAGGACTCTGAGAGGAGCAGCTGACAGAGAAACAAGAGGAGGGAGGCAGGGCCTGGGGTTCTGGAAGGAGATGGTCGCAGTGGTGGGACAGGAAGATTTTAGTCTGCCCATCGAGGCTGTGACATGTTCCAGCTCTCTGCTTTTCTAGCATTAGGTTGTGATTAGCCTTGTGGTGAGTCCACCTGGGTCTTTCTGGAAGGTTGCTGTCCTTCCTGCTTGGGCTATGTATCCAGGATCCTTGGAAGAAACTGTTCTGGTCAGCTGTGAGGAAAGGGACATATCCTAGGCTTTTTCTGCTCGTGGTCACCCCCAGACAGCCCCAGCTTCTTCAAGAAGCCTTCAGAGCAGCGAGAAATCATGCAGGAAAACACCTCCTCCCAGCTGTTGGGAAGCCCGGCATTCTATACGAGGATTTGTTTCATTTTTTGGATGTTGGTAGAAATACGTAAAACGATGCTCGTAAAAGGCTGGGAAGACGGCTGGACTGCACAGCCGGCCGGGACCGCAATGAAATTAAAAATAAACAAGGACAAATGGTGGGAAATTATTGCAAAAATATTTTCTCCGAATTGAGGAGGGCAGTAGGGAGATGAGAAGAAGTAACTTATTGGAGGTTGGGGAAAGGGCAGGACTTGCTTTAATAAACATCTTACAAGAAAGCCAAGGAGCGTCTTTCTTGGATCCATAACAAGTCGTGCACTCAACATGCTCCAGGAATACGGCCTAGTGGAATTAACGAAGGAATCTGCGTCCTGTCAACATGTGGTAGCAGGCACTAACGAGCTCACACCCTAAAACGAAGCAGATGGGGCTTTGTTGGAAGAAAAAGCCTTACATTAGGTTTCAGAGGTATTATAGGATAATGATAATAACACCTATTTTCTGCTTTGTCCAAAGCTTCCCCATCTTTGTCAATCGGACAGCATCATGAGGATCCTCAGCCACGCTTGATGGACAGGAAGCTGGTGGCTCAGCTGTGAGGCTTATAGGCCTGCCCAGGTAGACGGGGTGGGAACAGGTGCCGAACCAAGGCTTCCTTCCCTGAGATCCCTTCCAGAAGAAGTAGCTTTTCTGTGACTTCTACATGACAATTCCTTGTTCCTATTCTCCTCTGGAGTTTGAAAACCAGGGCCAGATATGTTCCATAGGATGCCAAAGTGATCCCTCCCTCCCTACCTCCCTACCTCCAGCTCCTTCCTTCCTTCTTCTCTTCCTTCCTTCCTTCCCCCCTTCCTTCCTTGCACTGAATTAGTTGCATTTGAAAATGGAGAGAATTCATGTTACAATCCAGATACACAGCTTCTCTGGAAAAGTTAAATCTGTCAACAATGGCTGTGGTGCTCATAGTAAGACATGGCTGGATAGAGCAGGTGCTTTTCCATTGACAGTCAACCCCAGCCCACATCCATCCTCATTTCCTCCTGCCTGCCGCTCTAAGGTGTTGGAGTCTGTAACCTCAGATTCTTGGCCAGAACCCACCTATAACCCACCTATCTGGGGCAAGCACTCTGCCAAATCTTCAAGGCAAATGAAGAAACAGAGATGGAGAGAATGATCTGGATAACTAAAGGGGGAAGTTTTAGTTCTTGCCAGAATTTGGTGGACAATATGCAATGATGTCCACATTCAAGTTCAAGCTCATCACATTCCCACCAAGTCCTCCACAGCTTGAATTTACATGAAACAACTTAAGAGTTTATGGGTGTAGTTCCAATCCAGCTAGACTATGTCAAGTTCAGCTCACCTGTTTGGTTATGTTAAGGGTCTTTTAAAAATATCAGTGGAAACTAAATGCTCATCAATAAAGGACTGGCTAAATGAGATATTGCATAGAGGGAACTCTAATTCGCAGTTAAGATGAATGAACTGCAGCTCTGTTGATATAAATTTAAACACACACACAAAATGATGTTCTATAATGGGAGCTGGCAAAGTACCATCCGGTGCTCGTTTTTGTAAATAAAGTTTTATTGGCACACATCCATACCCATTTGTTTACATATCGTATGTGGCTGCTTTCACACACAGTGGCAGAGCTGAGTAGCTGCAACAGAGACCATATGGTCCGCAAAGCTGAAAATGTTTCTCAGTGGGCCATTTACAGAAAAATATTTGCTCTCCACTACCCTGTGTTATTTGGACTACATACGTACATATGTATGTATATATACACATTATATATACATATGTATGTGTGTGTATACACACACAGAGAGATATTTAAGTTCATGGCAGAGGTTGATTTTGAGTGGTGGTCCAAAGTTAGATCATAAATAGCATCAACTTTTCTTGATCTGAAAATTCTATTTCTCTAGTTTAAAATAATACTTGGAACAATATGAAGAAATGTTAACAGCTGTCAAATTTCAGTTAAGGATTCACAGGTGTTTGTTTTATTATCTTTTAACTTTTCTGTGTTTAAAATGTTTTAAATAAAAAATTATTTCATAGAACAAAAAAGTTTTAGGACTGGAACAATTACATCTAAATTATAAAATTCTTAGAGTGACGTTTATAATTACATGTTTAAAATGATCTACCATAGGGATCTTCTTAACTATTCGGTGTATTATCCCTAGTTTTAGTCTACATTATATGGGAAGACAGGATTTCTTTTTCAGATTTTCTTATACGTGTATATTTTACAAATTCTCTTCTATATCTTTATAAATAGTTTCTAGGTACAACCGACAAATTATCTTAATTCAGGCACCAATTTTCCCTCGTGGTCCTGTTTCACTTGCCCTCAACACAGAAGCAACTAATAGGCCCATCCAAGAACAACAGTCAGTTATGCAACCAGTGCCTTCCAGCATGTAAATAACCCCGTCTAGAAATCCAGGAAAAATAACCAGCCCTGAGTCTCGTCTCACTTACTCAAATCACATGGACAATTTACGTCCATGAATTGGAATTTCAATTTGATCTCAGAGTTTACTTGCGGGGGCCAAGGCACATTATAGTGGGGAGGAAAGGGAGCTGCTGAAGCTAAGAAGAACTGGAATTAAAGTCATGCAAAGCAGATGCCGGGACTAGTGGGTGCCAATGCAAGGCAGGTGCTGGGTGGGGCCAGGTGACTTGGGAAGAGTGGGCTCCCCAACCTGGGCCAGCCTTTGGGCAGCTTAGGGGACAGTGGCCGAGCAGCGGGATCTGGGGTCGGCAGTTGCTCCATCTCCAGCTCTTTCAAGGAATTGAGCGTGGAGTCTGGCAATTTCAACAGAGTATATCTTCTTCTATACCTGAATGAAGGATTATTCTCAAACTGCTGGGCAGCCAAGTGGGTGTCTTTCGAAAACAGACTTCTGGAATTTCCCAGACTTCTTGCAAATAATCCACAGTACTTTGTTGGGGTGGAAAAACCTGAATTTCTTCCTACTATGTCTGGAATATATACAGTAAAGTCTTTATGACTTGACAGGGTGTGCCTGGCCGGGAAGACCTCTGCTCTTGGCCAGGCTGTGTGGCAATGAACTCGGTGATCTGGGGAGATTGGGCCCCTCCAGGGGTCTCTGCCTGAGGGGTGGGGGGGCTGGGAGTGTCAGGGGCCCCAGCCTTTGTCCTTAGATTTCCTACAAGTCAGATGATCTTGGACGTGGTTTGTGATCACTGCAGATGTTGCCAGGTTGGCTGCCAGCTTCTGAGAGGCCTGGATGGAGAATGAAGGAGACAGGGAGAATGAGCAACTGGCTCTGAGACCCAGAGCGGGGCAGGAGGGGCCCCTTTCCCTGTGTGGGTGTGGCCTCCAACCGGGGGCCCTATGAAGGCCTCTCCCAAGACTCTCTGCAGCCGTATAGTTCCATGACCTCACAGCCATCTAGCCTGGCTGGGAGTGTTCATTCGTCTGGCAGCATGAAGTGTCCTTCTCCAGTTCTAATCTGTCTGCAAAGTCCTCAGAACCCAGCTTTCCACACCATCCCCCAGACCCGTCACAGCTGCCTGCCCAATCCCCCACAGAGAAGTCTTCAGGAGAAGGGACTCGGGTCAGACATAAACCTGGGCTCGAGTCCTGCCTGCCACTTGCTAGCTCGGTGACCTCAACAAGTACTCAACTTCTCCAAAGCACACATTCATCACCCAGGAAACAGGGATGATCTCAGTTACCGCCTTCTAGGGGTGTGACAAAGACTCAGGGACATGAGGACCAGAGTTCTGGGCCCATGGCTGGCCTGTAGCACTCAACCTAGGATGCCTCCTGAGACCAGAGATGGTTCCAGTCCTTCTCTACTGGGGAGAGGCACTTTTGCTGATGCCCTCTGTTGGCCTCTGCAGAGCCCCCCTTAGCCTCTGCCCTTCCCAACCGGGGAGGCTGCCAGGCACAGGCAAGGTCAGGGTCCCGGCCTTCCCTACCGACCCCAGCTGACAGGGGTGAGTTCCAACACCACAGCCTACCTGGGGGTCCTGGCCGGTGGCACGGCTCCCTCCTCCCTCCCCCAGTCTCGTAGACAATTCCCTTTTCACCCAGGGACCCTCTCTTGCACGCCCCGCATGGCTCCGCTCACTCATATGTGGAGCCTTCCTCTGTGCTGACACCGTCCTATGGGCTGGAAATGGCATTGGCCAAGGAGGCCGGGATGTTAAGGAGAAGGCATTTGGGGGGAGGACCACAGAAGGAATGGAAAGGGCGTGCAGGCAGGGGTTAGGACCTCAGCTGAAATAGCACAGGACAGTGTCGGGGTGGCTAGGCCATGCTTCAGGCAGGCTGCTCAGGGAAGGCTGTCTGGGGAGGAGGGGGCGCGCGGGCTTAAACCTGGCTGGGCAGAAGGAGGCACCTGGCCAGGAAAGGAGGGCATGGGTTTCGGGCCTGGGGAACAGCCGCTGCGAAGACCCAGTGGAGGGTTGGGGAGGGGGTGTGGGCAAGCCCAGGTCAGGTCCCTGAATTTTGGGGGAGGAGTCAGGATCCACCACTAAGCGGCCAGAGTGCTGGGGGTTGTTGGAAGGTCTGAGTTCCACTTTAGAAAGCTCACCCCACCCCCCCAACTGGGTGGAGAATGACCTGCAGTGGGAGGGGGAGAGTAAGAGGGGAGAGAGGGTGATGGCTTGGTCCGGGGTGGGAGACCTGGAAGGAAGGAGACGGACCGCATGACTCAAGTCCAGGAATGAGTCTGCACTCAGTCTCTCCTGCCCTTTACTATGGGGCACGCTTTCTCATTTCAGCTCAGGCTAAATTAAACTAATTTAGCTTCATGGAACCTAAGAATGAATGGATGGCCCAGTGACCCCAAAGTGGCTGAAATAAGAGAATCAAAAAGCCCTCTGCACCGAGGGCATAATGGAAGATGCTTCTGGGCCCCAACCTGCTCAGTCACAGCTGGGTTGTAATAAATGAACACATTTGGGAACTCTGTTGTATTTCGCTTCGTCAAAACGAAACAATGGAATGTGCCACCCTGGTTCCTATTGAAAGGCACCCTGGCCCCCAGAACTGCTCTGAATACCTAGGACTGTATTATCAGGATTTCTCAGAAATCTCTTCCAAACACAGCTGCCGCTCTTTAGGGAATGGTTGACTTTAATTATTGAGAATTACTTTAAGATTCATGTTTTTCCTCATGTTACTGAAAAGTAATCATTGTAATAATGAAGACCACATGTGTCCTGGGTCTAATTATTAAATCATTATATTGTTATATCATTCCTATTAGTTGCTTTGGCGAAAGGGTCAAATGAAAAAAGTCAGGGCATTCTTTTTTATGTCGACATTTTATTTTCTATCAATACAATTCGCTCCAGCCCGAGACATGGCAGAATGGGACGTGAGCTGGCCTGCATGGGGGCTCGGCTTTGGCCTTCATGGCGGTTGGGTCCGGAGGGAGGTGAGCAGTGCCCTTGACTGATGCACTGTCCGTCGCTGCTGGACTAGGGCTGGGACTGGGCCCCAGAGCCAGGGTCTCCAGCGCTGGCAAGGGGGAGCTGCTGGGTCCTTCCTTTCGCTGGGCCTTCTCCTTGGATCCATTGGCCCCTGTAGGTACTGCTGTCCGGCCTTCCTGCTTTCCCCAAAGTCCTCAAAAAGTGTTTGGGCTCTAAAAGATAAAAACAAAACAGCGAAAGTAGAATGAGTAAATGTTTGAGTACACATCTAGAAGTTTCGATGACTTCAAGTATAGTAAACTGTAGTCGCTTTCCTCGTAATAAAGTGTAAGTCATCAGAATAAAATGAGCAAAACAGATGTATCTTAAAATGCAAACTAAAACATTATAAGAAAATGGTAAGGACAAATTACAGTAATTTGTGACTTTGCATGTGAGTAAAATCCTGAATAATCGAGAAAGAAAGATGATCAAAATCTTTTCAGAGATTCTTGCAGCAAAAAAAAAATCTCATGTGACCTGGTAAGAGTTGTTGCAGGGCTCGGTGTGGCCAGACCCAAGAGGCCCTGCAGCACCTGTCATGGGGGACTCGTGCTCTGTGTCACGTAGTAGCTGCTCAATAATTCCTCCTGGAGGGGATTGCTGATGGAGTCCTTGCTTTTCCCTGGAAACAGTGGATTGTCAAGCTCCAGACAGAGGAAACTTAATTTGATTTTGTCCCCTGAGTCAGTACTGATTAAGGCTATCATAAAGTAAATTGGCTGAGTTGGGGCCCGTTTCAGGAGGAGCTGGAGTTGCTCTGCAGCCCAGCCTGGTTCTGAGGGCCCCAGGTGGTGGAGTCTGCAGCAATGGAGGAGGGGAGATGGGCACTCTGTATTAACCCAGCTGCAGGCGAGAGGGTTTAGGGGGGGATATGTGAGCCTCCAGGGTTGCAAGTCTGCCCTGCCCTTTGCTCAGACCAACACGTCTGAGTTGCCATGCATTCGAAGAGTGGGTGCCATGGTTCCCAGCAGACATGTGGCTCAGGACTTGGCCAGATATGCCTGGGTACCCCATGTACCTGGCCTATGCCGGTACCTCATGTGTGAGCTCTGTGACCCTGCATGGGGATCTCCCATCTCTGAGTCTCTTCATCTCTGTAGTTACTGTGAGGAATTCAATGTGTGCTAAATGCCCAGAAGCGTGTCCAGCACACCTTTTATGATAGGGCATGTCGGTGCACGTGGCACTGCACAGCTGGTTTCCCATCTCCTCTGCTGGGGGACGGGGCTGAGTCAGTTACCTTTGCCAGCATGTTTCCAGCACTCAGCAAAGAGTGTGGCACAGAGTAACCTCTCAGAGGTGGTTTGCTGAATGAGCACACCAACCCTTAGCTCATGTGACCCCCAAATCCCAGCTCAGGATGGAAAAGGCAAATTGGGAGCGGGGCCAGAGCTAGGAGAGGTACAGGATGGAGAGAAGTTGCTGGGAAGGGAGGCCGAGGTAAGGCCGGGCCGGTGAAAATGGGAACATGTTACTCAACCTCTGCCATGCTGGGGCCTGGGGAAAAGGATGCCTGCAGCTTTATGGAGGATGGGAGGGAGCTGGCTGTAGTTGTGTGAGGGCCCTTGGGACTGTAAAGCTGGAGAAACCTGAGGAGGGTTGTCAAAGGTGTGTTGGCCTGCTGCCATTAGATTACTTTGGTTGCAAGTAATGGAAAACCAAACTCAAGTTGACTTAAACAATTAAGGCAAGTTATTGGTTCCTGTAAAGCCTGAAAAGTCCCAAAGTGGATCTAACTTCAGTTTAGCTAGATCCAAGGACACACAGCAGTGGCACCAAGGACCCACTTTCTTTCAATCTTGTTGTTCAACCTCTTATAAAGTCAGCCAGGGCATTTGCATGTTGTCCCAACATTTGTCACTTGCAAATGGCTCTCTCTACTGCACAGGACATCATAGGAAAATCCCAGAGCAAGAGGGATGGGACTGAGTCCTGGTGCTGAGACTCTGGGGAGGGACAGACTACTTTGTGATTACTCAAAAGGCGAGGAGGGGTGATGAAATAAGCCATTTCTAAACTGTGCTTCCCAGACCTCAGGGTCATCCCAGAGGAAGGGGCTGAAGGGAAAGGGAAGGAGATGGGTGAGCTTCCAATTCACTCAGAAGGGCTCCTCTTTTATCCACCTTCCATGAAGGAGTTCAGACACAGAAAGGCTCAGGTGTAAGCCTGAAACTCACCAAACGAGCTGGTCCGAAGCACATTTTACTTTGAGTGCTCACTGTGTGCTCTGTTGAGTGTATTAATGGCTTCATAGCAACCCAGGAAGTGGATGCTATTACAACCCTCCCTTTATCTATGAGAAAGTGGAGGCCCAGTTAGCTAGTGGTAAAGCCAGAAAATCTGACTCCAAAGCCTGTGGGACAAACCCATCTCTCCACCGAGCCATCTTCTGTACACAGCCACCCTTTTAAACACAGATGCAGTAATGCACACAGTAGGTGTTCAGCAAGTGTTTCCTGACTGAATGACTGACTGCAGGTCTGCCTGGGTCCATGGCTCATGCTCTTTGTACACTTCATTTCTCTCAAGTAGGACAATGTTTAGCATTCCTCCAAAGAACCCTGCTGTCATCTTTGGGAGTTAAGAAGTTCAGTTCTTCCCTGTTTTTGTAATTACAGGATGACCCCAGGTCCATTTTCCAGGAATTCTTTGAATTGAGAGGGACCAAACTATGAAGGAATGCTGATGAGCCTTAGAATTGGTTTCTGTCTGCGTCCCACTTCTTGCAAACCCCTAGTTATTAAACACTGTAATTCTTGCATCTATAGGAGCCCTTTCCCCAATTAGTAAATAGATATGCCTGACTGCAGTCACTTGACTTGGCTGACTCATTCATTCCTTTACTCACTTATTCACTCATTCCTTCACTCACTCATTCACTCATTCCCTCACTCATTCATTCCTTCACTCATTCATTCATTCATTCACCCATTCACATATTCACTTATTCATTCACTCACTCATTCACTCATTTATTCACTCACTTACTCATTTATTCACTCACTTATTCCCTCACTCATTCACTCATTCCTTCACTCATTCATTCATTCCTTCACTCATTCACCCACTCATTCATTCATTCCTTCACTCATTCATTCTCCCATTCACTTATTCATTCATTCACTAAGTCATTCATTCATTCACCCATTCACTAATTTATTCCCTCATTCACTAATTTATTCCCTCATTCACTAATTTATTCCCTCATTCAGTCACTGACTGACTCATTCATTCAATCACTCATTCACACAGACATTCATTCATTCACTCACTCAATATATTCATTCTCTCACTCAGGCATTCATTCACTCAGTCACTCATTCATTCACCCCCTCATGTATTCAGATATTTTATAGAGCAGCTCCACATGTTCATTACAGTTGTGGGCACTGTAGAACATGATGTTGAACAAGGTAGGTCCCTGTTGTCATAGAACTAAATGCCCACAGGGGGCACTGGACCTGCAGACAAATAAGCAATGCTAACGGTGGCACCAGAAGAGGGTGAGGGGTGCCCTGGCAGTAGTTCCAGCAGGACCTGCCTTTCTGGGCATCACAGGAAGAGATCGCCCTGTGGAGGAAAGGAGTTACCGAGGAAAGGAGTTACCAAGGCAAGGGGAGTGAGGTTGGAGGGAATGGAGAGAAGTGTTCATGTTCCAGGCAGAGGGTACAACAGGGGCAAAGGGCAGCTGGACGTGGGTTCCAGAAACGGAAAGCAGCAGTGAAGTGGGAACATGGGAGGGAGCCAAGGGAGCGCAGGATCCTTGCCATAGTGTCAGTGCTGCGGTATCGCGAGCCATCTCCAATTGCTTCTCTCATGCTTGGACGTGTAACTCTTGCATTCCTGAGAGCTGCAAGCCCTACAGGAACTGAAGGTAGGTCATCCCCCTCAGGAATGCTGCAAAGAGCAGGAGCATGGCCCTGGGGAAAGGAGGCTCCCACAAGACCCACTTGGGTACCAGTCGGGGGACCCAGGCCCCCATCACGTCCCAACAGCCCCACAGACCTGTCCCTCTGGAAAAGCAATGGTTTGGCGAAGTGTCAACAGCATAGCCCAGGAAGATTCTGGAGATACCTAAATTAAAGCAGCATGAGTGTAGGGGAGCCCCTGTTTCTCAAAGCCGGGGGTGCCAAATGTTATGGTGGAAGCATCTGGAAGCTATGGATTGAGGCACAAGAGCAAAAATGAGATGAATTCAGTGCAGTCCAGACTCTCCTGTCTCCTGCCCACAACCCCCAGGGCGCTCAGTGGAGACGGACCCCCGCAGGTCCTTGAAAAGCAAGGAGTGGCTCAATAAGTAGGTTGATTTGCATTTAATAGGGGCACAAATTGCAACAACAACTAACCGTGGTGACAAGCAATTATATTCGGCTGAAATTAAAAATGAAAGTAAAAGAAGGAACACATAAGAAATTCAGCCATTTCCTTCTTGGTCATGGGGATAGAGGGAGGATGACAGACAGAGCTCTGGCTCACAAGAACTCACACTTGGTTGAATTCAAGGCTGTCACCGTCCTGAAATTCTTAGCGATGTTGAACAACGGGGCCAACACATGATGCGGCTGGGCCCAAATACAGAATCTGGCTGCCATATCTGGTTTGTGCCTCCATGAAATTGTCCTTCCCTCTGTCATACAAATGTATTCCATCCTATTTCTCAGATGATTTTGTGGCAGCATTTTCTTTTTTTTTCTTATTTACCCAGCCTTTTAAAGTATGGTATAGCATGTGATCAGCAAAGTTTACAAATCGTATGAGATGACTTTTTAATATATGGTCCAACTCTTGTAAAAGTATTAAAACTTCCGTCCCCCACAGAAGGTTCCTGGCACATATTTGGAGTCACCTGGCCAGGAATCCACCAACCTGATCACTATCACCATGGGTACATTTTGTGGCACTATTTCACCTCAGAAAGATTTTCTTTTCTTTTTTTCTTCTTTTTCTTTCTTTCTTTTCTTTTTTTTTTTTTTTTTTGGAGACTGAGTCTCACTCTGTCTCCAGGCTGGAGTGCAGTGGCGTGATCTCAGCTCACTGCAACCTCCGCCTCCTGGATTCAAATGATTCTCCTGCCTCAGCTTCCCGAGTAGCTGGGATTACAAGTGCCTGCCACCACGCCCAGCTAATTTTTTGTATTTTTAGTAGAGATGGGGTTTCGCCATGTTGGCCAGGCTGGTCTCGAACTTGTGATCTGCCTGCCTTGGCCTCCCAAAGCACTGAGATTACAGGCATGAGCCACCGTGCCTGGTCAAAGATTTTCTTATCTTTTTTTTTTTTTTTTTTTTTTTTTGGCAGATTCACTCTTGTAGCCCAGGCTGGAGTGCAGTGGCATGATCTCAGCTCACTGCAGCCTTTGCCTCCCAGGTTCAAGTGATTCTCCTGCCTTAGCCTCCTGAGTAGCTGGGACTATAGATGCCCGCCACCACGCCTGACTAATTTTTGTAGTTTTAGTAAAGACGGCCAGGCTGGTCTCGAACTCCTGACCTCAGGTGATCCACCTGTCTCGCCCTCCCAAAGTGCTGGGATTATGGCATGAGCCACTGTGCCCGGCCAAGATTGTTTTATATAATTTCCCAACTACTCTTGTGGGTTATTCAGGCCCCTGGGAATCCAGGAAATCCTAAGGGGAGAAATAAAACATAGAACTTCAAGTAACTCTCACTATGGCAAAAGCACCTAAAGTTGAAAGATGTTCTAAGTCTTTCAAATAATGTAAGACATAATTCCATTTTGGAGGTGCATTTCTGCAATGAGATTCTTGGGTCTTTTAGGCGGTGCTTTCAGGGATCTGGAATCATATATTTTGAGATGATAGATTATCTTAAATTATCTTAATTGTTTCATTAACATGAACTTGATATAAAGTAGCCTCTTGAAGTGCATTGTAAGGAGGGAAAAGAGATTAATAACCTAATCAAGCATTTGGAAACAACTGACATGCCTCATGGAGAGAGTACTCTAAAAATTTCATTTAAAAATGTAATTATATTGATTGGAAAGATGGATTTCTTTGTTTCAGAGAGCAGATCTTATAGTTTGAGAGCATTTAGCTGAATTGATAGAATTATATTTAAAATGCTATCTTCTTAATTGCATCAAAACGTAATTTTCAGGCTTTTACTGCAGAAAGAGTTGGGTTTCTGGAGCCTTCTGCCCTTTTAATGTTGATTTCAGGTGACCACTGGTGTTCCTGGGAAAAAGAAACATAAAAACAAAAGGATTTATATTTACGGTATTTTAGTTCAGAGCCAACCTTGTGGTAGGGAAGGTGGCTGTGACCTTTGTAGGTGGCGGTGCAGGTGTGAGGGGATAAGGAGGGGGCGCTCTGCCAAAGCTCTTTAAGGAATGCACCCCAACTCTGGGTCCTCGGTGACCTCAACCTTCCTCCCTGGATGCTGCCTTTTCTTTCTGGAGTAAGACCTTGGCATATTTTTAAAAATCTTCTTGGCAGTGTCAGATTTTCGTTATTTGAGGAAGGTTGCATTTTTCGAAAGAAGTCGTTTGGAGCTAAGACTAGGTCATGATACGCAGGGAAATATCACTCTGAGATAATATTCCAGACAATGAGTCAAGTCCCCAAAGCCAAGGCTGATCTTCTCACATGGCTTCAAAAGCCCCTGGACTTTCGTCCTGAGGGTCCCCTTCCTCCGGGCCATGCACGCATGAAGATGTTCAAGCACCTTTTTGCAAATAGCTGCATAAACAAACAAGGAAACAAACTAGAAAACTACCTAAATGCCTCGGATTGGGCCTTGCGGAGGCTCCTGCCACCTGTGCCCCACAAGAGATTTTCACTATAAAGACACTGAGAGATATGAAAACATTTCTGAGAGAATGTCGGGTTGGGGGATCCCAAGAATCAAACTGTAAGTACACACGACAGCTGCAAAAATAAAAAGAGCTGCTGTGTCAGGGTGTTGGGATTGGGGGACTTTTCCTCTTGTTTTCACCTAAAACTGTGTCTTAATGAAAACCAAAATCCAAAGAACAAAGAGAAGCATGTAAAAAGTTCTATAAAAAGCAGGCTCCTGTGCAATGTATTTCTGAAGGAGAAATGACAAAGTTTGGGCCGGTGATGCTGTCTTTAGATGCTGTCTCAGAATATATCATAATCTCTTAAGGTAACCTTGGCTGGAGAAGACACTGTGTGTTTGGAAGCGTATGTTTCCTTACATTACTTACTAATAGTAATAAATAGCATTTGTGGAGTTTACAGAAAATATTCCTGCAAAATAACTCACCCCATCCAGTGCAACCCAGAGAGGCTATTGCTCCTATCTCTACATGACAGGGGGGGATAAGGGATGCTGGGAAGGCCCTAGATGATGTTACTGAGGGTTCACAGCAACAGGATGGGACCCCAAGTAAGTAGCCTGTCTCCCCATCTGAGGCCTCATTCAGGGGGAAAAGGACTTGAGAAGATACCAGTCTGTTCGTTTTTTTTTTTTTTTTTTTTTTTGAGACGGAG
This sequence comes from Homo sapiens, assembly GCF_000001405.40. Taxonomy (NCBI): domain Eukaryota; kingdom Metazoa; phylum Chordata; class Mammalia; order Primates; family Hominidae; genus Homo; species Homo sapiens. The sequence continues at coordinate 59,432,634 of NC_000020.11, forward strand.
TCTCGCTCTGTCGCCCAGGCTGGAGTGCAGTGGCACAATCTCGGCTCACTGCAACCTTCGCCTCCCGGGTTCAAGCGATTCTCCTGCCTCAGCCTCCCGAATAGCTGGGATTACAGGCACGCGCCACCATGCCCAGCTAATTTTTGTATTTTTAGTAGAGACGGGGTTTCACCATGTTGGCCAGGATGGTCTCGATCTCATGACCTCGTGATCCGCCCGCCTCGGCCTCCCAAAGTGCTGGAATTACAGGCGTGAGCCACCAGATACCAGTCTGTTCTATCCTCTGACACAGGGAGGCTCTCTTGTCTACACTCCCTCCCCATAGGTTTCCCAATTTTGTTCAAAATTGGTTTCACTCAATCCCCATGGCATCCCTCAAAATGCCTGCTGACTATTTGACCGGACTACCTCTTGCAGGTAGGAGACGAAATCCCAATTTGAAGTCAGGAGATCACAAACTCAAATTCCTACAGGAGTCAGAGCTAGGGATGACAGTCCCTGTTCTCATATTAAATACATAGGAATCCTCTTTACTCTCTCATAGAAAGGTCTATTCCCTAATTTTTTACTCAAAACATGAAACTCTTTTGATTTATCTGTTCCCATTATTTACAAAGCCTGAGATAAAGAGAGATATTCATCTAATTTAAGAAAAGCACCATGCAACCAACTGATAATTGGCAAGAAAAAATAGACTCAGGGAAACAATAGAGAATGGTGGGGATTGTGGCAAAATTGGAGTGTTCACATTTTATCCAAAGGGAGCTCAGTTACAACTGATAGCTGCCATGTGAAAAAGAAGACCCTATGTTGTTATGTTTTCCTATTTTCAAGAAGAAGCTGGAGACCCAAATATGAGAAATTTCGCAATTTTGAAGTATATTGAAAGAGAGAGTCTCATTTTGAAGAATTTCAAGAAATTATATCAGTTAAGTGTCTTGGTTTGGGTTTCCCCAGAAACAGACCATGAGACAAGGACTCAAAGACAAATGGTCTATTTGGGAGACAATCTCAGGAAATACCCCTGGGAGAGTGGGAAGGGAGAGTCGGGGAGGAGAAGAAGAACAGATATGCTCTCGAACAGTAACTTCTGGAAGCAGCAAAGGTTCAGATTGGTCAGAGATGGTATAGAACAGTGCTTTCCAAATGGTCTATGGTGAAAGATTTGTTTCTGTTGCCAAGCCATGGAGGGTTGATATTTTTGTAAAATAAGAAATGGGAACAGGCCGGGCATGGTGGCTCACACCTGTAATCCCAGCACTTTGGGAGGCCAAGGCGGGAGGATCACAAGGTCGGGAGTTTGAGACCAGCCTGGCCAATATGGTGAAATCCCGTCTCTGCTAAAATACAAAAATTAGCCGAGTGTGGTGGCAGGTGTCTGTGGTGCCAGCTACTTGGGAGGCTGAGGCAGGAGAATTGCTTGAACCCAGGAGGCGGAGGTTGCAGTGAGCCGAGACCATGCCACTCCACTCTAGCCTGGGTGACAGAGCGAGATTCTGTCCCCCGCTCCCCGTCAAAAAAAAAAAAAAAAAAAGGAACAAAGCCATAGAAAATATAAGCCCCATTTAAAAATTATTAATTTGCTTCAACAGTTGTAAATTAATGTTCCAAACTGCTGTAAAAATTTCTAAATGCTTGTGCTCAATTTCAGTACTTAGCCCATCACAGGCTGGTAATAAACAGCTGAGAAAACCAGCCCACACTGATGCGGACCCATGCTTGGAGTACTGGGACGGGTGCAGATAGCTCATGACTATCCCATCTGAGGGTGGAGGAACCTGGGATATTTATCCACCCCGTCCTGCTTGCACACGATTAGGGGCTGTTTCCAGGGGCAATTCCATGTGTGCTAGGTAGGCCGGGGGTTCCTGCAGCCAAACAGCCCCGCAGTTGAGAGTTGCGAGGAATGCTGGAAGCAGCCTTTCGGGGTAGAGGTGAGTGCTAAGGGAATGTGGACGGGGCGGCAACAGCAACTGCTAACTGAAAGTCTTGATTCCTCTCAGCTCCATCGCCATGGTTCTCAAAGTGTGGCACCTGGGCTGGTAGTGCCAGCATCACCTGGGAACTTGTTAGAAACGCAAATTCACAGGCCCCACTCCAGACCTACCAAAGCAGAACCTGTGAGGGTGGAAGCCCAACCATGTGGATTTTGACAAGCCTCCCAGAGAATTCTAATATATGCTCAAGTTTGAGAACCACAGCTCGATTGCATTTTAAAGCAATTAGGCCAAGGGGAAATATCCTTGTTCTTACATAAAACCAAGATGACCTTAACTAGCATTGGCTCCTTTCTTTCAACAGGCTCAAAGTGAACTCATTTTCATAAGAATTGCATTGTTTAAATAAATATGAAGTTTAAACTGTATATATCCTGTCCCATGCCAATAAGTCCAATGCATACAAATCACTTTAAAATCCACCCATGGAGATCTGTACTCAGTGATGTTGCTAGAATCACTCCTCTGTTAGATATCAATAGTGGCAGATGATAAACTCTCTTCTGCAATGTGACACCTTCTTTACTAATAGACCATTACGCTGTCTGAATCAGAGTTTCACTGATTAAACAGGAAATGCCATCTGTAGAGTCTGGTATCCTTCCAGGGTCTGCAAAGGTTGGGACCAGATAAAAAATAAAAAGCCTTTTCTTTGCTCAACTTTTAAAACAATTATTCTTATTTTTCAAGGCGTATTCATATAAACAAAGAGAGCCTGGTCATAACCTATGAAATAGGCCAAATAATAGTAGGGATGTCAGTATTCTGGGGACAAGGAAACAGCAGCAGGATGAGGAGGGACTTGCCGGGTGCATGTGTTTGCTGAGGGTGGGGTCCCACCTCCCCACCTCTTCACCTCCTTCCCCACCCCTTCCCCACCTGGTGCTGTTTATTTCCTTTAACAAGAACCAGAACTTGGATGGTTCTGCTCAAACACAGCAGCTCTGACACCCCTAGAAAGGCTGGGAAACATGGAGGTTCTGTTTAGCTTTCTGTCCCTGCTGTCGTGAAATAGCCCCTCGTGAATGAAATTCTGCGCACAGCGTCACCACCCAGCGGAGCGTCACCTGCTCTAGGCCTCACCTCCCAGGTGGTCAGGGTTTGTTGATACCTTGGTGTCGCCAATGAGTCTGATGAAGACAGAAGGTTTTCATTAAGTAGATAATTGCTCCTGAGAATAGAAATGCAAACGGAAGCACAACAAATGTGCTTTGCTATTTGTAGACATTTGTCAAGTTTAAGAGAATGGGCCACATTAATTTGAAGGTTTAATTTCTTGGCATTTGTGGCTGTCTCTGTTAAAGTGGTTCTCATCTGGGGTGATTTTGGCCTCCCCCCGCCCCCCACTGTGGGTACATTGGAAAATGTCTGGGGACGTTTTTGGTTGTCACAAGCAGGGGGTGGGGAGGTTGCTGATATTGAGTGGATGGGGATCAGGGATGCTGCTATACATCCTGCAATGCACAGACCTTCACCACAGAGAATGAGCTGACCCAGGCTAAGAAATGCTGCTCACATGTATACATATGTAACAAACCTGCACATTGTGCACATGTACCCTAAAACTTAAAGTATAATAATTTAAAAAAAGACAGAAATTCTGCTCTATGGCTTTAAGCCAGTACAATTTTTCACAATCAATCATAATAAACCAAACACACTAGAAAAATAGAAGAAGTTGGGGGGAGGGATTTTTAGCATTAAAAGTACAGATTTGCTATAAGTGAAGCTGGATGTCTTGGTTTTGTCCCTCTTTGCCTTAGGAAGGGTTATGCCCACTGAGAGTTCATTAGTTAGTATTTTTCGGGTCTATTTTAGGCAACCAACCAACCAATTTATTTTTTTTAATGAAAGTTTAAACCCTCACCTTGGGCGAACTGTATCGAAATATGGATTAGGTGTGCACAGGCTTTTCCTGCTTTGGCCAGCCACTGGCCTGAAGAAAATGCTAACCTTTCTCACTCGAACAGTTCAGCTGCCTTTGATGGATTTTTATTGAGTGTCTACTCTGTTAGCCACCACAGAGTTACTGTTAGGTTGGGGGGAACTGGGAGAGAAGAGGTTCAGGCCAAGTAAAAAGTACAATGTCAGAAGGAGACCAGCGAGGAGCTAATAGGGGTGAGACTCAGAGGAGCTGAGGAGGGAGAGAAAGGGAGAGGCAGGGTCAGGAAGGTCTTCCATGAGCCCCGGCCCCCAAGAACACCAGGTTTCTACCAAGGCACAACTACTCCAAAGCCCTAGAGAAAATTCTCTGAAGTCACATGTGGTAGAAATTTCACTGGAATTCAGAAGTGGGTCTATTTGGTTTCCTTCTTTCTACTCCTTCATCCTTCTACCTGCTTTCCCAAACACTGGCACCAAGAAGAAAACAAAAGTCTCCGATGCACAAGCTCCCTAGAGCCCAGAAGCAGGTCTTCCAGTTTCTTAACTGGAGACATAAAGGCAATCATGCCTGCCTCCTTCCTCCTGTAGAAATGAATACATTTTGGTAAACTATTTGAAGATGCACAGGAAGACGCAATCATTCCCAGCTGAAATGGACCATTGCAGACTCACCTCATGAAACACATCTCATCTGCCCCCTCTCATAATCGGATTATTAGTGTGAAAATGGAGCCCACGTGCCCGGTTAGGGATATACAATAATGTTAATAATATTTATGATGTCTAGAGGGCCTTCCTTTGGTCTGGTGGTTGGGAAAGGGGTTGGAGTGGTTCTAACATAATCTTCACAACAGAAGCCTGGGTCCCACCAAGAGAAGATGCCCTGAGACAGACGCTGTCCTGAGAGTCCATGAAGGAATGACGCTCCTTTCCAGTACTAGGCAGACCCAGTAACTCCTACTTCCAAGCATGTGACTGGGACAGCCCCATTTTCCAAGGAGCTGGTGTGATGGTTTTTGACCTGATAGTGGTGACTTGGTTCCAGTTGTTTCCTGAATGTTTTTACAGAAATAACCAATGTATTTCCGGTGCAGTGTTCTATCTTAGCTGACAAAACAAGAGGTGAGGCTCAGCCTGGAGTGATTCCATTAAACCGGATGGGCACAAGATACGGGCCAATCTGGTTACCGTCCTGGAAGAGATTTCATCTAGAGGCGGCTAAACAGGAAATTGGAATTTCTCTCCTCTCAAATGATTCATTATCGCTACAGCATCTTAATAAAACAGACAAGGGGTCAGTAATTCGAGCTCGGTAATTAAGTGGAAAAAGAACAGCTTAGTACAACGGTTGAGCACCGTAATAGATTCTGACATATAAATGAAGGGAAGGGGAGTGGGGATGACAAGGTAGATGAGATATTAGACAGCTGGCCCTGAGCTTGTCATTTTCCAGTTGGTGCAGAACGGGGCTTTGTTCAGGTAAAATGGCTTTTGTTGGCCGGGGCCACTGTTGCGGCCTTTGACAGGCGGCCCAGGCAATTTCATTTATCCAGATTATAAGACAATTAAATGAAAATGAAATGTTTGTGTATTTCCATTTCTTTTAATACTGGCAAATGCAAAGTTTCCTAAGAAGCTTGCCTGGAAAAAGAAATTCATCTCGGCTTTCAAAGTGGGTGGAGTGGAGAAGTAAAATTCCTTCTGTGATTTTGGGGCCTATACGAGGAAGAAGGAATTTCACAGGAAAATGGAAAGAAAGAAAAAAAAAAAAAACACCTCCAGCTGTCATCTTCACTGTGCTTATCTCTTGCCTAATTATAAGATTGAGAGACCATTGCCCCAGGCAGTGCAGGGCTTGGTTTAAGAAAGAGAGCTGTAAGGATGCTTGGTTTACCTAAACAATAGGCTTTGTCAAATACCTATGGAGCGGGTGAGCTGTCATTCCAGGAGCTGGTTTTCCAGCACTCTGAACTGTCTTGTGCCTTCCAGCAGCCCTGCTCTGTAATTAAACAGCCAACCTGGAGATTAGGGGCTCCCGTGAAGGGATTCATTGCAGGTACCGCACATGTCTGTAGCTAGAACCCAGTTTTATGGACCTTCTGGTTGTCAAGTTTTGCTCTCATTTTCCCTTTCCTCTTCAGAGATAATCACACAAACAATTTCATTTGTCTTTCATGCAGAGAGAGAAATAGCAGGTTTAACAGTCCTGAACACCCATCTATGGTTATCTCAGTGTTCTTTATCTCTGAGTCAGGGGAATTTTCTACCTGTTGACATTCATGTCTTCCTGAATGCCCTGGCGACTCCTGTTCTCAGGGCCACCCAGCGCCACTGCCACGACTTCCAACAGATGGTTGTTTCTTCCTATACCTCTGTCCTGGCCCCAGCTGTCCAGCCAGGTCCTTTTTCCCTTCCAGGGTTGGAAAGTACTTCTGCCTGCAATTTTCCAAGCCTTGAGCATGTTAATCAGTTGCTCCAGATCTGCTGGTTGAATTTTAGGCCACCAGCACAGAGCACAATGGCTGGACTCAGGTGTCAGATGCCCAAAGAGGGGCAGGGGCTGCGAGAACCTGGCGTGGTACAGCACAGTGAAAATATCGAGTGCCAGTCAGGTCTCGCGGCCTAGGCACTTGCTTTACAACAAGCTAATTATTTTATCGGTTTCCTCTGCATGTGGCAAAGGACGGTGGAGCTGCAGGAAGCACTTCGATTCTTCTGTTCTATCAAGGTTCAAGTTGATGCACAGAAACGGGAAACCCACCAGGACTCTCTCCTTCTTAGACAGGGAAGGGATGAGAGTCTCGTAAATGGAGTCCTGGTCAAACTCTGGCTTACCATGGCCCACTGGGCCCCGAGACTCCCCAGGGTCACTGCCTGGTCTGGTCCGGGTGCATATTTTGGGCTGCCATGCCCGGCAGGTGGAGCCATCCCACATCAGCTCTGTGTTCTGTGTAAGAGCACTCTCAGTGGGGAAGGTCAAGTGTTCCCTCAGCAGCTTCAGCCTCTCTGGTCCAGATATCCCATCTCAGGAGGCAGGTCGTGATGAGTACCAACCTTAAAAATCTAAAAGATTCAGGGATGAGGGTCCGCTTCATATCTCTGTGTGCTTCACCTATCTAGCCCCTGCAGAAAGGGACTGAGTCCTGCAGGATGACCATAGACCACCATAAGCTCGCCCAGGTAGTATAGTATCCCTGACTCAGTTTCTGTGCCTGGGGCGTTACTCTTGCGAGAACAAATGAATTTGGCCTTCGGTACGTGGTCTGCAGTCACTGATGGAGCCAATGAGTTCTTTTCAATCCCAATCAGAAAAGAAGACCGGAAATAGTCCGCATTATCCTGAGATGGACAACAGTATGCCTTTACAGTTTTACCCATAAGTTTGCCAGTTAACCATCCTGCCCTCTGTCATAATAAAAATCCGGGCCATTAGGTTATCCCTAGGATATCACCTTGATCTGTCACGCTGATGACATGATCTTGATCAGGCCAGAAAAGCAAAAGGTGGTGGCTGACATGCTGCGGCCCTTGGAAAGCCACACACGCACACGCTTCAGAGGGTTGGAGATAAACCTTATGAACATACAGGGGCCTGTTACATCCCTAAAACTTTTACGGGTCCGGTGGTCAGAGGCATGCCAAAACATTATCATCAAAGTAAAAGACAGAGAACAGCATCTCTGTCTGCACCTAGTAAGAACCGACTCGGCCAGGCACAGTAGTTCATGCCTGTAATCCCAGCACTTTGGGAGGCTGAGGTGGGAGGATCACCTGAGGTCAGGAGTTTGAGACCAGCCTGGCCAGCATGGGGAAACCCATCTCTACTAAAAATACAAAACTTATCCGGGCACGGTGGCAGGTGCCTGTAATCCCAGCTACTCAGCTGGCTGAGGCAGGAGAATCGCTTGAACACGGGAGGCGGAGGTTGCAGTGAGCTGAGATCGTACCATTGCCCTCCAGCCTGGGCGACAGAGTGAAACTCCATCTCAAAAAGAAAAAAAAAAAACAAAAAAAAAAAAACGGATTCCTGGTGTGCCTTGGTAGAGGTGGAATGCCCAACCATGGGACACCGTGTGACTAGGAACACCATGTGACTAGAGGTCAGAGGTCATGCCTGCCCATCCTGGGGTGTGTTCTGTCCTCACTGAGTCATGAGGTTGAGTGGGCCCAGCAGTGGTCCATCATAAAACGGAGGTGTCACAGGATAAAGTGCAAGCAGGACCACAGGCTACCAGCAAGCCTCATGAGCAGGTGGCTCAAAGCCCCTTGCCTCTGCCTCTGCTGTGCCACTCCCATTTTCTAATGAAAGTCCCCTAGATCCCCCTTTGAGGGAGGCCTTGCTGCCTGGCTGCCGGCAGGGCAGTCTGTAGAGAGCCTTGAGCTGACATTTCCTCCAGGGTCGGCCTCAGCTGTGGAGAGCTGCACCCCCTAGTCTCTCCTTTCTGGGAGCCAATGACATGAGGTGACTAGGCGAGGCCTGGCCATGTCAGACTGACGAGGATCACCCTGACCACCATGCGGTGTCTCATGCACTTCGCTGGATGCGCCAGGGTGTTGGGGGCCTGCATAGTTCACCTCTTCCCTTTGCCCAAGGCTGCCACCACCCTCCTCCTTTAACAAGTGCTGATCTTGGATCATCATCTCCCACTTCACATTCCTCTTCAGCATCTGCTTCTGGAAAACAACCTTCCCAGAGACCCAGCAATAGATCAGTGATGTAAATCTCCACAAATGTTCTCCTTGCTCAAATAACAGGTCTGTGTAGCTGAATCGTTTGGTGAGATGGTTTCATTTCCAGGCTGGTGATGGCTCTGCCATCTGCAATACTTGGGTTCCAAGGGTATCCTGCTCATTTCTCTGCCAGTCCATGCGGGTAGGGGTGGAGAATGTGAAAAGGAGACGCATCTGCTTCTTAAATGCTTTGGCCTCAAAGTGACATACTGCACAGGGCCACATTCACTGCACAGGGGGTGGGGCAGCCCTGGTTGGGTGCCACCTGCTGCCCACATGGTCTCCCCTTGGTCTCATGTGGGTCCTGGCAGAAGCTGACATTGATGCTAGCAAGTGAATGTAAGCTGTATGTTTGGGAGACGATCCTAGGAAACACTAGGAGAGGATGGAGAATGACAAGGAGGGAGGGAGAAGACCCATAACAGGTGTGTTTTCAAGCAAGTTGCCACCTTGTACAAGCAGAGCTCACACCAGCATAACTCGGGGAGGAGGCAGGGTAGACCATGCCTGAAGTCAGCCCACCAGGAAGGAGGTAACCGCATCACCCACCGACCCTCTGCTCGTGGTCACTTGAGGCTGACCCCAGCAGCATCAACTCTCTGGTCCTTTGGGTGTTCTCTGTGTGGAGAGTGGCAGTGACTCAGCCGGCAGCCCTCAGCCTGTGGGTGCAAGTGCAGGGAGGAAACCGCCGCATCAGCCTCGCACCCTTAGTATGGAAGGGAAGATAAATTTTGGTGGACAGTTAGCCCAATATTACCTACTTAATATTGTTCTTCGAAGGTACTCACTTAAAAATGGATTTACTTTTTGAAGTATTTGGGCTCCTTCCTTCCCTGCCTCCCTCCCTCCTTCTCTTCCTTCCTCCCTCCTTCCCTCCCTCCCTCCTTCCTTCCTTCCTTCCTTTCTTCCTTCCTTCCCCACCCCGTTCCTCCTTCCCTTTCTCCCCACTCCTTCCCTTCCCTCCCTCCCTCCCTTCCTTCCTTCCTTCTTCCTTCCTTTCAAAGCACTATGTTCCAGGCACTGTGCCAACTACCCAGATTGTAGCAGTGCAGGAGGCTCAGGACCAGCCCTCAGAAATTCCTGTTTGATACAGAATGACAGAAGAGTTAGGTTGAAGCCAATGGTAAATTCCATAGAACTGAGGGGATACCCATGACCTTTCCGTGAATTTTTTAAATACACATTTTATTTGTAAACAAGGCATCTCCAAATACTGTTTTTTGTTGTTGTTGTCATTCAGGAAAAATGCACACGTGCAAGTGGAAATGATCTCTGTGTTCATGTGCGTCTGTGAATACGTGCCTGTGCCTGTGTGTGCCCGTGCATGTGTGTCTGTGGTGTGGTGACACTGTGGTCCTGGGGAGCCCTGCACATCAAAGGGCCACTGGAGGAGTGGTTCGCTTTGCCTTTGAAGAGACTTTCTGCCTCTTGAATGCAAACACAGCCTATCCACCTTTCCTCCAACTTTAATAATAGTTTTGTGAAAGCCCCAGGGACTCTTTGCCTTGCCTAACCTTCAAACCAGATTTACAGTCAAGGAATGTTAGACATGAATTAATTACCCCACTAAATACAAGCAAGACACAAGTGCACATAAAGGGGAAGAGAGAGCTCCTTATCTTCCGTACAGAAAAGATTACCAGAAAATGCTGCTGCATGATTCCTCCTGCCGTCTCACCTCCAATGCATTGGGAAGCCACCTGCTCCGAGTCATTTTCTAAGGAGAATCCCTCCCTCCCCCGACTCCCCCTCAGCTCCAGATCCACAACCCTGCATCCAGGCATGGATCCCTCACTTTCAAGGAGGCAGAGGGGCAAAACCCCTGTCTTTTCTATTCTGGGATGAGGTTTTAATTGCCTCTTGTTGCAGATGTGATTTTTCTGCTATTAGTTCTACCTTCTGAGAAGGTAAATGCTTTGTGTTGTGTTACAGCTGCTGTGCATTTTGTCTTTTAAATTGACTTTCATTTGCCTCAGCTGTGATTTCACCAACTCCATCAGTGCCATCTCTGGAAACTTCTCAGGGAAATAATAAAAAAGTTCAAAACAAACAGACAATGAAAAACCAAACAGCTCTTTATTGCCAATCTTCCTGTGAACTGGCATGACTTGGGATGCCTTGGGTATATAGGATTAAAAAAAAAAAGAGAATGTTAATTGCTCCCTTTTCAATTTGACTTGAAACTTATATGATAAAAGTATTTCACTTGAAACTTACATGATAGATAAAAACACTTTAAATACACACACACACACACACACACACACACACACACACACACAGAGAGAGAGAGAGAGAAATTGGTACCAAATCTTCTTCACATCAAACTGCACTTTCGAAGTTCTGCTTGTAAATAAATGCTAGAAAAGTAACTTCACAGCTGAGGGCAATGTTATGACAATTCTGTAGACTTGGCCCCTTTAGAATGAAAGTTTCAAGATGTGACAAAAAAAAAATGGTGATGGGTAGGGGAGAAAAAAAAGGCCCCTGGAGCCACAGTTTATTCAATATATTGAATCCAGATTTCATAAACCACAAAAATGTCACCCCAGAGAGCCTATGCAGAAATGTGTTTTCTTCAGAACTTCTAAAGTGGAAACTGAAATATACAATGAAGACAATTAGATGAAATTTGGAAAATGTCAAACCTAGGAGACCTAGGACAGCTTTAGTCTGGGACAGCTCAGAAGGGGATTCATGCCTGTATACATGGGTTGGAGCGGGGTGGTGTTCCTAAATGAAGGACTGCAACTGCCCGGAATGACAGGATCCAGAAGTATTTGAATCAATTAAGTCGGGGAGAGCAGAACTTTTTTGAAATTCTGCAACGTTGCTTTGTAGGTTTTTAAAAAATCAAATCTTGATAATTCCATGTCCAGGTGACCCTGACTGTGCTAGGAGGCTTTGCCTTCCAATTCCCCGTGCCAAGGTCAGTCTTGTGGGATGTTTGCAGCCACAAGGGAGGGAATAGCGGTTTGTAAAGTTTGGCCTGGACACAAATCAGGAGGGAGACCCTCCATGGGCATGCATTTGGAAATTCAGGCTGACCCAACCTAGTTGGGGGTGGGCGAGCCCAGGGCAGAAGAGAATGGGTGGTGTGGGGAAAGGCCCAGGGGTCAGCAGCCTGGCTCCAGACCATGTCTTCCTTCCTCTCTCACTACGGTTCCTTCAACTTCTTGGAGTCTATTTATTTGCCTTCACTATAAATGGGGAAACGATGGCCGCTTTTCCAGCTTGTGGTGAGGTTTACAGAGCAAGCCTGTGCAGTGAGCTTTTTAAGAAATTGGTTTGCTTGGTGATTACTGTGGACCTTTGAATAACCCCTCATTCTCCAACACCTAGAATCACTTGTCTCTTGTGTATTGACCAGGTCACTTCTAGAAGGCAGCGTTTTCATGAGCCACCCTAAGCATTGCTGAGGTTGACGGGGGGCATGGCTGTTGATTCCCGTGCTGAGCACCACACAGGGAGTAACTTAGGGAATCCTCACTGCAAAACAGGGAGCGTGCTGTCTTCAAGTTTTGAGTGAAGAAACTAAGTCACAAAGAAGTTGGAAGACCACACCTCGAGAAAGGGGTCTGTCTCCGTTGTGCACCATCATGCCCGACTCTGTGGTCCCCACAGTAGCTGCCAGCCCTAGGAGCTACTTACACGTAAATGAACTAACATTTAATTTAAAATTCCATTCCTTCATCACAACAGCCACATTTCAAGTGCTCAAAAGCCACACAAAGCCCATGGCTCCCATACTGGTTAGCGCTGATGTGGACCATCTCCATCACTGCGGAAAGTTCCACGGAACTGCACGAGTCCTTCCATTTAAATCCCAACCCAGGGACAGAGGGCTTATAAAACAGGGTAAATTTGGTAGTGATTATTCACGTGTGAAAAAAGAATTGTAGACTCCCAAAAGGAGTTGCCCAAATGACTTCTGTTAACCAGAGGATTGAAAAGTCTATTTCCAGATCATTAACTGCTTGACAGAAGAGGCTGTTCAGGGAGAGGGGAGAGAATTGGTGATGAGGCTCTGGAGAACATCTTCGAATATTGGGAGATGCTTTTTCATGACAAGGGTCCAAAATGCAGATGGAGCAGAGTCCTCCTCTGAAGGGGACACCCTCAGGCCAGCAGGTTCCAGGTCACCTCCTCAGCATTTTCCTCCGACTGGAATTCAGCTGCAAAAATGGGATGCCCAGCCTCACAGAGCAGGTCAATAGTGAGTCTGGAATGTTCCATCTGTAGACTCCCACCTCTCTCCCCACTTGGCTTCTGGTCCTGGCTTGACCACCAACTTGCTGTGTGACCTTGAGCCTTTGACTTTCTATGCCTCCACCTCCCCATCTGTAGATGAGAAGGCTGGGTAGCCCTGCAGCACCCTACACATCCCCTTCCATGCCTTTTCTCGGTCACTCATTATTTGTGTGAGGTGAGGGCAGAGCTCAGAGCATGAACAAGACAGCATGACCCACTCATCCCACGCTGTTGACAACATGACCCACTCATTCAATGCTGTTGAGATGCCTACCTGTCCTCCAAGTTCTCCAAGCCGGCCAAGTGTGAGGTGCTTGTGGGTGAATGATAACCTGGGTGAGCCACTGAGTTCGCCTTAGGGTTCAGTGTCCCTGGGAGTAGAGTAGGAGCCAGGGATTCTTGTTTAAGAAGAAATGCTCTCAGGAGCCACCTGTAGGGGAATGAAAGAGAGGGCTGGAAAAAGAGCCAATCAAAGAGGTGGGTTCAGGAGGATCCACTCAGCCCCACCCCATAGCAAAGTCTGGAGCCTGGGTTGCTCCTCAAAGTCTCTCCACTCCTGAGTCCCAGAGGCGAGAGACCTAGGCTGGTAGACTCCCCCTATCAGGCAGTCACTGACTCTGCTCATTCATTCACTCCATATCTCAATATTCCCCACCCCTGTAGAGGAGGAGATACAGCTTCTCAGGCACCCCCAGGCGAGGTGGCTTCCACTGGCCAATAGCAGTCTTCCAAAGATTGGTGCCTGTGTGAGCCATGAGTTGTTGTGGGGAGGGAGCGAGTGTATCAGGCACGTAATGGGGCTTTGGGCAGACACCCATAGCTTCCCCTACACAGTTCTAGCATCTTTGTTTTCACAATTATTCTATTGTTGAAAGGCAAGGAAAGGGCATTTGATTTCTGTTTGAACTTCTCTCAGTCCAGGTTCTTGCTTTTGCTTTGCCTTTTTTCAAGTAGAGGTACATTTTCATTCCTTCCACTGTTTATTGCGGTCCCTCAAATAGCAGTTATATCTCCTCCCCGGGAAGAAATGAAACCATCTGGTTTTGTCCCCAGCTAGCTGTGCCATGATAAATGACAGCTCAAAGGTTTCAGCCAGCACAGAGCACAGTGGAAAGTCGCCTCATTAACAAAGTGTATCATTGCATGTTCTGGAACAATCCATCTCAAAGGGGCCTGCATTAATTAGGAATATTTTCATTCAGCATGAGGCTGTGGTAGAACATTTGGCCGAATGGAAACAGGAAAGACATACCCAATTGCCCAGTTCACCAACATGTTTTGCAAAGCCTTGGTATTTAAATGTCTCTAAATAGACATTGCATTTGGCTTGATGCAACCTCCCCATTTAAGATTCCCATTTAAAACTTTTGCCTTATACATGTGATACTTTTCTCATTAGTCAAAGTGTTTCCTTCTAACAAGGTAAGGTGGTCGGGGAGGTTGAAAAGAATTCTTTTCTTGCCAGACCAGAAAGAAAGGAAATGTTTTGAAAGACTTACTGTTTTTTGTTTTGTTTTGTTTTGTTTTGTTTTGTTTTGTTTTTGAGACGGAGTCTTGCTCTGTCACCAGGCTGGAGTTCGGTGGCACAATCTCGGCTCACTGCCACCTCCGCCTCCTGGGTTCAAGTGATTCTCCTGCCTCAGACTCCCGAGTAGCCGGGACTACAGGCACGCATCACCACGCCCAGCTATTGAAAGACTTACTCTTACCTTTTATGATACACTAGGCTTGTGTCTGTGTCTCAACAGCTGAGAGAAGCCTCTGGCTTCAGCTTATGCATCTTCAAAGCCTCAGATGTCTCAATGCCCTGGAAGTAGCCAAATTAAATCTGACAATGATTAGGAGAGTAAGAATGTTACAGTACATGCTCTTCCTTGTAAAAGGCCGGAATTAGGTCTGGGTTGCCCCTGGCTTCCCGTTTGTAGCACAGATAGATTGGAAGTGGTGTTGGAAACAGCTCAGTAGGTAGACCATGAGTTGGGAGTTCGGATGGACCTGAATTCAAAATCCCAGTGCTGCCACTTATTGGCTGTGGATTTTGGATAATTCATTTAAACTCTAAGCCTCAATTTCCTCCTCTGTAAAATGGGAAAAATAATATAAATCTTATAGCATTGCTATGACAATTAAGTGTACAGAGTAAATGCCTAATACACATTAGCTATCATTATTGTTAATGACAATATACTGGCCTAAGGTTCCCATAGGGCTCAAAGGCAAAGTCCTTGAAGAAGGGTCCTCCTTCCTGGAGGGAGTTTATTTCACATGTATTTTCTGGAGCTTTCTTATCAGAGGGTATTGACATTTCAGTTTCTGGTCTTCACCTCAGAGAAGAGAGTGTGGGTGGGAAGACCCCTCTTGGGAGCTGGGCTTGTCTTGACTCCTACTTGGGGGAATTTCATACTAAGTAAGAGAGGTCAGCTTTCTTTATGGAAACTCAGCCTTCTCCCTGGACTGGGCAGCTCAGAACAACACAGGCTGCAAGAGAGCTTTTGTGTCTTTCTCCGGAAGGCAACAAGGCTAAGAATGTAAGAGTGTAGGTCAGTTGGTGACCTCAGAGCTCAGAATTCTAGTGGACTCTGATGGTCCTGCTGATAAGAAATAATGAAAAAAAAATTCTAGAGATAAGGGTTAAAGAAGATTCCCACGCCAATCACTTTCCCTCCCAATTACGGAAGAGAAAGACGTAGAATATAATATCATAAGATTTAGAAGATGACAAAATAACCTTGCCTTTTCTCCTCCTTGGGTGAAATTTCTTCCATTTTTGGACCCATTTCTACTTCGCTTACCAGCTCACATATGTCTGCATGAGTTTAATTAGGATGAAACATCCATGATTCAGCACACTCTTTGGCAAATGAGGGAAATAAGCACAGAAATAAAGACAGGAAACTACACTTGCATGCAAGTCTTGATCACCTGGGATTCATGGCAAATCTTCCCCTGGGGCTCTCAAGGCTGCGTAGGATACAGATTTAAAGAGGGAAGCAGGAGATGGCCTGGAGGGGGTGGCGAGGCTCTGGTGGTGAGGCTCCCTGCCTGGAGAGAGAACACAGAAGTTCCTAGGAGGGAGAAGTTCCTCGTACTGCCCTGCTTACCACTGTCGTTTTTTTGCAAGAAGGAAAAGGCATTTAAAAGTGCTTTGAGACAGTCCTGTAATGGATCAAACAATTAAATTCAACATGTGTCTCTTTAGCTCAGATATTTTGTTGAAACGTAATGAGCGTTCGCCTCTTATTGTAAATGAAATATTCCTCAAGGCTGCCGTAATTTGGAGAAGGGGATTCATGAGGAGCTTTTCAGCTTAGCCAGGCACAGGGTGGCAAGTGACTGTCAGGGAAACTAACTCAGCAGAGGTCTGAGCAGATTGTAGGGACTCAGAGGACGGACTCAGGGCATGGGGTGAAACAGAGGAGGCGCCGTGAGAATTTGTGAATGTAGGAAGACCGCATGGGAAGGCGGCCTTTTTAATTTGCCTGTTTCCTAACCAGATCCTTTCCTTCCCTTGGAGTTAGGAATTTTTTAGAGGATTCTGAAATGAATCAAGGCATACTATTAGAATGATACCATCTACAGGACACGGATGCCCTTGCTTCTCTGAGTGTGGAGGGAAGACACTCTTGGTGCTTCTTATCACTCATTTCTGGCTTCTTTGGAGAGAGCCTAAGAGTTGTTCCCATCTCCTGTGAGCAAAGGAGGCTACGTGTCTGGGTGAAGCTGTAGAAGCCCCCAGGCTCAGAATTACAGAAGCAGGGGTTCTCTATGGCATCCCACGGGAAAATGACTCATGACAAAGCCATTTCCAGACACAGAGCTATACACGTTTCTCATTCTTACCGTTAATATTCATGTTTTATTGAAAAGAAAAGTGAAAAACAGATTGTTCTTTTTCCTCCAAGAAGGACCCCGTTTTTGTCTATGAAGGCATGAGACGTTTATAGAACTTCCTGGGAGGTCCCCTGAAATAAATCCTGGACAACAAAGCCATTAAAAAATGGAGTCAATGATATAATTTTAAAAGCAACATGTGCACCAGGCGTGGTGGCTCACGCCTGTAATCCCAGCACTTTAGGAGGCTGAGGCGGGCGGATCACAAGGTCAGGAGATCGAGACACTCCTGGACAACATGGTGAAACCCTGTCTCTACTAACAATACAAAAATTAGCTGGGCCTGGTGGCAAGTGCCTGTAATCCCAGCTACTCGGGAGGCTGAGGCAGGGGAGTCGCTTGAACCCAGGAGTGGGAGGTTTCAGTGAGCCAAGATCGTGCCTCTGCACTCCAGTGTGGTGACAGAGCGAGACTCCATCTAAAAAACAACAACAACAACAAACAAACATGTAATACCCACAAAATGGAAACAAAGGAGATTTTGCTCTCAGATAAACAGATGTCCAATGTACATGTTTATCTATGAGGGTTCATGCAATAAACAAATAGCAGAACACTTGTTCACTCACCTAGAAGCTGACATGTGTTGAGCATCTACTGCGTGTCAAGTCCTTGCTGAGTTCCAGGGATGTGGCTGTGAGGGAGACACCTTGACCTTCTCAGAGCTCACAGCACAGCGCTGAGGAGAAGGATGATGAAGTGAGGTGCCCATGTGCCAAGAGAGGAATAAAAAGGAATGGGTGGTGGGTTCTTTGGGGTGCAGGGGAAGGGGTTTGGAGAGACTCAGAACTGGGGAGAAGCTTGAATTGGATGGAGAAGGAGTCTCCCCTTCTGGGCAGAGCAAGCAGCACAGACGCATGGCCACATTGGACGTGGGGAAGGGATGCCAGGTCAACCCTGTGTGGGAGCAGAAGGATGGAAGAGCTGGGACAAACTCACGAGGAGCCTTGGAAACCATGCTGGAACTTTAGGCTTCACTATGGAGGCAGCAAGCGGTTAACGAAGCCCATAAACTCATGTAGAATGTGAGCTGTTCTTCATTTTTTAGTGTTCACTCCAGGCGGGGCAAAAATTGGACCAGAAAGGGAAGAGACCAGGCCCTGGGAAGTCAGATAGAGGCTTTAGCAAGAGACAGTTGCCAAGATGAAACTGGCCCAGATGAAACTCCCTGATTTCCTGACTTTGACACATGTCAGCACACATCTCTCATCTTCTAATGAGAGGCAACAGAAGAGAGGTGCAGGGAAGGGGCATCTCCCCATCAGCAGCATTTCTGACCCCACCCTATCTGGGAAATCCAGAGAAATAGCATGGGAAGTGGAGAGGGGGGGATGAGGCCTCTCTACATGGAGGAAACCCAGGAAGAGAGGGCCTGGAATCCCTTCTCTCCATCCTCTGGGATTGGCTCTCTGGAAATGAAGAGAAGGGTGAAGAAGCCCTGGTGTGATTTCTCAGGGGATGAGCTGCAAGAATAGGTAGGATCCCTGCAAGACCAGTGTTGATAGTGGAGATGGAGGTCTTAGGAAAATCATTTCATCGCCCTGGATAGAGTGGCTGCCTGTAATGAACATGACGCTCTTCAATTCACACTGAATAAATTAATTGATGGAGAGCACATGGCAGGATGCATACATTCCTCATTGATATGCGTCATTGGAAACCAAGAACTAATATGGAAAAAGATTGTGTGAGCATCTTCAGCAGCCCCCAGGTAATCATGAGGCACGAGCAAATCCAGAGGTAGCCTTAGGAAACGTTCTAATCCCCTTTCCCCTTGCTGCTGCTGCTGCTTCTACTTTAATTTTAAAAAGTTATTGATGGCCTGGCTCAAAAATCCCTGCTTTTCTATTCAAGCAGCTTTCTTGAAGTTTGGAAAATAGAAAATACTCTCCTGGGTATAAAGAACACACATTTCAAGAGTGAGTAACCTGGCGAAGTGAGATTAAAAAGTTGGCCGTAGATACCACAGTTGTCAGACACGGTGTTTTATTATCCAGGTTCTTAAAAGTAAGTGCTAAGTAAAGGTTTCTTCCACCAGTATGCACAGAGGACTATTAGCTTGCTCTCAGATTCAGTCTTCTGGCGCTTCTTAGACATCGCCTCCAACACCTGCTCAGCTGAATACCTGATATTGCTTTTTTCCCTCTCTCCACCTTCTCTCTCCCCGAGCAATCAAAGCCCAAACAAACACTTGTCATTTGCCCTCTGACATAGCTAAGATTTAAAATGTCAACAATATCTGAAATATAAAACAAATCCACTGCTTCTAAAACAACAACCACAAAAAGCACTAATAGTTACAGAGTGTCCCTGTCAGTCCCTATTTATGAGACACTAAAGCATTCCCACCACAGACGTGGACCCTGGGGCAGCTGGGGAATGGGAGAAGCTATGCCATGATATAGGGTGACGGATGATGGAATGACACTTAGAAGTTGAGTGTTTTTTGAATTTCATAGGAAATGATGATTGCTCTTGGCATGGAGACACTTGGATCTCCTTTCTCTCCCGAGGATATAGTTATCCTCAGACTGAGCTGGAGCAAACATTCAGCCAGGGATAAATTTATGACTTTAGCTCATACAAGATGTGATACATTTGCACATAGCCAATTAGCATTGGGCTTCTCAAGCGGATGTCCAGATTCACCCTTGGGTCCTCAAAAAACTTCCAAAAGACAGCTGGATGTGAAGCTGGAATGCCCCAGTTGGAAAAAGCCTCCACTATTTATTGGCTCTATTATTCAGAGGGCAAGCTAAGCCATCTTGAGGCCTCACTTTCCTCATTTACAGAAGGAATTAACACGGTTTACATGTGGTGTCAAGATCACACGAAAGCATGAACATGCAAGTTTCCAGCATGGTGTCCAGCCTTCCTGTCTCTCTCCAGACCTCCCTTTCTTATTTGTTCACTCATCCATCCATCCATCATGGACTCCCGGTCATATACCAGACACCATGCTGTCACTGGGCACAGAGCTGTCAACAAGAGAGATTGTCTCTGGCCATGTGCAACTCACAGACTGAAGAGGAGAGAGAACTTTTCCAGACTTTGCTGGGAAGAGAGCAAAGCAGCGATGCTTCAGAGAGCACTGGGCAGGAGAGCCGGAAGTAGTCAAGGCCGGCCGCTGTGGGGTGGGAGAGAGGGGACAGTAGTGTTAACACCCCTGCAAGGGCATCTTTTTGAGCACCCCATCTGTACCAGACACCCTGCCAGCCTCTGAAAACAACATTGATTAAAAAGAACATCCCTGGCTGCCACCCTCATGAAGTTCACGATCTAGTGGGGGATATGGCTGTTACCCAAAGAATCACACAAAGAAGTAGAAAATGATGAGATTGGTGTGGGCAAAAGGAGGGGCTCGGTGCCAAGACGGCCTATGTTAGGGGGATTTGGCCCATTAAAGGGTCTGGGAACATGGCCCTGAAGCAACTGTGTTCGAGCTGAGCCCTAAAGGTGGAGTACGGCCAGGGCAGAGGGAACTACTAGGCCAGGAGTGCCTGGGGTGTAGGGCAGTGGAGTGCCTGGGGTGTAGGGCAGTGAAGGCCCTGAAAGGAGGCCGAGGGCAGGGTGCAGCTGGAGGAGGTGCAGGTGTAGGAGAGCCTTGTGGGAAAGCCTGGCCAGGCTGGCTGCCCAGGACTGGGCCAGGCTAACAACGCAGCATGGTTCTGCAGATCGCAGGAGGCGGCCCGGGTGCCAAGCAGCGCATGAGTGACCCGAGCATCGGGGGAGGTGCATCTGCCCTCAGAAGGCAGGCAGAGTCGTTCTCTAGTCTCTTTTGCTCCGTTTCCCATCTTACCCCTCCTTGTCTTCCCTGGGTCGGGAAGGACCGAAGGGGGCCCAGCCCAGCGAGTTGGGAGCCCAAGTTGGAGGTGACTTCCACCTTAGTTTGCTGCCCTAAAGGTACTGCCCCCGGGATTCCCTTCCAGGGGCATCTTATGTATGTGACTGTGTTCTGCTCCTTCCTGGTCACCTCAGTGGTACCGCACTGCAGACACTGGAGTACATTTTACTGATGGCAGGACAACCTAGGTTGAAAATTAGTTTTTGCAGCAATGTTTATAAAGTAAAAGATTGAAAACCCTGTGTCATGTCCATCAGTAGGGAATGGGTTGAACAGCTCACAGCAGGACTCCTTAACTCTGGCATTATTGACATTTGGGGGGTGGGGAATTCCCTGTGGTGTGGCCTGTCCTGTGCATTGCAGGATATTTAGTAGCATCCTGGAGGGCAGAATCACCCCCCAGTTAAGAACCACTGGATTAAGATTCATATACGCTATTGTCTTGTTGCTCAGCTCAAGAAAAGAAGGGAGGGTCCCTTTTCTGATTAGGAATCCCAAGCAGACCCAGCATGAGCAGCCCTCCCTTGAAGCCAGCAGCTCAGTGTGAAGAGCTCCCAGACAGCCCTTGTCAGGCCTGGGGACAGAGGAGGGTGAGGACTTGAAAAATCACCAGCAGAGAGTAGAAATGGAAA
Organism: Homo sapiens; assembly: GCF_000001405.40. Lineage (NCBI taxonomy): Eukaryota > Metazoa > Chordata > Mammalia > Primates > Hominidae > Homo > Homo sapiens. Next base: position 59,453,864 of record NC_000020.11, read on the forward strand.
CCACCTGTGCACAGTTTTCCTCTATGCGGGCTGGCTCTGCAGCTGCAATAAGAAACATCGAGAAAAGCTGATGAAGTGGGGAAAAGGATCCAGAACAGATGTGTTTCCTGTACACATTTCAAATGTGCCGGGCAGAGGCCGGCGGAGGCCCTATGGGACGCAGAGAGGCCCTGCTGTGTTGAGGTCCCAGCTGCCATTTTGCCTGCCTTCTTGGGCTCCAGGATGTTGGCCTCAGGCTCCCCGCTGACCAACCCTGTTTGGGGTTAAGTGAACACCGCTGGACAGACGTCAAGTCATGAGAAAAACTCCATCCTGAGAGTCATCTTAAGCTTCTTGGGATTTCAGTATGCCCAATTGATTCCAGCTGGTGTCAAATCAGCATATTTTGCCTAATTACATTCATTTTTGCAGGTGGTCGCCATCGGTTTCATTTACAAGAACTCAGAGTAGCCCCAAGAAATGAACTAGATAGCTGGCAGAGCAGTCCACAGTGGGGAAAAAGTCTGTTTTTGTGAACACTGAATTGACATATGCTTTTCCATAAACCCAGGCTTGCAAGGAGTCGTGCTCATGGCCTCCTTGTCTACTTTCCATCCCTCAGTCTCTCTCTCTTTTTAAGGCATAAATGTGAAAAGAAAACAAATCTCTCCTCTCCTATCTTCCCCGGCCCGACTCAGGGATTTGAACGCTGCTCATTGCTGGCCCAGCTGAACCAGGGGGCCCAGACCTTAGCCTCCTTTGGAAGACTGCCATGTAAATCAGTGGCCTACACCAAGTTTTCTCAGTAATGTGAGTCCTTCCTTTCCCTAAAAATGGGAAATGGGGCCTCCACAGGTCATCAAAAATGTGGCTTAAGCCTGGTGTGGTGGCTCATGTCTGTAATCCCAGCACTTTGGGAGGCTGAGTGGGTGGATCACCTGAGGTCAGGAGTTCGAGACCAGCCTGGCCAACATGGTAAAACCCCATCTCTACTAAAAATACAAAATTAGTTGGGCATGGTGGCACATGTCTGCAATCCCAGCTACTTGGGAGGCTGAGGCAGGAGAATCGGTTGAACCTGGGAGATGGAGGTTGCAGTGAGCTGAGATGGCACCACTGCACTCCAGCCTGGGCGACAGAGTGAGACTCCGTCTCAAAAAAAAAAAAAGAAAAAAGAAAAAAAAAGAAAAAGAAAAAATGTGGCATAAAAACAGAACATCTGGCCAGAGATCATTGTTTAATGGAATCCTCTCCAAGGGTTCTCTCTCTTGCAGACCCGTCCAGGGCATTTCAGAGAGAAGAGCCTCGAAGCCCAGCCCGGAGAGGCAGACCAGAAACAACTGAAAGCAGGCCGGGGAAGATAGGAGAGGAGAGATGTGTTTTCTTTTCGTATTTAGGCCTTAAGATCCAGCCCATGTCAGCCTATCTCCTCCCCAATTGCGGGAGTCAGACACATGTCCCCCGGAACAGAACAAGGTGTGCAGCTGGGGAGGAGACGTGCCACTGTCTAGCTTGGGGCCCACCTGCCATGTAGCTCCCAAATAACATAGTGAAGTGGTTAAAGGGCACTTGTTCTGGAGCCAAGTGGACCCAGGTCCAAATGACAGCTTTCTGACTGACTTTCACTCACTTACCTGGGACCTTAGGCAAGTGACTGGTAGCACTGAGGTCCTGCAACATGTGGGCAACCCTATCTCCCCCGGGGGTGACTGTGAGATCAGAGGAAATGTGTGCAAAGCACTAGCACAGGGTGAGGCTTTGGCACACAGTGCACTGGGCTGGCTGTGATACATGGTAGCTGGCACAAGGTCAGGTCTCAGACTGCTGCAAGTATTACAGGGCAGTGAGACATTGTAGCCATTGCAGTTATCATCAATATTCCCTAGCTCTGATAATTCTCTCTCCTCACCCCAACCTGTGGGAGTATAGAAAATGGGTACTAGCAGGAAAAAAAGCCCAGGGTTTGGCAGGATTCAGGCCATTTCAGGGCTGTTTATGGACAGAAACTTCTCAGTCTTTGGATCACGGCAAGGAAATTTTTTTCCAAATCCTTGGGTAGCTCATTTGTGAGGCAACAGCACCCTCTCTGGTCGGAAAGCAGCATTTTCTCTAGAATTTTCTCTGGGGGCTTCAGGGCACCTACACCCAAAAAGTGAACAGGTGTGTAAATGAGTGTGGTGTGGTCTTTATCCAAGGAGGTCAGGGCAACCTCAGCATCTCCCCCTTATCTGTGGGCGACTGCATCCATTTCTTCCCCCTCATTCTTCCCAGCTTTCATTGCTTCTGAACTGCTGACAGTGGGGACAGTGGGGACAGTGGGGAGGGAAGTATCTGTGTCTGAGGAGCCCGCAGTACCCCCTCTCAGGCTTAGCCACACTGGCTGCCTGCTCCAGTTCCACCCTCGGGGCCAGCACTTACTCGGCATATCCGAGTTTTGGTTTGTCCTGGCCTTTTACAGTCCTGGGAACTGTGACTGGACCTCCACTCACACTGACCTCTCCCCAGCACCCTTCTCCACCACCACTACAGAAACTTGCATGCTATTTGGTTTGGAAAATTCCAGAAGGCCCGACTCTCCTGTGGGTCTGTGTCACCCCTGACCAAGTCCCAGCTCTGAGGTCTCAGGCAGGCCAAGCTGCCTCTCTGAGCTCCTAGAGCCTCAGCCCCGGAGGGGCAGTGGTGGGGCATTCACAAAGTAATCTGTGGTCATACCTGGCTCCAGCAAGCCCACAGGCTGTGCCTGCCATGCCGACACGCCCCTTCACACTGCCAGCAAGTGGCTGCGTGGTCCTGTCTCGGGGGCTTCCCCCACCTGTGGTCCGGGTGTTGTCCCATTCAGCCTTGTGACATCTCTGCGAGCTCCCCTTCTCGTTGCCAACCTACCCTGAGAGATGCAGCTCAGAGAGAGGAGCGGGCCCAGCCTGCTGGGGGTGTCCCTCCAGTCTAGAGCGAGACTCTCACCCAGGCCCCCCATGGCCCAACAGAACCCTGGGGGCTTCCAGGCCCCACACCCGCTGCTCCTCACGACCCCTTTTCTCTGTCTCCATGGAAGCTTGGAGATACAAGTTGGAGAGAACAAAAGCTCGGGGGCCCTTCCCGGCCACTCCCAGCCCGGCTCCCTGGGCCTCCGCCCGCGGGCTGACAGCACAGAGAAGCTTCAGGAGCGGTTCAGCTTTGCTCTCACCTGCTCTCTTGAGCAATCTGTGATGGCTGTCAGAGAAACGCCTGCTTTAATTAGTTCTTCACTGATTACTATTAAGTGGCACGTTATGTAATTATCCCAGGGCAGGCCCCAAATGGAGTCTATTTCAAGCAGTTACCTGAATTTTGTGAATGAAAATTATGGTGATTCCATCTCGACTACACCACCCGGCACCCAATCAACACATATAGTGGCAAACCCAATAACCCTCCAACGGGCGGTGAACAATGCCATGGCTCCTGCGTCCAGGCTGCCTGGCAGCTCACGGGATGCTCACAATGGCCCTGACAAGTGTTTGTCTCACAGGTTGGAAAACTGAGGTTCAGAAAGAGTGGGTAATTTGCCAAAGTCACACAGCTGGGAAGTCACACAGCTGGGACTGGAGCTCAGGCAGTCCAGCTCCAGAGTCCCAGCTCCTAACCTCTATGCAGTTTAGTTAGTGACTACAACTGCTGTTTATTTAGTGGCTTATGTTGTTAGTTAACCACAGAGATAGATGATTTGTACGCATCATCTTTCCTAATCCTCACTACCAAGTGGAGGTGGTATTATGCCCATCGTACAGATACAGAAACTGAGGCACAGAAAGATCTAGCTAGCTGGAAGTGGCAGAGATGGTTTTCTATGGCTTGACAAGCCTCTTAGCACGTACTCTTAGCTAGGAGGCAGTACTGTGGAAAGGTTTGCCTTTGTCCAGAAATAGAAAGTGTAAGACCCCATCAGAGCTAATGCTCATTCAGCACCTGCTCCGTCCAGGCACTTCCCTTGGATCATTCAATGCCCACATCACCTTTGTGGGATTGGTCCAATTATTATCCCCCCTTTCACAGATGAGGAAACTGAGGGTAAGAGGAACTGGGGGAAAGACTTTGTGAAGGTTCCACAGCTGGTGTGTAGCAGAACCAGGACATAAGGTTGCTAAAACCACAGCCTAAGCTCTTAGCTGTCACTCTATCAGTTACCAGGATTAATATCACCACACACGGCCTGACCTCTGTTTAGGAATGTGCTTTGGCCAGAAAATGAATTCTAAATTATTGTTCCTTCAGGATGGGCAGTAGGGTACTAAGAACACACTACTTCTTCACTGGCCTTTGCTCTGAGAAGAGGGATGTGCTGGACATGTAGTTGCCTGGGACTGGGGCGCTGGGAGGTGATTGGCTCATGGAACTGGTGGTAAGAAAACCCAGGATGTACATTTTTTTTTTTTTGAAACAGAGTCTCTCTCTGTCGCCTAGGCTGGAGTGCAGTGGTGTGATCTTGGCTCACTGCAACCTCTGTCTCCTGGGTTCAAGCAATTCTCCTGCCTCAGCCTCCCGAGTAGCAGGGATTACGGGCACCCCCCACCATGCCTGGCTAATGTTTGTCTTTTTAGTAGAGATGGGGTTTCACCGTGTTGGCCAGGCTGGTCTTGAACTCCTGACTTCAAATGATCTACCCTCCTTGGCTTCCCAAAGTGCTAGCATTACAGGTGTGAACCACCGCACCCAGCCCAAAATGCAAATTCTTATTGCTTTCCCCGAGTCTGCTGGCAATCCTGTCCTTCTTTCTAGACTCCCATCCTTCATCTTTCATATCTTAGGTCCTCTGCCTACTCCTCCAGCGACACCTCCCCAGAGGACAGAGGCTTTTGCATTTGTGGAGAAACCCCTCTATTTCCTTGTCTGCTCAGCATCTAGGCACCCTTCACTGGTAGCAGCAACTTATTCCACCTCGGGGAAGAGCCCACACTCACTCTCAGTCCACATGACTGCCATGGGGTTTACCCTTCCTCCTCCCTGACCTAGTGGGTAAGCATGTGACTCAGCCTGGCCAATCAGAGTCACAGTCATTTGGTTAGTGATGGGCATGTGACCAAATTCAGGCCAGTGAGATCAGGTCTGGGAATTTTGCTGAGATTATTGGGAAGGTTCTCCTTTTCTCCTGCTGGGATGGCAGTCTGGAACTGCTTTTCTGCAAGGCCTGAGAAAGAAGCTGTGGTTATAGTCTTCAAGATGTCCCCTCATGAGTCTCACCTCCTAGTATTCATGTCCTTATGTAGTCCCCTCCCACCTTGGATAAGGCTGGCCTGTGTTACCATAGAAGGTTGCAGGAATGACGGAGTGTGACTTTCAGGCTAGTTCATTAAAGACTTGCAGCCTTTACCCTGATGTCTTGGATCTCTCTGTCTGTCTGGGAAAACCCTGTGGCCATGTTGGGAGGTCACTCAAGCAGCTGTGTGGCGATATCCACATGGAAAGGAACTGGGGCCTCCTGCCAATAGCCATGGGAGTGAGCCCTTTTGGAAACAGATTCCTCAGCTCCAGCAAAATCTTTAGATAACTGCAGGCCTGGTTACTATCTTGACTACAGTCTCATAAGAAACCTCAAACCACTACACCACTTCTAAACTCCTGACCCACAAACACTGTGAGATAATACATGTTTATTGTTGTTTTAGGCAGCTCAATTTTGTGGTTATTTGTTGCAAAGCATTAGGTAGCAAATACAGACACAAATACAGAACACAGCACTGAGAGGTGGAGAATGAATGTCAGATTCCTCATATTTCAACCACCTAGATCCAGCCATGCCTCAAGTCAGCACGCTTTGGTTTGCCGGTTACATGAGCCAACCATTCCTCCTTTGGCTCAAGCCAGTGTGGATTTCTTTGCAACTAAAGAGCCCTCGCCAATACAGAGGTTGTCACGAAAATGTGTGCCCCAGGAGCCAAGAAAAATCTCAACCACCAGATCCCAGGAAGGGCAGGAACCACAGGAGAGGACTTGGGGGTGGAGGCAGCAGGTGGTGGAGGCCCTTTACTCTAATGTCTGCCTGAGGACGCCGCAGCCCTTGCTGCAGGACCTTCCTCCTCACTCACAGTCTCACCCCCTTTACACTAATGTCTGCCTGAGGATGCCACAGCCCCTGCTGCAGGACCTCCTTCCTCCTCACACACAGCCTCACCCGGATTCCCATCTTCTCCTTGTCCTTCTCCTCCCTGACTCACGCTTCCTGCTTTCTTGTTGTTCCAGCTTCTTTGTGGCTTCACCTTCACCTTCGCCACAGGCTCCCCTACACTCAGGCTTCTCCGGGGGTTCAGCCTATAGGGACCCTCAGCAGGAGCTCAGCCAGGGAGAAGAGACTGAGGTTGGTTGTTTATCCCCCTGGTCCCCCCAAATAAGGATCTAAGTGTCAATGGCAGCCCTCTGCTAGCCCTCAGGTCACTGGTGCTGACATCAGATTCCAGTAAGCATTCCTTCCTTTTGCCCCATCTGGCACGAAGGTGGTCATGTCCTCCCACCTGATCTGGGCACACACAATTTTTCTTTCCAATTATATAAATAAAACATTTGTAATTTTAAAAACTCTACAGTTTGCATGGGGGAGGGCAGGGACTATAGCACCAATCAGGCCGTGGGGACACAGTGTCCTCTGACAGCAGCATCAGGGTTCAGGCAGGCCGGGAGGACATATCAGAGCTGGTGGCCTTGGACGGGGCAGCAGCTCCTCCAGCCTGAGGAGTGCCACCCCCTGTGTGGCCGTGCTGCCCAGCAGGCCGGCTCCCTTCCCTCTAGGGTGCCAGCAGCAGCTCCTACTCCTCACGAGTCCACTTGATCATGGTCTCCAGTGAGCGATAGAGGAAGATGAGCTTGGCAGACAGCTCCTCCTCCAGCTCCAGCTCATGGGTCTCGCACGCCAGGAAGATGTCCTGGCAGAGCTTGAGGATGTGGTCCCTGCATGGCAGCTCCTCCAGTGTGATGGAGTGTGAGATCTCGCTGAAGAAGCTGCACATGGACTTGCCCGTGACCAGTGTGACCCCCTCGGCCCACACCTTTATAAACTGTCCCTGTTCTCAATTCCCCTCCATTTTCACCATCTCCTGCCCATGCCCTGGCTGATACAGTGATCGACTGTCGTTGTCATATCTGTTTTGCAGGGGAGGAAGCTAAGGCACAGAGAAGTGAAGCAACTATGCATTGTCACACAGCGAGAAAGTGGCAGAGCCAGGGTAGCCAGGCAGTGTGAGTCCAGAGCTTTTCAGCTGTGTTCCAAAGGCAATGTAGTGACAGGCTTTGATCCATGGTTTAGAACAAAGGCTCGGGTTAAGGTGGGGATGCTGGGCTGCAGGGAAAGACCCTGGCATCTGGAACTAAAAGGCTGTGGCCATCATCCAGGTCTGAGATGAGGCAGTGGGGTGCAAAGGAAGAGCAGTGGACACCACACTGGCAGAACATGGTGGAGGGGTCCGAGATGGGGCCTGGGCTTGTGATGTGGGTGACTCGGGCGATGGTGATACCCTCCCCTTCGACGGGAACAGATATGGAGGTGCTGGTACAGCTCATGGCTCTGAGGGCTGGGTTTTGAGATGCACAGAGCATCTTGGAGTCAGCCTTGGCTTCAGCTCCTGGGAAACAGGATGCAGACCCCCCTCAAGCTCATGGACTTTCTTCATCCACCCCCTGAAAGCTGGCAGCATCTGTGGCTCCCATCGTGGTCGTGGGCTGTGTCTGATCCTGAAGGCTGGGCTTCAGCCTGCCCTCCACCCCCACACGCATCTGACAGCCTATTTTGCGTTAACACCGAGATGCGTCAATGGGAAGCTCAATGCAAGCCCCTGCTGGGAGCCTTAACAGTTTCCAGCTAACTAACCGTGCCTCATGTACGTTTAAAATAGTTTTTGCTATTACTGCAAGGCCCGCAAATCAATTTCTTAGTCACAGAGTCTGCTTCATCTCCCAGCACAGGTGAGTTGAAGCAGGATGCTCATTAAAAGAAACAACGGGGTGTAAACGCAAGCGCAGTGGATGGGAGCCCCAGGGAGGGTGGGTCGGCGCTGCTGGCAAATGTTCAAGATCAACCTGAGACACGTGGTCCCCAGGGAGGTGCAGAGTGCACCGTCCCATACGCAGAGCCGGACACCGCCCCAGGCCCTTCTCCTTTGCCATCTCCCTGCCTTCCCACACTGCCAAGGTGGCAAGGGCGCCTGTGTCCCCATCCTACAGAAGGAAACATGGAGGAATTAGAAGTGGAGCCACTCCAGCCAGGCAGCATTTTGAATATTCCTTGAGCACCTACTGTGTGCTTGGTTCCATGCTAGAAGCTTGGGCCACAACGGGGAAATAAGACCACAGTGTCACTGCTCATGGGGCACTGGCATGCAGATGGGGAGACAATCAATACCAAAACAAAGAAGGAGACAGCCCAGAGTGTTAATGCTCTGGAAAAAAATAACAAAACAAGTCAATGTGATATTAAAAATCTCTGGGAGGGAGCGGGGGGTGCATGTCAAAGACGGTCTGAGGCCCAAGTCCCCAGAGTGAGTGCCTCACGAGGGTCTGGGAGGAGCCTCTCAGGCAGAGGGCAAAGCACGTGCAAAGGTGCTGAGGAAGGAACAAGCTGAGGCATGAACAGGAGGGCACGGCGGGCCAGGCTCTGTGCACCGTGCTGAGGGACGTGAGTGAACTGAGTGTGCTGAGATGGCACAAGCCAGAGGAGAACAGGGTGCTGCTTTTCAAAGCCCAGGCATCTTCACCACTGTGGGCCAGGTTCCTAGGTTCCAGGGCTCAAAACGTGGACGTATCTTTTGGGAGGCCACTATCCACCCCCCACAAAATGGATATGAACATGTGTAGAGATGCAGACACTGATATGGATATGGGTGCAGATAGAGATGTGCATACAGATGTAGCTAAATGTACAGTGACCTCGTGACATTGTAATTGATGATGATTGAAGATTTATCATGAATGATAATGACAAAGGCAGCCAAAGATGCCATCTGGGCCAGTCGTGGTGGCTCATGTCTGTAATTCCAGCACTTTGGGAGGCCAAGGCAGGAGGATCACCTGAGGTCAGGAGTTTGAGACCAACCTGGACAACATAGCAAGACCCCATCTCTACAAAAAAGTAAAAAATTAGCTGGGCATGGTGGTGTGTGCCTGGACTCTCAGCTATTCAGGAGGCTAAGGTGAGGGGATTGTTTGAGTCCAGGAGTTTGAGGCTGCAGTGAGCTAGGATTACACCACTGCACTCCAGCCTGGATGACAGAGCACGACTGTCTCAAAAAACAAAAGAACAAGCCATCTTCACAGATCCCATTTCTTATGGAAACTGATGCCCAAAGCAGCCTCACCACAAGCATCTTTCCCATGGAGCCAAATCGAGTGTGTCTTCTTTGCCCCTAATCCAGAGAAGAGTGGTTGTGTTAGCATCCACTGTTGCCTGTTGCCTCCGAAGGCCAGGCCTGGAGATGGCCTTCTGGTTGAGAAAGGTCCTGGTTTTATTTTTTGCAGATGGGGAAACAAGACTGGGAGAGATCACCATTGATTTCATAAATGTTTATTGAGTATCTATTACATTCCTGGCCCTAAAGATACAAGAGTAAATGAGAAAGATGAAGTCCCTCTCCTTGAAGTAACTTGTTCAAGGTCGCACAGCTACCAAGGGTCTAGGCTGGGATTTGCATTAGGTCAGCCTAATCTCAGAGCCATTGTTCTCTCTCCTAGGGCCACCTGGCCATGATCAGGGACCTCTCAAAAGCCAGGGGATTTTTAGCAAGAAATCTCCAGGCAGGGACATGGCAGTTCACACCTGTCTGGGATTCAGAGTCCCAGAGTCAGCCCGTGCAAGACTAGTCTCATTGGGAGGGGTGTGTCTTCCACCTTGGGAGCTTGGCCACTCCCAGCTCAGGCCCCATTTGGTGTCCCCCACCCCCAGCACTAGTGGAGGCACCTGGTCCTCCCTCTACCTGAGGAGGTGGCCCTTGGACTGGCTAGTGTTTGTTGTCTGGCCTCTTTATTGCCTCGTGATATGGTTACACTCTGTGTCCCCACCCAGATCTCATCTTGAATTGTAATCCCCATAATCCCCACATGTCAAGGAAGAGAGTAGGTGAAGGTAATTGAGTCATGGGGCAGCTTTCCCCATGCTGTTCTCATGATAGTGAGTGAGTTCTTATGAGATCTGATGGTTTTATAAGGGGCTCTTCCCCCTTCAACCTGTACTTCTCCTTCCTGCTGCCTTGTGAAGAAGGTGCCTTGCTTCCCCTTTGCCTTCTGCCACGATTGCAAGTTTCCTGAGGCTTCCCCAGCCATGCTGAACTGTGAGTCAATTAAACCTCTTTCCCTTATAAATTACCTAGTCTTGGGCAGTTCTTTATAGCAGGGGAAAATGGACTAATACACCCAGAGCTGGCCTCTGCCATGAACCCTTCCTGTGATCTTCCCTCTACAACTATTCTGGTATCATCTTGTCCTGGAGGTCTCTCCTAACCCATCACCGATTGCTCTTGTGCCACCCTCTGCAGATCCATGTCTCAGACCATCATCTGGGACTGTCCATCTGTCTCCCCTTCCAGACTGGGAGCTCCTCAAGGGCCAGCTTTAATTGTACCCAAGTCCCAGTATCTGGCCCTGGGGCAGATCAACAGCAACACCTTGTGACCCCTAGGCATGGCCTTGAGACCAGCCAAACCAGCCACCTGCAGCTTCTTCACAGAGGCCATGCTCCCCATGGCCTCTGGAAGTGCACAGGATCTCTCTGTTCTTTCCGTTTCTTAGATGCATGGTTCTGAGCATGCATTTACTTTTGTGACTCCTCAGTTAATGTCTGGCTTCCCAAAAGCCATGTAAATATCATGACAGGTGCAATGGTAGCCTAGTTCACATCTATATCCATTGGGCCAAAGGTAGTGCCTGGCATACAATATGCATCTGATATGGCTTGGTTCTGTGTCCCCACCCAAATCTTGTGTTGAATTGTAATTCCCAGTATTGGAGGGAGGACCTGGTGGGGGTGATTGAAACATTGGGAGACTTCCCCCTTGCTGTTCTCATGATAGAGTTCTCAGAAGATTTGGTTGTTTGAAAGTGTGTAGCCTCTCCCCCTGTGCTCTCTTGTGCTCTCCCTTTCTCTCTCTCTCTCTCCTGCCTTGCCCTGGCCATGTGAAGACCATGCCTGCTTCCTCCTCACCTTCTGCCATGACTGTCAGTTTCCTGAGGCCTCCCCAGAAGCAGAAGCCTATACAGCCCACAGAACTATGAGCCGGTTAAACCTCTTTTCTTTATAAAGTACCCAGTTTCAGGTATTCCTTTATAGCAGTGTGTGGAGGGACTAATACAGCATCCAATAAATATCTGTTGCTTGGTTGAACGAATGAAGGAATGAAAGAAAAGATGACACCCTGGTGTCTTAGTGGACCTCTGAATGAAGGCCAGCTTACTCCACAGGGGTCTGTGCTCAAACCATGTGGGAATTTCAAAGAACACCTTCTTCTGCTGTTCCAAATCCACCTTCTCCAGACCTGGAAGACCCTGGGACCCCAGAGCCCTGGTGTGACTGTCTCAGCCTAGGTTGTCCTTAGCCCTCTACCCCTGGCTCTTGTATTACCCCGCTGACTTTATCTTCTGGAACTCAACCCCACACTGGGCCCAGCATGATGGCCCTGCTCCCTTCCTCTGTCTCCCTCCTCCTTCTTCCTCCTTCTGCCCCATCTGACACAGCCCAGGGCCTTCAAGGTTCCTATCTGCTTTGCCAGCAAGGCCTGCCCAGCTTCTTCTCTGCCACTAAAGGGGTGCTGGGACCCGGTGTCCCCAAGTCTCCCATCCTCTACAGCCCCCACCCACCTGTGCTTTGGCAGGAGATGAGCCTTGAGTGCTCAAAAGTCACATGTCCCCCAAATCCCCAGGGTTTCAAGGAAGGGACCTTACAGCCTCCCTGTGCCAAGGCCAACATCTCACAAGAATACCCGGTTCCCGAGGCCGAGGCTGGGGTCCCAGGAGATGTGTTGCAGTTTTGTTTTTTGTTTTTATTTAACCCATAAATATTCCAATACATGGCACTAAAAAATAAGAAATCTGCCAAATAAGGGTGGTCACACATGTTACTATTAACAGCTAAAATATTAAAAATTATTAATATCATGAAATATCCAATCAGTATTTAAGTTTTGAATTGTTATTTTATCTATATGTTTGAAAGAGGATATATAATAGGTCTATACGTTGCCATGGATTCACCGAAATAGATCAAAACTCATCCAATATGTTTACATTTAGGAGTTCATAGTGACACTATCGGTCACTGCTGGAGGATGTCAGGGAACCAACTTATGATTTTGAAAAGTGATCAATGAAGAGAAAGAAGGAGGATTTGACCTGTCTTCCCCATGAAGGCCATCCGAGCCCCTGCGCTCCTGACTAGTCAGTCCTCGGAGGGGGCGGGAGTGGGTTTTGGGGACCCGAGGCTGACACCCTACTCCAAGCAGTCCTGGTCATCTTCGCATGGCTTCATCAGGCTGTGGTGCACCCTGACCTCTGCCCTCCAGGGGAGGAGAAGAAATCTTCCTCCTCAGTCAATAGGGCCGCCCCCGTTCTATCCTCGCTTATGGATTCATCTCTCAGGGCAGCTGCAGAATTTGCACGCCCGGGGCCACGTGAAAATGCCTGCCCCCTTCCTCCCAAAGTATGAAGATTTTGAAGACAGGACAGCAGAGCATTAAACTAAGCATGGGCTGTCTGAGCACAGCAGGCTGCACAACCACGGGGGCTGCCCACCCCGCACAACCTGCAGGCCTCATCTCCTGGGGGGTAAGGACTGGCAACATCAAGAGAAAGGAGGGGAAGGGGCTGGGATGAAGAGGCTGCCCAGGCCTATTTTACAGGCCACATGGGAAGGAAGAGAAGCCATCTCCAGAGACCTCATGAAGAACCAATCGCCAAAGCCAGAAACCAGACAAGAGCTAAGAGAGCCCAGAAAGAAAATTCAAAAAGCCAACATCAGAGCCGTAACCTTTCCTCTGTCACCAAAGTGTCTGCTCTTGGCCCTGGCTGGTGCCAAAATGTCACCACTCAGAGTTGCAGCTTCAGACCCAAGCGGCTGGGGCTGCAGGGGCAGGAGGGGGCCTGGGTGCCAGCCCAGCCCTCACCAGGTCCCCAAGCCCTTCACACCAGCTGCAACAGTGAGAATGAGGATGTTTGTGACATTGCCAGATGAGATGGTAACTAACGGCCCTGCCAGGCCCCAGGGATGCAGGGCAGGCTCCATGCAGCAGATGTTCTGTGATTACGAGGAAATTGAGGCAGGCGGAGGTTCCTGAGTCCAGAGGCTCTCCACCTCTGGCAGGCTGAGCCCAGCCTCCTTAAGGATGCAGCTCTGCTTGCACCAGGGAAGGGGAATGGGGAGGGAAGAGGGATGATCTTGTTGGGAGCAGGCAGTCTACAAAGAGCCCCACGCATCTGCTTCCAATTCATGACAACCTGGCTCTATTGTTGTTGTTTATTTTCCTTAAATGAAGTTAATAGTTTTAAAATTTGCCATATGTTGGCTTCGGTTAAGTTCTTTGCAGTGGTTTATGTAACCCAAGTGTGAGGGCCAAGGCCTGCAAGCCCCTGGAGTTGACTCTGACCACCTGGCCTGTGTCACACCCTGAGGTGCGTGTGTCTGAGGGAAGTGGGTAGGGTCCCCATAAAAAAAACTGAGGGGCCATTTCCAAGGAACGAAAACACAGGCCAGTGGGCAATAGTCCCACCCAAGGACAGAGGAGGGCTTGAAGAAATGCAGACGGCTGGGCCATCCTGGGGCTCTCTTGGTCCCAGTGTAGCCTGGGAATCTGCATTTTAAAACCTCCCCAGGGGATTCTAATGAGCAGTGAGAGAACTGCTGCCCCACCCTACCTCTGAGAGAGGCTGGAAGGACAAAGGGCTTACAAATTCTGCTATTATGCTGATAACAGTAATAGCAATTATTATTATTTTCAGTGAGAAAACTGCGGGCTCAGGGAAGTCACCTGGTACAGCCAATCTGGATGGAGGGCCCTGGCTTCTGCCATGCCAAAGCCTGTGCCTTGGAATCTATTTTAACTTAGCCAAAGTAAGAATATTTGCATGATTTCTGTTCTAGTCCATAATCAGCAGTCACTTGATGTTTTTTGTTTTTCAAGCAGTAGGCAGTTCACAGGGCTGAAAGAATTGGGAGGTGAATTATAAACTTTCTGCTTGAAGTGTTCCCAAATTCCAGACTCTGGAGCAATCGAGGGAGCCCTTCACAGCTGAACAGGAAACCCTGGCAATGGGGGCACAGAGGCAAAGGGCAGGGCCCTCCTTGGCACTGCAGCAGTTAGCCTGGGGAGAGGCTGAGAGGCAGGCGCATGACAGGGCATGGATCTCTCGGGGGTCACGGCCGAGTGCTCCTGGACTGGGAAAGGACAAGAGGGAAGATACCATGACCTTCAACAGGGGGCCTGAGGCCACCTGTAAGTTCTTTCATAAAGAACAGCCTTGAACTTCTGCAGGGAGGCAGGGAAGGGAAAATCAGGCCTCCTGGAGGCAGGAGGAGAGGGCCCCAGGTCTTGGCTGTTGGTACTGCCAGTAGCTCCCCTTCGTCTCTCTGTCTTTCTGTGTTCCCTTGACACCTGTCACCTTGTGCCTGTGGCAGAGCATGCGTCTGAATCAGTGCGAGGGTTTGTTCAAACACAGCGTGCTGGCCTCGCCCCTGAGGATCTGATTTAGGAGATCTGGGGAGGGGGAGAACTTGCATTTCCAACATGTTCCCAGGTGAGGTGGATGCTGCTGGTCCAGGGGCCACACCTGAAGCGCTTCTGTCTCAATTGATGTTCTCGGCAGTTCTCTGAGGGCGGAGGAAGAGACCAAAGCTTAGAGCTGAGAGCTAACATGCCTGAGGCCACACAACTAGCAACTGACAGATGCAGGATTCGAACTCAAGCTCAGAGATCCTGGAGCCCACTAACCACAAGGTACCCTCTTCTCACTTTAAACTTTCCCCCTAGACAGTCTGAGTCAGGGCAGCCTCTTTGGAGACAGGGGCTGGAACTTGACTGCACATTGGAGCCCCTGAGAAGCTTCTAAAATTTCCAGTGCTGGGGCTGCCTCCAGACCACTGAAATCTGAGTCCCTGGGGTGGCGCCCACCAGGTTGGCAGGACTTCTTTACGTTTCCAGGTGATTTCACGGCACAGGGGCTATATTTGGGACTCTGGGCTTCGGGAGATCCAGAGTGGCCTTAGCAGCAAGTCTGGGGTGGGGTGGGTGCTGCAGGTGGCAGGCACCTGCATGGTCAGCTGCACCCTGGAGGGGGCCCTGGGTGACCCAGGAAAGGGTGACTGTCCTCCCTGGAGGCAGTCGGGGAGAGGCCTTGACTGGGGTTGTCAGGTAAAATACAGAGTATCCAGGTAAACTTAAATTTCAAATGAACAGAGAATAATTTCTTTAGTATGCCCTAAATATTACTTGGGACATACTTAAAATTAAAACAATTATCTTAAATTCCAACTGAACTGAGCATCCTGGATTGTATCTGCTCAATGTAGGGGCAGAGGTCCCAGCCCCCAGCACCAGCAGCTGAAGGTGTATTCTCATTCATTTGATCAAGCGTTAGGAGCCGTGGTGTGTGGCAGGGCAGGGAGACTGGATCTCTGCTCAGCAGGCCCAGGCTGAGGGGCAGGTGAGATGGAGGCCCAGGGACCCTCTGCAACCTACAGCCCCAGCTGTTACTCTTGCATGGTGGAGTTCCAGCCCTGCTGGGCAGATGTGTTTCTTTCCATTTTTCTGTGAGGACTGCAGCCCTGGGTTTACTTGGGGAAAGAGGCCTCCGTGCGGGACCGGGGGTGGGGATTCTAAACAATGGGGAGAGTAGAGAGCGCCCTCTCCCCAGCAGGCTGTTCGAAGGCCCCATGCAAGGCGCTTGGACCCTCCCCTCTAAATGCCAGCGCCTTCCAATGCAGCAGCCGCTGGTGGTCGCTGTGGAGGACAGGGCCGGGCCTACCGGGAGGCCATTGATCAATGGGGCCGCTCCCGTTCCATCCTTGCTTCCGGGTGCAGCTCTCGCCTGTTGCAAGATTACGCTTCTGCTTGGGTTCTTTGTTTGATTTTTATTGACTTTGTCCCTTCTTTTGTGTTGTGGCATCACCTTGTATCTTCCGTTGCTGCGGTAACAAGTCACCGTAAACTTAGCCGTTTCAAACAACAGGGCCTTGTTATCTCACAGTGCTGTAGCCAGGAGTCCAGGTGGGCGCAGGGAGGTCCCAGCCTCGTGCCTCACAAGGTTGAGCGGGCAGTGTCGGCGGGGCGGAGCTGCTTCCTGTAGGCTCTGAAGCAGAACCCTGCCCCGCTCACTTGGTGGTCGGCTGAATCCAGTTCCTTGGGCTTACAGGGCTGAGGTTCCCAATCCTCGATGGCCGTGAGCCCCGGCTGTTCTGCGCTCCTGGGGCCTGCCGCGTTTCTGCCTGAACTCTCCACACTGCCCCTCCAGCAACAGCAGGTCAAGCCCTCCTCACGCTTCGAATCCCTCCGCCTGCAGCTGGAGAATGTTTTCTGCTTTTAAGGGCTCATGGGATTAGACTGGGCCACCCAGATAACCCAGGATCATCCTTTCTTGTATTGTCAAGAACCCTAATCACATCTGCGAAGTCCCCTGTGCCACTAGTAGGGTAACACAGTCATGGTTCTGGGGATTAGGGGGTGGCATCCCGAGGGGGCCGTTCTGCTCACCACAAACCGCCCTATATAGCACAGGGTGGCCATCCCTAGTGGGCTGCTAGATGGATCTTGCCCTGTGGGCACACTCCTGCCACGCCAGGCTAGGACGAAGGTCCCTCCAGGCCCCAGCAGACTCCCTGTGCGCCTGGCCTTGGAGTGCGTGTCCCGCGTGTGTCCTGTGCCGGTTCCCGCCTTGCCTCCTTACCGACGCGCCTCCCTTCTGGCCTCCAATCCCCACGGCGGCACTGTGGCCGCAAACGGGTCCACCAGGTAACCTCGTGGTTTTTCTTTTCAATGCACAAGTAAAATGTCTCCCCACCGTCTCATCAATCTGAGGGACAGGAGTAATCAACACAGAACTGTGCTGCAGGTAAGGCCGGGGTCTGGGCCCCAGGATGCCCGTTTATCCCTAGCCCACACTCAGGGCTATTGTGGGATAAAAAGAGAAGGGAACTGAATGGGGGAGGTGAAGGGAAGGAGAGGAGTCTGGTCGGAGGGGCAGAGGTTGATCCCTCCTGACATGGTGTTAGGGGTGCACTGGGGCCTAGAAAGTGCCCTTGCAAATGCACTGTGGGACAGGAACACTCTGGGGGGTGGTGTGTGTTGGGATGTGCAAGTGTGCAGGGGTGGGGTGTGTCCAGGAGTGCCGGGAAGCAGCAGCTGCAGTGAGGGCCCATTTCCTGCACTGTCGTGTTGGAGGGGGCACGGGACAGCCCGCCTGAGCTGGCTACCCCAGCGAGTTAGTGGAATCCCTTCTTTGATTGTGTTTGTTGGCTTCACCTGTTCATGGGCTCCTGGCTGAGAGAGGACACACCTAGGATATTCACAAGCCCCAGAGCACTTCTGAACACCTGTGAGAGATGCTCAAGGGATGAATGCTTGGGCCTTTAGGGTACCTTGAGCTGGAGATGGGGCTGGGGGCAGATGCCATAATGGTCTTCTGCTCCCTTCTAGGTACAGCCAATTAATGACAACACTTGTTCCTGCAGAACAGATCCAGCTTCATGATCTTTTAGAAGAGAGTTCTAAAATCAAATCCTTTACCTCCCAGCCTGATTACTCTTCAGTCAACAGAAACTTACCAAGCACCTTTTTTGTGTGTGCCAGGCACTGTTCCAGGCACTGGGATAGTGTGAGATCCCTTTCTCCCACCCCACACCCCACAGGACAGAGGTTCTTGACCCCCACCTACACATCAGAATCCACCAGGAAGCTTTACAAAATTCCCGGAGAGATTCTGATGTCATTGATCTTGGGGGTACAGCTTGTTAAAAGCTGCCCAGTTGATTTGAATGTTCAGCTAAATTTGAAACTGCTACACCCCAGGACATCTGATTAATTACACCCACAGCCTTCAAACCCAGCCCAGTTCCACTTAAAAAGTTTTTCAAAGATGCATAGAGCATGACTGAGGATTCTAGATAGGAAAAGGAGAAATTTTAGGCTATTAAAGTGCCTATTACAATTACACTTTAACATCGATATAGAGAAGCTTTGTCATTAAAACAGTTTTTTAAGGTTATTGTGTGAATGAGAACACTAAAATCGAAAATTTAAAAATACCTGCTGTTCCCTGCCATCCTCCTGGAAAACTTCCAAGCAGCCCCAAGTGTCTGTAAAGACTCCTTTGTGAAATGTCTATTCAGATGAGCCGCCGGGTCCCTATTGTAAAGCCAAACTGTTCCTGTTTTTCCTGCTGTTGTCACTGTCGCTCTGGCCCATGCAACACCACCCCCCGACCGACAGGGAGGGCAGGAGCCACAGCCCGGGCAACTCCTCGAGGGGAGGGATCTTTGTTTTGTTCACTGAGGTAGTCCCAAGACCCACTGCAGGATGAGCGCTTGGCAGGTGTTCCTTGTGAGTGAAGATCTCTAACAGTCAGCGGATACAGTAGGTGTGCTGCACCCTCACACCTCTTGCTCCTGCCAGCATTGCTAATGAATCAATCACGACCATCCTTCCCTTAAGCCTGGATGCAGTCCTGTAGCTCTCAACCCCACAATCCAGGGACCAGCAAAGGCATCACACAAATTCAGATGATGTCCTTCTATTTCCAACCCACATCCAGTCTGACCTACAGTCAGAATTCTCTCCTCCCTTCCTTTCTTCATTCATTCATCCCTCCCTCACTAAGGGCACACAGCTAGCAGGCCATTAGATCAGCAGTCCCCAACCTTTTTGGCACCAGGGAACAGTCTCCTGAAAGACAATTTTTCCATAGACAGTGGGAAGTGGGGTAAGGGGGATGCAGGGGTGGTTTTGGGATGAAACGGCTCCACCTCAGATCATCAGGCATTAGATTCTCATAAGGAGTACACAACCTAGATCCCTTGTGTCACACGTGTCCTGTGAAGAGACAACCAAACAGGCTTTGTGTGAGCAATAAAGCTTTTTTAATCACCTGGGTGCAGGCAGGCTGAGTCCGAAAAGAGAGTCAGCGAAGGGAGATAGGGGTGGGGCCGTTTTATAGGATTTGAGTAGGTAGTGGAAAATTACAGTCAAAGAGGGTTGTTCTCTGGTGGGCAGGGGCGGGGCGGGGGCGGGGGGTCACAAGGTGCTCAGTGGGGGGCTTCTGAGCCAGGAGAAGGAATTTCACAAGGTAGTGTCATCAGTTAAGGCAGGAACTGGCCATTTTCACTTCTTCTGTGATTCTTCACTAGCTTCAGGCCATCTGGATGTATACGTGCAGATCACAGGGGATATGATGGCTTAGCTTGGGCTCAGAGGCCTGATAACTTGCACGTGCAGTTCACAGCAGTGTTCACGCTTCCGTGAGAATCTAATGCCACTGCTGATCTAATAGGAGGCCGAGCCCAGGCGGTAATGCTCACTCATCTCCAGCTGTGTGTCCCGTTTCCTAACCCCCACACGGCCTGGGGGTTGGGGACCCCTGGGTTAGATCACATACAGCTTTGTAGACCATCTAAAGACATTTACTTTTACCTGAGTGGTGTGGAGATACACAAAGACCAACCAAAGGAGAACAAGCTAAGGCAATTTATTCAGAGCTTGCTATAGCTAGGGGATCACCACCATCACATTGGTTTGGCAGAGACTCAAAGGCAGGCAGGGGAGTGGAGACAAGGGAAAGCTTCACGTGTGCCCTGATTGGAGGCTGTGCGCACAAGGAAGCTGAGACAGCTAACTAGAAGGCCATGCGTCTCCTGTGATTGACTAGGGATGCGTATTTGGCTTTCTCTGGTTGGTCCTAAGTTGCAACTGGGGACAGAAATTAGGGAAGCTGTCGGCTATTAGTCAAGTCCTAAAATCAGTTGGGGACTGATTGTTACCTGGGTTATTGTTTGACTTCCTAGATTATCTGCTAGAGATAATGATTCGACTTTCTACAAGTCTGACTTGTATGTAGTAGCCTGGCTTCCTGCACCAGTTGCCACCAATTATGGGCCAGAGTTTTGTATTTACATATGGTCAGGCCATGGTCCATTTGTATATTCAGTATCTCAGTGAGATGGAGCAAGAGGGTTGTTTTTCCTTAAAATATGTATTGAAATGTAATTCACATATACAATTCACCCACCTAAAGTGTACAATTCAGGGTTTTCTAGTATATTCACAGTTGTGTTGCCATCATACAATTTAATTTTAGAACATTTTTATCCTTCCCCGAAAGAAATCACATGTGTTAGAGTCACTCCTGCCTCCCTGCTGTGCCAGGCCTAAGCAACCACGAATCTACCTTCTGTCTCCATAGATACTTATTCTGGACTTTTCGTATGAATGGAATCATAAGCAAAAGCTTGATTTTCCATTGAAACAGCAGAGCCCTTAACTGCCCCCTCCCTGCCCATGGACGGTCTCTATCCTTGCCTGGAAGTGCCTTATGACAAACAGCTTCTGTTTACAGCGTCCAGTTCTCTGAGTTGTAATGCATGTACCCACCTATGTAACAAATAATGCACCTATAACCACCACCACAGTCAGAAGAACAAACATTTCCATCTCCTCCAAAATATTTCCTCTTGCCTTTTTGAGGCAGACAATGATACGCTTTTTGTCACTATAGATAAATTTTGTTTTTTCTTGATTTTTCACGCAAGTGGAATTATATGGACTTTTGATGTCTGCCTTCTTTCACCCTGAAAAGTGTTTTTTGAGATCCATTCATGTTTTGAGTGTATCTGTAACTGGTTAGCTTTTTATTGCTGAGCTGTGTTCTGTATGGAGATATGGGTACTTATTCACTCATCTGTTGATGGTCTGGTTTTCAACTATGAATTCAATTTCTTAGTTGATATAAACCTCACCTATTGATCTCTACTTTCCTTTGTTTCCAGTTTGGGCTATTATAAATAAAGTTGTTGTGAACATTCATGTGCTTTTTTTTTTTTTTTTTTTTTTTGAGACGGAATCTCATCCTGTCGCCCAGGCTGGAGTGCAGTGGCACGATCTCAGCTCGCTGCAACCTCCGCCTCCCGGATTCACGCCATTCTATTGCTTCAGCCTCCTGAGTAGCTGGGGCCACAGGCACCCACCACCACTCCCGGCTAATTTTTTTGTATTTTTAGTAGAGACGGGGTTTCACCGTGTTAGCCAGGATGGTCTCGATCCCCTGACCTAGTAATCCACCCACCTCAGCCTCCCAAAATGCTGGGATGACAGGCGTGAGCCACCGTGCCTGGCTGCTTATCTTTTTTGTTGACTTATGCTTCATTTTTCTTGTGACAACACTTAAACGAAGCCTCATGAAAATTAAAAACTTATTCATTTTTTATTTGTGGTCCGTGTATTTTGGATCAGATCTAAGACCTATGCTAAAGAGGTGATAAAGAAAAGCTTCAGCTGAATTAAATTTAAAATAGTTTAATTGAGCAATGAATGATTTGTGAATCAGGCACCTCCAGAATCACAGCAGATTCACACGGACTCCCGCAGGCAGGTGGTAGAAGAAGATTTATAGACAGAAAAAGGGAAATGACATCCAGAAATCGGCACTGAGGTACAGAAACAGCTGGGTTGGTTACAGGTTGGCGTTTGCCTTATTTGAACACAGTTTGAACACTCAGCACTCTATGAGTGGTTGAAGTATGGCTGCTGGGATTGGCCAAGACTCAGTTATTGTTACAGGCACATACTCCTAATTTAGGTTGTCAATCTTGTCTGACTATTAAGCTGGGTTACAGTTCACCCACAAGGACTCAAATATAGAAATCCAAAGTCCTTCTCAGGCCATATTTAGTTTGCTTTAACAGAGGTAAAGATGTTCTCCTTGGTTTCTTTTATTTATTTATTTTGAGACAGGGTCTCGCTCTGTCATCACGCAGCTGCAGCGGTGCGATCTCAACTCACTGCAACCTCTACCTCCTGAGTTCAAGTGATTCTCATGTCTCAGCCTCCCAAGTAGCTGGGATCCACAGCTGTGTGCCACCAGGCCTGGCTAATTTTTTTTGTGTGTGTGTTTTTAGTAGAGACAGCGTTTCACCAGGTTGGCCAGGCTGGTCTTGAACTCCTGGCTGCGAGCAATAAACCCACCTTGGCCTCCCAAAGTATTGGGATTACAGGCGAGAGCCATCGCGCCTGGCCCTTGGTTTCTTTTAGACACTTGGTAACATTGGCTTTTATATTTAGGTCTATGGTCAAATTTGAGTTTATTTCTCCATAGATTTTATGGTAAGGGGCCAAGTTTCCATTTTTTTTATATGAATATTCAGTTTTTCCAGCTCTGATTTTCTAAAAGATTATCCTTCCCTATGGAATTCCCTTTGTTCCTTACAAAAAATCAGTTGACCATGTATGTAAGGATCTAGTTCTGAGCTCACACTTCTAGTCCTTTGATCTATTTGTCTGTCTTCATTGCAATACCGCATTGTCTTGATTACTGCCTTTCAAAAACTGGTGAAGTCAGGTAGTTTAAGTTCACCCATTTGTTCTTGTGTTTCAAAGTTGTTTTGCCTATTCTAGGTCTTTTGTATTTCCACATAAATTTTAGACTTAGCTTATTACATTTACAAAAAGAGTCTGCTGAGGTTTGGATTGGGGTTGCTTTAAATCTACAGATAAATATCAAGTCTTTAATCTATTGTGAAAAGAAAATAAATCTCAGGACCCCAAAATCACTGAGCCCAAGGGAAAAGTCAAGGTGGGAACTGCCTCCCATTCTATACCCAATTAAAAGTTCCAGTAGACTTTTTTGGTAAAAATTAGCCATGGTGATAGATTTATTTATTAGGTACTAAAACTGATATAGAGCTTTTCTCTAAATATAGTAAAGCCTCTGATTCCCTGGAGTTTTCTAACATACACCAATCATGTTACCTTTGTGGTACGGTTTCCAACTATGAAAGATAGAAAAGCTACATACCTCCCTCACAGTTTGCCCACAAGGAAATTCCTTGTGGAGGAAAGACAGACAGAACTCAGTCATCCCTCTGCTCAGGTGAGACAAATCCATATCTGATTGTTTCCTTTGCCCTGTTGTTTCACTAAGCCAGACTAAGGCATAAGTGACTATTCCTAAATAGTCTAAATTGTGCATTCATTCATTTAGTGCGTTCACTGCATACACTAAATTGTGCATTCAGCGAAAGCTTAATCAGAAACTCAAAGGAATGCAACCGGTTGCATACCTATGACCTGGAAGCCCCCTCCTCACTTCAAGTTGTCCTGCCTTTGCGGACCAAACTGATGTACATCTTATATATATTGATTGATGGCTCATGTTTGCCTAAAATGTATAAAACCAAGCTGTGCCCTGATCACCTTGGGCACATGTATGTCATCAGGGCCTCCTGACACTGTGTCTTGGGCACATCCTAACCTTGGCAAAATAAACTTTCTGAATTGATTGAGACCTGTCTCAGATACTTCTAGGTTTACACTATGAGAAAGGTCTCTCTCTCTCTGCACTTATTGAGGCCTTTAAAAATTTCTCTCAACAAGGTTTTATAGTTTTCAATGTATTGATCTTAAATCCATTCTGTTCAATTTATCACTATTCCATGCTTTTTGATGCTATTGAAAATATTTTAAAATTTCTTTTTTCAATCGTTTGCTAATATATAGAAATACAGGTCAGGTGTGGTGGCCTATGCCTATAATCCCAGCACTTTGGGAGGCCGAGGCAGGCAGATCACGAGGTCAGGAGTTCAAGACCAGCCTGACCAATATGGTGAAACCCCATCTCTACTAAAAAATGCAAAGATTAGCTGGGTGTGGTGGCGTGCGCCTGTAGTCCCAGCTACTCAGGAGGCTGAGGCAGGAGAATTGCTTGAACCTGGGAGGCGGAGGTTGCAGTGAGCCAAGATCACGCCACTGTACTCCAGCCTGGATGATAGAGTGAGACTATTTCAAAAAAAAAAAAAAAAAAACACAGCTAAGAAATATAACTGGTTTTGTATATTGATTCAAACCAATCCCAATCAAAGTTCCAGTAGATTTTTTGGTAAAAAATAGCCATGGTGATAGACTTATTTATTAGTTACTAAAACTGATGTGGAGTTTTTCTCTAAATATAATAGAGCCTCTGATTCTCTGGAGTCTTCTAACATACACCAATCATGTTACCTTTGTGGTATGGTTTTCAACTATGAATTCAATTTCTTAGATGATATAAACCGATCTCTATTTTCCTTTAATCAGTGTTGGTAACTTTTTGCCTTTCAAGAAATGTCTTCATTTCATCTAATTTTTCAAATTTATTGACATACAATTGTTTCCACATTTCCTGACCGTCTCTTTGATGTCTATGATATCTGCAATGCTGTCTCTTTTTCATTCCTGATACTGGTAATTGGTGTGTTATCTTTTTCATGATCAGTCTACAAATAGCTAAAGATTTACCACCTTTATTGATCTTTTCAAATAACTATTTTTTGGTTAATTGGTTTCTCTCTTTTTTTAGGTTTTCTATTTTTCTTGATTTCCACTGTTATTGTTATTATTTCTTTCCGTTTACTTACTTTGGGTTTAATTTATTTGTTTTAGTAAAATGTACATGACATAAAATTCATCATGTTAACTATTTTTAAGTGTGTAGCTCTGGTAGTAAGCTGCATAGCTGTGGCACTAAGTACATCCATACTAGTGTGCGGTCAGCCCCACCATCCACCTCCAGAACTTTTTCATCGTCCCCAACTGAAACGCTGTCCCCATTAAACAATAACTTCCCATTTTCCCTCCCCACAACCCCTGGCAACCGCCATTCTCCTGAGTCTGACTACTTTAGGACTTCATATGAATGGAATAATATAGCATTTGTTCTTTTGTGACGGGCTTATTTCACTTAGCCTAACATCTTCAAGGTTCATCCATGTAGCATGTGTCAGAGCTTCCTTTCTTATGAAGTCTGAGTAGATACCACATTGTGATTATTCATTCATTCAGTGATGGACACCCGGGTTCTTTCCACATTTTAACTGTCATGAATGATGCTGCTATGAACATGGGTGTGCAAATATCTACTCAAGTCCCTGCTTTCACCTCTTTTGGGTATATATCCAAAAGTGGAATTGATAGATCATATGGTAACATTCTACGTTTAATATTTTGAGGACTCACCGTTCATTTTCCACAGCAACGACGCCATTTTATATCCTGCCAGCAATGCACAAGCGTTCCAATTTCTCTGCAATGCACAAGTGTTCCAATTGCTCCGCCTCCTCGCTAATGGTTTTCTGTTTTGTTGTTGTTGTTTTTATAATAGCCGCCCCAACGGGCGTGCAGCTGTCTCATTGTGGTGGGTTTGATTTAATTTTAATTTTTGTAGCTTCTGAGAAGTAGAAGATTAAGATGGTATTCTTCACCAGAGTACTTTGCTACTCCATTTTACTGAGGTTCAATTTCACCAAAGATTTGGAAAAGTAATCCTTTGATTAAAACAAATGATTGTATCATTTAATAGTCACAAACCTTAAGTGTGTTTTACGGGAATGCAAGCACTTCAAAAAATTGCTTAAGTCAAACTACTTCAAGGCCACCTCTTCTAGTGTTTTAAAGAGCTGGTTAGCACAGCCACACACCACATGGGGAAGTTCTGGCTGATGGCGGACCATGCATATGACGATGGTGCCATAAGATTATAATACTGTATTTCCATTGTACCTTTTCTATGTTGAGCTATGTCTAGATACACAGATTCTCACCATTGTCTGACAGTTGCCTACCCTATTCAGTACAGTCCCATGTTGTATAGGTTTGTAGCCTCGGAGCAATGGGCTCTACCATGCAGCCCAGGTGTATAGTAGGCTGTACCATCTAGGTTTGTGTGAATATGCTCTACGATGCTCACACAATGACAAAATGACCTAACAATGCATTTCGCAGAATGTGTCCTCATCATGAAGCAATGCCTGACTGCAATGTCTTATCAGAGCTGATGGTTACATTTTCAGGAATTTCGTAAGCTACTTGTTAACCACAGCCATTATTAAAAATTAAATAACAAAGTTATAGTTAAATTATATTTAAAATGCAAATAATTACTTAAAAGTCATCACTTCCTAATTAGTTAACTACATTTTACAGTGATCTATTCTAATTATCTGTGCCTACTGTATCAGCTTGGTGGGAATCCTGTGAGACACTGTGCTCACCTCTCCCCAATGCTGGCTGTTTTCTTTCTTTCTTTCTTTCTTTCTTTCTTTCTTTCTTTCTTTCTTTCTTTCTTTCTTTCTTTCTTTCTTTCTTTTCTTTCTTTCTTTTTCTTTCTTTCTCTTTCTTTCTTTCTTTCTTTTTCTTGCTTTCTTGCTTTCTTGCTTTTTTTTTTTTTTTTCCAGAATCTCACTCTGCCACCCAGGTTGGAGTGCAGTCGTGTCATCTGGGCTCACTGCGACCTCCGCCTCCCAGTTCAAGCAATTCTGTCTCAGCCTCCCGAGTAGCTGGGACTACAGGCAAACACCACTAGACAAACGCCACCACACCCGGCTAGTTGTATTTTTAGTAGAGACAGGGTTTCATCATGTTGGTCAGGCTGGTCTCGAACTCCTGACCTCAGGTGATCCACCCACCTCGGCCTCCCAAAATGCTGGGATTACAGGCGTGAGCCACTGCGCCCGGCCACCAACGCTGTTTTCGGTAGTGACATGTGAGGATCTTACAGGCAGCTGTGCAGGGGGCTTTACGCTATGGAAATCAGTCCTTGATATATGGTTTTGTTGATCGTCTAGACTTTTTGTGATTTTTTCATCACAATAGTGATGGAAAATGTTAAGAATGGAGATTACCTTAAATGCATGGTCTATCTGTGGCTGTTGTATTGCGAATGGTATCAAAAAGTTTGAGGAAATATTCTTCCAGCATTTGAAAACTTGTCTAATTTAGCAAGACAGTTGCTCCCATCATTATCAAATGAGTGAAATTGAGACATGTCTTTGTTATTTCACTTTTGTCTTAGTAATTGACGGATATGAAAATATCAACCAAATGTTCAGGTTGGAACTATAATTGTTTGTCAATGATACAAGCCAGTTTCTTTGCTGAATTGGATATCATTCAAGCATTTATTCACAGCGTGATAATGTCACTCTATTGTTGGTGATAGAATTTTAAGAGCTGATAATGGACTTTGCAAGAAATAGAAAGTTATGCTGAAGTTATAGGTGTGTGAAACTTACAATAGAGCATTGTAAGTCTTATTGTCTATGGGTTCTGTGCTACACACCCTTCGTATCAGTGGTATGTAGACCAAGCACACATGTGTATGCATATGTGCGCATATTTTTATTTTCTGAAAAGCCATCTGTTGACATTCACCAGCACGTTACCACCCCAACCCCGCCAGGGCTCACAGGAAGTCCTCAGCTTTGAGTGTCTCTGGGAAGGGATAGGAGAAAATGTGGAAAACCACAGCCCTGAGGTTTGTGGCGGCCACGGGGGAACCTGAGCAGCTACAACTGTGTTTCGTAAACCTGTGCCAATTGTACCTGCAGGAAACTGGTTATTTAGGATGGCTAGCACGTGAGTCCTTAGAGGACTCGGCTTAAAAAACACCGATTTCAGAATCTAAAGCTGAGACTGCAAAGGGTTTCCATTGTGAATGAACACCAACAACAGAGGTTTTCTGCAACCCTTTTAAAAGATATGACGACGGCAAAAAAAAACCCCACAGATTAAATAGCTCGTGGTCACTCCCTCCAGAAAAGCCTACCCATCCTCAGGGGTCCAAGTGGCCGGTGTGGGCAACACCAAACCACGTGGTTTGCAATAGGCATGAGGTCAACACAGGCTCAGGAAAAGGAGGGGGGGGCAGCGCTTCAGATTCCATACTGTTCCCAGCATTTTCATCATCACTCCTCTGCTGCACCCACCCTTCCCTGCTCCAGCCCACATATGCAGCCTCCCCCTAAACCACCCGGGAAGGACAATGGCCGCCCTTCCTGTAGATCAGCCTCAGCTTACAGAGGGTCCCTGGGATCTAGGCTGACCACTGGTCCCAGTTTGCCTGGTCCTTCACCGGCTTTAGCACTGAGTGCCCCAGGTGTCGCTGTGTTTGTTCCTTATTGTTGCTGTAATAAATGTAGTGGTTTCAAACAACACAGATTCATCCTCTTGTAGTTCTGGACTTCAGAAGTCCTCAAATCAGGCTTAAATCTTGGTGTCAGAGGACTGTATTTCATCTGAAAGCTTTAGAGGATAATTTGCTTCCTTGCCTTTTCTAGTTTCTGGAAATCTCCTGGTTTCCTGGGGTCTGGGTCTCTTCCTCCATCTTCAAAGCCAGTGACCTAGCATCTTCCAGTCTCTCTCTGACTCTGGCCCTCCTGCTAGCTCTTGCAGGGATCCTTGTGATTATAAACTGAATCACAGGATAACCTCCCCATCTCAAGACCATTGACTCAATCCCATCTGCAAAGTCCCTTTTGCCATGTAAGGTCACACATTCATAGGTTCTGGGGATTAGGATGAGGACATCTAGGGGCGCCAACTGCACCCCAGAAGCCCCTCAGTCCTGGGCAAACCAGCATGGCTGGTCACCCTGCTAGGGTCCTGAAGGCTCATTAAAGCATAGCCTAGAAGCAGGATGCAACCCTCATCCTGCTGTGGCCAGTTGACAAGTACGCCAGAGGCTGGGGGGGATGATTTACATCCAAACCTGGGGAATGCCTGTATCTTTCCGCCCCAGATAGGGCCAGGATGATTCATCTCAACCCAGTGGTGTGCCCTTGTGAAAATTAATTAACCTTTTTGGACCACAATGGCCTCTATCAAATGACAGTAATAAAGCTTCACCTTGTGCGTTGGCGTGAGATGGAGTGGGAGGGGGTGTGCAGCCCCTCACGAGGCATATAAAGGAGCCTCGATAACTGGGAGCTCGTGTTTTAATCAAAGCCCCATTGTCACGGGTTTATTCACATCCTCTTCTCATTTCAAAGAGGGTTCCTTGGGCTCACAATGGCTCATCAGTTAGAGTGGCAGGATCGGAACTGCAGTTTGGAGGAGGAAAGAAAAGGACAGGCTGGGAAATGAACAGGAAGTGAGAACAGGAGCAGGGCCCAGGCGGGGCTGGTGCACAGGACGTCACCCCCAGGCTGGGATGCGCCCGGGGCTACAGGATACACGCTGGGCCCGGAGCCTACACCTGGGCCACTGACTCCCAGGGATCCGAGTCTGTGTGCTGGGCCTTATGTAAAACCACAGGGCAAACCAGGGCATCTCTTCATTAAGGATGAAAAACTTATTTATGAAAAACTTATTTATATTAAAAGATGCAACCTTTAGGACATTATACTAAGTGAAATATGCCAATCACAAAAAAACCAAGACTGTATGAATCCACTTCTACGATGTCCCTAGAGGAGTCAGTTCAGGGACAGAAAGTGGAATGGGGGTTCCAGGGGCTGGGGAGAAAGTGGGAAGGGGGACTTATTAACATGTTCAATGGGGACAGACTTTCAGTTTTGCAAGATGAAACAGTTCTGCAGCTGGAGGGCGGTGATTTGTGCATGGACTTAACACCACAGAAGTGTACGTGTGACAATTGTTAAGGTGGCCGATGTTAACTGAGGAGAGCTGGTGGCCGTGGTGCCCTCCCAGGTGATTGCCTCTGTAATAGTGCTGCTGTGCTGTAAGTAGGGTGACCAACTCATCCTGGTCTGCCCAGGACTTCCCCAGTTCCAGTTGGAACATCTCTTGTCCCAGGACATCCTCAGTCCTGGGCAAGCTTGGAGGGTGGTCACCCTGCTTGTGAGGCACATGCACGTGCCGTCCTCTGATGGGGCAGGGCTGCCCCTGAGGCCCAGGGTTCTCAGCCCTGACTGTGCCAGAGAACTCACCAGGAAGATTCTGGAAACACAGGTGCTAATTTAGCCCCGAACCTAGGGAGCCTGATTTAATAGCTCTGCAGAAGGGCCTGGGCTGCTTTTTCACTTTAAAAAAATATGCTTCTTGGCTGGGCGTAGTGGCTCACACCTGTAATCCCAGCACTTTGAGAAGCCGAAGCGGGCGGATCATGAGGTCAAGAGATCGAGACCATTCTGGCCAACATGGTGAAACCCCGTCTCTACTAAAAATACAAAAACAAAAAAACCCAAAAAATTAGATGGGCATTGTGGTGCTCGCCTGTAGACCCAGCTACTTGGGAGGCTGAGGCAGGAGAATCGCTTGAACCCGGGAGGTGGAGGTTGTAGTGAGCCGAGATCATGCCACTGCACTCCAGCCTGGCGACCAAGTGAGACTGTCTCAAAAAAAAAAAAAAAAAAGCTTCTCTGCAGCCAGAGAATCAATTTCCTAAGTGGAAGTGTGGGAAGGAGCGGCTGCTGGGCCACTGCCCTCGGCTCTTGTCAGATGTCACCAGTTGACCACCAGTGTCTTGGATGAGGCTCGTGGTCTGCCCCATGTAGGGTAGCCCTGGGTGAGATGGGCCTGTGGGGTGAAGCTGGAAGCTGGTGACTACCCTCCAGGCCAGTGTGTTCACCCATCCTTTGGGGCTCACTCACGTCCCAGACCCAAGGCAGTGTGAATGCATCGCCCAGTCGCAGGCATGTTCTCTTCCATCTGGGGGATCTGGATGAGGCCTCAGAGTGAGCAGGGAACTGGCATGACCCTGGTCTGGGATTGGTGGGACAAGTGGCAATTCTCTCCTTGTCGAGGCCTCCTGGACAGAGGTCACTCACCCACAGGGCACTCAGCCATGTGTGGAGGGCAGAAGCCAGCACAGCTGGTGTGTCTTCCCATTCAAAAATTTGGAAAAGAAAAACACTGGTTCTCTAACTTTGAAAGAAGCAGCCTCATATCGGGGAATGCAGTTTTAAATCTCATTTTTTTTTAAGTGAAGTAGAAAATAAAATACATGTATTTCAATCCCAGGAAAATGCTTAACCAATCTTCACGTCTCCACTAATACGGCATCTTTCTCTAATGAATAAAAAAAATATATCTTTGCCAAAGGAAAACGTTACGATTACTTTTTATATGAACAAACTAGTTGTACTTAATAAAGACAATACTATTTGACAATTTAACTTTTGAAAATTTATTAACCACACACGCACACATATATATTTTAAACTATCAGCATTTACTATGTGATTTGTTCACAAAAGATAAATTCAGCAAAAGAATGAAAAAGAAACAGACAAACCCCACTGGCAGGCATTCGCCCTGCACTCGGGACCTGTTGCTGTGCCTGGCTCCGGGCCGCTGTCTCTGCCCATCTTACAAGACTGTGCATGGACCCCCTGAAACCCCTTGTAATCCACTAGCAGCCACTAGAAGGAGACGCCATCATTTCTGAGCTTCACCATGGCTGGGAGAAGAAGCACAGCAGCTGCTCGGATGTTGAATAATTTCTGGTTCTCTTTTTTTTTGAGACGGAGTCTTGCTCTGTTGCCCAGGCTGCAGTGCAGTGGCGTGATCTGGGCTTATTGCAACCTCTGCCTCCCGGGTTCAAGTGATTCTCCTGCCTCAGCCTCCCAAGTAGCTGGGATTACAGGCGTCCATCACCACACATGGCTAATTTTTGTATTTTTAGTAGAGACAGGTTGGCCAGGCTGGTCTTGAACTCCTGACCTCAGGTGATCTGCCCACATCGGCCTCCCAAAGTGCTGGGATTACAGGCATGAACCACTGCACCCGACCAATTTCTGGTTATCTTTAAGAAAAAATTAATATTGTTGTTGTAATTGTCTTCTTGCTCCTCAGTCCCACCAATTTGCTGTCTCCACCATATTTCAGGGGCTCTGAAACGATAGCCCCCATTACTTTCTCCCCTTGAGAAGGGCTACCTCTTCCCTCACCAATGGTCCCATACCTGATTGCTTGTTGGAAGTTCCTGGGATGCTCTGAGGACATGCTGCTGACTGGGAGTCACCGCCAGGGATTTGGATGTCATCGGATGGGGATGAACCTGTGCTCAAGGGTGATTTGAAACCTCAGGCGAGTCTGATGATTGACCGAGTGTGAGATACCTGTGCCTGGACAAACATTTGCACACATCAGGGCTGGTTCATTTGCACCCCCAAACACTCAGCCTAGTTTTGCCTGTTATTTTTAAACTTTATATAAATGGGATGTGTCTGTTTAGGATGCAGTCAACACTGTGATGTCATTCATAGTGCGCCTGGTCTGTAGCAGGGGTTGGCAGACCTTTTTGGTAGAGGGCCACATGGCAAATGTTTGAGGCTTTGCGAGCCACCTGTCATCTCTGCTGCACAGTTTGCTTTCTTTCTTTTCTTTTCTTTTTCTTTTTTTTTTTTTACTTTTATAATCCTTTAACTATCCTTAGTTTGAAAGCTATGCAAAAGCAGGCCCCAGGCTGTAGCATGTGTTGACTTCCTGCTCTAGTTGATTCATTATCATGGTATATTTCCATTTTATGAATATACAAATTTATTCTACTGTTGAAGGATATTGGGGCTGTTGGCAGATTTGGCTGTTATGAAAAATGCTGTTATGGGCAGCATGGAGCATGTCTCTTGGGATACAGTTGTGTGTGTCTGCTGGGTACATACCTAGGGATAGAACTGCTGGATCGTAGGGTTATGGTATCTCCACCTTTAGGGGATAAGGCCACACAGTCTCCTGACATGTTCATAGCAATTCACACTCCCACCTGTGTGTATCAGA
This sequence comes from Homo sapiens, assembly GCF_000001405.40. NCBI lineage: Eukaryota > Metazoa > Chordata > Mammalia > Primates > Hominidae > Homo > Homo sapiens. Next base: position 59,486,533 of record NC_000020.11, read on the forward strand.
ATTCCAGTTGCTCCACACCCAACTCGTGGCCTGCCATATTTCCAATTTCAATATTGCTAATGGGTATATAATGTTTATTATCTCATTCTGGTTTTCGTTGGCATTTCTCTGATTTCATTTGCATTACCATGTGATTTGTTCACAAAAGATAAATTCAGCAAAAGAATGAAAAAGAAACAGACAAACCCCTCTGGCAGGCATTCGCCCTGCACTCGGGACCTGTTGCTGTGCCTGGCTCCGGGCCGCTGTCTCTGCCCATCTTACAAGACTGTGCATGGACCCCCTGAAACCCCTTGTAATCCACTATACTAATAAGGTTAAGTATATTTACATAAGTGTATTGGCTCCTTAGAGATCTTTTATAAATCACCTGGTCAAGTCTCTAGCAAAGCCTCCACCCCTTCTTTTCAGCTTGCTTATTTATTTATTTATTTATTTATTTTTAGTAGAGATGGGGTTTCACGGTGTTAGCCAGGATAGCCTCGATCTCCTGACCTCGTGATCGGCCCATCTGGGCCTCCCAAAGTGCTGGGATTACAGGCGTGAACCACCGTGCCCGGCTGCTCTGTTAATTTTTAATCAATGGTTTATAGTAGTCATCGCACATTTTGAGTGTGAGCTTGTCATCATTTACATGTGTTCCAAATATCTTCTCTCACTCTAGACCTCACGTTGTACCCTCTCAATGCTTCCTGTGAATGATCAGAAGTTCCTAATTCACGTAGAAAACTTTATCAATCTCTTTCTTCTCTGCTTAGTGCTTTTTGCATCCTGACTTTTAGAAACCCTTTCCTACTTTAAGGTCATGAAGAATGTCTCCTATATTAGCTTTTAGAAACTTTGTTTTAGTTTACAGAGTGTGTCTCTTGGTGCACTTGTCCACACCTTTTTGCTGGAATTGATGTTCGCCTATGGTGTGAAGCAGTGCTGGAGATTTGTTTTTCTTTTTAATGTGAATATCCAATTGGGATGGCACCATTTATGGAGAAGAAGATCATTACTGGCAGCTTTCAGTATCACTCTTATTATAAATCATGTGTCCATACATGTGTGGGTTTGTTTCTGGTTTCTCTTTTTTCTTCCGTGGACCCGTTTATTTCTCACATCAATACGACACTGTCTGAATTCCTGCAGCCTTATCATTAGTCTCAGGGTCCAGCACAGCAGCCCTCCTCCATGATTGTTCTTTTTCATAAATGATTTGACCATTCATGGCTCTCTGCATGCCATACACTGGAGTCAGCTTGCCCATGATCATGTTACTGGAGAAAAATTGTCTTTATTTCTACCTTTTCTTATTCCATATTGATTTACTGTGTGTTTGTTCCCTGGCTAGCACCCCCAGGACAGTGTTGAACAGAAATGGTGATAATTTGGGCATTCTTGTCTCATTCCCAATGTCAAAAGGAAAGCTTTCAAATATTTCATGCACAAATGCAGTGATTGCTCTAAACTTGTTTCTGTGTGTGTTCGTGTGTCTGTGTGTGTGTGTGTGTGTGTGTCCACTCTTTATTACATAAAGATTTCTTTCTATTCTTAGTTTTCTAAGGATTTTTATGATGACCAGATTTTTATTTGCATCAAAAGTTTTTCTACTTTATTGAAAGAATCATGTGATTTTTCCCCCCGAAAATGTGGTGAAGTCTGTGAATTTAATTTTCAGATGGTATGCCAGCCTTGTATTCCTGGAATAAACCAACAGGTGTGTATGTAACACAACTGCATTTATTTAAATGGAACATTTGTTTGATTTCATATAAAACAAGTTTCTCAAAGAAATCCTGCCAGCACAGCAGTGTATGTATTGATTAAGAGTCCTGGTTTAGGAGATGCACTTCCGGAGTTCAAGCCCTGGCTCTGTGTTTCATTAGTTCTATTTTTTAAAGCCATAAGGAAGAGTCCTTAACCTCATTGTGCCTCAGCCTACCCACCCTGGTAACATCAGGATAATAGCCGTATCTATATCACAGGACCGTTGTTAGAATGGAAAGCAATCATTCATGTAAAATGCATAGGCCCGTGCTTGGACAGTGTGAGCCCCGTGCACAACCATTAGTGATGTCTGTGTCCTTGGAAGAGGCACCACTTCATCCTGCAGCCAAGACCACCCCAAGGTTTGGCGATTTGCCAGGGATTTGCTAGGGATCTACTCAGCATACAGTGATACTCACAGCTATGATTTATTACAGCAAAAGGATGCAGAGCACAATCAGCAAAGGGAAAATGTGCATGAAGTAAAAGTCTGGGTTTTGTTGGGGGCTGGTGCTGTAGGCATGCTCTTAGCACATACCAAATTTCCGAGTCCCAGGAGGAAAGCAGGTATCCAGCATATACCATACTGTTTGCATAAAGAAGTTGGGTGCAGTGAGCCAGTCTTAGCAGTTAATGGTGGGGACTCTTCTGAAATCCAAGTCCCCAGGTACCAGCCAAAGGCCTACCTTGCAAGCAGGCCTTTTTAAGCACAGCCGTGTAGGCCTGCTGTGTTGACTTTTCCACACGGTGTGATAGTCTCCTTTCATGTATCATTGGATTCAGGTCATTGTGTCTCCTTTCATGTATCATTGGATTCAGGTCATTGTGTCTCCTTTCATATATCATCGGATTCAGATTATTGTGTCTGTGGTTCTGGTATCTCTGTTGCTAAGTGAGATTCAGCCATCTTGAAGGTCTGTGTCAGGCTTTAGTGCCCATGTTACGCTGACCTCATCAAACACGGCAGGAAACAGTCCTTTTTAATTCTCTCCAAAGGCGTAGGCAATATTGGCATTATTTCCTCTTGCTGAACTTGGTAAACTTCATTAGTGATGCCACCTGGGGCTAGGATTTTCTTTTTAGAAAGAGTGTAGGAGTATTCACATTTTTCATTCTTTTTGAGTCCGTTTTAATAACATATGTGTATTTAAAAAAATTGTTCATTATCAAAGTGTTCAAGCTTCTTAGCAGAAAGTTTTTCATAATATGCTCTCATCTTTTTAATATCTGTATGATAAAAATGTTCTAATTTTTATTCCTGATATTGGATATTTGTGCTTTCTCTCTCTCTGATTGATGCCTGATGTCTGCTACTTCTCTAGGTTTTAATTCACAATATTTTGGTTTTTAAAATGTGATTTAATAGATTTTTTTCTGACTTTTTACCTCTGCTACTTATCACTGGTATGACTGTGGGTAGATTACATAAATGCTTTGGGCCTTTCTGATCACTGTTATAAAATAAGGGCAGTGACTTCTACATGAGGCTCTTGTGTCGGATCTATGAGAGAATGAATGGAATGTACCTAACGTGATGCTGGGTAGACCTTCAACAAAGGCAAGCTGTAATTGTTTTAAAGCTGGCTAAAGGCCGGGCATGGTGGCTCAAGCCTGTAATCCCAGCACTTCGAAAGGCCGAGGTGGGTGGATCACCTGAGGTCAGGAGTTTGAGACCAGCCTGGCCAACATGAAACGCCATCTCTACTAAAAATACAAAAATTAGCCAGGTGTGGCAGCGCATGCCTGTAGTCCCAGCTACTCAGTGGCTGAGGCAGAATTGTTTGAACCCGGGAGGCAGAGGTTGCAGTGAGCCAAGGTCGCACCACTGCACTCCAGCCTGGGCAACAAGAGTGAAACCCCGTCTCAAAAAATAAAAAATAAAAAATAAAGCTGGCTAAATTGGAATCATAGGAAAATATATAATACAGCAACAGAACAAAAATTAGAGGTGGGGATAAAAAATTAAAAATGAAGCAAAGGAAAAAAATAGAAAGTACCATAAACAGAAACCATGAATGAGAAATACATACTTGCTAGAAGCGACCACTGATTTGCTTATAAACTCATTCTCGTCAACCTGGAGTTTGTCCTGTAGGGAACCCCGGGCCGCGTGCCAAGGGCTGAGAAAGCTGCAGGATGAAGTGGTGCCTCTTCCAAGGACACAGACATCACTAATGGTTGTGCACGGGGCTCACACTGTCCAAGCACGGGCCTATGCATTTTACATGAATGATTGCTTTTCATTCTAACAACGGTCCTGTGATATAGATACGGCTATTATCCTGATGTTACCAGGGTGGGTAGGCTGAGGCACAATGAGGTTAAGGACTCTTCCTTATGGCTTTAAAAAATAGAACTAATGAAACACAGAGCCAGGGCTTGAACTCCGGAAGTGCATCTCCTAAACCAGGGCTCTTAATCAATACATACACTGCTGTGCTGGCAGGATTTCTTTGAGAAACTTGTTTTATATGAAATCAAACAAATGTTCCATTTAAATAAATGCAGTTGTGTTATTTAGTGGGATACAAGCTCTGAATGCATTTTGAAGAAATAACAAAAATGTTGGGACTTCGCACCACTCCATGGTGCGTTCCCTCTGCGCATCCCAGACTTCCCGCAGGAGCTCGGCTTTTTCCCTGTGCCTCTGGGACACTGAGGTGGAGAATGTGGATGGAGAAAGCCGTCCGTTTTCTCTCAGTCATTATGGCACAGTCGGATCCATTCCATCAGCATTTCCCCAACTTGAGCCGATTTTCTTTTAGAGAAAAAGAAGCTGCAAAGAGCTCTAAGTCTGTTTGAGGACCCTGTAGGCTGAAAACTGCGGATTTAAAAATCTCAAGTTTTAGAGGATGAAAATATCTTTCAATTTTATTTCCTTTTTATTTATTTATTTATTTTGAGACAGAATCTCGCTCTGTCACCCAGGCTGGAGTGCAGTGGTGCAATCTCGGCTCACTGCAAGCTCTGCCTCCCGGGTTCACACCATTCTCCTGCCTCAGCCTCCCAAGTAGCTGGGACTACAGGCGTTTGCCACCACGCCTAGCTAATTTTTTTTTTTTTTTTTTTTTTTTTTGGTATTTTTAGCAGAGATAGGGTTTCACCGTGTTAGCCAAGATGGTCTCGATCTCCTGACCTTGTGTTCCACCCGCCTTGGCCTCCCAAAGTGCTAGGATTACAGCCATGAGCCACTGCACCCAGCCTCAATTTTAAATTAATAATTCAACAGAGCAGATTTATCTTTCAACTTGTTACAAACAAAACAAAACAAAAACTTTTGAAAAATTACCACTGAAAAGAACCCAGAAAAAGAGAAAACATATCATGAAACAAAGCTCTGGCCTAGATCTCCCACGCATCCCCATGGGTCTGCAGTCACCAACAACACTGGGATGGCTGATGGGTTGTGTTCTTCAGGATAAAGCAAAACTATTGCTTAGGAGTATAGCCATGCTGTCCCTAGTCAAGGCTGCCTTTGTTCACCTTTTTAGCCGGCAACTCTCCAGCGCCCAATGCACAGCCCTCTCTGGAAGTCCGAATGGATTGGATGGCATTGTCTATCTAGAGCGGGATGTGGGTCCCAGCACAGCCACTCCCTCCCCATCTCCCCAACCCATCTACCCAGCAGACCTGAAGGAAACCCCACCGACTCCATTGTGTTCTCCTTGTAGACAGAGCCTGTTTCCCTCCCCAACTACACAAAGGACTCAGATTTCCACCCTGGTCTCTGTCTGGCCTGCTGGCGAAGGTGTCTGGACCAAGTGCAACTCAGCCAGCCATGGGAGCTCCTGGCTATGAATGGACCTTTCTACTGTCCACTTCCTCTCAGAGGGCGATGGACACCCACAGTGGGTGTTGTTGGGTGGGCTCAACCCTCACACCATCCCTGCCGATGATGGTCCCTTATACACAGGAGCTCCTGTTTCATCAAATTGCTGTTGTGATGTGTTTGTTACATTCTCTCCCTCCATTCAGAGACGGACTCAGAGGCTTGCCTCGGACATAAACTCAAAAGACAGGGTAAGTGAGAAAGTGAGACAACAGGAATGAACTCAAGGGTGAGGAACCCAGGCAGCTTGGGAGGAGGTGAGAGTACAAATCACCTTCTCTCCTCCCCGGGTCCTGTCATCCCTGGTCCCTGCCAAAGGCGGGTGGACCTCACACTGGGCTCTGAGCCTGTGCTTTCCAGAGCGGGGGCCCAATTACCCTTGGCTCCTGGCTGTGGACTGGGATAATATAAAGCCCCTGGCACATCTTCTACCTTGAAAACTTAGAAAATAAAAAAGACCATTATTTCATACCCCAAAAGACATGCATAAATAGGGAGAAAAACATCAAATTTTAATTAACTTTAAAGCTCAAGGAGAAAAAAAAGTGATCGAAATTGAATGCTTTCATCCTATCACTCCAAACTCAGCAGGGTACATGGGGACCTTCTATTTGTTCAACTCTGGAAGAATTTGATAGAAAAATTGGTGAAGACTTGCTGTAGCTCCTCTTTCAGCTGTTAGAAACCTAATCACATCCATGGCCGGGTGCGTGGCTCACGCCTATAATCCCAGCACTTTGGGAGGCCGAGGGGAGCAGATCACCTGAGGTCAGGGGTTTGAGACCAGCCTGGCCAACATGGTGAAACCCCGTCTCCACTAAAAATACAAAAAAATTAGCCAGGCATGGTGGTGTGCACCTGTAGTCCCAGCTACTTGGGAGGCTGAGGCACAAGAATTGCTTGAAACTGGGAGGCGGAGGTTGCGGTGAGCCGAGATCACACCACTGCACTCCAGCCTGGGTGACAGAGCAAGCAAGACTCTATCTAAAAAAAAAAAAAAGAAACATAATCACATCCACAATTCACAGTGCAAAGCAATTACACGGCAGCACGACTATTCTGGACATTTCTGGATGTTAGTATCTTTGCTGTTGATATTCTCCTTCTTCTTGTTCTCAAACCAGCTCCATGCTGCTCCATGCCAGCGCCTTGCCCGCCTTCTTCCCTCGCTCCCTCCCACATTCTATCCTCTGAAATTCCATGATTCTGCCGTTCCCTATGCCAGAGGAGGCTGTCTCATTAGACCAGTGGTTCTCCAATCTGGCCACTCAGGAACCTCATGTGGGGTGTGTTTGAGAATATACTCATGTTGCCAGAGATCCTGACCTAAGTGAATGGAATGGGGCTGAGCATCAGATTATTTAAAGGTCTGCAGGTGGTTCTGAGGTACAGCCTGTTAAAAAGCTGCTGTCCAAGACCCATGTGTGTGGAAGGAATGGCTGGTGGACCCGCCACCCCTCCAGGAGGTCTCTGTACCAGAAGGAAGCGTCTTAGGGTGAATGCTGTACTGCGGCAGCTGGTACCACCGGGGTCCCGCGCACTGTGGGCTGACTCACCATGCCCCACCCTTGATGAATTATTTGCCAGTTCAGATATGGTCATCCATGAACCAAAATCTGGACTAGGCAAAGTCTAATACAAGGCTACTGTCTCCTACACTCAAATATCCAGAGAGTGGTGTCTTAAGCTCTCATATGTTAAGTTTGGGGAATTGGTCTTCTTCCCTCTGGAAATCTAGATAAGACACAAAGTGAGCATTACTCTGAGGATACCTTGCCCTGGGAAGTTTGGAGATTGATGATGTTTCTAATGGCTGAGAAAAGGGCTTGGAGATTGGGGACCACGGGGACAGACAGGTCTCATCCAGGCAGCTCCTGGGGCATCACTCCAACCAGGCTCTGGCTTTCAGGGTCCGAGAAACCCAGCCCAGGGCAAGCCCTCTCCCTGGGGGAAACAGCTCAGAGCCCTCAGCACCACCATGCAGAAGCAGTTTTTCTTGCTCCTGGGGAAGAGGCCTGGGGGCTTTCCTCTCAAGTGCTTACCCTCCACCTGGCTACCTCCAACCAAACAGCAATTCCCTCCTCATTCAGAAAGTTTAGAACTTTCTCCCAGCTTCTTTGAATGGCGCTTTCTTTGCATCCATCCTCTTCAGGCCCTCCGCTTTCACATATGGGCTCCCCCTTTGTCCGAGTCCTGTGTTGGGGTACAGATATACCCACAGATGGCATGAGCCACTGTTCAAATAATGGACCATCCAATCTGTCGTGACACTACTGTGTGACAGCCCTCAGACACCGCTGTGTGTACATGTCTCTAGAAGCACAGGGGTGAGGCCGCTTCTCACATTTTATAGGACAAGGCACGGAGATAGGAAGGCATAAAAGGAGAATTTTAAAAAATTACCTGCACTGAGATCTTGAACCCCCAAGAACCCAGTGCTCCCCAATTGCTGTGTCCCTCGACACAGAGAGGGTGAGGGATCATGACCTGGGAGGTGCTTGTGGTATGGGGGGATCGTTGTGCACCCCTGCTCACCCACCAGCCTGGGCAGCTGCAGGGACACCAGGCCTTTGGAGGGGACTGCCGTCTCCGAATTCAGCACGCGGGTCGTGGAGGCCTGCGTGTCCTCTGTGTACACGAATGCTCTTCTCCCGCAATCATTTCCTGACCTCATTTAGACGGGCGTGACTCACTCTCCTCAAAACACGCAATCCCCTTCCTCCTCTGGGAACTCTGGATCTGCCGGGAAGCGCTGCCAACTGGACTCTAAAGAAGAGGAGTGGCCAGGTGCAGTGGCTCACGCCTGTAATCCCAGCACTTTAGGAGGCCGAGGCAGATGGATCACTTGAGGTCAGGAGTTCGAGACCAGCCTGGCCAACATGGTGAAACCCCCGTCTCTACTAAAAATACAAAAATCAGCTGGGCGTGGTGGTGCATGCCTGTAATCCCAGCTGCTCGGGAGGCTGAGGCAGGAGAATCTCTTGAACCTGGGAGGTGGAGATTGCAGTGAGCTGAGATTGCGCCACTGCACTCCAGCCTGGGCAACACAGTGAGACTCCCTCTCCAAAAAAAAAAAAAAAAAAGAAGTGACCACTTCCCGACATCACATGGGCCTGTGGTTTAGTCTTTGGGTTGAAATAGTGCATCTTCCTCAGTGTGGATGATGATGGCTGCCTCTGGCGTTGGAGGCCTGCTGAGTTCCTGCACTGATCCTGACCTCCTGCTCCACCCACACAGCAGCCCTGTGTCCCGTGGTGCCCAAGAGGGGACCGAGCTCCCACACCAAGGCGCTGCGCTGGGTGGCAGTGTCACGGAGTGGACATGATCCAAGGACTTAAAGGAATACTTTGTATCCACGTGCAAATACAGCTGTAATATTTTTGTAGAATACCAAATTCAAATTTATTTTTCTTAGGGAAAAGAGTATTCCAGAGGAACTGGGGTTTACATTCAGGCCACCTCAGTCTCTCTCCTTTTCCCTGCCCATGATGTCCTCACAGGTGGGGTCCCCTCAGTCCCCTCTGACCCAGGAGGTCTTTGGGGGCGATGTGCGAAGGAACAGTGTTCAGCTTTGTCTCAGCACTAAGAGAAAGGGAGATGATGAAAACTAGCCCCTGGTTACACTGCGTGCTCGCCAAGCCCCAGGGCTGTCCTCACACTCGCTTCTCAACTTGGGGTGATTCTGCCCCCCTAGGGGACAACTGGCAGCGTCTGGAGACATTTTTGGTTATCACACAAGGTGGGCGCGCCCCTGGCATCTATCGAGTGGAGATGGGGTGCTGTGAGACACCCTGCAGTGCACGAGGTGACCCCCACCACAGAGGGTCACCAGCCCACCCTGGCAATATTGTCGAGGCTGAGGAGCTCTTCCTGTGGCTGCTGAAACGACCACACATTGGGTGCTTGAAAGCAGCAGAGAAGTACTCTCCCTTCTAGAAATCTGAAATCAAGGTCTGAAATCAAGGTCCGTGCGCCCTCTGGTGGCGCCAGGGGAGAAGCTGTCCCTGGCTGCTCCAGCTTCTGCCAGCTGCCGGTTCCTCAGGGGTGCCGTCCTCACTCCAGTCTCCAGGACCCACATCTTCAGGTCTGTCTCTGCTTCAGCTTCACCCTCTCCTCTGTATGTGCCAAGTCTCCCTCTGCCTCCTTCGGATAAGGATACCCATGGCCGCATCCCGGCCCAGGGATAATCTTTCCTCTTTCAGATCTTAACTTCATCCCATCTGCAAAGTTGCTTTTTACCTGTAAGTTCACATTTACAGTTTCCAGAGATTAGGGCATGAATATCTTTTGGTGGGGGGTATTGTTATTCAGCCAACCACACATATATTGACAAAATCCCCACAGCACTCTATAAGGTAAGCGCCTAATAATGGCCCCACATTACAGATGGGATAACTGAGGCACACACAGGTTAAGTCACCCACTCCGTGCTGGGGCTGGGATGGAACCTGGGCTACGGGATCTGGAATTCACCCTGAGTTTCTGCTCAGCTCTGACTGCCTTGGTGGACACAGAGTGGCAATGCAGCTCCTCAAACTCAAGCAACTTCACTTTCTCATGGAGACAGCACTCAAACCCTCAGGACAGATGTGAAGATCCCAGTGTGAAAGACTCGGATTTAAGAATCGCGATCATTAAATCAGGAAGATGTCTTTCCATTCGGATTTTGCAGGATGACTGTGCTTTTATATTTGTTAAGATAATGTAAAACTTCTCATTGATATGAATTTTTAAAAATATGTGACTTGTTGGGAATTTTCCTCCGGAGTGCTGTGCACACTGTCTTGGATCTGAAGGTGGGTTAGTTTGCCGGAGCTGCTGTAACAAAGCACCATGAATGAGGTGGCATAGAACAGTGGAAATCCATGGTCCCACAGTGCCAGAAGCTGGCAGTGTAGAATCAAGGTGTCGGCATAGTTGGCACCTTCCGAAGCCTCGAGGAAGGATCCGTTCCAGCTTCTCCAGCATCTGGTGTCCCCAGGTGTCCCCTGGCTTGTGGCAGCCATCCCCATGTTCCCATGGCATTCTCTCTGGATCGGCACAATATCTTCTCTCCATGCATCTAAGTCCAAGTTTCCCCCTTTTATAAGGACCCCAGTCATATGGATTAGGGGCCTTATCTCAGGTATGACCTTATCTTGCCTAATTGCAACTGCAAAGGTTCTATTTCCAAATAAGGTCACTTTCTAAGGTACTCGGGGTTTCAGAACTTCAATGTAGAAATTTGGGGGGACCACAATTCAACTCATTGCAACAGAATTCTATATTAAACATTCTTCAGACAAGTTTTACTATGTCTATATAATAAAAGAAAGTGTTTTAAGAGAGGTGCAACTTCTCTATGCTTACTACTTTTGTTTTTATTAATATTATCATTACTTGTTGTTTCATGTCTGAACCCCTTTGGTCCTGCAACAGACCCGGCTGCCCTGGTGCCTGTGGCCTCAGCCACTGTCATCCTCAAGTCCTGGCTGTGGGTGACCATTTAGTACAGGCCATTGAAGCCTGTGTCCACATCCTCCAGCCACAGATCCTCAGGAACACACTCATTGTTGAATGAATTGGGTTTATTACTCATTGCGGTGAGGGAAATGCTTGCTATAGAGAACCACAGGGCTTCTCGGTAAAAGGGTGCTATTAAAACCTACTACATCAGTTATTTGCCTGGGGATGGGGAAGTAGGGGCTTTCAGGGTTGGCATGTGAGATGGGAGAAAGTGTCCTTCAGATCTCTGCTCCAGATATAATCTGACCTGGGGTCAGACCATGCTGGATCAATGACGTGGGACAGCTGCATGACCACTCATCAATTAATTAAACTTTCTGACCACAATGTGCTCAATCAAGTAAGAATAGGCCGGGCCCGGTGGCTCTTGCCCGTAATCCCAGCACTTTTGGAGGCCAAGGTGGGCAGATCACCTGAGGTCAGGAGTTCGAGACCAGCCTGGCTAAAATGGTGAAACCCCAGCTCTACTAAAAATACAAAAATTAGCTGGGCATGGTGGCAGGTGCCTGTAATCCCAGCTACTTGGGAGGCTGAGGCAGGAGGATCACTTGAACCTGGGAGGCAGAGGTTGCAGTGAGCTGACTGTGCCATTGCACTCCAGCGTGGGCAACAAGAGTGAAACTCTGTCTCAAAAAAAAAATGAGAATTTTAGCATGTACCTTGCAGGACTGAGTGGGAGAGAGCATGTGAAGTGCCCACAATGGCCCCCCAATTAATGGGAGCTCCTATTTAATCAGATCACCACTGTTGAGTATGTATTCATACACCTTCTAGTCTCCATGAGACTTTCATGGGTCGCAGTGACACACAGAACAGAGCAGAGCAACAGAAAAGTGCATGTGTTGGGACGTGAAATGGGCAGGGGTGAAGCTGGAGCATGGACCGCCTGCCCTCTGACCTGGGCACATGCAGAAGGGCTGCCTCTTGGGTTCAAGCCCTGGATGAAGGTTGCTCACCCTCAGGGGTCCTTGTCCATGTGCTGGAACTATGTGAAGTTTAAGGGCAGAACTGGTGTTTCCTATATCTTACAATTAGACCATTAAACATGTCATCATTTTACTCATCACAAATATGTCTAACTTAGGGAAACTAAAATATAAGGATTTTGAAAGATAAAGCAATATAATTCAAAGGCATTTAGGCAATGGACCAAATCCCTTAATCTTAAGAGCCTGACTTCTGCAGGGACCCGGAGCATCTCTTCCAATAAAGGTGATAGACAAAGAACTGGAAAAGTTGGGCTGTCATCTTTGTAGCATCTACCAGAGAGAAATACAGTTGCTTCCCATGACTGACAATTGTCTCTGAGTTAAAAACAAAGTGATTGTCCAGCAGCAAAACCATCCCTGTTTATATTTTTATTGGTAATGTTGCTACTATTTTGATTTCCTCTTCAGTTCAACTGAATTGGGCACCATTCCCTGCTTGTCCACACTTTACAATTAGCCAGGCAGTCTTTAAAAATATCCAATACCAAGAAGCTCTCTTCCTGCTTAGGCTGTAGAAAGTCACAAGAGATTGTTGCTCCCACCTTAACCTGAATAATCTATGAAATTATAAGTGTTTTGAGCCCATCTGAAAGCGGAGGCTACAAGGCAACCTAGGGAAGTAGATTCCAGGAAGTGACAAGCCCCTCTGAAGACAGAGTACATACACACTGTCTTACCTTGGGCACAGATGGAAGGAATAGGTGATCACCCTAAAAGTGCTAGGGGAAAACAGGTGAAATTGTAGCAACTCTTAAAGGCTGCTGACACAGGCTAGCATGACAGTTTGGAACACCCGGGAAGCCTAGACTCAAGGGGTTCCACACCCTCTTGTTAGCTCTTTTCCCTGGATCTCTGCTAGATGCTGCTGAGAAAGATCAAGAGCAGGGCAGGAAACAGAGCCTTATGAGGGGCTGCAAGAACAAAGCCCAACTGTTTCTCCAACTCTCCTCTCTCATGACACTATAGCCTCAAGATGCAGAAGAGCTGGAAAGCTCCCTACTCACTCTTCTAAAGCAAAGATCTATTGCCTTGAGGGGAGAGGGGAGTGTGGAAAATAGATCAATGGAACATTTCCAACTGAAACACAAAGAAGAAATTAAAAAAAAAACAAAAAACATAAAAGAGCATTCAAGAACTCCAAGACAATAACCAATGATCTAAAATATCTGTAACTGGAGTCCAGGAAAGGGAAGACAGAGAGAACAAGGAAGAAGATATATTTAGAAACTTCTCAGCAATGACCTCTTCAGCATTAATAAAATACAACAAACTGCAAATCCCAAAAAGCCAGAGAACACAAAGCAGGATATATGCAAAAGAAAATACACCTTGATGTATCACAGTCAAGCTTATAAGAAGTGAAGATAAAGAGATCTTAAAGACATCCAGAGAATGAAGAACATTACATACAGAAGGACAAAGATATCAATTACAACAGACTTCTCATCAGAAGCTATGTGAGCCCAAGACAATGGAACAATATTTTTAATACTGAAAGAAAGAAAAACCCCTATCAGTGTAGAATTCTACATTCAGTGAAAATATCTTTCAATAATGAAAATGAAATAGACTTTTTCAGAGAAATGAAAGCTTAGGAAAAATGTGACCTGTGTACTGCACTGAAGAAATATTCATGTTCTATGTTCTTCAAGAAGAAGGAAAATGATATGAGTTGGAAATTTGTATCTACACAAACAAAATAAATGATACAGTAAACATATAAGATACCTCCAAAAGGTATGGAAAAGTAGAAAATATTTGACTGTCTAAAGCAAAAATAGTAAAAATATTGTGTGGCCTATAACATACATACAAATAAAGTTTAGAACAAAGGAAAGGCAGCACAAAAAATGGGAGGGAATGTACATACAATGTGGTAAGGCTCTTACCCTATCTGGGAAGTGGTATAACATTATTTGAAGGTAGGCAATGGTAAGTTAAAAATGTATATTATAAACCCTAGGGTAACCACTACAAATTGAAACAGTGAGGTGTAATTGATTACTTCAAATAGGACATTTTTTAAAAGATAAGAGACATAAATCTAACCACATTGATAATACATTAAGTGACAATAACCTAAATACTCCAATTAAAAGGCAAAAAGCAAGACTCAACTATTTTCTCTCTACAAGAAATTTACTTTAGCTATAGAACTGTTAAAAGTAAAAGGATGAAAAAAGACCTACCGTGAGAACATTACTCAAAAGAAAGCAGGACTGACTATATTAACATCAAGCAGTGTAGATTTCAGAACAAAGAACATCAGGAACAAAAAGGGACATGGCAAATGTTAAAGGAGGCAATTCATTGAGAAGATGTAACAATCCTAAATCTGTATACACCAAATAAAAGAGCTTCCAATTACATAAGGCAAACATTGAAAGAACTGAAAGGAGAAATGGACAAAACCAAAATGTTTTGAGTCGAGTAAAGGCAAATCCAACCACGTGGCTGATGCACGCTGTCCCTGCCACCCGTTTCTGTCTCAACTCTCTCCTCCACAACCTAGAGTTTCCACCAGCCCAGGGCCCCATGTGACATCAAGGGATTATGTCAAGTTTTGGAAGAAAACGAGGGCAGCTTTCTGCAGGATAATAATAATAGCAGATATTTCTGGTGTCCTTGCACTGTGCCAGCTATTATTATGTCCTTTGCTTGAATTTCCTCATTTCATCTTCAAAACAATCCTGTGTGTTCAATCCTATTTACCACAGTTTTACAGATGACGAGACTGCAGCACCAAGAAGTTAAGGAATGAGCCCAAATTGCCAGGAAGACAGAGGAGCTTAACTGCTGGACAGGGCTACACTGCCCTTCTTTTTTTTTTTTTTTTTTTTTTGAGACGGAGTCTCACTCTGTCGCCCAGGCTGGAGTGCAGTGGCGCGATCTCGGCTCACTGCAAGCTCCGCCTCCCGGGTTCATGCCATTCTCCTGCCTCAGCCTCCCCAGTAGCTGGGACTACAGGTGCCCGCCAACATGCCCGGTTAATTTTTTGTATTTTTAGTAGAGATAGGCTCTCACCGTGTTAGCCAGGATGGTCTCGATCTCCTGACCTCGTGATCCGCCTGCCTCGGCCTCCCAAAGTGCTGGGATTACAGGCGTGAGCCACCGTGCCCGGCAATGCCCTTTTTTTTGTGAAAATATACAGAAAGGTGATATTTTCAATGTTAAATGCATAAATGTTAAAATAAATGTATCATTTCGTAGAATACAAATCTGATGGCATTTTTAAGAAAAATTATGAACATCCTCTTAGGAGAAAGCAAGAAATCTAGGAACACCAAGGATCCTGTCTTGCTCACCTCAGGCTCCCTGAGAGAAGATGCAGCCTTCTGGGCCTTCAGGAAGATTTCTGGAGCAAAGTGTGAGGGATTCAAAGCAATTCCAATGATAAACTCTAAAGTTCTAGTGTCAAAAGTCGTCTTTCAATTGTGATTTTACATTGCAATGGAGTTTTACATTTTACATTGCAATATAAGTTTTAAACATTTTCTTGTGGAATGGCTACATGGTGCATTTCCCAGGGTCTGCAGACTCCTATGAAGAAATACTGAGATACGTGGCCAGGCACAGTGGCTCACACCTGTAATCCCAGTGCTTTGGGAAGCCGAGATGGGCGGATTGCTTGAGCCCAGGAGTTCCAGACTAGACTGGGCAACATGGCGAAACTCCACCTCTACAAAAAATAAAAATAAAATATTGAGATAAGAGATTCAAGTAAGATAAGATTGTTTGCTTATTGGAAAATAAGCAAACAAATGTTTAGAAGCACAAACTCCCCACATCAGCATCCTTACTTTTATTGTATATGGCTGCTGTTGTTTTCTCTATTTGTCCCAGGTCACTCCCTTGCTCTGCCTGGTCCTAATGGGCAGGACAGTGTCTGTCCACTTAGAGCAGAGGCTGTTGATGTGACATCCTTCCACCGTTCTCTCCTTTTTGGCCCTCATCAGTGATATGATCAATCATCATCTTCCCACCCACTGGGCGGAGTCCTGCCCTCCAAGCTTGCACTCCCTATTTGTCCTCCAAAGCTAGATGATGCTCTTCTATTCCCATGCTCCTATCTGGTATGATCTGATCAAACATTTCATAGCACAGGTGTGTGATTTGTATAAATTAATGAACCTTTCCAGACCTCTGTGTCTTTTATCAAATAAGAGAAACACTCCTATTATTCAAGATCTAACAGGAGCGCGAGAAGACTTCCTGCAGTCCCTGGCACATAATAGCCCCCGTACAAATGCAAGCTCATGTTTAATCAAATCACCTTTTTTTTTTTTTTTTTGCGTGTTTCAGGCTCACTCTTCATTCAAAGAGGGTTCAGAGACACACAGTAGCACATAAATTAGAACAGCACAACAGAGATTTGGAAAGAGTGAGAAAGGAGAGACAAAGGGAATGAAAACCAGGGTCAGGTTTTCCATGAAATGGACCGGAGGTGAGGCTGGGGTACAGAACGTCCACCGTGCAGCCCCGAGCACTAGCCAGAGGGGCTGGGCTGCCTGGGCTCCAAGATCCTGCCTTGGACACTGTGCACACGTCCAAGCATGTCCCCGGGGTTCTTGGCCACATTCTGGGCTTATGTAAAGTTACAAGACAGACCTGATGCACCTTATACCTCAAAGCTCCTAAACTTAAAAATGTAGCCTGGCGTGGTGGCTCATGCCTGTAATCCCAGCATTTTGGGAGGCTGAGGCTGGCGGATCACGAGGTCAGGAGATCGAGACCATCCTGGCGAGCACCATGAAACCCCGTCTCTAGTGAAAATACAAAAAAAAATTAGTCGGGCATGGTGGCAGGCGCCTATAGTCCCAGCTACTCAGGAGGCTGAGGCAGCAGAATGGCATGAACCCAGGGGGTGGAGCTTGTAGTGAGCGGAGATCACGTCACTGCACTCCAGCCTAGGTGACAGAGCGAGACTCCGTCTCAAAAAAATATATATATACATGAATAAATATCTTCTATATCTGTATATCAGTTTTTGTATTCAAAGTAGCAGGCATATAATAGGGAGTAAAATATTAGTGCCCCTTACAACTTAAGGCACAAGAAGAACAATTCTAAGAAACCTAATTCCTGCACCCCAACCTTGATCCTGTGAACCAGGCCTCTGAGAGTTCCTGGTAGTTTTCCTCTGTCCCCCTTAGAAGGTCTCTGGAGGGACTTGGGGGAATTCTATGGTGACCATGCTTCTTGGGGGTATGCTGACTGGAGGAGTCAGTGCCTAGAAGTGAACACAACTGGTGGGAAGCGTTCCCCTTCCTGTTTATTTCTGTACCAGCTTGTCACCTCTGTTATTGTGCCCCTCTTCTCCTTCTCATCCACTCCACAGTTTTGATGCCATTTTGTGCCCTAACCCTCACCACCCCCGGCTGTGTTCCAGCCTCTAGGAGACAATCAATGGTTCTTTCCTCTAGAAAATAATAATGCAACCATGGTGGTGTGTCTGAATTATATGGTATGTGCAGGAGGTGCTTTTAAAATATGTTGATACTTAGAACCCTTCCCTAGCGATTCTTATTTAATTGTGCTGGTGTTAACTGGTATAGACTTTTAAAAAAATCAACCCGATTGATTCTATTTTATAGCTTGGGTCAAGAAATACTATCCCAGAGCAAAATAGACACAATAAGCAGCTTGTATACCACCTCCCTCTTGCAAGACAGACATCTCTAATCAATCACTGTGCTTGGCAGAATTCTAAGATGAGCCCCATGATCTCTGTCCCTTGGTGTTATACCTTGAATAATCTCCTTCCCTTCAGTCTGTGGAGAACTGGTGACTTGCTTCTGGTCAACAGAACATGGCAAAGGTGATGCGCTGTCATTCCCTTCATAAGGTTACGTTATTTTCAGGCGGGAAAGAGACTCCCCAGCTGGCCTTGAAGAAGCAAGCAGCCATGTTGTGAGCTGCTTCCCAAGCAAGTCACAGGGCAGAGAGCTGCAGGCACCTCTAGGGACCTGAGGGCTGACCACCTGTAAGCAACTGGAGTCCTCAGCCGCACAACCAAAGGGACATAAATTCTGCTGATCATCATGTCAGTGAGCCTGGAAGTGGATTCTTCCCTAGTTGAGTCTCCAGTTGAGAACTCAGCCCAGTGAGGCCTTGGTTGCATGCCAGTGAGACCCTAAGCAAAGAACCCAATGAAGTTGTGCCCAGACCCCTGACCCATGGAATCTGTGAGATAATAAATGAGTGTTGTTTTAAGCTGTTAGATTTGTGGCAATTTGTTATACAGCATACTATATGGATACAGTAATGAACGTCATCACCTAGGACAGGAGGAGGCCCTGCAGTCTTTAGCACTCCAGTCCAAGAAGCTATGACCACTAGCTAAATGTGGCCTCTGAGATGAAATCTGTTGAAATTTGTATTAGTTTCCCATTGTTGCTATAACAAATTACTGCAAACTGAGTGGCTTAAACAATACGCATGTATTATCTTACAATTCTGGAGGTCAGAAGCTTGAAATGGGCCTCAAAGGGCTGAAATCAATGTTGGCCGAGCTGTAGTCCTTTCTGGAGGCCCTAGAGGAGAACCTATTTTCTTGCTTTTTCCAGCTCCTGGAGGCTCCTCACAGTCCTAGGCTCATGGCCCCTTCCTCCATCCTCAAAGCTGGCAATGGCAGGCCATGTCTCCCTCAAACCACATCACATCACTCTGACATTGCTGCCTCTTCTGTCTCTCTCTTCACTTTTGAAGACCCTTGTGACTGGCTACATTGACCCAACTGATAATCCAGGATACTTCTCCTGTCTTAAGGCTTAATTAATTCCCCTTTGCTATGTAACTGAACATACTCAAGGATTTCAGAGATTAGGACACGGACTTTTGGGGTGCCTTCTGCAGCACCCCAACCCTGAATAAAGAATGTACTCATCATCCCCCTTTCACTGCATAACCCCTGCCCCCAGAGGGCTTGGCCTGCAGCTTTATGCCTGTTGTCCTGGCATAATCATTAGCAGCGCCTCACTTCTCCAAAATGTCTATAAACTGTATAGTCCACCCTTTTTGAGTACTAGAAGTTCTCAATATAGCCAATGATTCCTTAATGACATCAATATCCAGTTAATGCTGCATTCCTCTGATGGTTCCAAGTGATTTTTTTAATTTTCAAATCAGGACCCAAATAAGCTTTCATCCCAATTTGTTGATATGTTTCTACAGTCTCTTAATCTGTAATCAATAATCCCTTTCAATATGTTGTGAACAAAAGTTCTCTGAAAAAGAATTTGGAGGAAAGAGACTTTATCTTAGTGAATAGTTTGCAAACCAGGGAGTCACAACCTTCCGGGTAAAATGAAAGATGCTTTACAGAGAACAAAGGGAGGGTTGGCTTTTATAGAGAAAGTTCTCAATCAGGTCCATTTATGTAAAAGAAGGATTCAAACTAGCTTAGTTCTGATTCGTCAACACAGCTGAGTTCTGATTGGCCAATATAACTGAGCTCTCATTGGTCAAGCCAGGTGGGCTCTGATTAGTTGGCTGGGGTTAGCTCTGAAAGTCACAAAGTAAAACAGAGGTGTGGGTTTTGGGGGAACTTGGAGTACACGTGTGGCCTCTACTGAGCAAATGACTGCCTGGCTCTATTTTAAATGTAGGCCCAGTTAGCCACTCAAGATCCTCTTGAAGGACTGGCTCTTTCAGGTTCACATTTGTTCACACTTGATTTTAACAAAATCAGATCATTTGTCCAGAAAGTTTCCCACATCTGGACTTTGCTAACCACACACTGTGTGGTTTTGTGTTTGTTTGTTTGTTTGTTTTTGAGATGGAGTTTCCCTCTTGTTGCCCAGGCTGGAGTGCAATGGTGTGATCTTGGCTCACTGCAACCTCCACCTCCCAGGTTCAAGCGATTCTCCTGCCTCAGCCTCCCAAGTAGCTGGGATTACAGGTGCCCACCGCCACACCTGGCTTTTTTTTGTGCGTGTGTATTTTTAGTAGGACAGGGTTTCACCATGTTGGCCAGGCTGGTCTCGAACTCCTGACCTCAAGTGATCCCCCCACCTTGGCCTCCCAAAGTGCTGGGATTACAGGCGTGAGCCACTATGCCCGGTGCCCTCCCATGTGGTTTTTAAACACACACTTTCCTTCTCTTCCTCTTCCTCTGTTTTTTTTTTTTTTTTTTTTTTTTTTAAATAAAGTCTCACTGTGTTGCCCAGGCTGGAGTGCAGTGGCACGATCCTGGCTCACTGCAGCCTCCGCCTCCCAGGTTCCAGCAATTCTCCTGCCTCGGCCTCCCGAGTAGCTGGGATTACAGGCATGCACCACTATGCCCAGCTAATTTTTGTATTTTTAATAGAGATGGGATTTCACCATGTTGGCCAGGCTGGTCTCGAACTCCTGACCTCAGGTGATCCACCTGCCTCGGCCTCTCAAAGTGCTGGGATTACAGGTGTAAGCCACTGTGCCCGGCTGACTTTTAAACACATTCTTCTGTTCTCTGTATTTCCATATTTCCTGTAAATGGATAGCTATGCCCAGAGGCTAGATTATGTTCAAGTTTGATTAGTTTTTTTTTTTTTTGGAAGTGGGGAAACAAAAGTACTTCCTAGGAGGAGTGATCTACACCCATCGGGAGCATATCCTGCCTGTCTCTCCTTTTCTGATGTTTGGAGCCATATACAGCTACTGCCTAAATCTGTTAACTTAATCAGGGGTCACAACATAGCAATATTTTAATTCTATCAATTCTTCACTTATTACTTGGAGCTATAATGCTTTTATAAAGATACATTTTTCTTCACTGTTTGGTTATCATGTGGTATAGTTTGTATAAGAAAAGCAGGAAGATGATTGAACCTTTTTTTTTTTAAATCAATTTCCAAAATATTGAGTTGGATCCTTAAAACATGATCAATGAGGTTTTTTTTAGTAAAATTATGGTTTTTTAATTTAAACATTGTATGTGTGTCTCCATTCATGGCAGTTATCACTGTTAGTGGTTGCTTACCTTAGCCTGTCTTTGGTGGGATTTATCCAAGTTGACACCTGGGTCTCTCAGATACCACCTTAGTAGGCTTTGATAATGTCCTCACTTCCTGTTATGATAAAATGCTCCAAGATTATCTGGAACATTTCTTGCCTGAGACAAATAATCAGTTATTTCTCTAAGGAATCCTGGTTCCTTTTAGAGAAAAATGAAGTAGCGACCACAATCTATGTGCTGGGAGTATGCATTGCTACTGCAGTGGTCATTGTTTCTAGGCCTTGTCAGAGGATAAAACTAGGAAATATATATATATATATATATGATAAAATATATCCTGAGTTTATACTGATCCTTTATAATTAGATTCAGAATTCTTGGGACTTACTGAACCTCATTGATCTCACGTCTGCATCTTCTTCCTCCTACTCTAAAGACTTCAGCGGCCAGTGGCAAAGTAATTATCCCATTGCTTTCTCCTGCAATCTACCCAAGACACTGCCACAATGGAACACAGCATTACCAGCAAAATCAGTGTCACTAAAATCAGTTTAGGTTTTTTTTTCATGTTCTTTTTGATTTAACTTACTAGGAACATACAGTCAAATATCTGTGTTTTAAAGTCAACCGGGAGAGTCCCTATGTCTGGCTATTCTACCAACGATACAGTGTTAAGTTTAGTTGTTTCAGCTTGACTGCAATTATTAGGGATTGCTTTTAAAAAATGTATATAATTTCATTACTATTTATGAATTAATCTTATATAATTAGAACTGATTTTACATAATTATGTCAAAATATTTGCATGGCTCTAGAGTCATGTTTACTGACAGGATATACCCTGAGCAGTCCGGCTCCCATTCCTGCCCCTTCTACACTGGTCCTTGACTCTTTCTGCAAGTAGATATATTTTAAACATTTTTGGTTTATTCTTCCTTTTAAAAAGATAGGACGGGTGCGGTGGCTCACGCCTGTAATCCCAGCACTTTGGGAGGCCGAGGCGGGTGGATCACGAGGTCAGGAGATCGAGACCATCCTGGCTAACATGGTGAAACCCCATCTCTACTAAAAATACAAAAAAATTAGCTGGGTGTGGTGGCAGGCACCTGTAGTCCCAGCTATTCAGGAGGCTGAGGCAGGCGAATGGCGTGAACCCGGGAGGTGGAGCTTGCAGTGAGCCAAGATTGTGCCACTGCACTCCAGCCTGGGAGACAGAGTGAGACTCCATCTCAAAGATAGGCAAGTGTGTTTCTGTCTTAGTCTGTTCAGCCTGCTATCACAGAATATCGTAGACTAGGTGGCTTATAAACAACAGAAATGTATTTCTCAGAGTACTGAGCTGGGAAGTCTGAGGTCAAGGCACTGGCAGACTCAGGGTCTGATGAGGGCCACTTCCTCATTCATAGATGGCTGTCTTGTCACGTGGTGAAAGGGGCAAGAGAGCTCTCTGGTGTCTCTTTTCCAAGGGCACTAATTCCATTCATGAGGGATCTGCCCTCTTGGCCTCATCATCTCCCACCTCCAAATACAATCACATTGGAGATTAGGTTTTAAATAGAAAGTTTAGAGCGGCACAAACTTCAATGTGTAGCAACACGTGCGCGCACACACACACACACACACACATATTTATATCCCACCTTCTTAGATAAATAGAATGTCATATGGCCGGGTGTGGTGGCTCATGCCTGTAATCTCAGCACTTTGGGAGGCCGAGGCAGGTGGATCACCTGAGGTCAGGAGTTCAAGACAAGCCTGACCAACTTGGTGAAACACTGTCTCTACTAAAAGTACAAAAATTAGCTGGGTGTGGTGGTGCATGCCTGTAATCCCAGCTACTCGGGAGGCTGAGGCAGGAGAATCCCTTGAACTCAGGAGGCGGAGGTTACAGTGAGCCGAAATCATACCATTGTTCTCCAGCCTGGGCAACAAGAGTAAAACTCAGTCTCAAAAAAAAAAAAAATACCATACATACTTTCTCCCACTTGGCATTTTTCAATGAATAACACTGGAGTCACTCCATAGCTATATGTAAAAACACTCATTCCTTTTTCTGCTGAATGATCCTCCATTGTGTGGGTGTACCATAGTATATTCAACCAGTCCCCTCTTCATGGGCATTTAAATTGTTTCCAGGTATTGCCAAAAAAAGAAAGCTGCAGCGATTAGCCTTATACAAATACCTTTTTATATTTTTGCCCATGAATCTTTAGAATGAACTCTTAGAAGTGGGATTGTTCGGTTAAAGGATAAAATGAATATACCATTTTTTCTTTAAAAAAATGTCGGCAGGGTGCAGTGGCTCACACCTGTAAGCCCAGCACTTTGGGAGGCCAAGGCAGGAGGATCACTTGAAGCCAGGAGTTCAAGACCAGCCTGGGCAACATAGGGAAACCCTGTCTCTACAAATATAATAAAAAATTAGTGGAGCGTGAGGATATGTACCTGTAGTACCAGCTACTCAGGAGGCTGAGGTGAGAGGATCACTTGGGCCCAGGAGGTTGAGGCTGCAGTGAGCCATGATTGTGCTACTGCATTCCAGCCTGGGTGACAGAGCAAGATGCTGTCTCAAAAAAAAAAAAAAAATAGAAATGCTTTCTCATTCTATTTTTCTTTCCCACCAGTGATGTATAGGAATGTCTGTTTCACAGTGTTTTCAACAGAGAATGAAGTCCAACTTTTGGATATGAGACAAATGGACTAAAGAGAAATGGTATATTAATTTTAATCAGGATTTCTCTTCTTCTGAACAAGCTTGGGCCACATTGTTTATTGAGGGCCATTTGCAATTTTTGGTGCCTATTCTTAAGCTCCTTCTGTTGTATAACCATCATCCTTCTCCCCTGCATATACTATTTCACCCCCAGTGCAGACCTGTCATCTAGGTGTTGGGATGACTCACATGCTGGATTCGGGTAGTTGCTTCCTTGGGCTGCAACTTAAACCTTCCCTGTGTATTCTGCAGCTTGTAGAGATATGTAGATCAGAAGTTTATTAGAGGCAACTCACTTTGGTTTTGTTTTTTGTTTTTTAAAGTCTGAGGCACAGCAATAGCATTTATTTAATTCATATTATTCTATAGGTAATTTTAATGACATTTTTCAGTGGCTCACACCTGTAATCCCAGCACTTTGGGAGGCTGAGGCGGGCAGATCACGAGGTCAGGAGATCGAGACCATCCTGGCTAACACAGTGAAACCCCGTCTCTACTAAAAATACAAAAAAATTAGCCGGGCATGGTGGTAGGTGCCTGTAGTCCCAGCTACTTGGGAGGCTGAGGCAGGAGAATGGCGTGAACCCGGGAAGCGGAGTTTGCTGTGAGTCGAGATCTTGCCACTGCACTCCAGCCTGGGTGACAGAATGAGACTCCGTCTCAAAAAAAAAAAAAAAAAAAGAAAGTTGTCATTCATAAATCTTGAAGTGTGAAGAACTAATTGTCCCTAATCATTAAATATTAGTGATTATTACCAGATCTATTTATTTTTTAATTAAATTTTTTTTTATTTCCATAGGTTATTGGGGAAAAGGTGGTGTTTGGTTACATAAGTAAGTTCTTTAGTGGCGATGTGTGAGATTTTGGTGCACCCATCGCCCCAGCAGTATACACTGCACCCTGCACCCTATTTGTAGTCTTTAATCCCTCACCCCCTTCCCACCCTTTCCCCCTGAGTCCTCCAAGTCCACTGTGTCATTCTTAAGCCTTTGCATCCTGATAGCCTAGCGCCTACTTAGGAGTGAGAACATATAATAGTTGGTTTTCCATCCCTGAGTTACTTCACATAGAATAACAGTCTCCAGTCTTATCAAGGTCTCTGTGAATGCCATTCGTTCGTTCCTTTCGATAGCTGAGTAGTATTCCATTATATATATATATATATATATGTGTTTCTTTATCCACTTGTTGATTGATAGGCATTTGTGTTGGTTACACGTTTTTGCAATTGCAAATTGTGCTGCTATAAACATGCGTGTGCGAGTATCTTTTTTGGATAATGACTTGTTTTCCTCTGGGTAGATGGCCAGCAGTGGGATTGCTGGATCAAATGGTAGATCTACTTTTAGTTCTTTAAGGAACCTCCGCATTGTTTTCCATAGTGGTTGTGCTAGTTTACTTTCCCACCAGCGGCGTAGAAGTGTTCCCTGTTCACCGCATCCATGCCACTTTGTAGGGCATCTTTCCTAGGTGGGCTTTGCCCCACAGGGCGTGTGGCTACGTCATTTCACCTTCAGTGATGCTGAACATGAGCAGTTGGTTCGCACATTGGTGGCCTGGGCCTGATGGAGCCAGTGTCATGGTCCCACCAACATTTCACTTCCACAATTGAGCATCCATTGATAACTCTCACCTAGATCTGTCATTCTCTTTGAAATCATTAGCCAGCATTCTCTCTTACCACCAATTTGGTTACCCTGAGATTTTCATATAGGAAAGTCCAGATAAATATCTTATTCTTTCTTGTTATTTATCATTTTTCAGAATAATGCAATGAAGGATAGTATTTAGAGGGTAAAATCTGGGTGTTAGGTGTGTGCTCACTTTAAAATACTGCCAAGTTGTATTTTTCTAAAGCATTTTAGTAGACAGAGAATGAAGAAAATATCAAAAAATATCAATTTAACCTCATAATATTTTTTAAAATATTTCTATATTTAAAATATTGATATGTTGATATTAATTGATATTTTCAAGTTCAACTGTAAGATTATAAGGTATTCCTCAATTTCTTTAACATTTTCACTTCTTTTCTCTTTAGGCTGAAAATCTTGGTTCCTAACAACATTAATATAATCACTTGCTTGATCCTGTAACTGTTTCAAAATAACCATGCCAATCATAACTCATTTTAAAATTTTTAGGTGTTTTCCTTTTTAGAATACGTCCTATTAGGCATAGCTCACAAAAACTGTGTTTTTAAAGTCAGTTGAACCCGTGATACTTTCCATGTGGTGATGCTACCACCAGTCTGATAGAATTTTAGATTCATTTGTTTCTTTTTGTTTTCAAATTTCAGATTGCTTTTCTACTACCCATATTTAATATTGCTTTGTAGTTATACAAAAACATGTACATGGTTCCAAAACCAACGTTATATAAAAATTACATTCAGAGAAGTTTGCATCCTCCCTGTGTCCTCCACTCCAATCCATCGCTCTGCCACAATTCGCCATTTACTAGATTTTGGCTGGTCTTTCCACTGCTTATTTTCATGATGCAAGGGACTAAGTAAATCCATTTATATTTCTCTTTTGCATGATTCCTTTTATATTTTTCCAGTATTTCTTTGGAGAGAGTCTTAGAAGTAAGATCAATTGGCAAAGAATAAATGCGCATGGAATTTTCCGGTGAGTTGCCAAGTTCCACTCTATTAGGGATTTGCATTCTCACCAGACGGATAAAAGACTGACTGTTTCTACACAGTGTGCAATCCAAGTACTGAGATTTTTTCAATTTAATAAGTGGCCATTTTAAGTTGTATTTCTCATATTATTAATAAAGATGAGCATGTTTCCATACAATTGAGGGCCATTTACATTTCTTTTCTTGTGGATTCTTTGTTTATATCTTTTGCTTGATTTGAAAAATTTGATTTTTGCTCGAATTCTTCTTTGCTTATGGCTGTTTTCTGTATAATACAAATATAATGATTTTGACATTGTTCCATGTTTTATATATTAACATTTTCTTTATTTTTATAGCTGAGTAGATTTGGACATGCCACAATTTGTTTGCTTGCTAGTGGTTGGAGATTTGAATTGCTTCCAATTTGGGGCTATTAGGAATAATTCTGAACACAAGTAATTCATATACCCTTGTAAGTGTGTGTGTGTGTGTCTACGTAAGTCTTCATTTCTCCTGGGTAAGCACCTAGCAGTAGAATCACGGGGTGGGTGACTAATCCATGTCTGACTGTAAAAGGTGATCAATGAATGAATGACTGTATAAGGTGATCAATGCCTGTTTGACTGTACAAGATACTGCCATGCTATTTCCAAGGGACTACACCATTTTGCATTCTCATCAACAATGTAATGGATCTATTATTAATTTTCATAGAGTAACACAAACATATTTGCGAATTAAGTTTTGATTTCCCACACAGTATAATATCTCTATCTGTCTACACTGAATAAGCACATATGTATCTCCTGCATAAACCAAAGCTTTTTTCAATCCTCAACACATTTGAAGAGTGCAAAGTGGTCACAAGACCCCACTATTAGGAACTTCTCTTTCAGAGCAGCATTTAGAGATGGAAGGTGTCTGTTTTCTAGCAGCCGCGAGGGGTACCCATGATCACTTCTGCGTTTCTCTAACTGAGCAAAGTTCATTTTAAAGGACACAAATCCTCAAAGACCCCCAGAACACGTCCCAGGACACCACTTGAAAAGCACCAATTCAAGAATATAAAATTCTGGACTATAAAAATCTCTTTCAGTGGTGCATTAGCACTGCTACAGTGCGATTTTGTCATTAGATGCTAAAGCTGTTTTATTGGTTTTTTTTGTTGGTTTTTTTGTTTGTTTTGTTTTGAGATGGAGTTTCGCTCTTGTTGCCCAGGCTGGAGTGTAATGGTGCAATCTCAGCTCACTGCAACCTCTGCCTCCCGGGTTCAAGCAATTCTCCTGCCTCAGCCTCCCAAGTAGCTGGAATTACAGGCATGCACCACCACACCCAGCTAATTTTTTATTTTTGTTTTCTGATAGAGATGGGGTTTCACCATGTTGGTCAGACTGGTCTCTAAGTCCTGACCTCAGGTGATTTGCCCGTCTTGGCCTCCCAAAGCACTGGGATTGCAGGCGTGAGCCACCACTCCTGGCCTAAAGCTGTTTTTTATTGTTGCTGTTTTATATTTTTCATCACAAACTGCAAAAGTAAAAATTTTCTACTGCCCCTCCTATCCCCAATATTCCCCCATGTCCCCAATGGATGTGAAAATGCAAATTACAGAAATGCAAACTTGCACAATTCAGCATCCCTAAGGTAAAAACAGACTAATTGTTCTGGAGCAACACAGCCTGTCCATACTTGCTGCAGGTCACAGCCCTCAACCCTGCTGTGTGGCAGGCAGCCCCTCCTGCACTAGGAGAGGCTGGGAGACCTCTATCTGCAGCCCATGCATTAGTCATCCAGGACTCCACCTGGACGAGGGCAGTTCCTGAGCTGTGCAGCCTGGGCCCTCCCTGTGCGCCTGTGCTCTTGCAAATGGAGAGGGTGGCTCTGCCTGCAGCACGGGTACCATCCAAGGCCAGGGCCAGGGCCAGAGTGCACAGTGGGGAGTCCTCAAAGCAGGTGAGGACCTGAAGTATATGGGCTGCAGGGCAGGCAAACCCCGAAACTGGGGCTTAGCCTGAAAAGGTCTGGCTTTACCCAGGAAAGAATTCAGGGCTGAGCTGGAGGCGTAGTGCTAAGCTCTGTGACTGCTCCTACACAGCAGGTCTACCCACCAGGCAGTGTGTGGAAAGCAGCAGCTGTGGGGCAGTGGTGCCGCCATATTTATACCCACTTTTAATTACATGCAAAGTAAGGGGCGGGTTATTTAGAAATTTCTAGAAAAAGGGTGATAACGTCCAAGTGTTGCCATGGCAACGGTAAACTGTCATTGTGCTGGTGGGCGAGTCTCATGCAAATGAGCTTTTGCCTGTTCCATGTTTCAGCCAGTCTTCACTCTGGTTGGGAGTCAAGTCCCGCCTCCTATATCGCATTCATACTCAGCAGCTTTAGGCGCTGAGTTGGATAGAGGGCGACAGAAGCTCAGAGCAGCACACACACTAGGGCAGAGGTGCAGAGAGGTGCGGTGCAGAGGGGCTGGGTGGTGGGTGAGGGGGATCTGGGCAGGAAGTTGTTCCCGCCAGGCTAGAGCGCAGGTCACCCAGGGTCCCGGCTCCACCCGGGTGGGCGCTGCAGGCTCTGAGCCGTGGCTCAGTCCGAGGGTCACTCACCCACCTCAGGGGAACTGGACGAGCCCCAGGTGACAGGAAGCTCTGTGCACACCTGGTGCCTGGCCAACCTGTAACATTTGAACATTTCAATATCCATTTCTATTTTTTTAAAACAAGCATCACCTTCTGTCAGCCATTAATATAGAATCACTATGGAGCGATGACTACATAACATTTCCACGACTTTTGGAAAGTTCCCATGAGTTTGGAAAGAGCCACCCAAGGAATCTCCTCTCCCGAGTTTGCAGCCCGCGCCTTCTGCCGGGCGTTTGGCGCATTTCTTCCAGAGAATACGGATCCGAATTATTCCAGAGGAGCCTCGGCCGCAGTCTCTCCAGCCGCCGCCAGAGGGAAACCTGATCCCATGCAGGATTCCTAGGGGCTCCCAGAGAAGCCCTAGGCTGTGCTGCTGCCTGCTGGTTCTGGGAATGGGTGAGCCTTGGGAGAGCAAAGAGAATAGAAAGTAATTCTCCATGTGTCTTCCTCCAGCTCCAATCTAGTTTAAAACCATCCCCCTATAGCCTGCTTTTTTTCCTTAAAGAATCTTCAAGCAAATCCCAGACTTTGTATGGCTTCACTTGTAAATAATTAAGTATATCTCCCCTCAAGAAAAGACTTCTTACATACTTTACGTAAACAACTTTTCCATCCTCAAACCTCACAAAATTGCCGTCAATCCCCTGCTATCATATGATGACCAGTTTTCAGCTTTTACGGCTTCTTGGAGATCTCGTAAATGCCTCCTGGCAACCGATTTGCTCAAACTCATTTCCAGACAAGACCGGTTACCAAAACACCAGGGATCCCTCTAGGACCTGATGCTCAGGGCACAGGAAGCCAATCGCTGAGACCATGGGTATTGCCAGGGAAGAAGGCTTGAAGCAGGTGCTATAGGCAAGGAGATGGGCGCTCAGTCTCAAGTCCATCTTCCCGACAGACTAAAATTAGGGTTTTATATTGTAGGGAAGAAATGTAACAATGTGTGGGAAAACAGGAACTCGGAAGGAGCCCGGAAGCAATCATGATAAATGAGGGGCCTGGCAGCATCTCCTCCTATGGACATGGTGATCTGGCGAGTTTCAGTTCTTAATACTTTTTGAGAGGCCTGGAGTCCTTTACTGAGGAAGGAACTCAGATAAAACAAATGTAAGTTTCAAGCTTTAAGACCAGAAGGGTCAATTTCTATGTGTGTATTTATATATATCTGTCTATGGGCCGGGCGCGGTGGCTCAGGCCTGTAATCCCAGCACTTTGGGAGGCTGAGACGTGCGGATCACGAGGTCAGGAGATCGAGACTATCCTGGCTAACACGGTGAAACCCCATCTCTACTAAAAAAAATACAAAAAATTAGCCAGGCTTGGTGGCAGGCACCTGTAGTCCCAGTTACTCGGGAGGTCGAGGTAGGAGAATGGTGTGAACCCGGGAGGCAGAGCTTGCAGTGAGCTGAGATCATGCCATAGCACTCCAGCCTGGGCGACAGAGCGAGACTCCGTCTCAAAAACAAACAAACAAAAAACTGTCTGTGGGACTACTGGGTTGCCTTCAGACCTATACATTTATGTTTGTTGGATAATATATTTCTAAAGAGTTTTTTACGTACGGGGTTCCTTCCTTCCTTTGTTTTCTTTCTTTCTTTTTTCTTTTTTTTTGACAGAGTCTTCCTGTGTTCCTTGGGCTCCCAGGCTGGTGTGTGGTGATGTGATCTCAGCTTGCTGCAACCTCCACTTCCCAGGCTCAAGTGATCCTTCCACCATAACCTCCCCAATAGCTGGGACTACAGGCGCACACCAACATGCATGGCTAATTTTAGTAGTTTTTGTAGAGACAGGGGTTAACCATGTTGCCCAGGCTGGTCTTGAACTCCTGGGCTCAAGGGATCCGCTCACCTCAGCCTCCCAAACTGCTGGAATTACAGGCATGGGCCACCTCGCCTTGCCCCTTCCTTTCTTCATTGCTGTTTGTTTGCTCATTTGTTAGCTGTTGGGGTTTTTGTGTTATTTTGTTTTCAGTATGACATTTATTTGGTGAGGACATTTCACACTTACGTTAGAGGGCACCTGGCTGTGAGATAACCGCCCCAACACCCCTGTATTCCTGGGAACTGGTCCTCATCAGCGCCAGGTTGGGTCCTCTGGGAAAGCCTGCAGATGGATCAGGGGTGCATTCCTGTTGCTCCACCCAGAGGCAGGAGGGTCAGGCTGTGTCTCTCTGGGCTGCTGTGATTGTCAGTGCAGTCGGATCCTTCATCATCTGTTCACCGTCCATGTTGCTGCTCATGGGGTGAGCAGCCATTCATGAACATTGCCAAGTTCCTTCCTTCCTTTCACAAGAAATTGCAAAATGGTGACGTTCTATTTGTACCATTCCTTCAGTATTTGTAAGCCAGATTCTTCTATTTATAATAACAGGAAGAACGTTTCCTCATCAATATTTGGTTTTTCTGGTATATGGTTTGGATAGGAAAGGCGGGATCAATGCTTTTCATTCCTTCAAGCTGCATCATAAAAAGGTGGTGTTCGAGCATTTTGAAAGCCCTTTTTAAAATTACAAACTCACATTCTTTTCTAAAATTGATGTGTTTCAGTCACCTGCCACCGTCATTCTTCTGGATGGTCCATGCCCTCACTCAGGCCAGGGGAGCCTCTCCAGGTCAGCTCCTGCACCCTCAGGCCAGCACCCCAGAGGTAGAGAGTGTCCTTGCCTCCTGGTCGACAAGATGCTCCTGGCTTAGCTTATGCATTTACTGCCCCAGAGTGGAATCAGCCCTTTCTTCCAGGAGACCTGGTCCAGATCTGTGGGTTCAGTGAGGGTGGAATAGAGACAGTGAGGCACCCCCAGCCCGAAGCACCTGGCAGAGAACAGACTGCTACAAACAGATGATCATACATTAATCAAATTGCCGTCGTTACACACTCACTCAAACTCCTTCCTGCACAGAAAAGGCTTCAGAGCCTCACCATGGTCCCTGAATTTCAGCAGCAGAACAGAGATTTGCAGTGGGTGAGACAGGGAAGGCACAGAGGGTGAAACAAGAATCTGGGCAGGAAGGGGTCCCAGGTGTGAGGCTGCTGCGTGGCCTGCCAGCTCCAGTCCCAGGCCCTCTTGTGGGTCCCTGAGTCCCAGTACCTCTGACTGGGCTGTCACCACCAGGGCCCTTGGCTGGGTGCTGGCCACCTGTGAGGCCACGGATGAACCTTGGGCTCTCCTCACTTGTAGTAGGAAAATAATTGGAACACCACTGTTCTTCCCAATACCCAAATCCACATCCATACAGTTGAGAAGAAAACTTCCATTTCTAAGGGTGAAGTAAAGGACCGTGGATAGATGTTGGATTGCACCATACAGGGGGCTGCCCTCCTCTTCCTTTGCAGCATCCTCACTAGCCTCCCGCATTCTCAGTGGGATTGTGTCTCAATGTTGGAGAGCTCTGGAGGACATTTTGTCCAGCAAGCGCCAAGGGAAAATATAATTTAGGGAATTATCAATGCCCATGAGAATCATGAAAGATAAGCAACAGTGCTGCCCAGGACAGCCACAATTCCTGCTGGATTGTGACTGTAATTGACATTCTTATCACAGGTCTCCATCACAGCTAGCTGTCATCACTGGCATTGTCCTGCTGTGTTCTAGAATCTACACAATGCATCTGCCTTGCCCCTCAAGCCCTCATTCTACCCTAAAGCTCACCATCCAACAACCAGCATCTGTGTGAGGCCAATGCTCAGCCAAATCCACAGGCTGTGCAGTCTCAGCCTCCAGAGCTCTGCCCAGGGCACTGTCCAGCAGCCCCAGACACCTCAGCCCCAGGTGCATCTGAGCCCTCCCTCACGCTCATCACACAGCAACACCAAGCCACCTCCAACCTCTCTCCCCAGAGCCCTTGGGAAGACTCATGACCTTCCAAGTTGCACTGCAAGGGATTAGAGTGGCATCTTAATGAACCCTTTTGCTCTCTTGCACCTAGACACCTAGATGTAATTTTACACTCCAGGGCTTGTCTCCCTGGAAACACAGGTGTGATTGAGGCAAGAGCCAGCTCAGGGCAGGGAGTGCCAGAGAAACTCACACACAGGTGTTTCAGCACTGACCCAAGGCTCAGTCCTGGCCTCTCAAATTGCTGTCTGTCCCTCTGGTGGTTACCAGAAGAATTGCAGGGCTTCTGCTTTTACACCCGAGGCTCTTAAAGGGAGAAGAACCTGCAGCAGGTTCCCTGAAGGGCTGTGCAGGGGACCAGAGAGGCTTGGCTGGCAGAATATTGATGGTGCAAGCCCCTTGATCACTGACGGTGCCCCTTGTAAATGCATAAAAATGATGAAGCATTTGTGTTTTGCCTTGGGCTCAATTCTCAGCTTTTGTTTTAATATAAAAGCAATCAATTTCTCCCTGAAATCTAGTAAAATGTCCTAGGAAAATGTATGATTTTTATGTGAGAGCTGCACTAACACCCAGCCCTCAGCTCAGGACCCTGTGATGACAGAGGCTGGCCTGGAAAGGATACAGCTGGGCTGGGAGCAGGTGTTTGCCCACCTGAGCCCTTGTCCCACTTCCAGATCCTGCCTGATTTTCCCTGTTAGAATGGCTATGATCAAAAAGACATAAGAAAAGAGTTGATGATGATATGGCAAAAATGGAACCCTTGGACTCTGCTAGTGAGAGTGTCAATTGGTATAGCTATTATGGAAAATATGAATTTTCCTCAAAAAATTAAAACCAGAACTACCATATTATTCAGCAATCCTCCTTCTGGTATATATCCAAAGGAAATGAAGTCACAATGTGAAAGAGATATCTGCACTCCCATGTTCATTGCAACATTATTCACAACAGCCAACACATGAAAAGAACCTATGTGTTTACCCACTGATGAGTGGATCAAGGAAATGCGGTAGACATATATGACATGGAATACTATTCAAACTCAATAGAGACATCCTGACCTTTACAATAACATGGATGAACTTAGAAGACATTATACTAAGTGAAATAAGCCAGGCAAAGGAAGAAAAATACTGCGCATTCTTCCTTATATGTGGAATGTAAAAATGCTGAAGTCGGGCTGGGCGTGGTGGCTCACACCTGTAATCCCAGCACGTTCAGAGGCCGAGGCGGTTGGATCACGAGGTCAAGAGATCGAGACCATCCTGGCCAACATGGTGAAACCCTGTCTCTACTAAAAATACAAAGAAATTAGCCAGGCATGGTGGCAGGCGCCTATAGTCCCAGCTACTCGGGAGGCTGAGGCAGGAGAATCACTTGAACCTGGGAGGCGGAGGTTGCGGTGAGCCGAGATGGCGCCACTGCACTCCAGCCTGGTGAGAGAGCGAGACTCTGTCAAAAAAAAAAAAAAATGCTGAAGTCATAGAAGCAGAGAGTAGAATGGTGGTAGCCAGGGGCAGGGTTGAGGGCAATGGGGAGATGTTAGTCAAAGGATACAAACCTTTAAACAGGAGAATTAATATCTGGAGATCTGTCACACAGCATAGTGACTACTGTTGATAAAATGTAATGCATACTTAAAATTGCCAAGACAGCAGATCTTCAGATCACCACACACAAAAATAAGTATGCAAGCTGATGGATGTGTTAATTAGCCTAATTTAATCATCACATAATGTGTACACATATCAATACACCACCAATACATACGATTTCTATTTGTCAACCAAACCTTCATAAGGCTGAATACAAAAGGAAAGTGGGGCCAGGTGTGGTGGCTCATGTACGTTGGGAGACTGAGGAGGGCAGATCATCTGAGGTCAGGAGTTTGAGACCAGCCTGGCCAACATGGTTAAACCTTGTTTCTACAAAAAATACAAAAATTTGGCCAGGCGCGGTGGCTCATGCCTGTAATCCCAGCACTTTGGGAGGCCGAGGCAGGGGGATCACGAGGTCAGGAGATTGAGACCATCCTAGTTAACACAGTGAAACCCTGCCTCTACTGAAAATACAAAAAGTTAGCCGGGCCTGGTGGCATGCACCTGTAGTCCCAGCTACGTGGGAGGCTGAGGCAGGAGAAACACTTCAACTCAGGAGGCAGAGGTTGCAGTGAGCTGAGATCGCGTCACTGCACTCCAGCCTGGGTGACAGAGCGAGACTCCATGTCAAAAAAAAAAAAAAAAATTAGCTGGGCATGGTGGCGGGTGCCTGTAATCCTAGCTACTTGAGAAACTGAGGCAGGAGAATCACTTGAACCTGGAAGGCGGAGTTTGCATGCAGTGAGCTGAGACCGCACCATTGCACTCCAGCCTGGGCAACAAGCGTGAAAGTCCATATGAAAAAAAAAAAAAAAAGGAGAGAGAGAGAGAGAGAAAGAAAGAAAGGGAAAGAAAGCAGGCTGGGTGTGGTGGCTCACACCTGTAACCCCAGCTTTGGGAGGCCAAGGTGGGTAGATCACTTGAGGCCAGGAGTTTAAGATCAGCCCAGCCAACATGGCGAAACCCCGTCTCCACTAAAAATACAAAAAAAATTAGCCAGGCCTGGTGGCATACGCCTGTAATCTCAGCTACTCGGGAGGCTGAGGCATGAAAATTACTTGAGCCTGGGGGGTGGAGGTTGCAGTAAGCTGAGATTGTGCCACTGCACTCCAGCCTGGTTAACAGAGGGAGACTCTGTCTAAAAAAAAAAAAAAGATAAAGTGGGCTTGGGTTAGTTGTAAATGTATACTGAAAACTCTAGGGCAACCACTTTTTAAAAGTTAAATTAAGAAGTATAACTGATATGCTAAGACATGAGGGAGAATGAAATAATATTAAATGATAAAATCATAAATGGCTGAAAAGGGGTGGAAGACACAATAGAAACAAAACACAAGGGCTACAAATAGAAAACCGTAACAAATATGGAAGAATTTAATCTATCTCTATAAATAATCATTTGAACATCAATGGTCTAAATGCACCAAGTAAAAGCCTGGGATTTTCAGAGTGGATCAAAAAATAAGACCCAACTATATGTTGTCTCCAAGAGACCCACCTTAAAAATAAAGAGGCATATAAGTTGAAAGTAAATGCATGGAGAAACATATACCATACTAATGCTAATCCAAACAAACTAGAAGTAGCTATGTTAATTTCAGATGGAGTTGACTTCAAAGCAAGGAAATGTATTAGGGATATAGAAGAGCATTGTATAATACTAAGAGGTCAATTCTGCAAGAAGACATAATTTTTAAAGTGTATGTGCTGAAAATAGTGTGTCAAATTACATAAGGCAAAAAGGGATAGAACTGTAAGGAGAAATAGATGAATCAATTGTTTTAGTTGGAGACCTCAACACCCCTCTATTGGAAATAGACAGAACCAGCAGGCAGAAAATCAGAAAGGATATAGTTGAACTCAATACCACTGTCTACACTGCCTAAAACTGCCATCTATAGACTACTTCAACCACAGCAGAATACAAATGCTCCTCAAGTTCATATGAAACATTCACCAAGATTGGCTACGTTCTGGGATGGTAAAATTTACCTTAAGGTATATAAAGGAATAGAAATCATGTAATGTCTGCTCTCAGATCTTAATTAAACTAAAACCAATGACAGAAAGATAACTGGAAAATATCAAAATTTACAGAGATTAAGCAACACACTTCTAAACAATACATGGGTCAAAAGAAACATCTGAAGAAAAACTTAATATTTTGAAAGAAGTTAAAATGAGAACACAACTTATGAAAATGTGTGGGATTCAGTGAAAGCAGTGATTAAAGGGAAATATATAAAATTGAATGTGTTTATTAGAAAAAAGAAAGGTCTAGGCTGGGCATGGTGGCTCACGCCTGTAATGCCAGCACTTTGGGAGGCCAAGGCAGGTGGATCACGAGGTCAGGAGATCGAGACCATCCTGGCTAACACGGTGAAACCCTGTCTACTAAAAATACAAAAAAGTAGCCGAGCGTGGCAGCGGGCGTCTGTAGTCCCAGCTACTTGGGAGGCTGAAGCAGGAGAATCGCTTGAATCTGGGAGGTGGAGCTTGCAGTGAGCCGAGATCACGCCACTGCACTCCAGCCTGGTTATGAAGTGAGACTCCATCTGAAAAAAAAAAAAAGAAAGAAAAAGAAAAAAGAAAGGTCTAAAACCAGTTATCAAAGGTTCCACCTTAGGAAGCTAGAAAAAGAAGAGCAAATTAAATCTAAAGTAAGTAGAAGAAAAGGTCTAATAAAAATTAGAGCAGAAATCAATAAAATTGGAAACAGGAAGTCAACAGAATCAATGAAACCAAACACCAATTATTTGTAAGGATCAATAAAATTAATAAGCCTCTGGCCAGTGTAACTAAGAAAAAAATAGGGAGGACAAATGAGTAATATCAGAAATGAAAGTGGGAACATCCTAAGTGCCCATAGATATTAAAAGGATAATCAAG
Source organism: Homo sapiens (assembly GCF_000001405.40). NCBI lineage: Eukaryota > Metazoa > Chordata > Mammalia > Primates > Hominidae > Homo > Homo sapiens. The sequence goes on from NC_000020.11 coordinate 59,523,848, forward strand.
GCATCCAATGAATAACTCTATGCCTACAAACTTAAAACCTGGATGAAATACACCAATTACTTGAAAAGAAAATATGCCAAGACTCTCACAAGAAACAGACAATTGGAATAAGTTTATATCTATTAAAGAAATTGAGTAAATAGTAACTTTCCAAAACAGAAAGCAGCAGGCTGAGATAAATTCACTGGTGAATTCTACCAAACATTTAGAGAAGAAATTATACCAATTCTCCACAGTTTCTTCCAGAAGATAGAAGGGGGAGATAATATTTCCTAAGTCATTCTATGAAGCCAACAACACTCTAAAACCAAGACCAGACATGATAAGAAAACTACAGACCACCATCTCTTGTGAACATGGATGTAAACATTTTCACAAAAATCAGCAAATTGAATCCAACATGTATAAAAATAATTTTATACCATGACCAAGGGGGATTTATGCCAAATACACAAGGCTGGTTTGGTATTAGGAAATCAATTGATGTAATCCATTACATAATGAAGGTTAAAAAAAAAAAAGAAAAAATCACATGATTCTATCAATAGATGCAGACAATGTATTTGACAAAATCCAATTTATGATTAAAAAACTCGCAGTAAACTAGGAATATAGGAAAACTTCCTCAACTCGATAAATGTATCTATAAAAAAACCCGACAGCTAACATCACCTATAATAATGAGAAACTTGAAACCTTCCCTCTAGGATCTGGAACATGGCATGGATGCCCTCTCTCAACATGCCTTATCAATATTGCACTGGAAGTCATAAAGAATACAATAAGAGAAGAAAAAATGTGTACTGATTGATAAGGAAGAAATAAGACTGTTTGCAGATGACTTGATTGTCTATATAGAAAATTCAAAAGACTCAACATAAAGTTTTCTGGAACTAATAAGTGATCCTAGCAAGGTTGTAGGATGCGAGGTTAACATACAGAAGTCAATCATTTTCCTTCACAGTGGCACTGAACAAGTGGAATCTGAAATTAAAAACACAATACTGTGTTTATTAGCACCCCGCAAAATGACATATCTAGGTGTAAATCTAAATGGAATCTCAGTGCCACAGTTATTTTTCTGTTTAGAAAAAAAGTGTTATGAAGGAAAATGATGTATGCCCCAACTACAGTGGATGGTGAAAGACGCAAGGTGAGGAGGAAAAAGCAAACAAGTTGAGGAAAACCAGTTATCATTTTTAATTTTAAATATCATACCCACCCATTTCTACCATTCCTGAGTCGGTCAACATTTCTGTAATTTGAAAAACATAGGCCTGGGTGTGATTTCATCTGTCTTTGGCATTTATCCTACCTGGTGCTCTCTGAGCTTCTTGGATCTATGGTTTCATGTCTGACATTAATTTGGGGAAATCCACAGTTATAACTGTTTCCAATGTTTCTTCTGTTCCTTTTTCTACTTCTTCCCCTTTTGGGATTCCCAGGAGGCATTTACGAGATCTCCAAGAAGCTGTAAAAGCTGAAAACTGTCGTCATATGATAGCAGGGTATTGACGGCAATTTTGTGAGGTGTGAGGATGGTACAGTTGTTACTTAATGTATTGAAGAAGCACTTTCTGGAGGGGAGTCATATTGAATTATTTGCAAGCGAAGCCATGCAAAGTCTGGGATTTGCTTGAAGATACTTTAGGAAAAAAAGCAGGCTATAGGGGGATGGTTTTAAACCAGATTGGCCAAATGCTGAGCACTGTTGGAGCTGGAGGGGGACGCATGGAGGATCACTTTTCTCTCTGTTTTCCCAAGGCTCACCCATTCCCAGAACCAGCAGGCAGTGCTTGCTCTGGGAGCCCCCTAGGAATCGCGCACGGGATCAGGTTTCCCTCTAGCGGCGGCTGGAGAGACTGCGGCCGAGGCGCTGTAATAATTTGGATCCGTATTCTCTGGAAGAAATGCGCCCGATGTCCGGCCGAAGGCGCGGGCTGCGGACGAGGGAGAGGGTAGTCTTTGGTGGCTCTTTCCAGACTCGTGGAAACTTTCCAAAAGTCATGGAAATTTTACATATTCATCGCTCCATAGTGATTCTATATTAATGGCTGACAGGGGGATGCTTGTTTTAAAAAGATAGAAATGGATATTGAAATGTTCAGATGTTCCAGGTAAACCATGCACCAGGTGTACACTAAGCCTCCTGTCGCCTGGGTCCAGCCCAGTCCCCCAAAGTGGGTGAGTGACCCTCGGACTGAGCCGGGGCTCGGAGCCTGCAACGCCCACCCGGGTGGAGCCGGGACTATGGGCGACCATCGCTCCAGCCTGGCAGGGGGTTGCTTCCTGCCCAGACCCCCCTCACCCACGTCCAGCCCTGTTGCTGGACACACGTGCTCTAGTTTATGTGCCATTTTGATCCTTTGTTGCCCTCTGTGAGAAGAAAGGAGCCTGGACAAGCGTCTAAAGCTTCTGGGTGTGAATAGATACCCACGCACTTCAGGCCTTACCTGAGTCCAGGTCGCCTCGCTATGCACGCCCTGGCCCTCTCCCAGGATGGCGCCCGCGCTGCAGGCAGAGCCACCGTCTCCATCTGCGAGAGCGCACAGGTGCGCAGGGAGGGCCCAGGCTACACAGCTCAGGAGCTGTCCTCATCCAGGTGGGGTCCAGCCTGGGGTCCGCCCAGTCGGGGATGAGCTCATGGACTGCAGGTGGAGGTCCCAGGGCCCCTCCTAGAGTCCTCCCTCCACGGAGGGTCTGCCTGCTGAGGGTCAGAACTGAGGGCTGTGGCCTTTATCTGGTGTAGACAGGCTGTGTTGCTGCAGAGCAATCAGTCTGTTTTGATCTTATGGATACTGAATTGCACAACTCAGCATTTCTGTAATTTGCATTTTCACACCCACTGGGGACAGCGAGAGTGCTGGGGATGGGAAGGGTGTGGAAAAATTTCACTTTTGCAGCTTTTGATGAAAAAGGTAAAACAATCAGCATTAACAACAGCTTTAGCAGCCTAATGACAAAACCCTGCTATTTCAATGCTAATGCACCATTAAAATAGATTGTCATAGTCCAGAATTTTATATTCTTAGCTTGATGTGTTTCAATGAGTAGGCTGGGACATGTTCAGGGGGTCTTTGTGGATTTGTGTCTTTAAAAATGAACTCTGTTCAGAGAAACGCAGAAGAGATCAGGGCTTCCCCCTTGTGGCTGCTAGAAAACAGACACCTTCCATTTCTAAATGCTGCTCTGAAACAGGGGGGTCTAATAGTGGGGTCTTGTGACCGCTTTGCTCTCTTCAAATGTGTTGAGGATCCACAAAAGCTTTGGTTTATGCAGCAGGTACATATGTGCTTATATGCTGCAGATAGATAGTGCTTATACATATGTGCTTATATACTGTAGATATTATATTATGTTGGAAATCAAAACTTAATTTCCAGATATGTTTGTATTACTCTTCGAAAATTAATAATAGACCCATTACATTGCTGATGAGAATGCAAAATGGTGCAGTCCCTTGGAAATAGCGCAGCAGCACCTTATACAGCCAGACATGAATTGATTGCCTTATACAGTCAGACAGGCATCGATCACCTTTTACAGTCAGACATGCACTGGTCACCCACCCAGTGGGTGATCCAGTGGGATCTACAGCTACTGATATGGAAGGGGGGCAGGGCAGTGCTGGGAATGGAAGGGCATGGTCCCTGGCTAGAGCTCCACCCCTGGGTCTGTGCTCCCAGACCTAGGTGAGGACGGGCACTCCTGCCTTCACGCTCAAATGTTGCATTTCCCAAAATCACCCTGGCCCATTACACCCCCATACTGTGCCTATAAAAACCCCAAGACCCTAGCAAGCAGACACACAAGTAGCTGGAAATCAAGAGGAACACATTGGTGGCAGAACACACAAGTGGCTGGACGTCGAGGGGAGCATGTGGCAGAAGAGCACGCTGACAGACGTGGGCAGGCTGGCAGGGCATCCACCCGTGGAATGATGTGGAGTTTGGCCAGGGTGGTCAGAGGAGAGCCCAGGCCGCTGAGTGGCCCAACTCCAGGGGAAAACCACACCCTTCTGTCTCCCCCATCTGCTGGGAGCTGCTTCCACTCAGTAAAACTTTGCACTCATTCTCCAAGCCCACGCGTCCTCCGATTCTTCTGGTACACCAAGGCAAGAACCCCAGGATACAGAAAGCCCTCTGTTCTTGCGATAAGGCAGAGGGAACTGAGCTAACACAAGCCACCTACAGGTGGCTAAACTAAAAGAGCACCCTGTAACATACGCCCACTGGGGCTTCAGCTGTAAACATTCACCCCTAGACAGTGTTGTGGGGTCGGACCCCACAGCCTGCGGTCTGCATGTTCCCCCTAGAGGTCTGAGCAGCGGGGCACTGAAGAAGCCAGCCACACCCCCATGGCCCGCCCTGTGAGGGGGATAAGGGAACTTTTCCTGTTTCACTAGGTGCTTACCCAGGAGAAATGAAGACATACATAGACGCACACACAGACACAGTCTTACAAGGGCATACAAATTCTTTATGTTCAGCATTATTCCTAATAGCCCCAAATTGGAAGCAATTCAAATCTCCATCCATTAGCGAGCAAACAAATTGTGGCATGTCTCAATCTACCCAGCTATAAAAAAATTTTAAAAATGTTAATACATGCAACATGAAACAATCTCAAAGTCATTATGTCTGTAATATATAGAAAATGGCTATAATCAAAGAAGAATTCAAGCAAAAACCAAATTTTTCAAATCAAGTAAAAGATATAAACAAAGAATTCAGAGAAAATGAAATGCGAATGGCCCATAATCATATAAAAGAGGCTCAGCTTCAAAGAACTACAAAGTAGAGAAATACAAATTTAAACACAACATACCAAAAACTGCAAAAAAAAAGCAGTACTAAGAGAGAAGTTTATAGCAGTCAGCATCTAAACTGAAAAAGAATAGAGAAAACAATGATACACCACAACCATGCGGAATTTATCCCAGGGATGCAAGACTGGTTCAGCTTTCAAAATCGTAATGCAATCCATCACACCAAAAGGTTAATGGAGAAAAATCACATGATCATATTAATAAATGCAGGAAGAAAGCACTGGACAAAATCCAACATCCATTCATAATAATAAAAAGAATTCCCAGCACGCCAGGAATAGAGGACTTCCTCCTCAACTGGAAAAAGGATAGCCATAAACAAGTATAGCTAACATCATAGCTAATGGTGAAAAACTGGAAGTTTTGTGAGAAGGTAAAAAATAAAGCAAGAATGTTCTCTCACCACCCTTTTCTAACATTGTACTGGAAGCTCTAGCTAATGCAATATAACAGCACAAGAACACAGAAAGTACACTAATTGGGGAGAAAGAAAAAAAACTGTCTGTTTGTAGAGGACATTATTGTCCTTGGAGAAGATACAAGAGTCTATAAAAATATCCTGTAATGAATAAGCCGTTATAGCAGTTACAGGATTCAAGGTTAATGTAAAAAACAAAACCAAACAAAAACAAAAACAAAAAAATGGCAATTGCTTTTCTAAATACCTAGGTATGAATCTAACAAAATATATACAAGATCTTTATGGGGAAAACTATTAAACTGTGTTAAAAGAAATGAAAGAACTAAATAAATGGAGAGATATTTCCTGTTTATGAATAGGAAGACTCGATAGTGTCAGGATGTGAGTTTTTCCTAAGTTGGTCTATAGATTCAATGCAATGGCAGTCAAAAGCACAGCCAGTTATTTTGAAGACAATGGCCAATTGATTCTAAAGAGGCAAAGGACTACAATACCTAACACAATATTTTAGAAGGACAAAGGTGACAACTGATACTACCTAACTTCAAGATAAGATATAAAGCTACAGTAACCAAGACAGTGTGGTAGTGGCAAAAGAATAAGCAGATAGACAAATGGAGCAGAATAGAGAGCCCAGAAATGTGTAAACATAAATATTGTCAACTGATCTTTGATGAAGGAGAAAAGGCAATAAAATAGATAGTCTTTTTTTTTTGAGACGGAGTTTCACTCTTTTTGCCCAGGCTGGAGTGCAATGGCGCGATCTTGGCTCACTGCAACCTCTGCCTTCTGGGTTCAAGTGATTCTCCTGCCTCAGCCTCCCAAGTAGCTGGGATTACAGGCACCCGCCACCATGCCTGGCTAATTTTTTGTATTTTTAGTAGAGACGGGGTTTCACCATTTTGGCCAGGATGGTTTCAAACTCCTGACCTCAGGTGATCTACCTACCTCGGCGTCCCAAAGTGTTGGGATTACAGGCGTGAGCCACCATACCCGGCCAAGATAGTCTTTTTCAACAAGGTGCTGGAACAACTGGACATCCACATACGAAAAATAAATTTACACACAGACCTTTCACAAAAATTAACTCAAAATGCATTACAGACTTAAATGTAAAATGCAAAACTGTGAAACTCCTAGATGATGATATTGGCAAAAATCTAGATTATCTTGAGTTTGGCAAGAACTTTTTTAGCTATAACACCATAGGCATGATCTATGCAAGAAAAATTGAGATTCTGGACTTTATTAAAATTAAAAACTTCTGTGAAACACATTGTCAAGAGAATGAAAAGACAAGCTACAGTCTGGGGCAAAATAGTTGCAAAAGACATATAAAGGACCATCAACCAAAATACACAAAAAGATTCTTAAAACTCAACAATAAGGAAACAAACAACCTTATTTTTTTTCTTTTAAAGCCAAGACCTTAACAGACACCTCACCAAAGAAGATCTACAGATCGCAGATAAGGATTTGAAAAAGTCCTCCGCATCATATGTCATCAGGGAAAAGAAATTAAAACAACAATGAGATACCACTACACGCCTTCTAGAATTGCCAAAATCCAGAACATGGACACCACTACATACTGGAAAAAATATGGAGCAAGAGGAACTCTCATTCATTGCGGCTGGGAATGCAAAACGGTGCAGCCACTTTGGAAGACAGTTTGGTGATTTCTTACTAAACTACATAAACCCTTACCATATGATTCAGCAATCACACTCTTTGGCATTTACTCAAAGGAGTTAAATACATACTTTCACACAAAAAACCTGCACACGGATGTTTGTTATGGCTTTATTCATAAGTGCTAAAACTGGAGAGCAACCAAGCTGTCCTGCAGCAGATAAACTGTAGTACACCCAGAAAATGGAATATTATTCAGGGCTAAAAATAAATGGAACCATTTAGCCATGAAAAGACATGGAGGAATGTTACATGCATATTACTAAGCGGAAGGAGGAAATCTGAAAAGGCTAGATATAGTATAAGTCCAACATTCTGAAATTCTGGAAAAGACAAAACTGTGGAGACTTTTATACCTTTCATAACAATTAACTCAAAATGGGTTACAGATTTCAATGTAAAACACAAAACTATAAAACTCCTAGATGATGGTATCGTCAAAAATCTAGATTATCTTGAATTTAGTGAGAATGTTCTATACCCAGTTAATTGAGGGCTTTTTATCATAAAGTAAAAAGATCAGTGGAGGCAACGGGTTGGAAGAAAAGAGGGATGATGAATAGACAGAGCACAGAGGGTTTCTAAGGCAGTGAAAATATTCCGTATGATACTGTAATGGTGGATACATGTCATTATACATTTGTCCATATCCACAGAGGTACAACACAAAGAGTAAATCCTAATGTAGAGTGGGCTTTGGGTGATAATCATGGGTCAGTTTTAACAATTCGCCTCCAGTGGGCGATGTTGATAATGGGGGAGGCTGTGCATGTGTTGGGGCAGGGGACATCTCGAATATCTCTGTGCCTTCTGCTCAATTTTGCTGTGAACCTAAAACTGCTCAAGAAGTAGTCTTTAAAAAGACAAACAAATAAAATCATACTTTCTCCCAGATTTTAGGGGTATGTTTGATTATTTTTATACTAAAACAAGAACAGAGATATTGAGTTAACAAAATTCAATTTTTTTAAAAAATTTATTTATTTACTTTTTTTTATTTTATTATTATACTTTAAGTTTTAGGGTACATGTGCACAATGTGCAGGTTAGTTACATATGTATACATGTGCCATGCTGGTGCGCTGCACCCACTAACTCGTCATCTAGCTTTAGGTATATCTCCCAGTGCTATCCCTCCCCCCTCCCGCCACCCCACAACAGTCCCCAGAGTGTGATGTTCCCCTTCCTGTGTCCATGTGTTCTCATTGTTCAATTCCCACCTATGAGTGAGAATATGTGGTGTTTGGTTTTTTGTTCTTGTGATAGTTTACTGAGAATGATGATTTCCAATTTCATCCATGTCCCTGCAAAGGACACGAACTCATCATTTTTTATGGCTGCATAGTATTCCATGGTGTATATGTGCCACATTTTCTTAATCCAGTCTATCATTGTTGGACATTTGGGTTGGTTCCAAGTCTTTGCTATTGTGAATAATGCCGCAATAGACATACGTGTGCATGTGTCTTTATAGCAGCATGATTTATAGTCCTTTGGGTATATACCCAGTAATGGGATGGCTGGGTCAAATGGTATTTCTAGTTCTAGATCCCTGAGGAATCGCCACACTGACTTCCACAATGGTTGAACTAGTTTACAGTTCCACCAACAGTGTAAAAGTGTTCCTATTTCTCCACATCCTCTCCAGCACCTGTTGTTTCCTGATTTTTTAATGATTGCCATTCTAACTGGTGTTGGTATCTCATTGTGGTTTTGATTTGCATTTCTCTGATGGCCAGTGATGGTGAGCATTTTTTCATGTATTTTTTGGCTGCATAAATGTCTTCTTTTGAGAAGTGTCTGTTCATGTCCTTCGCCCACTTTTTGATGGGGTTGTTTGTTTTTTTCTTGTAAATTTGTTGGAGTTCATTGTAGATTCTGGATATTAGCCCTTTGTCAGATGAGTAGGTTGTGAAAATTTTCTCCCATTTTGTAGGTTGCCTGTTCACTCTGATGGTAGTTTCTTTTGCTGTGCAGAAGCTCTTTAGTTTAATTAGATCCCATTTGTCAATTTTGGCTTTGGTTGCCATTGCTTTTGGTGTTTTAGACATGAAGTCCTTGCCCATGTCTATGTCCTGAATGGTAAAGCCTAGGTTTTCTTCTAGGGTTTTTATGGTTTTAGGTCTAACATTTAAGTCTTTAATCCATCTTGAATTGATTTTTGTATAAGGTGTAAGGAAGGGATCCAGTTTCAGCTTTCTACATATGGCTAGCCAGTTTTCCCAGCACCATTTATTAAATAGGGAATCCTTTCCCCATTGCTTGTTTTCCTCAGGTTTGTCAAAGATCAGATAGTTGTAGATATGCGGCGTTATTTCTGAGGGCTCTGTTCTGTTCCATTGGTCTATATCTCTGTTTTGGTACCAGTACCATGCTGTTTTGGTTACTGTAGCCTTGTAGTATAGTTTGAAGTCAGGTAGTGTGATGCCTCCAGCTTTGTTCTTTTGGCTTAGGATTGACTTGGCGATGTGGGCTCTTTTTTGGTTCCATATGAACTTTAAAGTAGTTTTTTCCAATTCTGTGAAGAAAGTCATTGGTAGCTTGATGGGGAGGACATTGAATCTGTAAATTACCTTGGGCAGTATGGCCATTTTCACGATATTGATTCTTCCTACCCATGAGCATGGAATGTTCTTCCATTTGTTTGTATCCTCTTTTATTTCCTTGAGCAGTGGTTTGTAGTTCTCCTTGAAGAGGTCCTTCACATCCCTTGTAAGTTGGATTCCTAGGTATTTTATTCTCTTTGAAGCAATTGTGAACGGGAGTTCACTCATGATTTGGCTCTCTGTTTGTCTGTTGTTGGTGTATAAGAATGCTTGTGATTTTTGTACATTGATTTTTATCCTGAGACTTTGCTGAAGTTGCTTATCAGCTTAAGGAGATTTTGGGCTGAGACAATGGGGTTTTCTAGATATACAATCATGTCATCTGCAAACAGGGACAATTTGACTTCCTCTTTTCCTAATTGAATACCCTTTATTTCCTTCTCCTGCCTAATTGCCCTGGCCAGAAATTCCAACACTATGTTGAATAGGAGTGGTGAGAGAGGGCATCCCTGTCTCGTGCCAGTTTTCAAAGGGAATGCTTCCAGTTTTTGCCCATTCAGTATGATATTGGCTGTGGGTTTGTCATAGATAGCTCTTATTATTTTGAAATACATCCCATCAATTCCTAATTTATTGAGAGTTTTTAGCATGAAGGGTTGTTGAATTTTGTCAAAGGCCTTTTCTGCATCTATTGAGATAATCATGTGGTTTTTGTCTTTGGTTCTGTTTATATGCTGGATTACATTTATTGATTTGCGTATATTGAACCCGCCTTGCATCCCAGGGATGAAGCCCACTTGATCATGGTGGATAAGCTTTTTGATGTGCTGCTGGATTTGGTTTGCCAGTATTTTATTTAGGATTTTTGCATCAATGTTCATCAAGGATATTGGTCTAAAATTCTCTTTTTTGGTTGTGTCTCTGCCCGGCTTTGGTATCAGGATGATGCTGGCCTCATAAAATGAGTTAGGGAGGATTCCCTCTTTTTCTATTGATTGGAATAGTTTCAGAAGGAATGGTACCAGTTCCTCCTTGTACCTCTGGTAGAATTCAGCTGTGAATCCATCTGGTCCTGGACTCTTTTTGGTTGGTAAGCTATTGATTATTGCCACAATTTCAGATCCTGTTATTGGTCTATTCAGAGATTCAACTTCTTCCTGGTTTAGTCTTGGGAGAGTGTATGTGTCAAGGAATTTATCCATTTCTTCTAGATTTTCTAGTTTATTTGCGTAGAGGTGTTTGTAGTATTCTCTGATGGTAGTTTGTATTTCTGTGGGATCAGTGGTGATATCCCCTTTATCATTTTTTATTGCGTCTATTTGATTCTTCTCTCTTTTTTCTTTATTAGTCTTGCTAGCGGTTTATCAATTTTGTTGATCCTTTCAAAAAACCAGCTCCTGGATTCATTACTTTTTTGAAGGGTTTTTGTGTCTCTATTTCCTTCAGTTCTGCTCTGATTTTAGTTATTTCTTGCCTTCTGCTAGCTTTTGAATGTGTTTGCTCTTGCTTTTCTAGTTCTTTTAATTGTGATGTTAGGGTGTCAATTTTGGATCTTTCCTGCTTTCTCTTGTGGGCATTTAGTGCTATAAATTTCCCTTTACACACTGCTTTGAATGTGTCCCAGAGATTCTGGTATGTTGTGTCTTTGTTCTCGTTGGTTTCAAAGAACATCTTTATTTCTGCCTTCATTTCGTTATGTACCCAGTAGTCATTCAGGAGCAGGCTGTTCAGTTTCCATGTAGTCGAGTGGTTTTGAGTGAGATTCTTAATCCTGAGTTCTAGTTTGATTGCACTGTGGTCTGAGAGATAGTTTGTTATAATTTCTGTTCTTTTACATTTGCTGAGGAGAGCTTTACTTCCAAGTATGTGGTCAATTTTGGAATAGGTGTGGTGTGGTGCTGAAAAAAATGTATAGTCCGTTGATTTGGGGTGGAGAGTTCTGTAGATGTCTATTAGGTCCGCTTGGTGCAGAGCTGAGTTCAATTCTTGGGTATCCTTGTTGACTTTCTGTCTCGTTGATCTGCCTAATGTTGACAGTGGGGTGTTAAAGTCTCCCATTATTAATGTGTGGGAGTCTAAGTCTCTTTGTAGGTCACTCAGGACTTGCTTTATGAATCTGGGTGCTCCTGTATTGGGTGCATATATATTTAGGATAGTTAGCTCTTCTTGTTGAATTGATCCCTTTACCATTATGTAATGGCCTTCTTTGTCTCTTTTGATCTTTGTTGGTTTAAAGTCTGTTTTATCAGAGACTAGGATTGCAACCCCTGCCTTTTTTTGTTTTCCATTTGCTTGGTAGATCTTTCTCCATCCTTTTATTTTGAGCCTATGTGTGCCTCTGCACATGAGATGGGTTTCCTGAATACAGCACACTGATGGGTCTTGACTCTTTATCCAATTTGCCAGTCTTTGTCTTTTAATTGGAGCATTTAGTCCATTTACATTTAAAGTTAATATTGTTATGTGTGAATTTGATCCTGTCATTGTGATGTTAGCTGGTTATTTTGCTCATTAGTTGATGCAGTTTCTTCCTAGTCTCGATAGGCTTTACATTTTGGCATGATTTTGCAGTGGCTGGTACCGGTTGTTCCTTTCCATGTTTAGTGCTTCCTTCAGGAGCTCTTTTAGGGCAGGCCTGGTGGTGACAAAATCTCTCAGCATTTGCTTGTCTGTAAAGTATTTTATTTCTCCTTCACTTATGAAGCTTGGTTTGGCTGGATATGAAATTCTGGGTTGAAAATTCTTTTCTTTAAGAATGTTGAATATTGGCCCCCACTCTCTTCTGGCTTGTAGAGTTTCTGCCGAGAGATCTGCTGTTAGTCTGATGGGCTTCTTTTTGAGGGTAACCCTACCTTTCTCTCTGGCTGCCCTTAACATTTTTTCCTTCATTTCAACTTTGGTGAATCTGACAATTATGTGTCTTGGAGTTGCTCTTCTCGAGGAGTATCTTCGTGGCATTCTCTGTATTTCCTGAATCTGAATGTTGGCCTGCCTTGCTAGATTGGGGAAGTTCTCCTGGATAATATCCTGCAGAGTGTTTTCCAACTTGGTTCCATTCTCCCCGTCACTTTCAGGTACACCAATCAGATGTAGATTTGGTCTTTTCACATAGTCCCATATTTCTTGGAGGCTTTGCTCGTTTCTTTTTATTCTTTTTTCTCTAAACTTCCCTTCTCGCTTCATTTCATTCATTTCATCTTTCATCGCTGATACCCTTTCTTCCAGTTGATCGCATTGGCTCCTGAGGCTTCTGCATTCTTCACGTAGTTCTCGAGCCTTGGTTTTCAGCTCCTTCAGCTCCTTTAAGCACTTCTCTGTATTGGTTATTCTAGTTATACATTCTTCTAAATGTTTTTCAAAGTTTTCAACTTCCTTGCCTTTGGTTTGAATGTCCTCCTGTAGCTAGGAGTAATTTGATCGTCTGAAGACTTCTTCTCTTAGCTCGTCAAAGTCATTCTCAGTCCAGCTTTGTTCTGTTGCTGGTGAGGAGCTGCGTTCCTTTGGAGGAGGAGAGGCGCTCTGCTTTTTAGAGTTTCCAGTTTTTCTGCTCTGTTTTTTCCCCATCTTTGTGGTTTATCTACTTTTGGTCTTTGATGATGGTGATGTACAGATGGGTTTTTGGTGTGGATGTCCTTTCTGTTTGTTAGTTTTCCTTCTAACAGACAGGACCCTCAGCTGCAGGTCTGTTGGAGTACGCGGCCGTGTGAGGTGTCAGTGTGCCCCTGCTGGGGGGTGCCTCCCAGTTAGGCTGCTCAGGGGTCAGGGGTCAGGGACCCACTTGAGGAGGCAGTCTGCTGGTTCTCAGATCTCCAGCTGCATGCTGGGAGAACCACTGCTCTCTTCAAAGCTGTCAGACAGGGACATTTAAGTCTGCAGAGGTTACTGCTGTCTTTTTGTTTGTCTGTGTCCTGCCCCCAGAGGTGGAGCCTACAGATGCAGGCAGGCCTCCTTGAGCTGTGGTGGGCTCCACCCAGTTTGAGCTTCCCGGCTGCTTTGTTTACCTAAGCAAGCCTGGGCAATGGCGGGCGCCCCTCCCCCAGCCTCGCTACCACCTTGCAGTTTGATCTCAGACTGCTGTGCTAGCAATCAGCGAGACTCCGTGGGCGTAGGACCCTCTGAGCCAGGTGCGGGATATAATCTCCTGGTGCCCTGTTTTTTAAGCCCGTCGGAAAAGCGCAGTATTTGGGTGGGAGTGACCCGATTTTCCAGGTGCCATCTGTCACCCCTTTCTTTGACTAGGAAAGGGAACTCCCTGACCCCTTGTGCTTCCCAAGTGAGGCAATGCCTCGCCCTGCTTCGGCTCGCGCACGGTGCGCGCACCCACTGACCTGCGCCCGCTGTCTGGCACTCCCTAGTGAGATGAACCCGGTACCTCAGATGGAAATGCAGAAATCACCCGTCTTCTGCATCACTCACGCTGGGAGCTGTAGACCGGAGCTGTTCCTATTCGGCCATCTTGGCTCCTCCCCTCCAAAATTCAAATTTTTAAAAGAATAAGAGGCATCAGGCTAGGTGCGGTGGCTCATGCGTGTAATCCCAGCACTTTCGGAGGCTAAGTCAGGCAGATCACTTAGCCCAGGAGTTCAAGGTTAGCCTGGGCAACATGGTGAGACCCCATCTCTAAAAAAAAATATGAAAAATTAGTCAGGTTTGGTGGTGCAGTACTGGTAGCGCCAGCTACTCAGTGGGCTGAGGTGGGAAGATCACCTGAGCCCAGGAGGTTGAGGCTGTAGTAAGCTGTGATTGTGCCACTGAATTCCAGCCTGGGCAACAGAGTGATATCCTGTATCAAAAAAAGTGGTACCAAAATATTATTGGTCGCATTATTAATATTTGATTATAATGTTGCATCATACTAATATATAACTACCTACCTTCCTTGCCACATCTCTTCAGGGAATCTGTTAAGTTTTCTCTTTTTATAGGATTTACATATAGGTCTTATATTTAAGTGTTTAGTTCATTTTCATTTGATTTTTGTATATGGTGAGAAACTGGAGTCTACTTTTATCCTTCTGCACATGGATATTCAGTTTTCCCAGCACCATTTGTTGAAGAGACTGTCTTTTCCCCATTATATGTTCTTGGCACATTTGTCAAAAATAAGTTGGCTGTTGCATGGATTTATACCTGGGTTATTAATTTTGTCCTATTAGTCAATCTGTCTGTTTTAATGCCAGTACCATGCTAATTTGGTTACTATAGCTGTGTAGTATATTTTGAAGTCAGGTAATGTGATGTGTCTGGCTTTGTTCTTTTTGCTCAGAATTACTTTGTATACTCAGGGTCATTTGTGATTCCATATATATTTTAAGATTGTTTTTCCTATTTCTGTGAAGAAAGTCATTGGCATATTGATAAGGATTGCATCAAACCTGTATTGTCATTATAACAATATCAGTTCTTCCAATCCATAAGCATGGAATATCTTTCCATTTTTTTGTGTCCTCTTCATTTTCTTTCATCAGAGTTTTATAGTTTTCCTTGTTTAGATCTTTCAGTTCTTTGGTTTAATTGATTCCATCATTTTATATTCTTTGTAGCTATGGTAAGTGGGATTGCTTTCTTGATTTCCTTTTGAGATTTTTTGCTATTGGTCTATATATACTAGTGATTTTTGTATGTTGATTTTGTATTCTGCAACTCTACTGAACTTGTTTATCAGCAGTAATAGTTTTTTGGTGGAGTCTTTATGTTTTTTTAAATATAAGATCATGCCATCTGCAAACAAGGCTAATTTTACTTCGTCCTGTCCATTTGGATGCCCTTTATTTTTTTCTTTTCCCTGATTTCTCTGTCCAGATCTTCCAGTATTATGTTAAATAACAGTGATGAAAGTGGGCATCCTTGTCTTGCTCCAGTTCTTAAAGAAAAGACTTCCAGTTTTTACCAGTTCAATATGATGTTGGCTGTGGGTTTGTCATGTATGGCCTTTCTTGTTTTGAGGTATGTCCCTTCTATGCCCAGTTTTTTGAGGGTTTTTTAAATCATAAAGGAGCATTGAATTTTATCAACTGCTTTTTCAGCATCTATTGAAATAGTCATATGATTTTCGTTCTTGGTTCTATTAATGTGATTTGTCATGTTTATTAACTTTTGTATGTTGAACCATTCTTGTGTCCCTGGGATGAGTCCAAATTGATCAAGATGAATGATCTTTTTAATGTGTTGTTGGATTCAGTTTGCTAGTATTTTGTTGAAGATTTTTGCATCCATATTTATCAATGATATTGGTCTGTAGTTTTCTTTTTTGTTATCATAGTGTCCTTGTCTGATTTTGGTATCAGGGTAATGTTGGCCTCATAGAATGAGTTTAGAAGTATTTCCTCCTCGTCAGTGTTTTGAAGAGTTTGAGTAGAATTGGTACCAATTCTTTATTAAATGTTTGGTAGAAATCAGCAGAGAAGCCCTCAGGTTCCAGGCTTTTATTTGATGGGAAACTTTTTATACAGCTTCAATCATGTTACTTGTTACTGATTTGTTGAGGTTTTCTATTTCTTCATGCCTCAATCTTTGTAGGTTGCATGTGTCCAGGAATTGATCCATTTCTTACAGATTTTCCAAATTGTTGGTGTATAGTTGTTCATAATAGTCTCTAATGATTCTTTGCATTTCTGTGGTCTCAGTTGTTATGTCTCATTTCTTGTTTCTTATTTTATTTAGTTGGGTCTTCTCTCTTTTTTTCTTAGTTAATTGGGCAAAAAAACTAGGTTTGTTGATTTTGTTTTTCTTTGCAAAAACCAACTTTTCACTTGTTGATCTTCCGTATTGTTATTTTAGTGTCAATTTCATTTAATTTTGCTCTGATTTTTATTAGTTCTTTCTTTCTACTCATTTTAGGTTGGTTTGTTCTTGATTTTCTAGTTTTTTTTAGCACATCATTAGCCTGTTTATTTGAAGTATTTTGTTTGTGATATAGGTATTTATTGCTATAAACTTCCATCTTAGTGCTGTTTTTGCTGTATCCCATAGGTTTTGGTATGTTGTGTTTCAATTTTCAGTTGTTTCAAAATATTTCTAAATTTTCTTCTTCATTTTTGTATTGACTCATTGGTTATTCAGGAGGATGTTGTCTAGTTTCCATGTGTTTGTATATTTTTCAAGGTTCTTCTTTTTATTGATTTCTAGTTTTATTCCACTGTGGTCTGAAAAGATACTTGATATGGTTTCAACTTTTTTGAATTTGTTGAGATTTGTTTTGTTGCCTAAGATATGGTTTATTTTGGAGAATGTTTCATGTGCTGAGGAAAGGAATATATATCCCACAGCAGTTGAGTGAAATGTTCTGCAAATGTTAGTTAGGCCTATTTGGTCTACTGTGTAGTTTACCTTCAATGTTTCTTTGTTGGTTTTCTGTCCATTACTCAGAGTCAGGTATTGTAGTCCCCTACTATTATTGTATTGTAGTCTACCTCTCCCTTTAGATTTAGTAATGTTTGCTTTATATACTTGAGAGCTCCAGTGTTGGGTGCATAGGTATTTATAATTATTATATCCTCTTGCTGAATTTACTCTTTTATCATCATATAGTGTACCTTCTTTGTCCCTCTTTAAAGTTATTGACTTGTAGTCTATTAAATCTGATATAAGCATAGTCACTCCAGTTCTTTTCTGATTTCCATTGCATGGAATATCTTTTTCCATCCCTTCATGTTCAATCTATATGTGTCTGTATAAGTGAGTGGGTTCTTGTAGGCAGCATATAGTTAGGTCTTGTTTCTTGATCCATTCAGCCATTTGATGTTTCTTAATTGGAGGGTTGAGTTCATGTATATTCAGTGTTATTATTGATAAGTAAGGATGTACTACCGCCATTTTGTTGCCTGTTTCCTCATTGTTTTGTAACTCTTCATTTTTGTACTCTCTTTCTTTGTTGTTATGTGTTTTAATGTGTATGTTTTAACTTGTTGCTTTTTATTGTTAGTGTATCTATTACAAAACAGATCTTATGGATATAACAATTTATTTTAAAGAGATGACAACTTATCCTAGATCACAAAGAATAAAAACAAATAAAAAATTTTAAAAACCTCTACACTTTAGTTCCACCCCCTTACCCCAATATTTAGACTTTTGGTTGTCTCAATATAAATATTTGATATATGTACGGGTTGATGTAACTATCATTATTTTTGATAGATTTGTCTTTTAGGCTTTATACTAGAGTTATGAGTGGGTTATATACCTCAATTACGGTATTATTCTGGGGTTGTCTGTGTACTAAAACCTACTTTTACCAGTAGGTTTTAGATCTGCAAATACATATATACTTTTTTGCACTTCAGTATTTTTCTTCTTTCATACTGAAGAACTTTCTTTAGCATTTCTTGTAAGACAGATCTGGTAATGGTGAGCTCTCTCAGCTTTGGTTAATCTGGAATACACTTTATCTCTCTTTAATATTTGAAGGATAACTTTACTGGATGTAGTATTCCTGGATCACAAAGGTTTGTCTTTCTTTCCTTTCCTTTCCTTTCCTTTCCTTTCCTTTTCTTTCAACACTTTGAAAATGTTATCCTACTTCCTCCTGGTCTATATGATTTCCATTGAGAAGTCTCTTGCCAGGCAAATCGGAGCTCCTTCTTATGTTATTTGGTTCATATCTCTTGCTGCTTTTAGGATCCTTTCTTTGACCTTAACCTTTGAGAATTTGATTATTATATGCCTTGGCTTGGTCCTATTTGAGTCAAACCTGCCCTTCCTGTACCTGGATATTTATCTCCTTCTCAAGTTTTGAGAAGTTTTCTGTTATTTCTGTGAGTCAGCTTTCCACTGCTTGCTCTTGCTCAACTCCCTCTTGAACATTAATAATTGTTAGGTGTGATTTTTTTGAAGTAATTTTCAATATCTTGTAGATGATCTTCATTCCTTTGCATTCTTTTTTATTTTTTTCTCTTTTCTCTTCTGACTGTGTATTTTCTTTCTTTCTTTTTTTTTTTTTTTTTTTTGAGATGGAGTCTCACTCTGTCGCCTAGGCTAGAGGGCAGTGGCTCAATCTCGGCTCACTGCAAGCTCTGCCTCAATGCAAGTTCATGCCATTCTCCTGCCTCAGCCTCCCAAGTAGCTGGGACCACAGGCACCGGCCACCACGCCCAGCTAATTTTTTGTATTTTTAGTGGAGATGGGGTTTCACCGTGTTAGCCAGGATGGTCTTGATCTCCTGACCTCATGATCTGCCCGCCTTGGCTGCCCAAAGTGCTGGGATTACAGGCATGAGCCACCGCGCCCAGCCCTGACTGTGTATTTTCAGATAGCCTGTCTTTGAGCTCACTGATTATTTCCTCTGCTTGATTTGTTCTGAATTTTCAGTTCAGAAAATGTATTCCTCAGTTCCACGATGTCTGTGTTTCTTAAAATTTCAATATCTTTATTAAATTTATATTATAAATTTCTAAGTTGCTTTTCTGTGTCATATTGGAGATCACAGAGTTTCTTTAAGACTTCCACTTTGAATTATTGGTCAGGGAGCTCGTGTATTTTCATCTAGCTAGGACCAATCACTAGTTCTTTGCTTTGTCTGTTTGGGGAGGTCATATTTCCTGTTCACTGTTGTTTCTTGTGGATGAATGCCAATGTCTTTGCATTGAAGGATTAATTATTTATTCCAGTCTTCTCTGTCTGATTTGTTTTCTTTTTCATTGAATATGTTTGCTGAAATATTCTTTGTAATTTATAATTATTTCTTTTTTCTATTACCACTGTTGTTTGCACAGTATATCTTTTTCCATTCTTAACTTTCAACCTATATTTTGAGATAAAAGTAGGCTTTTGGCCAGGCACGGTGGCTCAAGCCTGTAATCTCAGCATTTTGGGAGGCTGAGGCTGGTGGATCATGAGGTCAGAGATCGAGACCATCCTGGCTAACACGGTGAAACCCCGTCTCTCCTAAAAATACAAAAAATTAGCCCTGCGTGGTGGCGGGCACCTGTAGTCCCAGCTACTCGGGAGGCTGAGTCAGAATGTCGTGAACCTGGGAGGTGGAGCTTGCAGTGAGCTGAGATGGCACCACTGCATTTCAGCTTGCAGAGGGAGACTCCGTCTCAAAAAAAAAAAAAAGTATGTTTTTTATATACAGTATAAAATGTGTTAAACAAAAATTATGGGAGGCTATTGTTTTGGACTGAGCTTCCGCACTAGGCCCTAATAGACCAGACCAAATCAAACCAAAACAGAGTCACTCATGCTGAATGACACGTGATCAAAATGACACTTTGAGGAAGCAGGTATTATAGAGCCTCAGACCAGTTTTTCCTAAAACCAGGAGCTTCTGGTCTACCTCAGTCAGTGTAATAAAGAAGTCACTTCTCCTTTAACTTTTACCAAAAAAAGTAAGTTGAAGTAACCTGACATTAGCCAATCAGCTTTTTATTCCTGACATTAGCCAATCAGCTTTTTATTCCCCCTATTGTTCCGTTTCCTTGTTCCCACCTATTGTCCCGTGGGAGCTTTGATTCTATTTTGTAGAATGGAGGCTGCCCTTATTTATGAATTGAAAATAAAAACAACTTTAAATTTGTAATTTTGTCTTTTGACAAGTTGAATCTTATTTTTAATCCAGTCCAACAATCTCTGGCTTTTGGTTGGACTGTTAAATCTATTCACATTTAATGTTGTTAGTAATAGAGTTGGATTTCCAACTGCTATTTTACTTTCTGTTCTTTCTCTCTCCCTCAGTTTACTTGTTCCTGTATACGTTCTTCTTTTGCATTAAGTGAATATTTTCTAGGGTAACATTTTAATTTCTTTAATGATTTAGCTATTTTTTTAGTAGTTGCTCTAGGGTCTGCAACGTACATCTTAACTCGTCAGCATAGATTTATACTAACATAATTCCAGTGGGATATAAAAAATTTACTCCTCTATAGTTCAATTCCTTCACCCAAGTTTTGCATTACTTTGTTATGTATATTATTTCTAAAGATGTTACAAACTCGGCAATGCATTGTTGTCATTATTTTTATAATTTCATGTCTTTTAAATAATCTCAGAGAAGAGAGAAGAGCTAGTATATATTTATAGAGTTTGCTCTATTATTATTCTTATTGGCCATTTTGGATTCTCTTCATTTCTCCTGTGGATTCAACCTCCTCTACGGCATCATTACTCAAGACAGCTTTGTTTTCCGTCTCCTCCTTTGTGTTGTTATTGTCACATAGATTACATTTTTATATATGATAAACCTAAAGTGTAATGAGATGCATATTGTTCTACATGATTGCTTGCTAAATCAGTCAAGTGAAAAAAGGAGGAGAAATATGCAATTACACTGTCTTGTACAATTATCTACATAATTACCTTAATCAGTGCTCTTGTTTTCTTAATGTAATTTTGATTTCATACTTGGTCTCACTTGCTTTTAGTCTGAAGAACATCTTTTAGTATTTTCTTATGGCAAGTCTGCTAGGAGGAAATTATCTTAGTGTTTATCTTAGAATACATTTATTTTTATTTCAGAGAGATTTTTCCAAACATGATATTTTATTGTTGACAACTTTTGCCCCCCTAGCATTTCGAATTTGTTATTCCACTTCCTTCTGGCATTGATTTTCTTGTTCTGATGGGAATTCCACTGTTATCCTTATTGAGGGGACCTCGTATGGGATGAGTCATTTCTCCCCACTACTTTTACAGTTTGTTTTGGTCTTTATTCGACATTTTGATGATAAAGTGTGTGGATCATCTTGTGTTTACCCTATTTGGATTTTTTTGTGTTCCAGGATGTGTATATTAATTTTTTCAGGTTTTACATGAACTGTTCTATTTTAGCTTAAAATAATAGTAAAATAATTTTCAACCACCAAGCTATTAGAGGGGCAAAATGAAATACATAGAATTCTTGATTAGTTTTTTAAATGACAAGAATGAAGATAATACAAGTAGGGCAAGAGGGAAACCAATGGTAAGATGATAAAAATAAACCCAAATACATATCAAAATATATTTAATATAAATAGAAAAATTATCCAGTTAAAAGACAAACATTGCTAGACTGGACCGAAAGAAATAAAACAACATAAAACTAAACAAAGTGCTTTCTGCTTTCAAGGTCCATTAGGAAAGAATGAACATGAACTCTTGGAAAACATAGACCAAATATTAACCAAAAAAGAAAGTTGGCTTATTTATACTAATACTGTATATCAGACAGAGTACAGTTTAAATTATGATACATTACTACAGGTAAAGGATCATTTCATAATGTCAATAGGGTCAATCTACCAGGAAGGTATAACAACATAAACGTTTATGTACCTAATAATATAGGTTCAAAATATGCAAAATGAAAAGCTCCTGCAAGGTTCCCCAAGGAAGTTATCACAAAGTTACCTCATTGCTGATGAGCGGGTGGGGTATTGTTGAGCAGATGGAAAAGGGGCAAGTGCTTTGTCACAAAAAGGAGCTGGATTAGGGCCAGATAACTCAATAGAGATAAGCTGATTTTGTCTTTGATTAAGAAAAAAGTTAAGTGGAAGGGCTGGTGTCTGTTAAAAATTGAATGTACAGTGTGGATAAACAGAGAGTGTCCTGATAAAATATCCAACTTCACAGATGATGAAGATTTCTTCCAGGTGGCAAAATGCATGCAATTCTACGAGGCAATTCTGCTGTAAGCCAATTAAAAGATGGCAGGGGAGTCTTGGTTACATTTTCGCATTAAGGAAATAAGTAATCCTGACTCTACATATTCAATGATAACTATGAGCAATCAGTAACAAAACAATAAAGAGCCATTGTGTATTGTTACCACAGACATTGGCTTGATCTGCCGCCACAACTGAAAAAGCCAACAACATCTGGCCAAGCACCATAATGAAGTCAATTTTAGAAACAAAGTGAGAAATATAAGCTTGTATAAAACCATGATACAGCTGAATGCTAAGTTCTGCACATGCTTTCCATCACCATACATCCAGGGACAAAGAAGACAAAGAAGACCCAAGGACAAAGAGCTGTAACAATTTAGGGAATATTATAAAAGACTTTACTTAAAAACAATTGGACTCTTTAGTCTGCACAGGTTAAGAGAATAGGGTGGAATCTGTAAAACTATGGATGTTGTAATTAGGAAAAATCCAGACTCCATTCAATCCTGGTACATGGAGTAGTTTCCTGTGGCTGCCAAATTACCACAAAATTAGTGGCTTAACCACAATAAAAATATATTGTCTTTGAGTTCTGTAGGAGAGGAGCATGGGTCTCATGAGGCTAAAATCAAGGTATCAGCAGGGCTGGTTCCTTCTGGAGGCTCAGAAGAGCATTTTTTCCTGAATTTTTTAGTTTCCAGAGGCTGCCTCTGCACCTTGGCTCATGGCCCCTTGGCCATCTTTGGCTAGCAGCAGCAGGTTGAGATCTCACATGGTCTTACCCTCACCTCTCCTGCCTGTCTCTTCTACTTTTGATTGCACTGGGCCAACACAGATAATCCAGGACATTCTCCTCAGTTTAAGTTTGGCTGATCAGAGACCTTAATTCTATTTACAACCTTAATTCTCCTTGGCATATAACATGACTATTCATACCTTCTTAGGATTAGAATGTGGATATCTTTGTTGGCGGGGATTATCCTGCTCATCACAATATACAAAGGTAATGAGTAATAATACCCTGAGGTCTGAAAGTAGCAGTGTGGTTTTTTTTTTAAGGACAAATAAAGGAGGTACAATTTTTTCAGCAGGTGATACTGGCTGAAAATATACTTAGCTTAAAAACTTCACGGATGATAAATGCTTGACAGATCAGCAAAGGATGCCAGAGATTCTGGGGATGCATTCTTAAAATTTTATGCTTTATTTTTCTCATTTACAAGAATCATATAAATATTTAAATAGAAATAAGAAAAATGGTGGGAAGAGTCAAGATGGCTGACTAGGTGCAGCCAGGAAGAGCTTATTCTATGGAGAGACCAGACCATCAAGAAGACTGCCACACTCTGAGCAGATCTTTGGGAGGAAGGCATTGAGAGCGGACAGAGGGAGGACACAGCCTCTGGGCTGAATGGGAAGGAAACCGCGAACCTTGCATGGGGTTGCCAAGCACGAGGACTAGTTCCTGGCCCCAAGCAGCTCCTGGGGAAGGGGCAAGTTAAATGGGCATCAAGTGGTCCACTCCTGCCACAGACCTCCAGAAGCCTACCTGCAGGAGAACCCATGACCTACATGGACATTAGAGCTGGCAAGGAGAGCTGCTTGGAGAGTTGCTAGGAACAGCACTTCCGCCTGTGTGAAGCCCAGAGGATTTGGCACGGGAACGTCTGCAGTGGAGCAAGCCCAAGGGTGCGCATCTTGGAAGGCTCACCGTGCTTCTCTAGCTGGCTTGGGTCTTTGTCGATTGTCAGACCTGGACAGAATATCTTTCCAGTGGGACAGGGCCAGTCTGATCTGAGCACGCCTCTGCCTGCCAGCCTCTCCAGGGTTCCTGCGTGGCTGCACCTACATCTAGCACAGCCTGAGATGCCCAATCGGTGCACTTGCCACTGGCTACTGCCATAGCTCCTTTACCCGCAGACCCCACCTAACAATCAGAGAACTTCTACAAACAGGCCACTGCCAGCATGCAGCAACCTGCAGCCCTACCCACTGCTTTGTCAGGGCACACTCACCCACAGCCTCCCCCAACTGCTTTGCTGAAGTTCTCATGCATGGACCACACCATTCTACAGCGATCAGTGTGAGCACATGGACCACACGGCACCACAGCTCTGCTCTGCTTTTGAGACGCAAAAATCATACAAAAGATCAACAAATCCAAAGGTTGCTTTTTTGAAAGATAAATAAGATTGATTGACTGCTGGCTAGACTAATGAAGAAAAAAGAGAGATACTCCAGACAAACACAATCAGAAATGACAAAGCAGACATTACCACCAACCCCACAGAAATACCAAAGATGCTCAGAAACTATTCTGAACACCTCTATGCACACAAATCTGAAAACGTAGAAGAATTAAATAAATTCCTAGAAACATACAACCTCCCAAGATTGAACCAAGAAGAAATTGAAGCCCTGAACAGATCAATATAGAATTCTAAAACTGAATCAGCATTTTGGGAGGCCAAGGAGGGTGGATCACTTGAGGTCAGGAGTTCGAGAACAACCTGGCCAACATGGTGAAACCCCATCTCTACCAAAAATACAAAAATTAGCCGGGCATGGTGGCACGCACCTGTAGTCCCAGTTACTTGGGAGGCTGAGGCAGGAAAATCACTTAAACTTGGGAGGCGGAGGTTGCAGTGAGCTGAGATTGTGCCACTGCACTCCAGCCTGGGTGACACAGTGCGACTCTGTCTCAAAAAAATAAAAATATAAATATAAATATAAAAAAAAGAAAAAGAGTAAAATTGAATCAGTAATAAAAAAAATCTACCAACCAGAAAAAGCCCTGGACCAGATGGATTCATAGCTGAATTCTACCAGATGTATAAAGAAGAGCTGGTACCAATCCTACTGAAAGTATTCTGAAAAACTGAGGAGAAGGGATTCCTCCCTAGCTCATTCTATGAGGCCAGCATCATTCTGATACCAAAACCTGGCAAAGGCACAACAAAAAAGAAAACTTCGGGCCAATATCCCTGATGAACAGAGGTGCAAAAATCCTCAAAAAATACTAGCAAACAAAATCCAGCAGCACATCAAAAAGCTAATCCACCACTATCAAGTAGGCTTTATTCCTGGGATGCAAGGTTGGTTCAACATACACAAATCAATCAATAAGTGTGATCAATCACATAAACAGAACTAAAAACGAAAGCCTCATGATCATCTCAGAAGATGCAGAAAAGGCTTTCAATGAAATTCAACATGCTTCATGTTAAAAACCCTCAACAGACTAGGTATTGAAGGAACATACCTCAAAATAATAATAAGAGCCATCTATGACAAACTATGAGAACAGGACAAGGATGCCCATTCGCATCACTGCTATTCAACGTAGTACTGGAATTCCTAGCCATTGTAATCAGGCAAGAGAAAAAAACAAAAGGCATCCAAATAGGAGGAGAGGGAGTCAAACTGTCTCTCTTCACAGATGATATGATTCTATACCTAGAAAACCCCATAGTCTCTGCCCAAAGAATCATGGATATGATAAACAACTTCAGCAAAGTTTTAGGATATAAAATCAATGTACAAAAATCAGTAGCATTTCTATATATGAATAATGTCCAAGCTGAGAGCCAAATCAAGAATACAATCCCATTCACAATAGCCCCCAAAGGAATAAAATACCTAGGATTACAGCTAACCAGGAAGGTGAAAGAGAATTGAATGCAAACACTGCAAAGAAATCAGCAATGACACGAACAAATGGAAAAATATTCCATGGCTCATGGACTGGAAGAATTAATATTGTTAAAATGGTCATGAGGCCCAAAGCAATTTACAGATTCAGTGCTAGTTCTATCAAACTACTGATGACATTTTTTACAGAATTAGAAAAAAACTATCCTCAAATTCACATGGAACCAAAATGAGCCCAAATAAGCAATAAAATCTTAAGCAAGAAGAACAAAGCTAGAGGTGTCACACTACCTGACTTCAAATTATACTACAAGGCTACAGTAACTGAAACGGCATGGTAGTGGTACAAAAACAGACATGTAGAGCAATGGATCAGGTTATATAACCCAGAAATAAAGCTGCATATCCACAACCATCTGATCTTTGACAAAGCTGACCAAAAAAAAAAAAAAGTAATGGAGAAAGGGCTCCTTATTCAATAAAAGGTGCTGGGATAACTGGTTGGCCACATGCTGAAGATTAAAACTGGACTCCTTCCTTACACCATATACAAAAATCAACTCAAGATGCATTAAAGACTTAAATGTAAAACCGAAAATGATAAAAACCTTAGAAGAAAACTTAGGAGATATTGTTCTGGACTTAGACCCTGGCAAAGCTTTCAAGACAGACTCAAACATCAATTGCAACAAAACCAAAAACTGACAAGTGGGACCTAAATAGACTAAGGAGCTTCTGCACAGGAAAAGAAACTATCAACAGAATAAACAGAGAACCTGCAGAATGGGAGAAAATATTTGCAAACTGTGCATCCGACACAAATCTAATACCCAGAATCTGTAAGAAACTTAAATCAACAAGCCTAAAACAAATGGCCCCATTAAAAAATGGTCAAAGGACATGAACAGATAATTCTCAAAAGAAAACATACATATGGCCATCAGGCATATGAAAAAATGCTCAACATTAGTAATTATTAGAGAATTGCAAATCAAAACCACAATAAGATACCATCTCACACCTGTCAGAATGGCTATTATTGAAAGTCAAAAAATAACAGATGTTAGTGAGGTTGTGGAGAAATGGAGACACTTATACACTGCTGGTGGGAACGTAAATTAGTTCAGCCACTGTGGGAAGCAGTTTGGAGATGTCCCAAAGAACTTAAAACACAACTACCATTTAACCCAGCAATCTCATTAGTGGATATATACCCAAAGGAATAGAAATCATTCTACCATAAAGACATATGCACGCATACATTCATTGCAGCATGATTCACAATAGTAACAACGTGGAATCAACCTGCATGCCCATCAGTGGTGGAGTGGATAAAGAAAATGTGGTACAATGCACCATGGAATACTATGCAGCCATGAGAAGAATGAAATCATGTCCTTTGCAGCAACATGAATGGAGGTGAAGGCCATTATCCTAAGTGAATTGACGCAGGAACAGAAAACCGAATACTCCATGTTCTCACTTACAAGTGGGAGCTAAACATTGACTACACATGGACACAGAGAAGGGAACAATAGACACTGGGACCTACTGGAGGGTGGAGGAGGGGAGGGTGAGGATCAGAAAACTATCATCGGGTACTATGCATATTACCTGGGTGATGAAATAACCTGTACATCAAACCCCTTTGTCACACAATTTACCCATGTAACAAACCTACACATGTACCCCCTGAACCTAAAACAAAAATTGAAAAGAAAAATAAGAAAAGGAAAACATTCCACCATGAATACTTACTTCAGTTTTTAATGTTGCTTTGAATCTTTTCCATATACAGACTTTTTTTTTTTTTTTTTTTTGAGACAGAGTCTTACCCTGTCACCCAGGCTGGAATGCAGTGGCACGATCTTGGCTCACTGCAACCTCCGCCTCCCGGGTTCAAGCGATTCTCCTACCTCAGCCTCCTGAGTCCCTGGGACTACAGGTGTGCGCCACCATGCCCAGCTAATTATTGTATTTTTTTTTTTAGTAGAGATGGGGTTTCACTGTACCAGGACAAGCCACAGACAAAACTCCTCAGACACTGAGTTAAAGAAGGAAGGGGTTTATTTGGCCGGGGGCATCAGCAAGGCTCCTGTCTCAAGAGCCAAGCTCCTCTAGTGAGCAATTCCTGTCCTTTTTAAGGGCTCACAACTCTAAGGGGGTGCATGTGAGTGAGTCATGATCGATTGAGCAAGTTGGGGGTACGTGACTGGGGGCTGCATGCCCCAGTAATTAGATCGGAACAAAACAGGACAGGGATTTTCATGGTGCTTTTCTATGCAATGTCTATAATCTATAGATAACATAACCGATTAGGTCAGGGTCGATCTTTAACTCCCAGGCCCAGGGTGCGACACCGGGCTGTCTGCTTGTGAATTTCATTTCTGCCTTTTAGTTTTTACTTTTTCTTTCTTTGGAGGCAGAAATTGGGCATAAGACAATATGAAGGTGGTCTCCTCCCTTACTCCCCCTTTTGAGACTCTCACTTAATAGTGGGAGTTCTCACTTTCATTTTTACTACCCATGTCTTCTTGCAAGACAGATCGATAGTGATTCATATAGTACACTTGTGCTGAAGGATTTTGGTGAACTAAGGTAGCGATGAAGCTTTTTATCATTTGAAGAAGTACAGGTAGCAAACAAGGGAGCAGTAAGTAGGTTCTTATTACTATTATAACTCTTATTATAAGAGTTTTAAATCCTCTTAGCGCTGGGAACTGTTTTGTAAACAGGGCCCTAGGATCAAATCTATGCCACACTTGCACGGGCACATGTGCCAGTTTTGTCATATCTCTAACTATGTCTTCAACTACTTGCCTTTGATTATCTATGTGTAGGCAGCAATTAGTAAGGTTAAATTTCCTACAGACTTCTCCTTCAGCCGCTAGCAGAGCTAATCTATTTTGATAGATAGGATTTCTTATCTGAGTTTCTTGCCAGACCAGAATAGTCAAGGCTCTGCCAGTTTTATTAGTGATTATTTTTAAGACAGCTTGTAATCATATGATTCAGTTGATCATGTAAATGGGGGTCCGGTATCTTTACGAGCCATCTTGTGCCTAAGTAGCAGGCCTATAACATCATATGATTCTCTCAGGGGGCCATTTATCATTTTTCTAATTTCCTATAGCTATGCTTTTCTTTTCACAGGAAGTACAGACAGGGAAGCCTAGGAGTTCGCCTGTTTTTATGGGCAATAGGAAGAAAGATGGTTTAATAGTGCTAATAACACAACTACCTGCCTACTGGTCAGGTAATTTGGCATAAGCTCTATGCCTACATATTCAGTATAATCCAGTGGGGGCTGTCCAGGCTCAGTGGGACTCTGGGTGGGTCCACACGGTTTGCAACTTTGGAAATTTACTGAATGGATTTCTCTCTGTGTGACTTGAACTCCACCAAGTGACTGTTTTTGTGGTACTATTATACAGTTTCTGTCCTAGACAACTAAGTCGTCCTACAGGGTGAATGAATTCTTTTCCTTCTCTAGCTATGCAATATTGTCTAATAATTGAGGATTTTAGGACTTAGAAACTATCAGGGTGATTTTTTTGAGTCCAGAATTCATCAGGAACTGGATCTGTAGGTACTAATTCTCGGGCTTCCTATGGCCATTGATCTCTTATTATAGTTTCTTCATATACATAACATTGAAGTGACATTGAGAGACTGGGCTACATACTCAGCTAATTGCAAAAACAAATTTCTTGTTTTTCCTGGAATTTCTGGTACTGGCACATTTAGTTCATCATAGAAAGTTTGAAACACCAGCTCAGGAGAACGTTTGTAAACTTCTCCTCGAACTAAGATATTTACCCAAGGATCCAGTCCGGCCTCGTCACTTCCTAAGGTCACATGCTCCTCTTTCTTCCAGCGAGGATCAAGGGGATTGGTTATTACTAGCTCTAAGGGGTTACATTGTCCTTTAGTACAGGAAGGGCCACTTTTTCCTTTCTGAAGGTGGCCTGGATCTTTTTCATTTTTTTGTTTTATCTAAGTGGCCTAAATGACACAAGACCAGTATTTACATTTATTTCTACACAGTCTTAATTTATGACAGATGTACTTATTTTCTGCCATATAGCCTCTTTTCTAATTAAGAAAACTATAACTTATTCTTAATTATTACTATTAATGACAGCACAAGCATCAAATTTTAAGGTGACTTGTTTGGGCACCTTTTTTTCTTTTGTTTTGGTTAACACGTTACCGTATCGTTTATGAGCCTTCACCAGTCCTTAGTCTTTAATATTATTTTAAAAACTGTGGCCATGGGAGGCTCAGATGGGTCACAACACACATCAGGTTGGTCATTTCCTAGGCTACATACTTTGTATAGAATAACATTATATAAACAAGTTCTTTTTAGAGTTCCAGTATACTTAAAATAACTATAAAACAATAGGACTGTAGCAACTTTTTGTCCTACCTCAGTGACTTGATGTATACACTGGGAACAGGCTTCAGTCTGAGGAAGGACAGTTGAAGTCTTTACTGTACAAGTCCAAATTTTAAGGAAAATGAGTCCTGCGATGAGTTTTCTTATGCTTCGGCCGTGCGTGGACCAGTCAGCTTCTGGGTGTGACTGGAGCAGGGCTTCTCATCTTCTTCAGAGTCATTTTGCAGGGGTCGGTGAAGCTGCTCCTGTCCATGTACCACTCACAGTCTACTGATGTTTAAGGATGGTCTCTGGAGGTTGGGCCTGCTAGAATAAACTGAGTCTAACACCTCTACACAGTTATGTTCAACTGGGCTCTCTGATACCAGGAGCAAGGTGGTGGGGCTTAGGGTGTTGCAAACTTCAATGGTTATGTGGGGATTTTCACATAGCAAGCTTTGGTACTTGGTTAATCTAGCATTTGTTAACTAATGATGTCTTTTGGTAGTCATTAAAGTTACTACATGGGGGGGCCTTTATATTTAGGTTTTGCCTAAGTGTTAGTTTATCTGCTTCTTGTGCTAACAGGGTCGTTGCTGCTAGGGCCTTTAGACCTGGGGGCCAGCCTTTGGAAACCTTGTCTAGTTGTTTTGAGAGATAGGCCACTGGCCTTGGCCAGGGCCTTACAGTCTGGGTTAAAACTCTAACTGCTATTTTTTCTCTTTCTGACACATAGATTGTAAAGAGTTTTGTCAGGTCAGGTAGCCTCAGGGCTGGGGCCGACATGAGTTTTTCTTTTAACTCATGAAAACCTTGTTGCTGTTGGTTGTAATAGATGTAGTTTATCTAATCTATATTTTTATTAACTGTCACCTACTAAAATATTGACTTAAATCCTGCAGCTATTTGATTTCAAGCTTTAAATTGATCTGGTATTCCTCGTGAGACTCCAATTGCGTCTAAATAGACATGAGAGTCGAAAGACTTATAAGGGGCTTCTCTCGCTTTACGATGTCTTATTTTTTTTTCCTTCTGGTTGATGAAATGCCAGGGTGAAAGGGATAGCCAACTGGACTAAAATACAAGTGCTACTCCAGTTATTCGGCAGAGTGCCCAGTAAAGGTCTACCATTGATACTACTACACATCCACTCAGGGATGAACAAGGGCTGACTGACTGATAAGCTCTTGAAAATTCTTAAGCTCACTGCATCCTTTCAGGTCTCTAAGGAACACTAAGTTTCCTCGTTGTCATAAGAGACACAAAGTGAACTTAGTGTTGGGAGACGGAGGCTGGATGGCCCTCGGGGGCTGACCCGCAGGGTGCCGGACTTCGGGATATAGCAGAGAGAACTTGGCATGACTTATTACTCCAGGCTGTAGAATCCTGGAAAAGAGCTACTATGCAGCCTATGCCTGGTCGACTGGAGGACCACCTTAGTGGAAGGGGGACAATCAGGGCCTCTGGCCTGCCATGTGCACAAGCATAACAATTGCTTTTGTTTAACGTGCAGGTGGAATGTTTGATCTATTTTAACCAGCCATTTGCATCTTGGTATCCTGTCTTAATTGCTAAAGTTTGTTTTAAGTCTTTAACTTCTATGATCTTCTAGTAAAATGAATGTATGGTTTTAGGAAATTACAAAAACTGGTTGGGGCAGTCCATCCTTGCTCTTTAGTGGTCTACAGAACGTTGGACTAACTGTGGCATGAAAGCTCTACATCGGGGGGCAAGATTCCTGGTTGGCACTGGGGTCTTTATTGAAATCTCCCTGGATTAAATGGTCCTAGTTTACTAACGCCCAGTCTGAGGAGAGTCAGGAGGGACAGATGTAAGTTTCTGAAGTAGAGAGCTGTCTTTGACTAGGCAAGTCCTCACAGGGTATAACAAGGCAAACATTAAATGCAGTAGTTTGAGGCGGCGAAATTGACTTGGTTATGTTAATAACTAGATGGTTAGCAACAGAACAAGGAAAGAAAAAAGAGTAATAGAATAGATGAAAAGAGTTAAATTTTTCTTAGCTTTAGTTTGGTAGGGTTTTCCCCTGGGACTATGGCCTACAACTCTGGAGGGGGTGGCGTTTTCTTGACTCGGGTGTAATAAGTCCATTCTTTTTTTTTTTTTCTTTGCTGTGTGAACAGCGGTCTTGGTGGTTAGCAGCACAAGGTAAGGTCCTTCCCAGGCTGGCTCGAGTTTTTCTTCTTTCTACCTTTTGATGAGAACGTGATCTTCAGGCTGGTGCTGGTTTACTGGAAATTCTAGGGGTGGTACATGTGCTAAAAGACTTTTAGTTTTTGAGAGAAAAGAAAGTGGAAGATAAACTAAGTATATAATTTCTAAGAAATTGACCGTTTGTTTTAAATGTGGGGACCTTGGTGGTGGACTTTATAGTCCTTAGTGCCTTTTTACTGAAAGATTTCCTTTAGCACCTATTTTTATTAGTTTTTAGACTAAAGAAAGCCAAATACTATTTTACATTTAACAATGCTTCTCGTATGATTTTTATACCAGATAAGCTAAATTTTATCTTTATATTAGTGTGTTACTAATGTTAAACTTAATTTTAATAAAACCTTGTAGACATATTTATCTAATTTTTAATTTTGGCTAGAAGGTAAGATTTTATTTACAGGCAATTTTTTTGACATGCCTCAACTTTCTGACTTATTACAAATATTTCTTTCTTTAAATAACCAGTTAATTTATTTCAGGACAAGAATTTATTATATAATACTCTTTTTATGTAAACTCTGCCTCCCCTTTTTTATTTTTTTCTTTTTTTTTTTTTTCCGAAGATGATAACCATTCTTTTCTAAAGTGAACTTTTTTTTTATGTCTGTGGACTAGACTGTCTAAGGCCACAAGATTAGAAGTTACTATAATACACGTTACACTGTTAACTTTTAGCAAACTTTACTTTTGTTGAAAACCTTGTAAATTTGGGATTTTATTTATCCTTTGATATTAATAAGACCTTGTTTTGTCCAAATTAGAATTGGTATAGATGGCTTTTTTTTTTTTTATCAATTACCTGAGAGGAACCATCAATCGTCCTGTCCGGAAGGGAGTTCCTCCTAGGTCTGGTCAGACCTTTGTATGGTAATTAAGATTTAGATCCCCTGTTAGGAAACCTGCTGGGTTAAGGGAATTTTCAGTGGTTAATGTTAAATCACCTTTCTTTCTTTCTCTTTTTGACTTTGTCTCTCTCTCTCTTTGACTTTCCTTTTGCCTCTGTCTCTTTCTCTCTCTCTCTGCCTCTCTCTCTCTCTCTCCTTGACTCCTTCTTTGTCTATCTCTTCCTCTCTGTCTCTTTCCTTTCTCTCTCTCTGCTGCTCTTTCATTGCCTCTGCCAGCCATTTATGCTGCTGTTCTCTCAACCACTGTGTGTTGGGGGCAGGGGGTCTAAAACCAGCTGTAACCAAGTGTCTATGTACGGGAGCTGGTCTGGGTTCCCTGGCTTACAGGGAACCTTGTGCCATACCTTTGAAACAGGGGACCTGTCCAGGCTTCCTTCTAAAGGCCAACCTACCTCTAATGCTGGACAGTCTATCTTACACAAAGTTTTTAAGTTTTCCTTGTGTCATAGTACTCCATAGTCTCTCTTAAATCGCCCCCCCGACCTTTTTTTTTTTTTTTGAAAATTTTCAACATAGTTCCTAGAGGGGTGGGCTTACTTTGTGCCTCACCTATGTTTCCTCGAGACAAAACATCACGCTCACACCACACACACACCACAAAACAATGGGTAAAAAAGGCACACACGCACTTTCGTAGTTTACACCAAACCAAAATCAAAACCAAAATCAGAGTATCCAGAAATCTAAGCCAGGTCAAAACCAAAACCAAAATATCAAGCAATCCAAGTCAAGTCAAAAACAAAAACCAAAGTGCCGGTACAGGCACGCCATGGGTGATCAGGCCACGCTTCCACTCAAGTGGCGTGGGCAAGTTCCCAAGACCAGTCCTGTCAAGCAATTCAAACCAAGTCAAAACCAAAACCAAAACCAAAGTGCCGATAAAAGGCATGCCGTGGGTGATCAGGCCACGCTTCCACTCAAATGGAGTGGGCAAGTTCCTAAGACTGGTCCTGTCAAGCAATTCAAACCAAGTCAAAACCAAAACTAAAACTAAAGTGTCGATAAAGGCACGCCATGGGTGATCAGGCCACACTTCCACTCAAACAGAGTGGGCAAGTTTCAAAGACTAGTCTTACCAAGTTTTAGATGTCCAGACTCCAAGTGCCCATTCCTTCCTGGTGTTAGCCACTGCGTTGATCCTCCACGGGGGCCTGCCACACACTGCTCTGGCGAGGCGTCCACCGGGGCAAATGCCTATCTGGGAGTGCTCTCAGGATCCGCGTCGCTCAGGCTGGCCGGAGTCCCCCGCAGGGATGTTCCACAGGGCAGACTTCAGCCGCCTAAGGAGCTGCCTCGACCATCCACCAATCACCTCGCTTCCCGGTCAGGGAACCAAGAAATGTAGCAGGACAAGCCACAGACAAAACTCCTCAGACACCGAGTTAAAGAAGGAAGGGGTTTATTCGGCCGGGGGCATCAGCAAGACTCCTGTCTCAAGAGCCGAGCTCCTCGAGTGAGCAATTCCTGTGCTTTTTAAGGGCTCACAACTCTAAGGGGAGTGCACGTGATGAGTCGTGATCGATCGAGCAAGCAGGGGGTACGTGACTGGGGGCTGCATGCGCCGGTTATTAGATTGGAACAAAACAGGATAGGGATTTTCACAGTGCTTTTCTATACAATGTCTGTAATCTATAGATAATATAACCAATTAGGTCAGGGGTTGATTTTTAACTACCAGGCCCAGGGTGTGGTGCCGGGCTGTCTGCTTGTGGATTTCATTTCTGCCTTTTAGTTTTTACTTTTTCTTTCTTTGGAGGCAGAAATTGGGCATAAGATAATATGAGGGGCGGTCTCCTCCCTTATCACCATGTTGGCCAGGATGGTCTCAATCTCTTCACCTCATGATCTGCCCACCTTGGCCTCCCAAAGTGCTAGGATTATAGGCGTGAGCTACTGCAACCAGCCTACAAACATCATTTTTATATCTATACACAGAATAAATACATGCTCACTTCCTTTTTCTCCTCATGTATGAAACAAGCATTTTCTGTTACTCCCAAAGTGTTGTGATTAAATTTTTAAGTGTGTGCTGGCTGTTAGCTGCAGGGAGGATGTGAGCAGAGAGTGAAGCCGTGGCCCGAAGTGTCCACAGGTGTGTGCACAAAGCCTGGTGGTGTGCATGGGATGGGGTCTGGAAGGGCGTGGGGCAGGGACAAGGCTGGGCTGGCCTGGGCCACCATGTCCTGGCAGGGAACTGAGAGGTCTCTGGGAATTGCGAGGTCTCTGAGTACTGTAAAGGCCAGCATGGCCTGGCAGATTGTCAGGAGGGTAAGTGGGTCAAAGGAGGAGGACAGAACATATGGCATTTGGCTGTGTGTGAGCCAGATCTAGAAGTAACATGTAGACTCTCGTATGTGGGCCTCTATTGGACCCTTGTCCCAGGTCCAGCATGTACCAGGTCAGCCCTCAGATGGAAGGGGCCTGCTGTGGGAGGAGTGCAGGGGAAGGGGGCCGCGCTCCGCTCCTGCGCAGAGCCCTGGGGTGGCCTAAGCCCCGGGGAGAAGGCACATGGTGTGACTGTCAGCATTCAGGATGGAAAGTCCAAGGCCCATAGGCAGTTGTTTCCCCCAAAGCTTGGGATGGATGGGAAGCAGCAGCGGAGCCTTGTATCTGGCAGGTACATCCCGGAAGGCAGTTTGGAGACCAGATGAGGTAGAGGATGCGAGGGCCATCCTGGATGCCTCGGCTCTGCAAATACCCTGAATAGACATGACCTGGAGGTGTTGGATTCTGTCTCGGCCCTCCCAGCAGGAAAGGGACTTAGAAGAGAAGCAATCTTGATTCATAATAACCATGTCCTTTTTCTTGTATATCTGGTTTGTGAACTGAGGTTCGTGTCCACTGAGGCTCTTGTTCCCTCCCTTCCTCCAGCTGGGTCATGACCTTAGCTCTTTGACCCCTTGGCTTAGGGAGGCCTGGGGTTGGCCTGAGCAATGAAACCCCTTGCTAGAGTTGGCTCAAGGAGCCGGCACGGCCATCAACCTCACTGTGGGTTGGTTTGGACCCCACCCCATTGTTCCCCAAGGTGGAATGCAGGTGCCTTTCAGTGACGGGTAAAACACAGCAAAGCGGCAGAAATTTTAGGTGAGAGGGAAAGGTGAGGCCAAGGAACGGAAAGAGAGGACGGGGGTGTGGCATTGGCCCCCCAGGACTCATAACATGATGAAGCTTCCAGATGTAGCAAATAAAAATATAGGGCGCCCAGTTAAATTTGAAGTTCAGATAAAGAATGAACATTTTTTAGTATAAGTCAGTCCAAATATTTGCATAGGATATATACTGAAAAGTTATTTATTAGGTACCTAAAGTTCAGATTTCACTGGGTGCCCTGTGTTTTATCTGGTGACCCTACACAATCAAGTCCTCTCCACTTCCTTAGAGAAGGGCCAGGAACTGAGCTCTCAGAACCTCCTGGCCAGGCACCAGAGTGTCACCAAAGGTCCCCTGAGGGGCTCAGGAACAACATGGGGCGTTTTATCCCTGTAGAGGGTAAAACAAAACGGTGTTTTATATTTTTAAAAACATGGTTATATTTTGGACGAATATATGAAATTAAAGTGAAATTTAAAATATAATGCAATTTATAAAATAGTTTTATCACACTCCTCACCTATATCCCAGGCATCTGTAGTCCTCTTCTTTGGGGAATATCTGAGATTCTCAGTTGAAACACTTGGGGTGGCCACTAGAGGGAGGCTTACAGACTTCACAATTCACAGCTTCCCCACTACGAAAAAGTTTTTTCAGGGTAGTACAAGTAATTCACGTGCTACTATTTTGTTGTCCTTTCTTTTCTGATAAATGTTATTGTCTTTCTCCTCCTTGGTGTCTTTCTTCTCCCCTTCAGCTACTCTGAATTCTGTGTCCTTTTTTTAACCCATTCAAATATCCCTGCTGTGTAGCTACTTAAGGTCCCACTCTGAGACCCCCTGGCCCAGCAGTGGGTTGCTTGCTCCATAATGACAAGGGCTGCCATTTTGTGAGCTTTCGCCGTGTGTCAGGCATGGGGCTATCAGCTTGGCATGTGGTATCCATCAAGAAACAGTACCTGGGCCAAGTGTTTACCCCACAGGGCATTTAAGGCAGGGGACTGGCTAGTGGGGGTGGCATGGCTGTGAGCCAAACCCAGGGACGCAGAGAAGCAGCAAGCTGCCACACCTCAGCTGGAGGGACAGAGGGTGGAGGTGGGGTGGTGGGAACCTGGGGCCAGGTCACTGGATGGAGGCTGCTTCCTGCACTGCTGAAGATGCTGTGTAGGGCAGAACAAGGGTGGTAGGGGAACATCCCGGCCTCCTGCCAGGGCCTTCAGGAGCAGCTGATGCAGGAAAGGCAGCCCCGCCCCCTTGCCATCCAGAACAGAACAGGGGAGACAAGAAAGGGCGTGAGGACACGATGCCCTGGAGCCAGCACACATGCCTCATCTTGTTGAAGTGTGCTCATTTTACAGCCAGGGAATCTGAGGTTCAGAGAGTTTAAGTGGCTGAACTGCAGTTGCACAGCTTGTCAGAAGCAGAGCTAGGATTTGAACCAAGAAGCCTGCCTGAGGAATCCATGCTCTTGAGGACTGCCATATAACAGAAGAGACAGTTCTGGTATGGCCAAGTTCACTTTTGCCCTCAGCCTTTGCAGACATCACTAATCAATCAGAGCCTGGGTCCTAGTGAGCCTTGAGGCAGGTTTGCAATATGGATGGTGCCATCCTGGCAGACATGACTCACCAAAAGTGTTCATCCCACACAGAATCGACAGTGTCAGGCAAGATTCACTTGCAAGAAATAGAAACCATGTCCCAGTTCTGCACAGAATGGGAGTTACTACAGGGGCTTAGGTGCTCACAGAAGTACTGGAAGGGCTGGAGGAAGAGACTCTAGGAGGACAGCTCAGAAGTTGTCCCCCAGGCCGAAATCGTCCTACCTCTGCCTCAAGCAAGAAAAGGCAGTGCCAGGAGGTTCCCACTGGCATCGTTTACCTCTAGCACCTGTGCTGCAGTCCAGGGACAGGAACCACCACAGCTGCCACTCAGCACTTGTCCATCACAGACCCCAGGATGCTGTGGGGGAACCAGCATCTCCAGCAGCAGCTACAGGCGGTAGAAAACAGAAAGTGGAAGAGAGGTTCTGGGGGCCAGGCAGGTGGGAACAAGGAGTTATTGCTTAATGATGAGGGGCTAATGAAAAAGTTCTGGAGGTGGATGGTGGGGATGGTTGTACAACACTGCAAATGTACTTAATGCCAATGCATTGTACTCTTAAAATGGTTAAAATGGCACATTTTATGTTGTATATATTTTACCACAAAAAATTTCAGAAAAGAATGAAAAAAAATCTAAAAACATAACCACCTCACATCCATTAGGATGGCTATCATAAAAACAAGACAGGACAAAATAAGTGCTGATGAGGACATGGAGAAATTGGAACCCTTGTGCACTGTTGGTGGGAACGTAAAATGGTGCCATCGCTATGAAAAATGATGCATCCTCAAAATAACCAGAAATAGAATTACCATAGCCTCCGGCAGTTCTGCCTCTGGGTACATACCTGAAAGAACCGAAGGCAGAGACTCCAACAGATATTTGTACACACGTGTTCAGAGCAGCATTATTCACAATAGCCCAAAGGTGGAGGCAGCCCAAGAGTCTATGGATGGATAGACAGAGCAAATGTGGCCTGTACACACAACAGAATACGATTCAGCTTTAAAACGGAAGGGTATTGTGACACAGGCTACACCGTGGGTGAAACTTGAGGACATTACGCTAAGTAAAATAAGCCAGATGCGAAAGGACAAATACTGTGTGATTCCACTCATAAGAAGTCCCTTGCATAGTCAAGTTCTCATAGAGACAGAAAGTTCCAGGGTGGTTGCCGGGGGCTGGGAGGAGGGAGAATGATGGGTAGAGTTTCCGTTTTGCAAGATGAAAACAGTTCTGGAAATGATGGTGGTGATGGTTGCATGATGTAAATATTCTTACCACTGCTGAACTATATTCCTAAAAATGGTTAAGATGGTAAATTTTATGTGTATTTCACCACATTTTTTAAAAGAAAGTAAACCAGAAGAAGATGAACAGGAGGAGGAGAGATGAAGGAGAAGGCGAAGGATGGGGAAACCCAGGGTGGGACAGATATAGAAAGCAGATGAATGAGACAGGGTGCTGACCACCCCCCATGCCAAGGGAAGCCCCCATCTTGGCTCCCCCATCAGGGGAAGCCCCCATCAATATTGCCATCAATATTGATGGCAGCATCAATATTGTGACCCAGCCTCAGGGCTCACTGGGACCCAGGCTCTGGTTGATTAGCAATGTCTGCAAAGGCTGAGGGTGAAGGTGAACTTGGCCATGCAGAAGCTGCCCCTTCTGTTATATGGCTGCTGTCAAGAGCATGGATCCTGCAGGTCCAGGAGGCCCTGGAATGAAAGAGAGCATTTGTGAGGATAAGGAACGAAAGAAATCAGGTTTTTTAAATGTTAAAGCTGTTAGGAAAAACTGTGGAAGACTTACTGGGAATGATTGCAATGGAGAACTAGGGTTCCAGTCCCGCATCTGGGTTATCTGATTCGGTGGGGTTTCTGTGCCTTTGACTGTCTCTGAGCTATTTCGCAGCTCTGTACATGGTAGAAATGGATGGAGTGCAAATTATCCTGGGTTCATAGAAAGGTGGATGAGTCTTGGCTGGTGGAGGTACACTGGGCCCCTCTCCGGAAGCTCATTTTGCACTTTCACTGAGCGAATTCATGTCAGCATTCCTGACTGGCTGCCCTTTGGATTCTCCTTTGAACTGGTTTTTAATACCTTATTGGATTCCTCATTAGTTAGTGAGTACAAAAAAAACAGATCTTTGACACATGTTCATTTTATAGATGTTTGAAAGTCATCATTTTACCTTTTAAAAAGTTTCACATTAGCAGAATCATAAAGGATGGAGAATAGAATAGACCGGAAGATTCACACGCATGCTGAGATCCACCAAGGTCTTCAGAACCTGGGAGGACTTCACCCCACTCAGATGGCGACCCCAAGAGTGACATGGGGGAGGCAGAGTTTCAGCCTCTGTCTTCACAAGTAATTTGATGAAAAATGACAGGCTCACACTATGACCCGTCTGCAGACCTGAGAGGGAGCTGATCGGCCCATTGAGGAGATGGTTGGAGTCAGGGCGCGCTTGAGTTCCCCGGTCTCAGGAAGCTGGAGAGCTGGGCTGGGCCCAGCAGAGACTGCCATGGGCTGGGGCCAGAGGGGCCTATGGCACCAAGAGACAATGCGGACGGCTCCTTCCCTCTGTCCCCTGCCCAGGCCCACAGCTCTGGACTTCGACCACCACTCAGATGAAGAGGATGAGTCCAAGGAACACCCCGGGCATGGGGGGAAAGCAGCGTCCGCCCCCAGGCCAAGGGCAGAGCCAGCCTCCCCTGCCTGCCCTGATGCAGCATGTGGAATCATAGCCTCTTACCACAGCCACGGAGAGAAAAGGGTGGACAGGGAGGGGGACGCAGCGAGACACAGAGAATATAGAGCATGATCAGACATGCCAGAGAGACAGAGACAGACAGAGACAGAGAGACAGAGACAGACAGAGAGAGACAGACAGAGGGAGACAGACAGACAGAGACAGACAGAGAGACAGTGACAGAGAGACGGAAACAGACAGAGGGAGACAGAGACAGAGATAGATGGAGAGACAGAGACAGACAGAGAGACAGAGACAGAGAGACAGAGACGGAGACAGAGAGACAGAGACAGAGAGACAGAGACAGACAGAGGGAGACAGAAAGACAGAGACAGAGACAGACAGAGACAGAGGGAGACAGAGACAGATGGAGAGACAGAGACAGACAGAGGGAGACAGACGGAGGGACAGAGACAGACAGAGGGAGACAGACAGAGACAGAGACACAGAGACAGAGGGACAGAGACAGACAGGGAGACAGAGACAGAGAGACAGAGGGACAGACAGACAGAGACAGATGGAGAGACAGACAGACAGAGGGAGACAGACAGAGACAGAGACAAACAAAGGGACAGACAGAAACAGAGAGACAGAGACAGACAGAGGGAGACAGAGACAGAGATAGAGACAGACGGAGAGACAGAGACAGAGACAGATGGAGAGACAAGGACAGACAGATACAGGCTGAGACAGAGACAGAGAGAGACAAACAGGCTGAGACAGAGAGACAGAGTCAGACAGAGACAGAGACATACAGGCTGAGACAGAGACAAACAGAAACAAAAACAGACAAGGAACAAAGTCTGCAAAGATGCAGACAGAGACATGCAGAGGGACAAAGATACAGAGACTGAGACATTCAGAGGGACCGAGACATAGGGACAGAGAGATATAGAACAAAGTCCAGAGGGACAGAGACACAGGGACAGAAAGATATGGAACAAAATTTGAAGAGACAGAGACATACAGAAAGAGCTGGAGACACAGAGACAGAGACATACGGAACAATGTCCAAAGAGAGACAGAGGGACAGCCAGAGACATTCAGAAGGACAGAGACACAGAGACAGAGAGATATGGAGCAAAATCCAGAGAGACAGAGACATAGGGAGAAACACAGACAGTGAGATATGGAACAAAGTCCGGAGAGAGACACATAGACACAGAGACAGAGATGTATGGAATAAAGTCTAGAGAGATGCAGAGATCTGCAGAGAGAAAGGGGGAGGGAAATATGGAGCAAAGTCCAGAGACACACACACACAGATACTTAGAGAGAGACAAAGCAAGAGGCAGAGACTTCGAGACAGAGAGATGGACAAGGAGAGGCAACAAATGAGACAAACCTGCTCGCCCAGCAGGGGCCACCTGTCACATGATTGTCCAGGTCCCATGCCATGGGGCCAGGCCAGGCTGGTGCCTGATGGAGCCTCCCACCCTCCTCAGTGGGCATCATCCCCCGTAGGGCCTGTGTGAGGTTGGTGCCAGGCTGTGGTCCTGTGTCCAGCTCAGCACTGGGCACATGTGCAGGCTGGAGAGGGGCTCTGAACGACTAAGACCTTCCCTTGGCGATTTGCTGTTAGCCATTCACTTACACCCAGGGAGGCTTGATCACCCAAACCAGGAAACTTTAGAGAGGGAAAGGAGTGTGGTTAACAGTCATCCCTGGACAGCAAAGCATGCAAAGGGGCTGTCCCAGCGAACGGGAATGTGCAGTCCCAGGGCTGACGACTGTCCCTGTTCCAAAGTGGGTCCCATCACAGGAGTCCAAGCATAGGCAGGCCCTGGCTTGTGGGCTGCCATCGGTCACGCTGGCCATGGCCATGTTGACCACCCCTGAGGGACACAGCTGCTTGGGAGGGGAAGTGATAATTTTTAACCTGGGTTGTTTAAATATGAATACAAAGAGGGCTGAGCGCAACACTCTCATGACCTTAAAAGATGAAACAAGAA
Source organism: Homo sapiens (assembly GCF_000001405.40). Lineage (NCBI taxonomy): Eukaryota > Metazoa > Chordata > Mammalia > Primates > Hominidae > Homo > Homo sapiens. Next base: position 59,566,491 of record NC_000020.11, read on the forward strand.
CTTTAAGAAATTCCATCTTTGTTTCCCACTGCTTCAAGCTGCGCTGTGGTCCATCTGAGGGCAGTCTCTTCCATCTTCCTCCTGAGTCTAGGAGCCCCTGGCAGAGACATCTCGAACTCTTGTAACTTTTCTGGCAACCACAGGCGGACACCTGATCAACGCCATGAGTCAGATATTCCATTTAAAGAGCAACATAAATTGTAGAAGAGAACAGTGATTCCCTGTTGTATTGCTGTCAGTGTCAGAGGTGAGCGTGATGAGGTCTTTGCCACCGTCGGGGACTCTGTCCCCTCCTCCCTGCTGCACCCCGGCACCGACCGTCCTAGGCCCTCAACACGCATTCGTCAGATCCACTTGACTCAGCCTTTGACTCCTGGCTACCATGGAACTGACACAAGACTGATGTCGTGTTTTAGGTCAGGGGTCAGAACTGTGACCTGTGGGCCAAGTCCAGTCACCAGTCTTATAAAGTTTTATTGGAACACAGCCACGCCCATTTGTTTACATATTATCTGGGGCTGCTTTGGCACTATAGGGGCAGCGGCCTCGTGGCCTGCAAAGCCTGAAATATTTGCTATGTGGCCTTTACAGGACAAGTTTGCCACCCACCCATGAACCAGATGCTAATGAATGGCGTCCTCCCCCTGCCTGGACGAGGAGCTGGTGCGACTCTGACCACTGCCAGCCCTGCCCTGGCCAGACTCACCGATCCATCGCCCCTTCTCCATGTTCCCCAGGGCAGTGTGGCTCCTTGGTGGGAACCTGCCTAGGGGGAGGGACCCATTTGCTATCAGGACTCATTCCTCAGCTGTGATCTTCTATGACAGGTCTCAGGCTGGTGTCAGCGATGGGGACCCACTGCAGAAACACCCTGGGCTGGGCTCAGGGACGGCGTGCAGCAGGTACTCTGTAATCCATGTGTGTTTCTGGCCCTGGGGACTTGGGTCCCGGGCACCCTCTCCTGGCTGTGCAGCAGGGGTCCTGGCCCAGAAGGAGGCCCAGCAGCTCTGAGGATCCAAGCCCCAGATTTCTTGCCAAGCCCCTCAGGCAGGTCTCCCCTGTCTGCAGGGCCTCTGAGCCCTAACTGCTCTCACTCTGCGCGGGCCGGGGGTCCCAGCCCTCATCAGCTCTCCAGGTTCTCTACTTCTCTGCCATCCCTTCCCCACAGCTTCCCTTCCCAATGTCATCTCTGTGCCCTGCTTCTTTGGATTAATGCCTCACCGGGGCCACTTGGCTGTCAACATTCATTTGACAAACAGAGTTGAGCGCCTGCTGTGTGCCAGGTGCCCTGCTGGGCTCGGGGGCTCAGTGGGAATAAGATGCAGCCACTGTCTTCCTCGAGATCTGAGCTCACTGCAGGGGCAGGTGAGCCAGTGGCTGCAGTGCAGCGTGTGTGTGAGAGAGTGTGTATGAGTGTGAGAGTGAGTGTGTGAGTGTGCGTGTGCATGTGAGTGTGTGACTGTGTGAGTGAGAGTGTGTGAGTGTGCGTGTGCATGTGTGTGACTGTGAGAGTGAGTGTGTGTGAGACTGCATGTGTGAGTGTGTGAGCATGTGTGTGTGTAGAGTGTGCATGTGAGTGTGTGTGACTGTACATTGCGTGTGAGTGTGTGTGTGTGTGTAGAGTGGGGGTGGGGCTGAAAGCTCCAGAACGAGAGGACCCAGGGGAGGGGAGGAGGGATAGGGCATCTGTGGCGAAGGCACAGCACACCTGAGGCTGGGCAGGTGGGCGGGGCCTGCCATGGCTCCTCACTGAGGTTTTGGAGCCTCTCTGCCTCATAACTGTTGTCTCGGCCTCTGCTGTGACTTTGAGCTCTATGGGGGCTCAGCCCTCACCTGAAGTGCCTTGCCACTCCTTGCTGCCCAGGCATCCCGGAGGAACTGCTGTGGACCCTGCTCTGTGCCCAGGTGGAGGAGGGTCAGGGGAGTCAGGGCCCACTGGGGTAAATCTTCATCCAACAGGAGACGGGAGGATGCCGCCTCCCATCAAATCCTCCTCCTTTCCCGCCTCCAGATGGGCCATCCTCAGGGAGTCGCCATACACAGGGTGGCTCATGTCTCAGTTTGCCTGGGACAATCCCAGGTTATACCTGTCACCTTGGTGTCATTAACAGCGAGTGTCCCAGATGATGAGATGAAGGATGTGTTCACCCTGCACCCTCATGTGTGCCCCTGACATCCAGCAACTGGTTTGCCGTGAAGTGGTGGCTGCCTCTTCCCTCCCTTCCTCTGGCTCCTGGCCCACACTCCCTAGCCCCAGAGGGTCACCTGTGTCTGGGCCTCAGGCTCTGTTTCTCGGGAACTGAGGCCGGAGCCTTTGAAGGTGTGAGGAACGGGAGTGTCGCAAGCACGTCTGGGTTCTAGGGACAGACCAGTTTCAACTCACGGAAGGACACCCACAGGGAGCTGTGATGCAGAAATCAAGGGAGAATAATTGGCCCAGACTGCTGGGGAGGGGCTTTCTGAGGAGTGGACATATAGGGAGATTTGGGGAAAGAATTGGCAGGAGAGGGGGCCATGAGTCGTCCAGGCAGGGGGTGGCACAGGCAGAGTCTCCGGTAGAAACGGCTGAATTCCAAGATTTGGGGAAATCCCAGAAAGAATTCCTGCCCCTCTGTTTCTTCTCAGCCCAAATCCTGTAGAGCCCCTTGTCAGTGGCAGATAAAGTGGGGAAGCAAATCCTAGGAAAGGCGTCCAGGTAAAACAACGGAAGAAAGGCCATAAGAAGCACTGCACTACCGGGACCATTTCATCCACCCGCACTTTGCCATGAAAGACTCCATCCATGGGGCGGGGAAGCACCCTCTGATCACTGCAGCTGCAGCGGGGAGAGCAAGAAGGACACACACTGAGGGAGAAACTGGAACAGAAACAGAGAGAGGAGAGAACAGAGAGAGTCAGAAACAGAAACCAAAGCTGATGGAAACAAAGGCAGCAGGAGAGAGGGAGTGGGGAGAGAGAGAGAGAATGGATGGACAGATGGATGAATGGATGGATGGATGGATGGATGCATGGAGGATAGATAGATCAGAGATGAATGGATGATGGATGGATGAGTAGATGGGTGGGTAAGTGGATGGACGGATGGATGATGGGTAGAGGATGGATAGATCAAGGATGAATGGATGATGGTTGGATGGAAGATGGATGGAAGGATGCTGGATGGATGGATAATGGATGGGAAATAGATGATGGACGGACGATGGGCAGATTCCAGCAAGCACCCTTATCTTGCTGTATCAGTTGTAAGGGAACTGGTTCACAGCATTGGCTTCTGGGGCCCCATGACCTCCTGTTTCTTTCCCTACCCAACCCCTGCCTTCTTCTCACACAAGTTGTAAGGTGTAGAGCCTGTTCCCAAACCAAACACTGCAGCTTTCTTGACTCAGTGTTCTTCCTGTAAGATTTTTTCTCCCCCCAACTTCCAGAGTTGCTTGCTGGGGTGGGAAGGGTTGACAGATTACTTCTAAGCATCTGGCACACGGTAGACCCTCAACCAGGTGGCTGTATTGATGACTTTTTTTTTAATTGAGATATAATTTATGTAGTCTAAATTCACCATTTTAAAGCATACAATTCAGTGGTTTTTAGTATATTCACAAGGCTGTGTAACTATCATATACTATCTGATTCCACAGCATTTTCACCACCCCATAAAGAAAACCATTAAGCAGTCACTCCCCATCCTCCCCTTCCCCAGCCCTTGGCAACCATTAAGCTACTTTATGTTTCTTTGGATTGGCGCTTTCTGCACATTTCATGTAAGTGGTGTCATTCACGATATAGACTTTTATGATTTTTTTTTCACTTAGCACAATCTTTCCAAGGTTTATCTGTGTTGTAGTGTGGATCAGTACATCATTCCTTTTTATTGTCAAATAATATTCCATTGTATGGGTATACATCCGGCCCTCCAAATTTGCTGATTCCACATCCGTGGAATTCAACCAACTGCAGATTGAAAATATTTTTGAAAGAAAGGGATGGAGTATCTGTACTGAACATGTACAGACTCTTTTTTCTTGTCATTATTTTATAAACAATACAGCATAATGACTATTTACATTGTATCAGGTATTATAAGTAATCCAGAGATGATTTAAAGCAAGCTTGTCCAAAGGGCAGCCCGTGGGCCACATGTGACCCAGGACAGCTTTGAATGCAGCCCAACACAAATTCATAAACTTCCCTAAAACATTATGAAAGGTTTTTTTTTTCAATTTCTTTTTAGCTCATCAGATATCGTTAGTGTATTTTGTGTATGGCCCAAGACCATTCTTCTTCCAATGCGGTCCAGGGAAGCCAAAAGATTGGATATCCCTGATTTAATGGATACAAGAGGATGTATGTAGCTTATAAGCAAGTAGTACACTATTTCATATAAAGAAATTGAGCATCTGTGGATTTTGGTATCCCTGGGTGTTCTGTAATCAACCCCCCATGGGTACTGAGGGACTAGGGTACTACCCCTGACTTTTTCATTAGCTGACAGATATTTGAGTTGCTTCCACTTTTTGACTATTATGGTGAATGCTGCTATGAACAGCCATGCACTTGCTTTTCTGGGGAAAAATATTTCCAGTTCTCTTGAGTACATACCTGGAAGTGGAATTGCTCGGTCATATGGCAACTTGATGTTTAGCTTTTCGAGGAATTGCTAGACTGTTTCCCAAGGCAGCTGCACCATTTTACATGCTGACGATTTGTTTTTAACAATTTATGGATAGTCCCACAATGTGTCAAAGACGGTTCAAAGCAGCTTAGACCCACACCTGAATTCAGCAGGTGACTGTCAGAGAAGTGAGAAGCATCGGGGCAAGGACGGGGAATTGGGACAGGACCAGGGAGTGGGGAGAGCAGAGTCCTGCCCGGCACAGGCCATAGCTCTTCACAGGAGGCTCTGGGCCATGCTGCAGGGTGGGTACCCTGGGGTGCTCGGAAGTGGCCCTTGAAGCCCCTGGGTACACACCGTGCATCTTCCAGAGCATTGATTTTTACTTAACTGTTTGGTGAGAAAGTGATGTGTATGAAAAGAATATAGACACATGTTGACTAGAATGAAAAACTGGATGAATTTTAGAAAGCTCAAAGGGATCCAGCACCTGCATGCCTCCGCTGCAGGCTCCTTTGACCACAGCCCCCACATCAGAGAACCCCTAGCAGGGGCACCTCCCACCCACCAGAATTGGGGAGAGTTGGGCAGGCTCGCCTGCACCCGTCCTAGTGGCCACTAGAGGGCGTCTGGATCCTCCCTGGGTTGCAGATTCCAGGAAATAAATACCCAAGGTTTCTGCCCGCTTCTCCCCAGTGCTGCCGGCAGAGCTGATCCAGAAACCCACCCCGGGCTTCCCAGGGGGAAGTGGACCGCTCAGACTCCTAACTTCAGTCAGCACGCTGACGAAGGAGAGAGCGGTTGAGAATCCTACAGCTGGAGGCAGAGCTCCGCCGAGGGTCTGGCCTTGCAAGGCGTCTCCCACAGCCCGGGGGACCTTGGACCTGTGTCCCCTCCTACAAGATGCTGAGAAGCCCAGGGTTAGGGGTCCCTGAGGCAGGGTGGAAACGCTGCCAGGACAAGCCCAGCCCACAGTCCACAGCGCCTGCCCCAGAAAAAACAGCCGTCGCTCCTGGATATCTGCCACGTGACTCAAAGAGGATTTAAGGCAGTTTAGAGCGATTCACAAAATTCAGCAGCAGCTGCGACCTCGGGGACCCAGAGAGACGGGGATGACGCAAGGAGAAAGGAACAAGAGCAGGGATGCGGGATGGAGCCTGGGATGAGGGGATGCAGGCCGCTCACGGAGAATTCTTCTGGGGTCAGGCCCAGGTCTGGGTGTCTTGCGTCCTGGGGCCCCCGGGGTGCAGCCCAGGGGCTGCTTAGAGGGGCTGAGTGTCTTCTCCTCTAGGGTCAGTGCCCCTGGAAGATTTGGAGGGAAAATTTGTGTGTGTGGAGAGAAGGCAAACGTGTCATTGATTTTTATTATAAAAGAAAAGACTGTACTGCACTGTACTGGAATGATAATGATGAAGAAGATGGGATCATTCCAGTCACTCTGAGTAACTTACAGTGGCTTTTTTTAAAAGGAGGATTTCTTTCCTTTATTTTAGTTTATTTTTTAATTATGTGTTTATGATTTTTAGTGATGGGGTTTTGCTCTGCTGCCCAGGCTGAAGTGCAGTGGCATGTCATGGCTCACTGCAGCCTCAAACTCCTGGGCTCGAGCAATCCTCCTGAGTAGCTGGGACCACAGCCTTGCGCCACCAAACCCAACTACTTTTTAAATTTTTTGTAGAGATGAGGTCTCGCTATGTTGCCCAGACTGGTCTTGAACTCCTGGCTTCAAGCGAGTTGAAGCTTGAAGCCTCCTGAGCAGCTGGGGTTATAGGCATAAGCCACCCTTTCCTTTTTTTTAAAAAAAAATAATTATTTGAGGTGATATTTGTGTAATACCAAATTAGCCCTTTTAAAGTGAACAATTCAGTGGCATTTAGGACATTCACAATGCTGTGCGCCCACTACTTCTACCTGTTCCAAACCATTTTCATCATTTTATGGTAAAACCTCATCTTTGTGGTGCCTTTTAGATCTTTCTTTATTAATTATTTATTGAGCATCTACCATGAACCGAAGTCTGTGTGGTACTGGGGATTTTGAATGGTGATTACACACAGTCTCTGCCCTCAGTGATAGCCAGCCTTTACCCCAACATGTTCTTTAAGTGTTCTAGCTCTTAGAAGCAGAGTCCTCATTTCCTCCCAGACAGCAGAAAGATTGGTAACTATGTAGCACCCATGCCCCACTCTGCTGGCCCTTGCCCTTATCAGACATTGCCAATCAATTGCAGCACTCTTACTGATCCTTGAGGCAGCCTAGTGACCCTGTGGAGCTCAGGTACATTGCCAACCAACACTGAGAAAGCTTTGGGTCATTCCGAGCTGTGATGTTGTACACACAGAGGTCTGTATCATATATACATACACTGGGTTCCATGAACTCAAGTCTCACTTGTCCACAAGTTGCAGGGCAACCGGGTTTTATAGGCTTACAGGAAATCACCCCTAGTCCTCACTCCATGCCTGCAGGGAAAACGTTGTGAAGGTATCCTAGCTGGTTCCTGCGGGTCATAAGGATGCTGAAGAAACTCCCAGCATAGACAGATACAGTGAACCTGGCAAGTCACTGCTGTTGGGTTGGTGTGTGTCCAGGGAGGTCACTCACAGCCATGACCTGCTACGGAATTTGCCAGGGGTCTAATGCAAATGAAAGTACAGTTCCCTTATTCAAAAATTATGAAGAGCTGCAAGGTGGTGGTGGTAGGGCGGGAAGCCAAGTCTGGGCCCTTTTGAGCCTGGGGCCCTGTGCCTGTCCAGGCAGCTCTCATCGCAGTCATTCTGGCCATTTACCCCCACTCGGGCTCTGCATGAGGAGCTGGCCTGGCCTGGAAGCGCAGTGTCGTGGAGAGCCTGGTGTCTGCTCTGCCCCAAGCTCTCCCCCTTTCTAGGCAGCTGCACCAAAGCAGCTTTTGGAGAACCTCCTCTCCCCAGGCCTCAGCAGAGGAGGTTCAGGTGAGCTGATCCTACCCCACTTCCATCCTCCTCCGTGCCACCAGCCTGGCTAACCCGTAGTTCCCATCCCTTAGTGACGAGGACCAGTTCAGAGTTGGGGAGAGGTGCTGTGAGGAGGTCCAAGCAAACTCGGCTTGGTGCTTTCTCTGGAGCTCCAAGGAAGGAGGTGGCCCCTTGAAGCTTTGGTAGTGGAACTCTCGGATTCAGCCATGTCTGTCACCACCCCTCCTCCTGGTCTCTCCAGTGGCCAAGGGGTACCTTTTCTGCTCCAGCCAGAAGGACTTGGATTTCAGCCCATTGGAACTGAAAGAGTCCCTGGAGTGAGTGGGGCTCAAACGTGGGGCTAGGTGGCTTAGCCAAGTGGATGCCCCACTGCACGTGGCTGCAGGAAAGACCAATACCCCTTGTCCCTCATGGCCCTTGCTGTGTCCTAGACTTCAGCCCTACAGCCGAGGGGGATCCTCTCAGCAGGACTCCTGCTGGTCTGTGTTCCCATGGCCCAGACCAACCCATGGACATTCAGGACACCCTGGAGGGTCCTCACAAAGAAGGGATGTTACCCACAGGGCTGGCCCTGAGGGTCCTGCTGGGCCCAAGGGAGCAGCTGATGGGGTGGCCTTCAGCCCTTCTGGATTCCTTGCAGGGGCTGGGCCTGGCCAGCCTGTCCTCTGCCCTAGAAGCACCCAGGGGTGATGTGGCTCTGGTGAAGCGCACAGGTCCTGGAGTCCAGTTACGAGGCCTGGAGCTTGGCTTGTCCTAATATTAGCAGCAGGGCCTCGGGGAGCCTCTGAGAGCTTCAGTTTTCTTAGGGATAATGAATAATGCTGTCTTTAGATTTTTGTGAAGATGAACTGGGATAAAGCAGATGGAGTGTTTAGCACAGGTCCTGGCGCATCGGAAGTGTTTAGTGAGGATGAATGATTAGGCTTCATCTTCCCCTCTGCATCCTCTTCTGAAGAAACCTGCTCAGAGTTCAAAAGGCCCAACCCAGGCCACACCTAAGGAGGCCAACAGTGTCTGCTGGCCTCAGACGGGGTTAGTCAGCGTCCTTGGTAGTGTGTACTTGAGAGGGCTGCCATGTGAAGCCCCATTCTGTAGGTCACCAATAGATCCATGTGCAAACAGATCAGGGGCCACGAAGGCTCTGGCCCGTGGACAGGCGGCAGGGCCGGCAGAAAGAGAGACCTTTCCTAGCACACCTCGAATTTGTCTTCATGCTAACATTTCTGTCTCCTAACTCTTTCCTCCAGTGACCTCTTCCCCACCAAGGCTAGGGAGAAAAGGAAATGGCAAGGAGGGTGGGACTGAAAATTCCAGTCCTCCATAGGGCTGCCTTCGGGCACAGCTGGAACCAGCTGCTCACACGGACAATGCCAGCAGCCCCTGATACCTCCCTGTCCAGGCTCCTCCCTCTTCTGTGTTCTTTTGATTCTGAGCCATGTAATGGCCCTGGACGTTCAGACCATCCTTCTCAGGACTAGTGGATAACATGGGCTTCTCTCTCCCAGTCCAGCAAAGTCCCAAATGTGTGCCTCTGTGAACCAACTTTTCTGGCCCAGCCCCTGAGGTCAGGTGGATGATCTATGCTGGTTGGTTGGACTAGGTCATGAGCCCTCCCCTGGAATTAGGGAGGGGCCCTGGGTCCACAGAGTGGGGAAGGAGGCTTCCAGCAGGAAATGGAAATGCTATTCCCAGCAGAGTGGGACAAAGCCTGCAAAACACATGGTCCCTGAGTGACCAGGACCAATGCCTGTCCTCTCAAATTCCAGCCCAGTGTGGGGCAGGGCAGATGGGTGGACAAATCATCTCAATGGGATGCAGTGTATGGCCAACAGAGTGTGCACCCAGTGCAGGGGGCCTGCGGAAGGGAGAGCCAAAGGCCTGGGGAAGACAGGCAGGGAGACTGAAGGATTAAAGTCTTCAGAAAAGAGGCAAACACTTAAGCCAGGTCTTGAAGGTTGGGTAGGAGTTCACCAGGGCAAACCAATGAGCTGGGCACAGAGCTAGGAAGCACCGCAACACTGGCCAGGTGTTGAATCCAGACGCTGCACCTTTCTCACTTTCTAGGCAAGTAACTTCACTTCTCTGAGCCTCAGTTTCCTCCTCTAGAAAGGAGGGCATGATGATAGTGCCTCTCTCCAGGAGCTGATGGAGGAGCAAACAGGATGAAGTAGGAGGGGATTGGAGCAGTGGACTCAGTTTCATCTTTCATGGAGCTTGCATTTTCTCATCCATAAAGTGGGCACAGTAACAGCGCCCTCCTCAGTGAGTTTTCTAAAGGTTCAGGGAATGTATGCTCAGCGCAGTGCCACCACGTGCTGGCTGCCGACTGTTACCACCGTTAAGCAGTTCTGAAGATGAGGCTGAGAAGTCTGGGCGGGAGACGCGGGAAGCAGGCAGGCTGCCAGGGAGGAGGCAGGTGGCTGGGAGGCCTGGCTACATCCCAATCCCAGCACTGCCCTGGCCGCTGTGTGGCCCACTGATTGCACCTGCTGGGGGAGCCGCTGGGGGATGGAACGGGGGTTCCTAGTCCCTCAGCAGAGTGCACTTTGAAAGCCTTCAGTGGTGGAGGAGGGGAGTGGTGTTCCTTTGGGGCTCTGAGGACCTGAGTGTCAGGAGGAAGGTTACCCGGAACTCTGCTGGGGACGTGGCTGTGTGGGTGCTGATGGGGACCCTGAGTCCATCTCAGGCCAGGATCCTGCCTCAAGGGCAGGGCTGTGGCTACAAAAACCCCAAAGTCAGTAGAGGCTGCTGAGGCCTCTGGAGAGTCACCCCAACCCCTTCAGGCCCAGGTGCTGGTGGGTGGACGGGCGTTTTGTGAGAGGGCGCTGGGAGGGTCAGAGGACGGGGCCGGCACAGTTCTAGTTCTGGAGCTGGTTGGTGGTTACAAAGGTGTCCCCCAGGCAGCACTCATTAAGCTAAATACGAATGTTTTGTTTCATAGCAAAAAAGGTAAATATATGGGGTTTATTCGAAAGGCAGCAGTGCCTCCCACCGCCCTTACATTAAAGGCAGCCAAGGAGTCTCCAACTTAGGGAGCGCCAGGCCCGGCTCAGTCTCGGCCCATCCCACTTCAGCCCCAGCCCATTTTACACACCAGACCACTGAGGCTCAGAGAGGCCAAGCGACTCGCCCGCCGCCCCACAGCGGCTCCAGCGCTGCTGCCTGTTTACAGCGCGGGGAACCGGCGGCTACACCTCCCGCCCGGCTGTCCCTTTAACGTTTCTAGGGCATCCCTGGAAGGCCCGGGCACGGCGCTGAGGTCTCCGCTCCCGCTCCCGCTCGCCCGGGCGAGGCTGCGGCTCCGGGCGGGTCAAGGTCGCAGCGGAGCCCCTCGGAGCCCCCGCCCGGCGGAGAGGCCGGCCTCGCGTGGCGGCGCCGCCCCCGGCCCTGGTCCCGGTCCCGCCCCGCCGGCGCCTCCCCGCGGCCCCGGCTCCGCTCCGCGGCCCTCCGGCGGGATGCGTGGCCGTGGCGGGGGGCGCGCCCGCTGTCCTGCGCCCCTGCGCTCGCTGCTGGGCGCCTTCGGGGCCCGGGACGCTGCCGCCGCCGCCCGAGATCCTGCGCAAGGTAAGCGCGCGCTGCGGGGAGGGGACGCGGGACGTGGGGCCCGGGGTGCCCGCCGGGCACGAGGCGCTGGGGGACGACTCCTCCTGAATCCCTTGCCCTTGGCCGTTGCGGGTGGCCGGGAGGCCCGCTGCGCCCCCAGCCACAGAGGTGGGCGCCCCGGGTCTCGGGCTTACCGCCCCCCTCCTCCCCCTCGCAGCAAAGTCACCAGAGTCTCTCCCTAAACAAGGGCAGTGTCCGCAGGGTCAGAAGCGCTGGCGTTGGGGTCGACAGTCTGGGGTTTGGAATTCCCCTCTGCCCGCTGTATGAGCCTGTGCGCATGGCGTTTGACCTTGCTGCGCCTCAGTTTCTGCATCTGTGAAATGGGGGATACCTGTGTCTTGGGGGCAGCAGTTGGGATCGTATGGACAGCGCTGGCCACCCAAGGGAGGGCTCTGTGCTTGATCGCCCTTCTTCCCCAGGGAGGGCCATGGGCCTCCACCCACGTGGGACTGGCCCCTCGCCCCCTGCTGGGCAGACACCTGACCCTGGAGAGGGTCCAGCTGCAGTTCAAGGGATGGGATCTAGGAAGAGGGGCCTGAGGAATCCAGAAAATGGCCAGGGCCCCAGCTGGGCCAGGGAAGAGGAGTTGAGGACGGGGAGTGGCCTCAGGCCTCCTGGTGACAAGGCTAGAGTTTTGCCTGTGCTCAGTGGCCATGGGTGCATGAGTACCAGGTGTCCAGCAGGCAGAGCCCGGAGTGGGGTGGAGGAGAGCTAGGCCAGTGTTTCCGCACTGGCCCTTGGTGAGGATACCGGGGGCACTTATTACAGATTGTTCCAGGGGCCCCACCCAGGCCTGCCCCTTGCAATCTCCTGGGAGAATCTGTGTTTTTAACCAAAGCACCAGGAAACTCTGGTTTAGATCCATCCGTGGTTCTTTTCAGTGCCTCGAAACGGGTTGATCCTGCCTTCCCTTGAAGACATTTCTGGTTGTCACACCTGGGGGAACGCCACTGGCACCCAGTGGGCAGAAGCCGGGGACACTGCTAAGCATCCCGCACTGCCAGGAGCCCTCCTTCCCCACGAGGCGGTCATGGTGTAGTCCACAGGCTAGTGCTGGGGTTGGGAAACCCTGAGATACAGGGATACATGGAGTCACAAAGTCAAGAAAGGAGGACATGGGGATTTGGGGGACACTTGAGAGCCCGCTATCTGCCAGGCCTTCTGTGGTGCCCTTGGAGGAGAAGCTCGTGGCAGAAGCTGAGCTCAGGCACAGAGGATGGGCAGCTGAATCCACTCATCAGGAATATTGAGCCCCTACTGAGCGCCAGTCCCAGTGCTGAGCTCCCAGGGTGGAGTCGGGAGAGGGAGATGAGGCCCCTCTAGGGTGCTCCCCTCTAATGGGGCAGAAGCCCCTCCCCCAGTGCCTGCACAGAGTAAGTGCCCACAAGTGTCAGTGCCCTCCCCTAAAGCACCCCTGTTTTTGGCAGTGCATGAGTACTAAGAACAGTGGGGCATATTCTGGGTTGGATTTTGGGAAAGGGCGTTCCCAGTCCTAACCTTCGGCAGCTTGGCAGTGTGTTCAGGGCCACCAGGAGCCCATGTTCTGCCTGCAGTAATTACGCAACTCCTCACCTGTTCCTTGTGCTCCTCAGTCGCTGGGCATTTTTAAAATAGTTCTGCGGCCTCTGTCTAGGCCTTGATGGATGGATGGCAGGGCTCAGCCACTGCTGACCCACTTTCCCCAAGGAGAAAGCGGAATATTTTGTCAGTGGGTCAGCAAATGATTATTCATCATTGAAAATGCTTCAGGCACTGATCTAGATGCTGGGATGCTGCGGGGAGCAGGGAGGCCCTGAGGTGAGAATTCACTTGATGGCACTGGGGAATAGGAGGGTCCTTGAGGCTGGAAGCCCATCAGCTAGGGGACTGGAGGGAGCTGAGTTTGGGGAGGTGGCCCATGGGCCTTGGCCTCCATCAGAAGTCCCTAGGGGTTCTACATGTGCAACCCGAGGCCAATGGCAGGTTCTAGGCTGAAGAATTGCATGTCCCTCTGTGTCTGAGAGAAAGCTCCTCATGGCTGCTGTGTGGCCGCAGGTTTATTTGGAGGCTATGGCAGCAGAGTTGCCAGCTGCTTGGAGGACAGGAGGGTCCATCAGAGACGGAGAAAGTGGGAAGCACTGGGGGCTGATAGGACCTGCTCATGACTTGGGTACCCCAAATCCAGGATGCCCTGTAGGTTTGGGGTCTGAGCACTGGGTGGATGGTGGTGCTGTTTATGGGGGTGTGGAAGGCTTGGTCGGGGAGGAGGGAGACTGGCCGGAGGCTTCTGCAGTGCATTCCTTCACTTTCCGTGGGAGAGGGGAGGTCTGGGAGAGGAAGCGCGCATTCCGTGCTGACCATGGTGATTTGGAGGGGCTGTTTACACTGGGCCATTGCACGTCTGAGTCTGGAGCTTGGGGCGGTGGTTGTTCTGGAGGCTCCAATCTGAGATTCATCAGAATGGGGCTGGCACTTAAAGGAGGTCACTTGGGAGGGGGCTGAGGCAGAGAGTGTGGCTGGGTTTCTTGGTTTCAATGTTGCATTTCAATGTTGAGTCAGATAGGACCCCAGTGCAAATGCCAAGTTTTGGGTTGGAGCAAGGGTCCCGGCACCCAAGGAAGAACCAGGCTGTGTGCCCACAACTCTTTGGGCACTGTGATGCCAGACCTCAAGAAGGTCCCTTTGACTTCATTCCTTTTGGAACCAGGAGGATCTGTCCAGCTGCCACCTGAAGCTCAGCTTCCATGATTTGTGTGGCTACTTCCCGGAGCTTGCTTGGGAATCTTAACTCTCACCCTTAAAGGGATAATGTGCTATTTCTGGGGCCAGGGCTGCATTAATTTAGGAACAAATTAACCACTCATTCTTCCAGACTTCGAAGTCTGATTTCGAAGTGCTGACTCGTAGTGGGTTATTTCTGCACTAAATGAGTTTTTTTTTTTTCCTTTAAAATTTTTGTTTGAAGGGAAAGGCGTGATCAATGATATCATGACATGTCCCAGCTGATGCTCATTAAAAGTTGTGGCTTTAGGGGCTGCAAAAGACAGTTTGAAATTTAATGCCTTGTTTCCTGGCTCAGCTCAGAGTCGGGGCTGGGCAAGGCTCCCTGGAGGCTATAACTCTGAAGACCCAGATTGGGTCTGGAGTTGCCCAATTCTTTTGAAATCTTAATGACAACCAGCTGGACTTAGCAGGCTTTTCTGGTAGCAAGTGACTGAAATGGACTAGACACACAGAAGCAAAAGGGCCATCTGTTAATTCAGGAAACTGGGCGTCTGTAGCTCCAGCTAGCCTCTCCTTGTCTGTCCCAGACTCAGGGTGGGTCATATAGCTGGCCCTTGAACCACTTACTGGAGTGAGGGAGTGGGGAGGACTGGACGGCTGAGACCTAGCTGTCTCCTCCGGTCCAGAAATGGAGCTGGCATCCCCGCCATAGCCAGCCTGAGACTTCCAGTAGGAAATCAGGAGGATCGCAGAAGGACATGGGTACTGGGGGTCACAAACGCCAGCATGGCAGTGCAAGAACCCCACAGCTGTGCCCACCTGACCTGCAAAACCTGCCGTGCATTGCAAATCACACTGCAGCCTTCAGTTTTCTTTCCTGTGACCAATGGGTGCTTGGAGGCAAAAGGCAGAGTCATGATGTCCCGGCAGCTCGAGAAGGCCCTGGGAGAGGTGTGACCTGGCTACACATCTTCGTTTCTCTCCTTTCCCCCCAGGGTGCTCAGGGCACACCTGTGAGAGCCAAGCACCTCCCCACAGCCAGTGGCCCCTCAGGTCTGCTTCTCCTTCACCTGCTCCAAGCCTCACATTTTTCTCACCACTTAGTCCAAATCCCCACGCAGCTGTCACCCCATTACTTTAAGGACTGCTGTCTGCTGGTGAACTTTGCTGATGACTAAGTTGATCGCTCCGTTTTTGTTTGAAGGGAAAGGAGTGATCCCCAATCTTTAGAAATGGCCTAGGCTGGACGTGGTGGCTCACGCCTGTAATCCAAACACTATGGGAGGCTGAGGCCAGCAGATCACGAGGTCAGGAGATCGAGACCATCCTGGCTAACACGGTGAAATCCCGTCTCTACTAAAAATGCAAAAAATTAGCTGGGAGTGGTGGCAGGTGCCTGTAGTCCCAGCTACTTGGGAGGCTGAGGCAGGAGAAAGGCGTGAACCCGGTAGGCGGAGCTTGCAGTGAGACGACATTGCTCCACTGCACTCCAGCCTGGGTGACAAAGCGAGACTCCGTCTCAAAAAAAAAAAAAAAAGTCCTAGCCTGTAGTTGGGACTCCATAAATATTTTATGGGATGAATGGATAATGTGGTCTCCAGCTCAGGGGATAAGTTTTTCTGGAAAAAAAATTACTCACTCAAACACATACACGTATATATTTAATTACACTAGTATGTCATGAATACATCCTCCAAGTGAGCAATTGAAAACATTGCAAATAAGGCTCAAATCCCTCTGGAACATGAATCCTCCCCCCGCCCGCCACCTTTCGCCCTTCCCCAGGGAAGCCACTGTTACCATTCATGGCATTTCCCACCAAACTTTCTTGACATAAGCATGTGCTTTTTAAAGAAATGGCATCACACAGCACTTCTCGCTGTGAAGCTGTTTTCACTCTGCAGTGTATCTTGGAGATTTATCTGGCTTCATAGGTTCTGTCTAATTGCTTTAGAATATTCCATGGCTGTTTTCGCCTTTCTGCTACCGATGGCCATGGAGGTCCCTCTCAGATCCTGTCACAGGCTGTGCTGCAGGGGACAACCTGCGTGAGGCACTGAGCACGTCTGTACAAGTGTTTCTCTATAAGGCACATCCGAAGAATGGAACTCCTGGGGCTTAGGATGAGTGCATTTTAAATTTAAGCTGCTATTGCCAGACTGTTTCCCAAAGTGGCTGTGTCACTCCCAACAGCAGTGTCGGAGGTACCCGTTTCTCTCGCCAGCACTTGATACATTCACATTCTGAAATTTTGCCAATCCTCCAGAGAAGTGAAAATTACATTGTTCAATTTGCATTGCCTTGATTGCTTGAGAGTTTTTCTTATGTGACTTGGCCATTTGGATTTCACTCTCTGAGCGTTGCCTCTTCATTTACTTTTTGCCCTCTTTTTCCAGGGGGGTCGTTCGTGTGTTTCCGAGTGGTTTGTGAGCGCCGTCGATCTGATCTGGAACCCGATCCTCCGCTGGCTGCAAATATTCGTGTCC
Organism: Homo sapiens; assembly: GCF_000001405.40. Lineage (NCBI taxonomy): Eukaryota > Metazoa > Chordata > Mammalia > Primates > Hominidae > Homo > Homo sapiens. The sequence goes on from NC_000020.11 coordinate 59,582,846, forward strand.
TGTCTGTTGTGTGTCTTTTCACTTTGTTTATGGTGTCCTTGGTTGATAGAAGCTTTTAGTTCTGATGTGGTAAAATGTATCCAGCTTTTTTTTTGTTTTTGCTTTTTGTGTCTTAAGAAACCCTCTTCTGCCTCGAGTTTAGAGTGAACAGTTTTTCTCAGTGTGGCAGGGAGGGTCCTGGTTTTAGCTCTGAAAGTCCTGCATCCTGAGAAGTCCTCAGCCGGGGGCATACCAGGATGGCTGCTCAAAAACACATCCCTCTGCGTCTCCTTTTGAGGCTTGTATAGCTTTTTCTTTGCATTTATTTTTCTTATCTACTATAACGTGTGTGAAAGAACAGTATGAGGTAGAATGCAGGGTTTTAATAAGGATTACAGGAGTCACTGGGTTTAACCCAGGGATCTGTTGATTCTGGTGGGGATTCCTAGCCCTGAGGGAGCAGAGGGAGGAAAGGTGGTCTGGGGGTGGGGACAGATCCAGTCAATTTACTTTACCCCTAACTGTGAAGTGGACCATGGCTTCCAAACCAAAACTCAGAGCAGATTTTGGGCAAAAATTGGTCTGATCTGGTAGCCTACATGGTTTTATTAATACGATTGACAATTGGCTGTACATTTCCCAAGCAGGGACCAGCTGTGTGGAGAAATTTGGATGCTCCTTCTCGCAGCCTGGCTGCTTTCCCAGGGCCGGCCCCAGGAGGGAGGCTCCCCGCGTGCCCGCCTACGCAAGCAGCCTCGGACTGACTCCCAACAACCCCAGGGTGCTGGCTTTCCCGGAACCCTCCTCTGATTCGGGATTTCTACCAGACTTCGGTAGCGGTTTATTTTAAGGAAAACAACAACGGTACACTTCCCTTGCATAGGACTCCTAGCCTGGGCCGGGGCTGGCTGGGATGAGGGGATGGGAGGACCGGGGGTCTGGCCCAGGGTTTGCGTTGTGGGCTTTGCATTGGGCAGGGGGAGTTGCCCTTTGGAAGCTGGTGACCTTGTGGCCTAGATGACCTGGAGCAATGTCGATTTTGCGTGATTACAGTATTTTCAGGAAAGCTACTTAGGTGCACCAGTCACCAGGGACGGTTCACGCGTGGACATGTGGAAGGCCTTTCCTGGAGGGAATTCAGCAGCTCTTGGGCCTCACACTACGAAGTGGGCCAGACCGGTGGGCTCGCTATGGAAGGTTCCTGCACCAGGCATTTTAGTGACAAACTGTGGGTCAAAGGAAACACAAGTGAGCGCGTGGGCAAGAAGGTGTCGTACTGGTGCCCGTGTGTGCAACGGGGCAGCCCTGACTCAGTGCCTCAGTGCCTCAGTGCCTTGGGTGGTGCCCTTAAGGACAAGTGTGTGTGAACGTGCATGAGAGTGTGAGGATGTACATGAGTGCGTGTGCCTGTGTGTGCCTGATTGTGTGTGTGTATGCATGTGTTTGTGAGGCCGTGCAAGAGTGTGTACGTGCCTGTGTGTGACTGTGTGTGTGAGGGTGTGAAGCTGTGATGAGTGCATGTGCCTGTGTGTGCGTGATTGTGTGTGTGCGTGTGAGGGTTGAGGCTGTGCAGGAGTGTGCGTGCCTGTGTGTGTATGCATGTGTGTGAGGGTGTGAAGCCGTGCAGGAGTGTGTGTGAAGGTGTGCGTGAGTGTGTATATGAGCAAGTGTGTGCATGAATATTACATGCATGAGTGTGTGCATGCACAAGTGTGTGCATGAGTGTGTACGTGCATGAGTGTATGTGTGCATGTATATATGGATGCGATCTCCCTCAACCTAGTGTGCCAGCCTCAGCACAGCCCTGCTCTGACCAGAGGCTTAGGAGGTCCTCCAGCTCCCAGCCCCTAACACTCCATCTAAGCCAGGCCTCCACCTTCACTCCCCGGCCTTCACCCGTGCTGCTCCTTCTGACGGAAGGCTCCTGGCCTCCCGTGGAGTGTACCCATCTGTCAAGGCCCAGCAGCGAGACCTCGTCTGTGAAGCCTCTCACCCCCTATTCCGGGGGGATCTTTTCCCCCTGTAAGCTCTTATTGTCCAAATCTCTTCTTCATATAAGGACACCAGTCAGATTGGATTGCCCAGCCCCCACCCCCTCAGCAGCCTCATTTTAATGTAATCACCCCTTTAAAAAACGCCTTCTCCAAATATTGCATTCTGAGACACTGGGGATCAAAACTTCAACATATACATATTAGGGGGAGTACAGTTCAGCCCCTGACAGCTTGGCTGGGAACGTGAGCGGGGCCTCGGGTCCTTTCCACTCGGGCTTTTGCATAGGCAGCTTGAGGTGGAGAAGTGAGCAACCCGAGAGAAACAGACTCAAGTTCTGTCACCGCTTATGATCTGGCTTTGGACATCACAGTCCCACTTCTGCCTTAGAATCGGCCTTCCCTGACTCGGGGTCGGCATGAACCCACCTCTCAGTGGGAGGGTGCAAAGCCACGTTGCAAGAAGAACATATGAGGTTGGAGGTGATGTTGTGGCCATTTTTGGGGAAAATCCCCCAAAATGTGACTGCACTGGGAGGGACTCTCAGATGCTTGTGCCTGGTTTCTGGCAGATTTCGACCCAGGCACGTTTTTCTTTGCTGGGTGTGCTTTGCCTGCTGCTGCTATAAATCACAGTTGTGAGTACAGCTACAGCCGAGTCCTGTGAGTCCTCTAGTGAATCACTCAAACTGGGGGTGGTCCTGGGGACCCCCAGCACAGTAATCACCCTGTTCACTCTCTTGTTAATGATCCATCTGCTCCACCAAAGGTAAACCCAGGGCAGCAGTGACTGGCGCATTTTTGTGTGCAGGGCATGCACTCCGTGCCTGGCACCTAGCAGGTGTGCTGTAAGCTCTGTGTCCAATGGAGAGCATGATGGGGAGGCGATGGTGGGGAGGTGGGGTTGGTGGCAGGGAGGCCTCCTCTCCTCACCCGCGTGCAGAGGCCCTTGCGGCTCACAGGAGTTCCTTTAAGTACTGTCGCTCTGACATTGAGCTTTTCACCTCTCCCTAAAGGAAAGCCATTTAGCAAAAAGAATCTCCTAATTTAGCAACATTATCTCTGTCAAGTTACAGGAAGTGGGCATGTGGCCTCTTTGCGTGAGTCTCTCAGCGGTGGAAGCTGGCTCTTCCTCCTGAAAACATGTCGTATTTTTAGACCGTCTTGAATGATTTACACACCTTTTCTACAAGCAGACCTGGAGATGGGAATGCGCAGGCCTGCCCGGACATCTTCTCCAATACCCACCCTATGTGTTCGTGCTGTCACCTGACAGGTGCCCTTGGTAGCCCTTCTCCATCCAAGCCTCCCTCCAGGTGGCCTGCCCTGGCCTGCTCTGTGGTCATTCTGCCTCCTGGAGGCCGGCACAGACTTCCTGCCTCCTGCACATTGCACATTTGGACCTAAGTTCATTGCCACTCCCCCAGAGGGCAAACACTAAAAATAGACTCTTCACTGGATGAGGTTTCTAATATAAGCTAAGGACTGTGTCTCTCCACTTACGAGTGTCCGAAACAGCTGTATGAACTGCACATTCTCCGTCTTCCATGACTAAATCCCCTTAACGACCCTAATTCACTCTAATTCCAGTAACAAGGACGCTCCAGCACTGGAGGCTTGGTGCATGTTCGATTTCTATTTTTATTTTAATGGCTTTGCTATCTGTGCCTTTTCCTATAATCCATGACAAATCATGATAAATTAACTCCATTTTTTTTTTTACTGTTTGGTTAAACATTGGGATGATAAAAAATAAGGCGATATTCCTCTTATTTGTAGATTACTGTGATTTCTGACCTAGAGTATTGTGGTCACGGGTGAAAGTGCAGAATATTGTACACTGATCATTTGCGTTTGCTTGGGAGTCACTGCAGTGGGGGATTGGAGAGGAGCCACTCTGCAGTCACTGGACAGTGATAGTCACACCAGCCAGGTCCTGTCCTCAGTCCTGCTCACTCATCTACACATCTCTGTGGGAGATGAGCTCCACTTGGTGGGACCCCATTTGACAGGTGAGGAAAACCGAGGCTGAAAGGGACAGAGTAACGTGCCCAAGGTCACAGCTGCTGAGCCGAATTTGAGCCTGGACAGTCTGCTGGATTCTTGGTCGTTCTGTGATCCTGTCTCTCATGAACCTGGATTTATATTATATCCCATTGGTTCTGGAAAGTGTCTGACAGCAGGTCAATGCTTGTTGTTACTGCCTGCTTTGGAAGCCCTTAAAAGATGCCCCAACTCTGGCTGTCCTTGTGGGGTGCCTGTCTTGGAAATGAGCAGGCTGCTGACTGAAAAGAGCCTTTCCCTGTAGGTGGGATGTGGTGCCCCACAGGTGGGACCCCGTGTGCCCTACAGGTGGACACTGGGATGGTTCTCTCCACCTGTCCTCATCTGTGGCTTCTTCCCTTTGTTAGAGTCTTGAGTTGATGTTGGATATGAGCGCACCTTTCTTCCGAGGATCGTCTAAGCAGGGTGGAGGAGATGCAGGTTGCACAGAGGTGGGAGAAGGACCCTTGGGGCCAGGAGGCAGATGTGGGGTGTCCCCAGCTCTGCCCCGAGTCCCAGTGTGACCTTGTACATGTTCACCCTTCTCTGAGCCTGGCTTTCCTCGTGGATGGAGTGTAATTCTGAAACCCAGTGTTCATGGCTGGTCAGGAGGATCACAGGAGAGATGTCTATTGCTGCCAGAACAATTTACCACCAACTCAGCAGCTAAAGCATCACCGATTTATTGCCACACACAGCCTGTGGGTCAGGGGTGCAGGTGGGCTTACCTGCTTCCCTCTCTGGGTCTCAGCAGCGCTGTGCTGTTTGCCAGATGCTCTGGGAGAGAATTCACTTCCTGCTCGTTCTGGTGGTTGTCAGAATTCAGTTCCTTGAGGCTGTAGGACTGAGGTCCCTATTTTCTTGCTGGCTGTCAGCTGGAGCTGGGGCTGGAGCCGGGGCTGGGGCTGGGGCTGGGGCCTGGGCCCGGGTCATTTTGGTTCTCAGCTGTAGAGGCCACTGCCTTCCCTGGCTCACGTCTACCTTCAAGGCCAGCAAGGGTGGCTGAATCCTCTCAGCCTTCAAATCTCTCCTCCCTCCCTTCCACCCTGTCCACTCCTGCCTTCCCCTCTGCTTCCTGAGTGATTCCATGAGGCCCATCGGGTCTTCCAGGTTCATCTCCATATCTTCAGGTCTCCTGATTATAACCCTGATCCCAGCTGCAAAGGCCTTCACATTGGTGCCTGCATTGGTGCTTGATCAGGTCACCGGGGGTCGGGAGTCCTGAGGGAATGAATGGCTCTCAAATTCTGCTGTCCTTACTGTGGGTAAGTGGCTGAGGGCTGCTTGGAGGAACCTCACAGTAAAACAGACAACCTCTCACTTAAACAGCACATAAACTCATATGTGAGGCTCTGATTTGTAGCAGTAATAGTGCACAGGAAGTTTTTTCATTTATTACAGATTTAGCTGCAGGGTGCTTTTGATAAAAAGACCCGGTTGAATATAGTTAAAACAAATCTGGGATCCGCCCCCTTGCTGAGCATTTCTGTCGCCCCTGTCCCAGTCCAGGCTGCCCCATCTCTCCCTGTCCGATGCAGCAGCCCCGTCCCCCTGGTCCCTGGGGCCATCTCTGCTGTCGTCCACTTTATCCTCTATCTGGCGGCCCCAACACCCTTCCAGGAGAGGTCAATCTGCTCTCAGCTCTTCCTGGCTGAAGACCCTCCTGGGTTTCCTGTTTCTCCCAGGATAAAATCCACGCTTCTACTCATGCTGGGGCAAGAGGCCCTTTGAGTCCTGAGGCCTGTCCCCATCCTCAGCCTCCCGCCATCTTCCCGGTACTGCCCCACCCCTCACCCCTGGCTGCTTCTCAGCCCCTCCAGCTGCCCTGTGCTTGCTAGTCTTGCCCTACCACCTCCCACCCCCGCTCCCTGGCCTCCATGCCTGGCACAGGCCCTGTGCTCAGTGAATACTGGTTGAATGAGTGGACACGTGAATTAACGAATGAGAGACTCAAATGATCAAATATAAAGCAGGGCCTGTGTCTCAGGGACACTCCTCCAGCCTGGCAAGTCTGTGGTCTTCAGGCCCGTTGCCGAATGAAGGGTCTACTTCCCATCTTTGCTGTGAGTCCCAGGTTTCCAGGGGAGCAGGAAGTGCTAATGTTCTAATGTCTGCACCTTCACTTCCAGCTGCTGATGGCCCCCCAGGCCCATCCCCAGGAACAGGGAGGCTCCCTTTATGCCACAGTGTATAGACTCACAGGTCCCCCAAAGTAGCAATTGAAAAGAACCAGCAGGGTCCGTGACCGCAAACTGCAGCCTGAAGTACCAGGGTAATCTTTGTTACACCCCAAGTTGCGGGACGGCAGAGCCCTCTGCCAAATAGAGAAGTGAATGTTATTCTCCCGTGGGCTTTGGAAGACCCTTGCACTATTATTAATATCTCAGGGCGAAGGCCGGTGAGGGCGCCAGAATTTAATTGCCTAAATAATTGCTTTCCCCAAATGCGAAATCCCGATGGACCCACCAGCTTCAGTGTGCGCATGGGTTTTAATGAATGGTGGGCGCCGAGAGATCACAGCTTCTGTGCAAACACGGACGGCCGTTACTATTTATAGGTTTGTACAGGTTGATTCTTGGGATCATCATTGCTACGGCTGCAGAACGTAAGATCTATTTTTAAAGCACTACCTATAAGCCTAGTGCTATGGATTTTCTGTAATTTATAGCTCGGGCTACGAGACTGCTTTTGAATGGTTACTCTGTAAAGTACTTAATCTACAGTTGCTGCGACGGGGTGCTGGTGGCATGAATCTGTGCTGTGGTGAGTCCGTAAGCCCAGCTCCACGGACTCTGCTGGGAAAAGAAACAACTCTCTTAAGTATATAAATCCAGTAAACATAGGAAACGTCCACATTGAACTGGCAGAAGGAGAACATGTTTGGGTGACAAGGGGCATTATTTAAACATGAAAGATCTTCCTTTAAAAGTGAAAGAAAAGAAGTAAACACTAATAGTGTGCACAACAGTGCCAATTCTAGAAGAGGGTATGGATTTGCTCTTTTATTTATTATTAACATTCTAACGATCCAAGTATTTCATGATCTCCGCCTCCTGGCAAAAATGAAAGCATTTTGAGTAGGGAGCTCAGACAGCCGCCGTCGTGGAGTCTAGGCTCTTCCCTCCGCTTCTGTAGGCAGCTGTTTCACCACGGAGGGCAGAGATGCCCAGAACATCCGCCCTGTGCTTCCATAGTCATATGTGTCTGTGGGAAATATATGGTACTGGTGAGTGTGTGCACTCACGTGTGCATGTGTGTGCGTGCTTGTGAGTGTGTGCTCCATGAGTGATTATGGCATTGTTATGTTATGTACTAACCCAGGAAATAAGAGCTCCAATGATGTTAGACTACAAAGATCTTTTGCAGTACAAGGAAGCCGCTGAGTGCTATTCCCTAGTGTGGATATACCGTAGGGCAGCCATTCTGCTTTGAGGGACATTTAGGTTGTTTCCACTTGATCGGCCTCATGCATACCTTCCTGTGTTTGGGGTTTCTCTGGAGTAGATGACAAGAACTGGATGAGCTGGGACAGGACATTTTCTATTTGGGCAGATGCAGCCAGTCATCCTGGTTGCCGGTTTCAGTCCCACCCAGCATTCGTGGTGCCTGTTTCACCACATCTTCACCAGCACTTGGTGTTAGACTTTCAACTTTGCCTGTTTGTTTGTTTATTCTTTTCTTCACTGGGGTCAGGGGCTAAAGCCTGGTGGTTAAGAAGGAGGCCTGAGGGGACAGATCCACGCCAGCCCTCCTGCTCCCTGGATCTGTGGCCTCAAGGAGCTCTACTGGTTCCTGTCTTAGACTTTTTGGGCTACAACAACAAAATATCTTAGATGGATAATTTAGAAACAGCAGAAATTTATTGCTCACTGTTCTGCAGCCTGCGAAGTCCAAGATCAAGGGGCCGGCAGATTTGCTGTCTGGTGAGTGCCGGTTCCTCAGAGATGGTTCCTTGCTGCTACATCCTCACAAGCAAAAGGTGTGCACAGGGGCTCCCTGGACCCTCTTTTATAAGGCACTTATCATTGATGAGGGTGGGGCCCTCATGACCTAATCACCATCATCTCTGAGCGCTGCGCTGTCCTGTGCAGGACCCATGTCCCATATGTGGCTGTTGAAATTTATTTTAATGTTAAATGAACTAAAATGAGATGAAATTAAAAATTCAGGTCCTCTGCAGCATGCACCACATTTTAAGCACTCTCAACACTTGTGGCTTCCATGATGGGCAGTGCCACGTACATCATCTTCATTCTCGTAGAATATTCTAGCGCATGGTGCAGCGCCAGGGATGAGGCAGCCTCCCCAGCAATTTGCACCAGCCCCAGCCTGCCCTTGACAGGGCTCTGGCCATTCTCGTCCCTCGCACGGACACATCTCATCCTCTCCGAAGGCACCTGCTCCTCCCTCCAGGCTGAGCCATCAGAGTCCCTCCCACGGGGCCCCAGTGCTTCAGTTCCCCACTTCCAGTGGCTCCCGTCAGCATCCACTTCACAGGTCTCCACCCGGGCAAGGCTCCTCACTCATCTCCCAGCTCTGGCCTTGGCCTCCACATCTTCCTGAGTGACACCATGCGGGGAACTTGGTGGGTATTTTAGGGTACAGATGAGGAAACTGAGGCCTCAGGAAGACAGCTGAGGTGTTTTTGGGTGAGGTGGACCAGGGACCGCTTTGTGGCACCAGCAACTCCAGCTCCTCATCATGGGGGCCAGGGCAAATTCCTTTCTTTAGGGGATTCTGCCTTCTTTTTCCCACAGTGCAGTGCCACTGGGGGAGATCTCATGGCTGGTCTCACCCGTTGAGACCCATTGAGATCCATTGAGACTCCATTTCTGCAAAGCTCTCCAGACCCTTCGCCCATGGCCTTGGGAAAACTGTGAATGTTAAAGGGCCAAGAGTGTCACCGCAGAAACCATGTGGCTCCCCGCAGCAGGGCCAAGGCGTCTGTTACTTTATTTTGTGTTGTTTTTCTATAAAGTGATAGATATATATGGTAAAAATATAAAGAATACAGTAGGATGTAAGGCAAAAATCAGCTTCTCTCGCCCCTCAACTCTCCAGGCCTCTGGGTCTTCTCTGGCTGCTCCCAGAGAAGTGCCGTGGCTCTAAGAGGTCACCAGTGTTGCCTCTGAATCCTTCTGGAAAGTCTACATAAAACTTTTGTGCACGGCTTTTGAAATACACATACACACACACAGACACAACATTCCCATTCTGTGTATGCTCCCGCACACCTTGATATTTCTATTAACAGTGTATCACAGCAGCTGCTGTCTATCAGCCTACAAATGTCTTCCAAGCAGAACCCATCTCAGGGCCTTTGTGTGTGCTGTTTCCCACGCCTGGCATGCTCTTTCCTTAGAGAGCCCTGTGCCTATGGCTGCTTCCCTTATTCCACTCCGGCCTTTGCACCAGTATTTCTAAACCATGACCTTTCTTTCTAAGACCAGTGTTAGGTTCACAGCAAAACTGAGAGGAAGGTACAGGAATATTCCATAGACCCCCGTCCCAACATACATAGCTCCACACATTATCAACATCCCCCACCAGAGCAGTACATCTGTTACAACTGATGCACCTACATGGACGCAGGAAGATCACCCACAGTCCCTGGTTTACATTAGGGTGCATTCTTCGTGATGTACATTCACTCATTCTTTAGACCAATTCATTCATTTTTTTAAAGACAAAATGACTAAATTTTCAGACCGATTTATAATGACACCTACCCCTCATTATAGTATCATACAGATACTGCCCTACAAATCCTCTGTGCTCTGCCTAGTCATTCCTCTCTTCCTTCTCTGCAACCCCTGGCATCCACTCATCTTTTTATTGTCTCCATAATTTTGCCTTTTTCAAGAACAGCGTAGAGTTGGAATCACACAGTGTGTGGCCTTTTCAGATTGGTTTCTTTCACTGAGCAATATGCATTTACATTTCCTCCATATAATTTCTTGGCTTTATAGTTCATTTTTTTTTGTACTGAATAATATTCCAATGTCTGGATCTACCATAGTTTGTTTGTCTACTCACCTGCTGAAGGACATCTTGGTTGCTTCCAAATTTTGACAATTATGAATAAAGTTGCTATAAGAATCCATGTACAGGTTTTTGTGTAGACATGAGTTTTCGACTTCTTTGTGTAAATACCAAGGAAGGCAATGTCTGGATCGTGTGGTAAGAGAATTTTTAGTTTTGTAAGAAACCACAAAGCTGTCTTCCAAAGTAGCTGCACCATTTTGCATTCTCAGCAGCAGTGAATGTGAATGAGAGTTCCTGTTGCTCCACATTCTCGTCAGCATTTGGTATTGTCAGTGTTCTGGACTTTGGCCATTCTGATGGGTGTGCAGTGGTCTCTCATTGTGGTTTCAGTTTGCATTTCTCTAATGGCATAATGTTTGGAGCATCTTCTCATGTACTACTTAGCATCTGTAGGTTATTTTGATGGGTGATCTATTCAGGCTTTTGGCCCATTTTCAAATCAAATTGTTCATTCTCTTGTTGTTGAGTTTCAAGAGTTCTCTGTATATTTTGGATAACAGTCCTTTTTTAGGTGTCTTTTACAAATATTTTCTCCCAGTCTTCAGCTTCTCTTTTCAATCTCTTGACAGTGTCTGTACAAAGTAGACTTTTTTTTTTAATGAAGTCCAGTATATCAATTATTTCTTTCAAGGATGATGCCATAATATTGCATCTAAAATGTCCTCACAAAACCTAAGGTTTTCTAGACTTTTCTCCTGTGTTATCTTCTAGGAGTTTTACAGTTTTATATTTTACATTTAGTTCTATGATATATTTTGAATTAATTTTTGTGAAGGGTGTAAGGCTTATGTCTAGATTCAGTTGCTTTTTTGCATGTGGATATCCACTTGTTTGAGAACATTTGTTGAAAAGACTTTCTTTTCTCCATTATATTGTCTTGGATCCTTTGTCAAAAATCAGTTGACTATATTTATGTGGATCAATTCCTGAGCTCCCTATTCAATTCCACTGATTTATTTGGCTGTTTTTCTGCCAGTATCACACTGTCTTGATTAATGTAGCTTTATAGTAAGTCTTAAAGTCGGGAATGCCAGTCTTCCAACTTTGTTCTTCTCCTTCAACAGCGTGTTGGGGATGCTAGGCCTTTTGCCTCTCCATATAAACCTTAGATTCAGTTTGTGAATAGTCACAACTGATTTTGACTGAGATTGCATTGAATTTACGGGTCAAATAGAGAAGAACTGACATCTTGACAATATCCATGAACATGGATTCTCTCTCCATTTATTTGGTTCTTTGATTTCTTTCATCAGAGTTTTGTCATTTTCCTCAAATCTTATACATATTTTGTTAGGTGTATACCTAGGTATTTTATTTTTGGGGGTGACTTGCTCATTGCTGGTTTATAGAAAGAGATTAACTTCTGTGTGTTATCCTTGTATCTTGCAACCTTGCTATAATAATTTATTAGTTTCAGGAGGCTTTTTGGTCGAGTTTTTTTTTTTTTATTTTCTACATAGATTTTCATGTCATTTGTGAACAAAGACAGTTTTATTTCTTCCTTCCTAATCTAGGTACTTTTTATTTTTCCTTTTCCTGTCTTATGGCATTAGTTGAACTTGAACAATGTTGAACAGACACACAATGTTGAAAACCTGTCTGAGTTTTGTCAGATTGTGTCTTTCAAGGAGTCGGTTCATTTCATCTAGGTCATCAAATTTGTGGACATAGAATTGTTCAGAGTATTCTGTCATTATCCTTTTAATGTTCATGGGATCTGCAATGTGTGTTCCCTCTTTCACTTCTGCTATTAGTAACTTGTGTCCTCTCACTTATTTTCTTAGTTAAGCTGGCTACAGACTTAACAATTTTATTGATGTTTTTCAAAGTACCAGCTTTTGGTTTCATTGATTTTCTTTATTGATTTTCTATTTTGAATTTCATTGAGTTATGCTCTAATTTTTTATTAATTTTGTATCTGCTTGCTTTGGATTTAATTTGCTCTTCTTTTTCTAGTTTACTAAGGTAGAACCTTAGATAACTGATTTTAGATCTTTCTTCTTTTCTAGGATATACCTTCAGTGTTATAAATTTCACTCTAAACATTGTTCTCACAGCACCCACGAATTTTGATAAGTTGTGTTTTATTTTTGTTTAGTCCAAAATATTTTAAAATTTCACTCGAGATTTCTTCTTTGACCTATGTGGCACATGAGGTGTGTTATTCAATCTCCACATTTTGAGATTTTCCAGTTATCTTTTTGTTACTAATTTCTAGTTTAATTTCACTGTGGCCTGAGAGCAGATATTGTATAATTTCTTTTAAATTTGTTAATGTGCCGGGCGTGGTGGCTCACACCTGTAATACCAGCACTTTGGGAGGCCGAGACGGGTGGATCACGAGGTCAGGAGTTCGAGACCAGCCTGTCCAATATGGTGAAACCCCATCTCTACTAAAAAATACAAAACTTAGCCCGGCATGGTGGTGCACGCCTGTAGTCCCGGCGAATCGGGCGGTTGAGGCAGGAGAATGGCTTGAACCTGGGAGGCAGAGGTTGCAGTGAGCCGAGATTGCGCCACTGCACTCCAGCCTCTCAAAATAAAAACAAAAATAGTAAATAAATAAATAATTTGTTAATGTGAATTTTGTGTCCCAGAATGTGGTCTATCCTGGTGAATATTTCATGTGAGCTTGAGAAGAATGGGTATTCTACTGTTGTTGGAGGAAGTGGTTTATAGATGTCTGTTACATCCAGTTGATTGATGGTGCTGTTGAGTTCAACTCTGTCGTTACTGATTTTCTGCTTGATGGGTCTGTTCGTTTCTGATAGACGGGTATTGCGGTCACCAACTTTAATCATGCATTCATCCATTTTTTTCTTTGAAGTTCTGTCAATTTTTACCTCATGTATTTTGACGTCTGTCATTAGGTGTGTACGCGTTAAGGATTATTATGTCTTTTTGGAGAATTGACTCCTTTATCGTTATGTAATGCCCTTTGTTGTCCCTGGTAGCTTCTCTTGCTCTGAAGTCTGCTCTGCCTTTCTTCTTTACTTTTATTTTTTTACTCTTAATTGTAAGATACCTGTTGAAAAGTGCACATACCATAAACGTTCATCTTGATGAATTTTCACCAAGTGAACACACCTCTGTAGGCAGAACGCAGTTCAAGAAGCAGAATATAACCTGGATCCCAAAGCCGCCTCGTGTCCTCTCTTAACAAAACCCCTCCTCCATGGGTAGCTATTCTCTGCAGTCTAACATCATCAAGTAGTGTTGTCTGGTTTTTATTTTTCTTTGTTTTCTTTTTTCGGACAGAGCTCACTCTGTTGCCCAGGCTGGAGTGCAGTGGCATGATCTTGGATCACTGCAACCTCCACCTCCTAGATTCAAGCGATTCTCCTGGCTCAGTCTCCCAAGTAAATTACTACAGGCACACAGCATCATGCCTGGCTAATTTTTGTGTGTGTATATTTTTAGTAGAGACAGGCTTTCACCATGTTGACCAGGCTGGTCTTGAACTTCGGACCTCAAGAGATCTGTCCACCTTGGCCTCCCAGAGTGCTGGGTTTATAGGCATGAGCCACCATGCCTGGCCCTGGTACTGAACCTTCTGTAAATGGAATAAGATAGAACACAGTCTTCTTTAACAGAATATTGTGATACCTACCCAGGTTTTTGTCTGGTTAATTTCACTGTTGTATGGTATTTCATTTTGTGAATGTAGCTCAATTTAATGCCTGCTCAAATTCTTAGGTTAAAAATTTCAAAAACATTTTATTGTCTGATAACTATCTTTGATTTGGATGAGTTATTCTGCGTGTAACACCTCTGGACATTGGCATGCATAGCTTGTGTGTCTGCTCAGCAAATTCCTCTGTGTCCTTCCAAGCTCTGCTCAGCAGGGCGGTGGTGTATTTTTGCATCTGTTTTGTGTACTGCTGGATTGCCAGTGCCTGGTGCATAGCAGGTACTCAACAAATATAGGTCACGTGCAGGCACCAGTGAAAGGCCATTTCCTGGAGCTTCCCTGAGCTTCCCAGCCTGGCCAGTGGCTTCATACACTACTACCTCTCCATGCTGTGATGGTGTTGGACACGGCTTACCCCCTCACCATGCAGACTGGGCCAAGCCATCCCGTGCCTGACAGCACACAGGACAGGGCCTGGCATGGAGTCAGTGTTTGGTGCATGTTTGTTGAGCAAATGTCTGCTTTGTAAGCCGGGGTTGCTGGTAGAGATTTTGGTGGGTTGGGGAGGCCAGAGGGATGAGCTGGAGCTGGTATTATGGAAAGAATGTAGGAGCCCTTTTCTGTCCTGTTGGTAACCCTTGTTAGATACCCTGTCTGAGCCTCAACTTCATTGTTTGTAAGAAAGAGGATGATTATTCCAACCTCACAAGATTATAAATCAATGCATGTGAGGTCCTTGGTAAGCTCTAGGCTCTATAAAAGTGCTGTCAGCATTAATCTTGTTACCTCCTCCTCTTCCTTTCATACTTCCTCCTCCTTTATCATCATCATCAAGTCAGTGACTTTTCGGGGGACCCAACAAAAGCATGAGGTTCCTGCCTGTGTGAGTTGGGGTATATATGATGCAATAACAGCCTGAGCTCTGGAGCTGAGGACATGGGATCCAGTCCTGGCTTTGCAGGTTTGTGACCTGGGGCAAGTACTTAAGAACTTTGCCTCTCATTTTCCTCATTGGCTAAATGGGAAAATCACAGTTCTACCTGATTTGGGTAGTTTCAGCCTTAGCCATGGCAATCATTGTAAAGTTTTTAGAACAATGGCTGGCACATGGTAAGAGCTAAGTGTTAAGTAAATGAAAACCCTACTATCAGAGGCCTATGCCAGCAGGATGTTTGGTCCCTTTATAAGAGATCAGGAGGGAGACAGGTGCAAGGTCTTTCTCTGCTGTTAGCGTTTCATCCTCCTGTGTGTTGCTGCAGGGTCACAGGCTGGCTGCTGCTGTTCCAGGCCCCACAGGCACTCCAGAGCAGGAAGCAGGAATGCAGTCAGGACTGCAAACTGCACCTGCAATGGTGACAAATGCTTTTTCTGTAAGTGGCTCTCTCTGTCTATCAGCAATCTTTCCCAGAGGCCCCAGAAGCCTGTTCCTCTCCTTTCATTAGCTAGAGTCGGAGCATGCAGTATCTGTCACTGTGTGGGGGGACCCAGGATGGAGGAAAAGTCACCTGGAGGTCTATAGCTTTGTGCTGACAACATACAAGATGGGTCAGTGGCCCATGACACAAGAGTGCAGGGGCCAGTGGGGCTGCTTTCTGCCTTCCCTGTCGAAAGCCTCCCTGCCCCGGGTTGTGTTTCTCTGCTCTGGGTTCTGTCTTCTATCTCTGCTGCCTCATAGATAGGCCCCTCTCCCAGTCACCTGGATGTGCTGGGGGCACGGAAGGAGAATATCAAAGGGCAGGTGGTCTCTCTCAAGGAACTTTTTGTTCTGCTAATGGTGAAAGCGTATTGAGGGCTTCTGTGTGCTGTGTCAAATGCCCACACCCTGTAAGGTAGGTTATCTTCTTCTCACTTACACACGGAGGCTCAGCGGGGCCACACAGTCAGAAAATGTTGGGACCTGATCTTGTGCCTGGGTCTGTGGCTCCTGCCCTAGACAGCTTGAGTGGACTTGACCCCAAGGAGGGCTAGGCATATCTCCAGGAAGCCATGGGATGCCCACACCACATTTTTTCAGGGCGACTCTAGCTACCAGTGCCTTTCAGGGCAGAGGCCATGAATGGTGAAATCAGGGATTTGGTTCTGGAAGAGCTGGGTGTGTTGTTTTTAAAAAGCCTTGGTTGGCATTGCATTGAGCACCACTCTGGGTAGTCTCTGGTCACAGCTCTAGGTAGAGAGTCCCTCAGGGATGTGGTCAAAGGTGCAGGAAGTGAAGTTCAAGGCTACGTCGTCAAGCCAGGTCCAAGGACCATTCCCACCCGCCACTACTTCAGGTGTTGTTTTTCCAGGTGACCAGCAGAGGGCGCGGCTGCCCACCTGACGAACCTGGCCTGTGTCAGAGTGGTGGTTTTGCCTTCATCTTTCCTTGGGTCCTGGAACTCCCACACTGGTGTTTTGCCTTCTTGTTTCTCTTTAGATGGTTCCCTATGAGTTTAGCCTGAGATCGTGGCTTGAGCAGTTCTTCTTAAGCATTTGAAGTTTGCTGAATGAGTTATTTTTACATTAAGCATGAAGAAGAGTTCCCTGGAGCCCCAGAGAAGAAACTAGATTGTCCTGGGGGACTGAGGCAGCAGAGGGAGCATGAGCCCCTCAGTCCCACAAAGCCCGGAGCCAGCTTGGCCGTGGGGAGGCTGAGCCTTCACTCCTGGAGCAGGGCAGTTGCCTGGCTAGGCTCCGCCGTGCACATTCATTCATTTATTCATCAATGGATATGTATGTACTGGGAGACTACGACCTCCCAGGCACATTCTTGGGTGAACAAACACAACAAAAATCCCCGTGCCTGTGAAGCCGACATTGCCACCATCCAGGTCCTTGGCCCATCAGCTCCCCAGGGAACTTCAAGGCTCCCAGGGCCTTAGGAGAGCAGTTGGTAGCATAAGAAGACGGCGGAATTGAGCTAACCGTCTAAGTGCCCGCAAGAAGTAGCCTCAGGCCAGTGGTTGGTTTCAGTTTACAACCCCATTGTGATGGGCAGCAGACTCTTCCACATCACCCCAAAGGCTGCTTGTCAAACGGGGCTCCTCCTCTTTGCTGCCTCCTCCCTCCCTGATCTGATCCTCCCCACCCAGGAGATAGCATCACACCCACCCTGTTGTCAGTATCAGATTTGCTGGTAACCTCAATTCTACCCCCCTCATAAATAGTTAACTAGAAAACAAAACAAAACAAAACAAAACAAACCCTGGAGGTATCCTTGACTTCTCTCTCTAGTCCCCCGTAGCTCATCCATCACAAACCTGTGGGAGCCACCTTCAGAGAACACCGAGTCCAGCCTGCTGGGTGCCTCTGCCTATTCCTGCTGGGCCAGGCTGCTGCTACCACTCACCAGGATGATTTCCAGCCTCCTGGTCCATCCTGCTGCTTCCTCCCTTGCCCCACATGTCCCTTCTCTGACAGCAGCCAGAAGGATGCTCTGGAGACCCACCACTGCCTCAGTGGCTTTCCACCATCCTTGGAACAAAATCAGGCTCTTCCTGAGGTCCATGAGATGTTGCATGGTCTGGGTCATCCCCTCTTTGTGGCTGCAGATCCTTGCTCTGGCCTCTTTGCAGGGACTTCAGGGCTCCATGCTGCTCCCACCTCATGGTCTTCGCTCAGGCTGTTCCCTCTGCCCGGGGCGCCCTTCCTCCCTTGCATGTCCAGTTGGCTTCCATTTGCCCTTGCACTTCCAGAGCATCACTTCTTCAAACCAGGCTCCCTCTCTGCTCCAGATGAGGCATGCTGCACTCTGTACTCATTGAAATTAATTGATCCTTTGATTCATATTAGTCAATCTTGTCTTCTGTGCTAGACCTCAAGCTCCACAAAGCCAATGTGCAATCATGTCTCATTCATGGTGGTATTCCTGGCAAAGTGACTGTTTGGGCACAGAATAGATTCTTAGGAAATATTGGATGGTTGGATGCATCCATTGGTCTGTACCTGCTTTAAGAATGAGACCAACTTGGGAGGTGTGTGGGGGTGGAATTGGTCTTGGGGTACCATTCCTCACCACTCCCTAATGAGCAGGGGTGCCTCATACATGCGCTGTGTGTTGGAGGGGTTCTGCCATCCCTGAGCCACCTTTGCAGTGATGTGCTCCCTGGCTGCCCCTGGGCAGAGGAAACTGCCTTTGCCTTTGCGGTTTTGTGAGTTTTGAAAGGGACTTGGGCAATTTGGACTGACTCTGTCCCATCTTTGTGGTTCTTCAGGGAGCAGTGTTGGGTTATCGGGGCTGCCCTGAGTCAGGAAATGGCTTTGGGTTTTCGGATCAAGGAGATCAAGGGGCAGAAGGGGGGTCCTTCGATGAGCTTCTATCTGATCTAGAATCTGGGTGGAGACAGGGAGGGTTTCAGTGTTGATTATGCCCACCAGGGCAAGAGGCAGAACCCAATCCTCCAAATTCAAAGCTCAGCCTAGTGCCTCTACATGCTTTTTTTTTTTTTTTAAAGCTTTATTGAAAGAATTTACATATCATTAAGTTCACGCATTTAAAGTATAAAATTCAGTGGTTTTTAGTATATTTACAGAGTTATGAAACCATCACCATAATCTAATTTTAGAACATTAAGAACATTTCTAGAACTCAAAAAAGAAACGGTACCCATTAGCAGTCAGCCCCTCTCTTCTCCCACTCCCCATCCTCGGCGTCCACAGATCTGCTTTCTGATTGGATGGACATTGCATATAACTGGGTTCATGTGGCACGTGGCCTTCTGCCACTGGCTTCTTTTACTTGCATAATGTTTTCCAGGTTCATCTGCATGTGATTGTGGCACATGTCAGTACGTCCCTCCTTTTCATGGCTGCATATTATCCTACAGTTAGGATGGACCACATTTTATTTACCCATTTATCAGTCCATGGACATTTAGGTTGTTCGTAATTTTTTGGCCATTATGAAGCTTTGTTCATTCCAATAGGGTTTCTGCAATGGCCTTCCAAATCCACCCCTTGCCAGGGATCTTGTTCAGGAGGGACAATTGGTGACTTTCACAAAAACCTGTTGTGGGCCCTCAAGGCTGGAAACCCTCCTCCAAACAGGTGCCTTTCACACACCTTGGGGACCAGATCCTCACAGGGCTCAAGCCAGTCATGGTCTGGAGATGACCGACTTTGAAGTCCAAAGTCTCTCCGGCAGGCAATTTACCCGGAGACCTTATTATCTTCTATTGGTCAGTAGAGGTGGGATTGCTAACTTTTTTTAAATTTAAAACTATTTTTAGTATGGAACATCTCAAAGCCAAAGAATAATATAAGGAAAAGCTCCAGCTCTACCTACCTTTAACAAACCACAGTGCTTTGCTAAAATATATACTTCTAAGAAATAAAACTTGGTTGCATCTCATCTTCTGCTTCCCCACTCCATGTGGGCTCCTGAGCTCAAATGCCAAGTCTTATCCTTTTATATGTTTTTAACCCTCATCCATACACAGTTTGGTGGAGTAGGTGAATGGGTGCTGCTGTGTAGACCATCTGAAGGGACTAGGGATAATTTTTGGTGGTGCACGGACAAGGCAGGAACATTGGCTTAGATAGAAAGTTCCTTCCATTCTTTGTCCTTATGGTAACATTAAGGAGGATGTCTCTATTCGGTGCCTGCCTGGCTGAACTCCTCTCTCACCCTTGGGCCCTTTTTAACCACACAGGAGACAGCTCAGGCCAAGAGTGGACTCAGGTATTGAGTTAGTGCCGTGGTCCCCCCCACCAATGCCAGCCAGCGAGGCTGTGCTCCATCAGTCCTATTGAAGGCTTCCTTTAACATGCATGTCGGCCCGGTGTGGAGGTGCACACTGTACTCCCAAGTACTAGGAAGGCTGAGGTGGGATGATTGTTTGAGCCCAGGAGTTTGAGGCTGTAGTGCACTATGATTGCCCCCGTGAATAGCCACTGCACTCCAGCCTGGAAAACAGAGCAAAACTCTTTCAAAAAAAAAAAAAAAAGAGAGAGAGAGAGAAAAGAAAAAATATGTTTAAGTGCAAAGAGTTGATTTAAAGACAAATCTTAAGGGATGGAAGGATAGGTTTTAAATAGGGAAGGCTAAAAATCATAGGGATGGTTGGCAAATGACAGACAGCTGGAGACCTCTGGTGTGATCTTTCTCCTCCCCCCCACCTATAGCCAGTCTCTGGGCTCTATCCCTTCCTGCCCATCCCCACCATTTCTGCACCTGCCGTGGCTGGGTCAGCTGCAGGCTTCCTTCCAATGGAACTGAACTGTCTCAGGTGTTCACTCACCCAGACTCGGAAGGGGCCCAAGGCATGGTTGGGGGCAAGGATTCAGAAACCTTCCCATGGGGCCAGTACTCAGTGTGTCAGGACAGCCCCTGGGGACTTGGAGTGGGAGGTGTTGAAGACCCACTTGGAGAGACCCTGGGCCAAGAGCATTGGCTGTGGCCCAGCTCTTCCACGTGCTGGCTTGTAACCTGGGCAAGAGTGCTCACCTCTTGAAGTTGCCTTCATCTCAAAAGTGGAGACCACAGTAGCTCTCACCTACCAGGGCAGTTGTAGGAAGGAATGAGGTCCCCATGCAAAATGCTCAGTCCAAGGCTGGCAGGCCACTTCACCATCCAGCCAGCACATTTTTATGTGGATAAAACGTATCTATTCCTAGCAGTTTCCCACCAGTTTCCTCTTTGTTTCCTGATCTTAATTGCCAACTGTAATTAAATGATTATTTGGGCATCTTATTAGTGTGTTGGTGACCATTCTCGGCTTCACCCTCCCCCTTTCCCGGAAGACTCAAGGAGTTGGGGCGTCTCTGTGTTTGTGCACTGCTAGGTCCCTAATGCCTGGTGTGGTGCCTGGCACACACTCGACTCTGCACACAGTCTGAATGAATGAATGAGTCCTTTCTTTAGAGGTGACTGATGCTGCTGAAATAACTGCTGCTAAGAGCCCAAAGCTCTGTGTGGAGTGAACATCCACTTTATTCCCCCTCCCCACCACCACCCCGCTCAGTTCTGTCCTTGGCGCTTAACCGGGATTTCGTCCACACTGCCAGCGCTCACACTGCACTCCCAGGCCCTGCTGTAGGTGCTAATCTGATGGGGGCAGCCTTAGGGAGGGCTCTGTCCCCAGCAGGAGGACCCTTGGTGAGCGACTCTCCCCGCTTGCCCCCACCCCTTCCAGCACCTGCAAAGGGGGCTTAGAGCGGGGCTGCCCCATGGGGTTGAGAAATTGAAATGGGGGTGTCCTCCCCCAGGTGTCTCTGTGGTCCTTGAATCCTGGTGTCTGTTGAAATGCCTCCTCCTCTGGGCACCTTCCAGGACCAGGCCAGGTGACACCACCATTCCACCCCCGTCTCTACCCCTTTCCTGGACTTTCTTCCTTCCCTGCCCTGGCTGGGGAAGCAGCGGCTGCCTGCCTGTGTTCACCCCACACCACCGCTGGGGTTGTGAGAATCGCTCCTTAGCACCCTGGAGGACACCTCTGTGAGTGGCAGCCCTGGGGGGTGTCGCCTCCCTTGCCTGGCCCCTCAGGTTCCTAAGGGCGTCTGAGGAAAAGCCTCATTGGAAAGCGCCCGTGCCCTCCTCCCTCTCCCCCGCCCCCCCGCCCCCCGGCAGGGAGGAGGGTTCGGAGCGAGGGTTCGGAGGGTCCGGGGTGCCCTAGCAGGCCCAGGCCAGGTGGTTGCGGGGAGGAAGCCTCAGGTCGCTCCCCTCCGGTGCCGGGGTGGGCGCGTCGGGACCCACTGGCCTCCCAGTCCCAGGAGAGGAAGGACCAGGGAAACCAGCTGTCTGCAGCTGCTGGGGAAATTAGGGGCTCTCAGGGTTCCCTTTCCTCCGGGAGGGGAGGAAACGGGACTAGGAAGCTTTCCTGTTTCTAGAGCACGGCTTGGTGGGGTGGGCGGCTCCTAACCCGGGGTCCAGCCCCTCCTCCCCCACCCCGGCGCGCGGTCCAGGTATGTGCGACCCCTCCCAGTGGCCACGCGCCTTCTCACGCCCCTCTCCCGTGACGTCATGCTCCTCTCGCGCGGCATGATGGGAGAATCCTAATGTTTTCCAACAGATGCTCCAAGAACAGCTTTCAGATTAAAGCAATTGCAAGAGCAAAGATTCTTCCTTTTCCCTTTTTTCCTGGGGGGGTGGGGGGTGGGGTGGGGGGAGGGAGCGCCCCCAGACATTCCAGGACATCACCCCCTGCCCCAAGCACGCAATAAACACTGACAAGAAAAAGTTTTTATTTCCTGGTTCAACTTTTTTTTTTTTCCCTGGAATATAGACTGAAGAATGGGAATAAACACGAATAAATAACAAAGCGAGGCCGCGCACGCCGGGATGCGCCTGGCTGCAGCCGGCGAGGCTATTGTCTCCCCGCCCTGAAGCCAGCCCCGGCGTCTTTCTCCAGCTCGTTTCCTTTCCCGGCCTTTTTTTTTTTTTTTTTTTTTTAATTTTCTTTTTTAAAAAGACGCCCCCTCCAGCCCCCTCGCCGGTGACCTTGGCCGCCTCGGATGCTCTGATTCCACGCGGCTCGCTCTAACTTGCCCCCGCGCCGGCCGGGCCCATGGCCGCGTCGGAGGACGGGAGCGGCTGCCTCGTGTCGCGGGGCCGCTCGCAGAGTGACCCCAGCGTCCTCACCGACTCCTCGGCCACCTCCTCCGCGGACGCCGGGGAGAACCCAGGTAACGGGCTGGGCGGGGGCGGCGGGCGGGTCGGGGAGGCCCGAGGCAGGTGGCGCTGAGAGCAGGACCCCGCGAGGCTCCGCGCCCCGCCTGCATTCGGGGAGCCGCGGCAGGAACCCGCGCTCGGCCCCGCGGTTCCTATCCCCAGTCTCGCAGGGCTGGGGCGCCTCGGAGCCCTTTGTCCATAAAAGAGCTGATTTCCTGGGTAGAGCCGGGCGCTGCAGCTTCCCCTCCTCTCCGGCTGGTGAGCTCTGCCGTCCCCTCGAAGGAGGCTTCCTTTCCTCGGGTGCTGACCGGCTGGGGGAAGAGAGGCAGACCCGTGGCCGCCTCCGCCCAGCGCCGGTTCTGGGCCATTCCCTCCCTCCCCACTGCCGGGCCCCAGCTCCGGACGTCCCCGCTTGGGCATCTGCTCCTGGAAGGCAGCGCTCCGCAGCTGAGGCCACCGCGCTGAGGGCTTCCACCAGGCGCCTGACTCCAGCGGGGCCTGGCGCACCTGGGCGCGCTAGCCCCCGGACAGGTGTGCTGGGCAGAGCCGCCGGCAGGGAGACGAAGGGCGTGCGCCAGGACAGAGCCCGGTTTCGTGACAGCGTGTGGACTCCGTCCACTCTTCCACCCCCATGGCAGCGTTGATTGTTTAGGTGATAAACCGGTCACAAAGGCGTCTATAGGGCTTGATTGATTACTTTCCAGAGAGGAAGAAAGGCCTAATAAAGCGGGGGGGGAGGTGGGGGGGGGGGTGGGCTGTGTGCGCCTGTCACCATGGAGACGCAGGAAGCAAAGTGATCATTAAAACCTCTCTCCACCAGAAGGCAATTTTCACTTCACAGGGAGAAGTCTGGGCTTCTGAAATGTAGGGTTCAAAAAAAGAATCAAAGCTGGTGTTTTGGTATCAAGCCACAGGACTCAGTTTTGTATCTTAGAGAAGCACAATTCCTTCGTAGATTCTGTTTTGATAACAAGTTGCTTCGCCTGCCTTTGAAGACTTATTCTCTCTAAATGCAACGACCCCAGATGGGGACTTGATGATGTTAAATGGTGGGCATCAGAATCCCTGGGGCCCGGGTGAAGGCTGGCTTTGTGGGGAGGGATTCCTGCACTGGAACACACCAGAGCTTCCCGATAAACTGCCTAGAGGACTCATTACAGGCAGCTGTGTGGGCACTGGATCCCTCCCCCCCCCATTTGAAAATTTAAACAATAAACCCGGGCAAGTATTGGAAGATTTCTTTGTTAAGACTATTGACACTGTGTCACTTGGTCAAACTAAGGTACCGGCCTGAATAAATCTCTGACTTTTCTTTATCTGGGAGGGCAGGTTAATTTCCTTAGAGTTTCAAGCAGAGGCTGCCATGGCCGACCCTTAAGGTTTTAATTAATCCTTTTACTAGGAATGGGGGATTCAGCCTTCAGCACTCCATGATGGATTGCCTTTCTCTGGGTTGGAGAGGCGCATCCACAACTGTTCCAATCATGGAAGTTGAGTGGCTTCTCATGAGAATCCTTCTAAGCTCCCTTTGTCTCCCTGGCAGTAAGAGGAAGCAAACTTGAAATGGAAATTATGGAGGACTTGGCTTTTTGGCTGTATGTGAGTTTATGCCTCTGTGGGTGGGAGCGGAGGGTTGGGCAGGTGGTGCCGGTCCATGAGAGAAGGAGGAGGAAGGGCTGGGATGCCTGTGATTAAGTTATGCGTGGGAGGGCACAGGCTTGAGCTCTCCTCTGGTGCAACTGGTCTAAATGGGACCCAGAGAACAGGTGTCAGAGGTGAAAAGTCTAAAATATGTGCAATTCTGTGAGCAGTAGAACCTTACTAAAAAGCACCAAGCAATTAAGTATTTATGGATTGTGTGAAGCAGATTGTGTTTCTGTTCTGGCAGAAAGAGAATCAGAATCATCAAGTTGGAGGGAACTTGGGAACTTGATGGAGGAAGGGCGGGCTCAGGGAGTATTTTCTGTAAGCACCTTGCCTGGCTGGCCTGGTGTGTGCCTGCATACTTCTTTTGATGGTGGACTCAGTTCTTCCTGATGTAGTGCATACTTGTCTTTGGGCAGATCTGTTTAAGAATTCTTTTTCCAATGGTTCCAAAGGGTCTGGTACCCATCAGTCCTGATGGGATCTTCTCCTGCTGGGTGTTACTCAGGGCTTTCAGAGAGCCTGGGGTTTTAGGTATTGAAACAACCTCAGTCACTTCTTGGAAAGTCTAGGCCCTTCACCTGCTCTTCCTAGATAGCCTCCCTTATTTGTCCACCTGCTGCTCTAATGTGAGACTCCTGAAAATTGAACCTGAAGCTCCAGCTGTGGAATAACCTCACACAGAGTTAAGAAGCAGAGCTGTCTCCTCCCATCTAAATTCTATAATTTAATGAAAGAGTCCAAGGTTGCGTTCACCCTTTCCCCTGCAAAGGCATTTTTAATGCATCAGTATTTGCAAAGACTCAAAGCATTCTTCAAAAGGTGAGCTATGTTTTGACACCTCTTTCTCCCATTTTCCAGAGGTTACCCCTGCTGGGAATTGAGGGGCATCCTTTGGACTTTTCCTAATGTTTTATATACTTGTGTTGCTTGGAAAATGGCATATGGGAATGTGCTGGACTCATGGCTCTTCCATGAGTGGTTCTGCTCCACACTGGGTCTCGGAGATCTTGCCTCATTGCAATATCCATCTCCCTTTCCCTTTTAACACCCACACAGGATGCCAAGAAACAATTTTTCAGTTTAGCCATTGGATATTTGTATTGTTTCCAGTTTTTACCCACTACAGACAACACAGCTGTAATTACCTGGGCACAAACTGCCTTGTACTCACCTGAGAATTTCCTCTAGGGTGGGTGTGTGCCAGCTCTTGGGATGTTGAGGCCACAGGGGACCCACATATTTTATTTTAATGATATTGCACTCTCCTAGAAAATGTACGAATTCACACTTTCCGTAATCTATGAGAGTGCCCTTTCTCCAAACCCTTGCCAACACCTGAGATCATCAATCTATTTTTCTCTAGCATGAAGGGTGACAAATGGTTTCTTGTTGTGTTAATTTGCAGTTCCCTGATTGCTAGTGAGCATGAGTGTCTTTTTGTGGCCTTATTAGTTCATTAAATCTCCCATGGCCGGGTCTGTGGCCATGGACTGTGTGGCGGGGATGAAATATTTCCCCTAGGCCTGACCTTCCCGCCACTTTCACCACTGCTTCGTTAATGGGCCCGTCTGTATCTACACAATGTGCCTCTCTATAAATCCGCACTCTACACCCGTGAGCATGGTTAGGTGTTCTTCCAAAATAGAAATTTAATCAAAGGTAAGGAAGCATCCCCTGATCTTTCCTCCTTCAGAGGAGCTCATGGTCACAAGGGGTTTTGCTTCCTTTTCTTCCATCTGCTCTCAGGCTCTGGGACTAGGCTTCTGCCCGCTCCACATCCTGGGGCCAGCCCCTGGCATCGGCCCCAGCACGATGGTGGCCTCCTTCTTGTCGGGTCCCAGGCTGCCTCCTGGGCCTTCCTCAACATGATCCCATCACTGCTCCTCACCAGCCATCCCCTGTCCCTTGGCTGTCGCTGCCTTGCTCTGTCCTGGCTCCATGCCTCTCCAGCTCCTTTCTCCAACTCTCTGGCTCTGAGCTCCAGACCTCTGTGTTCTGCCCGGTCCTTCCAGTCCTTCAGACCTGTTCCCCACCCCAGGGAACTCTGATCTCATTTCTGATTTGCTCCTGGCACTCTTCAACACCTGGGGTTCTTGTCAGTTTCATTCTCTGTGGACTGTCCCTTCTAGACTGGGAGCCTCTTGAGGACAGGGGGCTTGACCATCACCTGAAGTGCTGCACCCCTGAGCTCAGCACAGAGCTCAGATGCAGGAGACTTTCAGTAAGCATTTGTAGGACGAATGGGCACAAGCCCCAGGCGCTGGTGTCTCAACCTATGTGGCGGTGCCTGGCCAGGCAACTGGCCACTCCTGCCAGCTGGATGGGGCCAGAGAGTGCTTGGAGGGAGAGCAAAGAGGAGCCAGCAGCTGCATCCTTCTGCAGGGCCGGGTCCAGGTCTGCTTTACTGCCTGGAGAGGGAGACCCTCTCAGAGCATCCTCTCCTGTCATGAGCTACAGACGGATGCACAGACACATTCCCCAGGCCCTGGGCTCAGGGCATCCCATGCTGGCCCCTTCCTCTTTTATGCCACTCTGCCAGCAGACAGGTGTGGGCTTGTGCTGATGGCCACTTCCTTCATCACCTGTGCACCCTCATCACCCACACACCGTCAACACCAGGCTCTGTTCTTGACACCTCCCTCTCCCAAGGTCACAGGTCTGCCAGACACGGGCCTCCTGGAGCCCACCCCACTTGTTTCAGGTCTCCCACCCCCACCCCCACCCTCACCCCCACCAGGGTTTAGCTCCTACCTTCCCTTTCCTGGACAACCTCAACACTGAGTCTTGGTTCTCTTCCTCTTACCGGTTTTCCTGCAGAACAGGAAGTTTCCAAAATGCAAATGTGGTCTAGTCTCTCCTTTGCCTCAAACCCTCTAATGCTGCCCCCTTCCTGGGCGTGGGAGAGGGCGGAGGCAAGAGCCTCTTTTGTCTGTACCATGGCTCTTTCTAGCTTCCTTCCTCGAATGTTCTCTTATTCTGGAGTCCTGGGTTCTGAGGATCTCCCTCTGGCTCCTTGTAGAGTGTCTACATGGCTTAATTAGTAGTAGAACTATGCAGTAATTACCTTGTCAGCTTCTTCAGGGTTATTAAAAACATAAAAGCTAGATGCTTAAAAAATACTGAGTTTAAGAACTCAGAGCTTTTTTTTGATTATGAAAGCATTGCCTGTTCATTATAGAAAATGGATGCTTTAAAATTCCTTTTCCTAGCTGGGCATGGTGGTCACACCTGTAATCCCAGCAGTTTGAGAGGCCTAGGTGGGCAGATTGCTTGAGCCCAGGAGTTTGAGACCAGCCTAGGCAACACAGTGAAACCCTGTCTCTATAAAAAATACAAAAAGTTAGCTGGTTGTGATGGTGTGCTCCTGTCGTCCCAGCTACTTGGGGGGCTGAGCCGGGAGGATCGCTTGAGCTGGGGAAGCAGAGGTTGCATGGAGCTGACATCATGCCTCTGCACTCCAACCTGCGTGACAGAGGTAGACCCTGTCTCCAAAGAAACAAAATTCCTGTTCTCTGCCCCCTTCTCACCCTAACACCACACAGAAGCCAATGACAATGGACCCCTTTGTCTTTAGGATCTGCCAGGTACCTGGCGAAGCTGTCAGCATTGGAACAACAGACATGAGGAAGTCAGGCCCAGGGGCACCGTCCAGCCTCACCTGCCTTCCTCATGGTCACAGGAACCTGTTTTCAGTACCTCACTTGGTACTCCTGGAGATGATCTCATTTGTTTATTAGACAAACTTGTTTATGGTCTGTCCAATACAGTAGCCACTAACTACATGTGGCAATTTGAATCTGAATAAAATAAAATAAATTAAGATTCTGTTTCCTCAGTTGTAGCCACATTTCAAGTGTGCGGGAGCCCCATGCAGCTGTGGCTGCCATACTGGATAGTGCAGATCTAGAACATTCCTTCCTTGCAGACAGCTTTGTTGGACGGTGCTGCTTGGATTGTAAGCTCCCTGAGGGCAGGGCCTTGCCTGTGGTCCTTTTGGCTGTGTCACCAGTGCTAGCACTGTGCTAACACTTGGTAGTTCCCCAATGAATGCTGACAGAATGGATGTGCCAGAGTGACTGGTGTGGTCTTGAGCTCTCCTGCGGGAAGGGACCCTCAGCCTCCCTAGTCTCATCATCTCATCCTCTGAAAGGGAGGGTACCCAGCAGAGATAATTTCCTATCCACACAGAACTCATTTATTTCAATTTAGTGAGCTTTCCCAGAGCACCTGCAATGCAGCACACTTGGCCCTTGCCAGAAGGGCCTCTTTGGACAAGAGAACAATGAGATGCAAAGAGATTCTTTCCCTGGGGCTAAATAAATGTGTCCAAGTCCTGGCTCAGCCATGGATAAGCTGTGTGACTTTGGGCAAGTCACTTTACCTCTCTGAATCTCAGTTTCCTTTAATGTAAAATGGTAGGCATTATTGTCCTTAAGTTCAGAATGAGTGAGGATAACTGAGCTGTTGTCTTTAACAATGAGTAAATTTTGAGACACAGCTTTAGGAGGCAGACACCTCCCCAAACATTCTCCAATCCCCTTGAGGTAATTCCATCTTCTGTTAACAAAGTCATGGTGGCAGTGACCACAGTGATGTATACAGCAGGGAGCGGGAGGAGGCGCAGCCTGCAGGTGGACCCCAGCCCTTCTGTGTGCCTGGCTGAGCTGGTCAGCCTCTCTGAGTTCTGTGAAATGTGAGTTAGAGCAGGACTGATCTGGCTAGGGGCCAGGCAGGAGTCATGGGACCGTGTCCCTCAGTGACGCAGAACAGCTTCAGGCACCAGGGCCATTCTCAGCAAATGGTGGAGGAAGGAGGAGGAGGAGGAGGATGTGGTTCCTGCTCTGATTCTGGATTTTGGGCCCCTGGCTCTAAAAGGCTCCTCCCCTACACTTTCCCACTCTCACCTTTTGTGGAGGCTGTGTCTCCCCTACCCCTGCCTCCCTCTCCGGCCCCAGGTCCACCCAGCCTCGGATGTTGTTCCCCGGCTCCCTTCCTGGCTCCCCAGCTTGTGAATGGAAATCTCCTAGGGTCCCCCACCTTCACAAGTTATTCCCTCTGGTCTGGTAATTTTGGGATAGCACACTGGTTGTCTTGAAATGCGATTTGAATGTGTATTTTGCGGGGATTGTTTTACTCTGATGAGTTTGTTTCCTTTGCAAGTATATCTTCAGGGAAGGTGCTTTTTAGGGGAGGGTGGCTGTCTGGAATGACACAGGTGAGCCTTGTTAATGCTAGTCCTGTCGCATGGCCAAAGCGTGCCGGAGGGGACGGTGCAGGTAGTGGGTGTGTCCTGGGCCCTCCCCAGAGCTTTAGCCAGGGCAGCATATATGGGAGGATATGAAATGTCACAGGAACAGAGGCAAAAAGAAAAAGTTTGAAAAAAACTAGTATATTAGTTTGAGACCTTTTCTTATTGAATTTGAGAGCTGGGTTCTATTCCATGCACTAGAAAACTCTTTAACACAGGGCACCAAACTGCAGCGTCTGCAGGGCCGGGACTTCCGCTGTGGGAGGGTCAGGGTGTGTGCCTGCTGGGGCGGAGCTGCTTCTTGCCCTGTGGAAATGTGGGCCCAGGTTGGTGAGACCATCTTCATCTTTTTTTTTTTTTTTTCCAGGACAGTGTCTCACTCTGTCGCCCAGGCTGGAGTGCAGTGACGCCATCTCGGCTCACTGTGACCTCTGCCTGCCTGGTTCAAGCAATTCTTGCCTGCTGGGTTCAAGCAATTCTCCTGCCTCAGCCTCCCGAGTGGCTGGGACTACAGGTGCGCGCCACCATGCCCAACTAATTTTTTCTGCATTTAGTAGAGATGGGGATTCACTATGCTGACCAGGCTGGTCTTGAACTCTTGACCTTGTGATCCGCCCACTTTGGCCTCCCAAAGTGCTGGGATTACAGGCGTAAGCCACCGCGCCTGGCTGACCATCCTGTTTTAAGAGTGACACTGGGAATCCAGATTTTTATATGACATGTTGTGTTAGGATTTTGTGTTGCTATAAAGAAATACCTGAGACTGGGTAATTTATAAAGAAAAGAGGTTTAATTGGCTCATGCTTCTGAGGGCTGTGCGGGAAGCGTGGTGCCAGCATCTGCTCCTGGTCAGGCCTCAGGAGGCTTCCAATTATGGCAGAAGGCAAAGGGGGAGCCAGCACATCACACAGTGAGAGTGGAAGCAAGAGAGGGATGAGGAAGGGAGGTGCCAGGCTTTTTTAAACAACCAGATCTTTTATGAACTATCAGAACGAGAACTCCCTCAGCACCAAGCCATTCATGAGGAATCCGCCCCCATGATTCAAACACCTCCCACCCAGCCCCACCTCCAACATTAGGGATTCCATTTCAACATGAGATTTGGAGGGGACAAATATTCAAACCCTATCGGATATGATTTTTAAATATTGACAAGTTTATCTATTAGGGATTGGGTTGACTTTATGTAATAGAAAACCTAAATAACACTGGCTTAAAGAAGATAAAGGTTTTCCTTCCACCAGAAGTCCAGACAGCATGATGGCGTCCCTGTCGTAGGGTGGGACGTTCAGTGAATTTCATACTGAATTCTGGTTGCAACATGGTTGCTTCACCTCCAGCAACAAGTACATTTTCTAGGCAGGACAAAGAGGGTAGGGAGAGGCACAGGGGTGTCCACCTGCCGAGTTTGACATTGCCTTCTTGGGAGCACTGCCCAGTGACACCCACTTATACCTCCTTGGTCTTAGGACATCAAAAGGCTACTCCCAGCTGCCAGGGAGCCTGGGAAGTGTAGCTTTTTCTTTTTGTTTGTTTGTTTGTTTGCTTAAGATAGGTGTATTGCTACTCTAACAAGAGCAGGTTCCGCGGAAGGGGAGGGTGAGAATGACTATCAGGTAGTGAACTACAGTCTCTGCCATATCAACTTTATAAAAGCACAATGTGATCAAAACAAAACATGTCTGGGAGCTGCATGTGGCCTGTAGTTGCCCTTTCAAACCTCAGATAGAAAGAATCTCATGGGAAGACTGAAGCAGTTTTTATGTTTTGTGCCATTACTAAGAAATTAAAGGTTGGACTAAGATATGTGATCCAAGCCTAAACATTATGTCCATTCAAATTTTATTTAACAATATCCAGGGAACAAGATAGGCAGGGTCACTGTTCCTCACAGAGCCAATCATCTGGTCAGCGATCAACGGCTGGAGTGAAAATGTGCTTATTGTCAACTCTTGTTATAAAAGGAGCCATCATACTTCCTTTTATTGAATAGTCCTCTAAACCCTTGAGGTAGGGCCAGAAAGCTAGCGAGGCTGAGTAACCGGCCCATGGTCACATTTATATAAAGGGGAAGCTTAAAGAGGATCTTGAATCCAAGTGAGTCTGAGGCCTGGCCCATCCCTATCTGCACCACCCAGCTTCTGCCTCCCTCATCCTGCAACTTACTGGAAAGCGGTCCTCTGTCCTTTACATGGAATAGATATGTGTGTTTCACCCCCATTCCTGGCTCCAGCCATCTAGCTGACAGACGTATACATACCTGTAGTCACAAAAGCACACAGAGGCAGATGTACTCTTTCATTTCCCAGTTCATTTAACCAGAATGGCCACTGGGACAAGATTTATGTATTGAAAGTCAGGCAAGGCGATGGCAGAGAATCAGCTGTCTGTAGAGTTGTTGAAGGTCCCGTCTTTAATGGGCTGGGACTCGTGTTCCTGTTTGTTAAAGCAAGTCGGTTGGATGGGTAGCTTGGCAACGCACCTTATCTAATGGTCACGACATCTGTAGACTTTGACGTTGATTAGTTGGCAGCCACGAAATGGATCAGCCCTGCACTGAGAAGACGGGAGCTGTGGCTATACGACCTAAGAAGTGTGTTTATTATACATACTATGCTCCTGTTTGTAATACAACCCTTTTAAAAAGTCACCATTGGTCTTGCAATACTCTTCCTAATGAGTTGTATTGTTATGGCATTACTTTTTGGTTCAATTATCTCTTGAAAGTTTGTATCCATATATAGAAAAAATTGTTGCCTTATTGTAATCACTAGCTCTGGAGTTTCAATGAAGTCAGGAAGATATGCCAAAAATGATCTTTCTGCTTCCCTTTGGCAGGAAGGCATTGTCTTAGGCAGCGTTACTCCTGGGGTGACTCTGCGTTTCTTGAGTCACGTGAGTCAAATGGTTGCTGACTTTGGCACGTTTATTGGCCGGGTTTTTTGTGCAAAGCTTCTGAGATCTGATGACCTCCACGGTGTCAGGACTGTCTTGTCACCTGTTTTTCGGGGATCTGCCTGGCCCCTACCCCACATTCTTTATTTTCCTGTTATTCTCTATATACAACCAGAGATACAGGTTTTCCATCAAGAGGGGGCCTATAGAAGTGTTCTTTCCAATCAAGCTTATTTACATAAAAAAGAACATGACTTGAAAATAGTAATAATGTAGTGGTGGTAATACACAGAAATATGCGAAGAAACCATGAAGGTAGTGCTTGGAAGACACAGGCATGCCAAAAACCACAAAGCTGGTGTACAGGTTTCAGTGAAATGGGGAAATGCTGTTATAAATTTTCATCTTGGTCTTGTGGCCCGGCCATGATTACTTACCTATTTGCTGACGCATTAAGCACTACAGTGTGCATGGAGCATGGTGTGAGGGTATGCAAAGGGGCATCGTGCATCCGGGAAGCTCATGGTCTGGCTAGGGGCATAACATTTTGACAAGTAAAATGACAGGGCACATATGTAATAAGTGCCAGGCCTCTCAAACTTGTCCCCTTCTGTGCTGTATCCCATTCATTCTCTGCCAGGTATCACAGGCTTCTGCAAAAGCATTCTCCAGACCTCCGTGGCCCTACAGCATTGAGCTTTCAGTCCTTGGGTTTCTGAAGGTTGGCAGGGTCGAAGGTCCAGGCTGGCTCTTCTCCGTGCATCTCTTATCCTTCTTGGACCTGCAGTCTAAACCAGCCATGTTAGTCTTGTGTAGTGGTGAAGATACATGGGACCTCTTAGGGCCTAGGCTGGAAACCTTCACTTATGCTGATTCTGTTAGCCTATTGGCCAACTTCAGGTCAAAGAGAGGGAAATACACTTGACCCCTTTGGTTGGGGGAGCAGGAAAGTCATATGTAGATACAGGAGAGGTGGAGAATTGGGGCCAGTCTTGTAATCCACACATTAGGCTTATTTCCCTATGTAGTCTGTGGGCTCCTGGAGTCAGAATCACCTTGGAATCTCCTGCCACCTCTGATAAGGTGATGCCTTGACATTGGATGCCAACAGACAAGGTCTGTGGGGTGCTTGCAGATGTGTGGTCTCTGGTGTCAGACTGCCTGGGTTCACTGTGTGGCTTTGGAAGATCTACCTAACATCTCTGATCCACAGTTTTCCCATCTGCAGAATGAGGATTACTTTACTTATATTAATACCCCCTTAGACGAGCAGTTATGATGCTGAGATGAGATGAATTCTGTAAAGCGTTTAGCACAGTTCCTGGGACACAGGAAGATCCTGGTCACCATGAGCTAGCATTCGCCTCCTCCTATCACTGTGGAGAAGTTTTCACCAAAGGCCATGTCTTGGTGGATAAGAGCAGGAGGTTCTGATCTGGTGCAGTTTTGAGGCTCCCAGATGCCCTTGTCTTCCTTTGGGCCTCAAGATGCAGGAGGGAGGGCTTTCCTGGTCTGAGCTGCTGGGTGAAATCAGGCATCCCTCTAGAACTTCCTCCCTTCACCCTGTACTGCCCTGGAGCTGGTTCAGGAGACTGCTGGCATGCACCGGGAAGCTCCGCTCAAGGCGTTGCCCCCTGATTTCCTAGTGGGGGAGCTGGCTTGAGGCAGTCAGAATACTGAGTTGGGTAAAAGACCCAGGGTCAGAGGCTGAGTCTCATTCCAGCTGGGACGTGAGGCTGTGGCTGCGCTGAGCTGACCACCAGCCCCTGGGTTCCTTAGGGTTGCCTCTGGGCTCAGGAAGGAAACTGCATGTAGACACTGAGCTAAGGGAGCACTAGCTGTTTGCTTTGGTTAGTTCTTTCCCCTAATCCTTGCAAGTAGCTGGTTCTGCTTTGATGTGAAATAACAAAAGATTTAGGGAGAATTTATAATTTAGCTCATTTTTTTTTAATGGGAAGGGTGAGTTTTGGAGCACATTTAATACCATGCCATGTGGGGTAAGCTCAGAGCGTTGCCTGCACTCTCATTCACCTGGGCTGGCTTTCCCCGCTCGCTTCCCCGTTGGGAGTCTAATACAGCCTGCCTTTTCCTTAAGATCATTACTTCAAACAGTGTTGACATTTTAATGTGATTATTTTCCTGTAATATTTTTCCAGCCCTTTTCTACTTGGGGAGTATATTTGCATCCTTTTTCTTTAGGGATTTGTGTTGTTCCAGCTCCATCCTGGTCTGTAGAATAGAGCTATGCTCATAGTAGGTGCATGGTAAATATTGATTGACTCTTGGGTACGTGATAGTGACGTCTAGCACCCCTCCTCATACCTATTCCCATGTTCCCATAAAAAAATTAAAATCGAGGGAGAAAAACCCAAAAAAAACAACAATAAACAAAGAGTTCCATGATGGCTTCAGGTTAAATAGTCTCACCCTGTTGGAAATTCCTGGAGCAAATGAGCAAGCCAGTGGGCAGGAGCCCGAGTGTGAGTTCTCAGGAATATACATCACTGAAAGTGAGCCCACACATTTGTTAATGATTGGTCTCTGTGTGGTGTTAAAAAATTAACTAATAACAATTTATTCCAGAGGATATTAGTGTAGAGCAGCTATTTTCTTATAGGAAAAGAGGGATTCCAGTCATTTTTTTTTTTCTGTTTTGTTGAACTGATGTTTGCATCTTGCCTGGTGAAATCTTTAGCAAGGAGGAGGTGGAAGTTGTTCACTTTAGCACCCAGGGGCTCAGCTAACATTTCGTGGGGCTGACATTCTGGGTGCCTGTGCTAGGTGTGGAAGGAGAATTAAGCGGCTTCTGTCCACAATTGAGAGTCTGAGTAGAAAAAAGAGGCATAGCTCACGGCACGTGTCATTTCTCCCTTCGTCCCTCCTTCCATCCCTCCCTCTGTCCTTCTTCTTTCTCCTTCCCTTCCAGCAAATTTAGTGCCTATGATAATGTCAGGGGTGAGGCTGGGCTTGGGGAATAGCGCAGCAAACCGACCTGTTGCCTCATCCTCGTGGTAGATCGTCTGGTGAGTGATGGGCTTGGATCACATCAGCTCATAGGCGAATGCCCCATCCAGCTGTGGGGAGGCTGCCCTGGAGCCCTGCGGGCTTGTGGAGGGGTTGGCATATCTGGGGATCTGAGGGAAGGGTCCAGGGGAGGGCACTTGAGTTAGAGCCAAAAGGTGGCTTCGAATTAACTAGCCCAGCAGGAAAGGGAAAGGTATGCTAGGCCGAGAGATTGGCAGTGCAAAGGCCAGGTGGTGGGGGCAGCTTCGGCTGGAGCCAGAGGCAAGAGAGAAGCAGGAGTATGGCGGGATGGGGCTGCAGGGGAGCTGGGAGCCAGACGGTTGGGGCCTCCTGGACTGGGGAGGAGCTTGTCTGCCATGAGGGAACCATGGGATGTCTGAAGAGAGGGATGTGAGTGTGTGTGTGCGTGAGTGTGTGTGACAGAGACCAAGAGACAGTGTGATCGGGCACATTTCCAAGCCGTCACTCTGGCTGGCCACCCCGGGTGGAAATGGGTCCCAGGAAGGCAGCAGAGTGAGACCAGGGAAGAGGGTGTGGCAGCCACAGATGGTGGGGCCTGGGCTGGGGTTTGCAGAGCTCATTCAGAAAAGGGGCTGGGACTACATTGCCCGGAGGAAGATCTGTGCAGGAGAGGAGGCTCAATCTCAGCTTGGAAGGGAAGGGCAGGAGAGGGAAGGGAAGGGTATGTGCCATGAGGCACCTACGTGGTGTCTGGGCACCCCATGGTGCAGCCAAAGGCTCCTCCCAGGATCCTCATGCAGGAGCCCTGAAGGCTGTGCAAGAGGTGCTGTCTCACCCTGAGCAGGGCCGAGAGCCTGAGAGGTGCTGTCTCACCCTGAGCAGGGCCGAGAGCCTGAGAGGTGCTGTCTCACCCTGAGCAGGGCCGAGAGCCTGAGAGGTGCTGTCTCACCCTGAGCAGGGCTGAGAGCCTGGAACTGTTTAGAGAGAGTCTGGGGCAGTGCAGGATACTCGGAGAGATTGCCTGGGGTGCCCTAGGATGGACTGTGTTTTCTTCTTTATACATGAGAAGCTGGAAAATGGGAGTTGGACGTGGATTCCGTGGGCAAAGGTTCTTTTCCTGGCACAGTGGAGCAGGGATGCTGGCAGGGGTGGATGCTCACTACCTCCTGTGTGCTTTTCCTACTGTGAGCAAATGTGGAAGGGAGAATTGCTATATGAAGACCCTCCATGACCCATATCCTGTATAGCCCCCTCCCCTGAGTGTGGCAGGAACCAGTGACTGTGACAGGTTTCGCCTGCATGCCTAGGCTATCTTATATGCACAGGAGACTTTAAGAAAGTATAAGCCTTGGTGGCCCTGCCCTAATCAGGGAAGCCCTAAAGGGGACAAAATTCTTCCTGGAGATTGAGACTGGAAGCACAGGATGGAAGCGGGGGATGCTGGTTTGAAGATGGAGGGGACTATGTGGAAGGGAATGTGAGTGACCTCTAGGAGCTGAGAGTGGCCCCTGCTGATGGTCAACAGAGAGATAGGGATCTTAGTGCCATAGCTGCAGGGATCTGACTCTTGCTAACACCCTGAGTGAGCACGGAAGTAGAGTTTCCCCTTGAGGGAAGATGAGAAGGCACCCCACTGCTACACTGATTTCAGCCTTTCGGACCCCGAGCAGATGAGAAGGCACCTGGGCTGACACACCGATTTCAGCCTTTGAGACCCCAAGCAGAGGACCCAGTCCTGCCATGTCCTGACTTCTGACTTACGGAACTAGGAGCTAATAAGTGGGTGTTATTTGAAGCCAGTAAGCTTATGGTTTTGTGTTATGCAGCAATAGAAAACTAATACGGGGAGGGAAGTTTATTGCTTCCATATTACAGGGGAAAGCCTCAGGTTCAGAGAGGTGAAGGGATCGTCCTGGTCACCTGGCTACCCTGGCGGAGCTGAGAAGCAAAGCTGTGTGGCCAGACTCTGATGCTCCTGCTGTGTGCTGCCTCGGTTTCCTGATCTGCGAAATGGGCTGGTCATGGCATTGTCCTGAGGCCGCAGGAGGAGTGGCCTGGAGGCTGTGCCAGCTGTGAAAGTGTCAGGGCCCTTGTGACTGTTTTCACCCTCCCTGTTGGCACACAGGACCTGGAGGGGTGCCCCTCCGAGGCCCTCCCTGGCTTCTCACACTCACCCTAAACCCGGTGTGTTTCCATGGTTACTGGTGGCTTTACTAGTGTGACTCTCAAGCTGGCCCCATAGCCACTCCTTTTTATGTGTATTTCTAATTTCCTTTAGAGCATTTTTAAACTTTTCGCTTTGAAATATTTTAGACATCTAAAAATGTCACAAAATAGTAAAAAAATAACTCCTGCGTACCTTTCACCTATATTCCCCAAATAACATCCCACTTAACTACAGTAAGTCATCAAAAAGAAGAAATTAGCTTTGGTACAATACAATTAACTCATCTACCAACCTTATCTGAATTGAGTCCATTTTTCTGCTAACATGCTTTTCTATCCTGTGATCCACCCAGGATCCCACGTGGCACGCGGCCAGCATGTCTCCTTAGCGTCCGCCAATGTGGAACAGTTCCTTAGTGTCTTCATAGCCTGATGCCTTTGAAGAGTGCTTTCAGTTATTTTGTAGACTGTCCCTAAATGAGGGGTTGTCTGATGTTTCCTTCTTTTTAAATCGAGTATATGCGTTTTTGGCACAAATCCCCCATAAGCGATGTCGCTGGAGATCCCTAGGTCAGTTGGACCAATCCTGGTGATGTTGACTGTGGTTGCTCAGCCAGGTGCCTCTGCTCTAAAGTTAACACTTTCTTCCTCTTTGTAATTCGTCAGCGTTTTGTGGGAAACCTTGAGACTGTCAGACATCGTTTCTCATCACACCCTTTCCCACCCTGGGAATCCTCGCCTGCCAGTTGTCACCATGGTGCGTGTTCAGGGGTGGCTGTCTTTCCGTCATTTCTCTTAAATGTATTAGTGAGTTCCATTACTCACTAATAAGGGAAAGCTTCCCCCACGCTCCCATGTATTTATTCACCTGTTTACTTACACTAGTGTGGACGCCTGCATGTATGTTTATCCTGTGGAGTAGAGTCCACTGCTGTCATCTTCTTGTTGCTGGAACTGTCCCAGACGTGGCCACTGGGAGCTCCTTCGAGTCGGTGTCTGTGCCAGTGGAGTGCTCCCATCATTGTCTGAGCTCTTTCTTGCTTTCTGGCAGCATAAGACGCTCCAGGCCCCCAGGGCCTCGCCTCTGCTGAGGTGCTTGCTGTGCAGGATTTGGGAAGGTGCTCTCAGGGGCTGTGGGCTCCCATGCCTGCTTCCGCCTCATCCTTGCAGACCCCTGTGCAGGTAGGTTATTTGTAGGTGAGCACCCCAGTGCACATAGACTGATGTAGCCGGGTTCCCCAGGGAGCAGGTGGCAGAGTTGGGG
This sequence comes from Homo sapiens, assembly GCF_000001405.40. Lineage (NCBI taxonomy): Eukaryota > Metazoa > Chordata > Mammalia > Primates > Hominidae > Homo > Homo sapiens. The sequence continues at coordinate 59,621,324 of NC_000020.11, forward strand.
CTTGCCCAGACTCCTGCTCTTGCCCTGTGGAAGGACCTATGAGTCGGACCCCACACAGGGATTAGGTGGGGCCATGCTGGGCAGCCCATGTCAGCCTGGCACATCTTGGGGACTGTCCACAGTGTCAGGGCTGGGAGCATGGTCTTGGCACATGTAACATGCCCCGTTTCTCTCTTTCTTCTGGGGTTCAGGCATATTTCTGGTCCATGATAAGATCTTTGCCTCCTTCCTGTCTTTCTTGCCCTCGTGGATGGCCCAGAATCCTTTGTAGATTTCCCACAGTGGCCTTTCCCAGGCAGGCACTGGCTGGCAGTGGCAGTCTAGACTTCCTGCCTGCCTCAGTGGCCTTCCCTGAAGGAGCTGTACAAAAGTGACAGGGAGCACAGGCCACTGGCCCCTGGGGAGGTGTGGGGCATGGTGAGCCACGTCCACCACATACTGTGTGCCAAGCTGGAAAAGAGTTTGGGGGTGCAGAGGACAAAGGAAGGGAGGTCACCTCTACAGAATCACATGGCACTTAATTTGTCTTTCCTCTTCCCTACCCACTCCCCTCCTTTCTTCCCAGAGACAAGAGGCAGCTCCTGGGAGAAGGCACAGCCTCTGAGACTCACAAGCAGATCTTTTAAGGTCAACTTTGCCATCTGTCTTTTAGGCAATAACCTTCACTACAGCTTTTTCTGCTTATTTTTGTCGAAAGTCATTGGGAGAATGAGTCATTGCGTGTGTATGCCTGTGTGTTTGTGCATATATATATGTGTGTGTATGTGCATGTACAAGTATGTGTTTGTGTGTGCAGGTGTGCACGTGTGGGTACTTCCCCTGATTTTTTTTTTTTTGTGACATAACTTCCCCTCATTTTTTTGAAAGGCTGAAAGGGACTCAGGGTCAAGGCCATGGTGCATCCCTCCTGCAGGGAGCTGGAGCTGGGTGCCTGGAAGCTGGCCTTTGGGTCAGGCTTCAGCCTCAGCCGTACTGACTGTGCCTGGCCAACCTCTGTCAGTCCCTTCATCAGGCCATGCTTTAAGGTCCTCCTCTATAAACTGGGGGCAATGCTAGTTCCTACTCCTGGGGTGGGTATGAGTTCCAGATGAGGCACGTGACCTTTGCAGGATTTTAACATTACAGTGACATAACTGTAATTTACCTACTGGTAAATGCTCTGTTCATGTCAGTTAGTAGAATAGAAAGTGCTGGCCCTGCTGACACAGCAGCCATCTCCTGGTTTGCGATGGACACTATCTCAGGAGGAGGCTGCCGTGTGCCTGCTGCGAGGGGTGCTCCCTGTTTGCTAGGGAGGCCCAGAGACTGCCCCGGCACCTCGCTGCACACAGAGAGGCCGTGTGTGTCTCTTGACCCTTCAGCTCCACACTGGGAATGAGGGAGACCAGGGGTTAGAGATGCCTCGGGACCTGAGCCGGGCACCAGCTCCCATCTGTCCATCTGTCCTGGGCTGCTGGGGGAGCCGGCTCTGGCCAGGACTGATGATTCCTGGCACCCACCAGGAGATGCACATCCTGCTTGAAAGCTGTGAACTGCTATCCAGAGTGTCTGGGCTTATCCTGTTGGAGCAAAACCCCTGGGCTAATATGTAATCCCATTGTGAAATGTATTTCAAGGAGGGCTTCTACAAGGATTCTAATTTTACAGCAGCTTTAACCAAAAAAAAAAAAAAAAAAAACCCAAATCTTCAGCAAACACTCAGAACCATGGTTCCTGTATGATGTATAGCTTTCAAAAACACTCCCCCACCCCTTGGAAATATAGGCAGGGAAGGGAAAATAAATGTTTTTTTGTGGGAGGCAGGAGCATTATTGAAAAAAACTCAACAGGCTTTTTAAAACTGGAAAAGTAGAACGCGCGCATGTTGAAAAATTCCAGGGCGGCTGGAGACAGGATGGGGTGGGGCAGGTATGTCGGCTCCGCATGGATCAGGCTTGGTCCAGCCCGTGTTATGACCTTCCAGCTGTCTGCTTCTCCTCTTTGGCCTCAGTTTCCTCATCTATAAAATGGGAACTATAGTATTGTACGCACCATGCAGCTGTTGTGGGGGTTAAATGATATGATCTGTCACATTCCTGTTACATGTATGTATTCAACAAACATCGACTGTCTTTTTCATTAGTGAAAACCAGGTCTCTCTGGCTGTGCACCCGTCTCTCGTCCCACGACAGCTGCTGATGGCTTTCTTGTGTACGCTCTCAGGAAATTTCTATGCATTCTTTTCTTCTTCGTTTGTTTGTAATATGAAGGGAAACACGCTAGCCCCTGTTCTGTGCCTGGCTTTTCCCTCTTAAAACTGCATCTGTGGGATGTAGATATGAAGTTTGAAGGATACGTGGGAATGGACCAGATGAAGGTGGGGTGGGGATGGTGACCACTGTCCCTGGCAGAGGAACAGCGGATGTGGTGGCCATGTGGTGGGAGGGGCACCGTGTGAGCATGGGCTGAACGGCTGGTGCGTGGGGATGGGGAGGTGGCTTGGGCCTGCCACGCGGGACAGGGAAGACCAGGTTGAGGGTTTTTGTCTGTATCCTATGGAGTGATGGAGACCTGCTGACACTTATGGAGCAGAGGGTGACCCACTGATCTGGGACTCGGAAAGGTCACCCCACTTCTGCTTTGGTGCCCATGGGCGTTGTGTAGAGAAGGTGTCCTGTTTTGGTTTCCCAAGAGAGGAAATGGACCTGCTGGCAGGAGAAGTGGGGGAGAGTGGTTGGGAGCTGCTGGTGTGTCGCCTCTCGATTTGGAGGGTGGGGACATAAGAGTGGGAAATGGCTGGGGCAGTGTCTCTAGAGGGTGGCTTTCTTCGATGTGAGCCTGGAAGTTGGTGAAAATTGCCCCTCTTTTGGTGCTCTCATGGGTGTTTGGATATTTTGATCCCCAGGTCATCTTTCAAGCCAAGTACAGCATGCACCAACCCCTCCGTGGCTGCATCCTACAGCCCCTGATCCACTGGTGGACTGCTCCACACCTGCTCCCTGTTGGGGTCTCTGTCCTCCTGGGTGATCTTCTAGAGCAGGAGTCTCAAGCTTTAGGGTATATGAGACTCGCCGGGGGTCTTGTCTATGCAGCATGCTGGGTCCCTTCCCAGAGCTCCTGACTTGACGCATCTGCCATGAAGCCAGTATGAACATGCATTTTTAGCAAGATCTCAGGTGCCGCTGATGCTGCTGATCTGAGGACACCCTGCTCTGGAGACTAGAAACATCTCTGGCCTGGTCTCCCTCCCATGCTGCTCCTGTGTAGCCTGCAGGAGACACCTCCTGGCAGCCGGGTGTGCAGGCTGGTCCAGCGCAGCCACCTCAGTCCCTACCGGAGTGGTCTCTGGCAACTCGGGTACCATTCTCTGGGCCTACCCAAGGAACATATTACAGGGGCTGGAGCTGACCTGCTGGAGCCCCCTAACTCAGTCTGATGGAAAGAAGACTTAAAAAAAAACTTGTGATGTTAATTTAAATTTTACAGAAAAATTGTGAAGCTAGTACAAAGACTTTATGTAAACCTGCACCCTGGTTCCCTTTCACTCTTATAGTAGATTTGTATCACTAATGAACCACTCTTGAAACATTATTATTAACTCAAGTTCATACTTTATTCCAACATCCTTAGTATTTTTCTAATGCCCTTTTTCCATCCCAGGATGCCATCCAGATCCCGCATGACATCTGGACATCATGTACCTTCAGGCTGTCTTGCTGTGACGCCTTTTCTGACTTTGCTTGTTCTTAGTGACCTTAGCAGTTTTGAGGAGCACCTGTAGGGTGTTCTGTAGAATGTCCTTCAATCCAGAACTTCTTTTTAAATTCCTCTTCTGCTTGCGGGGCATCTTGAGTCATGGAAATAGATTCTCATTTGTTTTCTTTGTAAATTCTGCCTAGAGCCAGGGTCTGCAGAGATCTCTCTGGAATCTGATAGCTAGAGGCCTCAGTTGACCCTGAGGCAGGCCCCATTCCTGTTAGAGAAGGTGCGTGGAACTGGTGTGGTTGGGAGGAGTGGTTGAGAATGGTCTCTGTGGGCACGGGGTTTGCCCGGCAGGCAGCTGCCCAGTACGGCTGCCTGTGTGGCTGATGTCATGTTCTCATCCCATCTGATGCACTCTCCGCAAGTCACTTTCAGAAACTGGAAGATCCCACTTAATTCTGCTCTGGAATATATTTAGAAATCTATTCATGGCCCTCTCCCAAAGCTGATGTTAAAATTAAGAGATATCATTTGTAGGATGTCATGGCTGTGCAGGAGGAACATGCTGATGTCTCCCTGGCCGCCTTTGGTTTCTTCTCTTGCTTAGGGATTTGCCCAACTCCCATTGCCCATCTGAGCCCAGCTTTCCCCCTCTGAGCCCAGTTTTCCTCCTCTCACCCCAATGTCAGAGTGGGCACATCCTCCCTGCGGAGGCATGCAGGCTTTTCCTCTGCATGCACCGTCTCTGTCTTGCGTGACAGCCCGGGGCTGTTTCTCACCCTTGTTACGCTGGGGTTCTTGGCTGAGAGCTCCTGGGCAGGGGCTGACTTTGAGATGAGGCTTCTCTGTTCGTTTCTGGCTGGTTCTAGATCTGGGTGGCATTTGGAGGGTGCACCGCTTGTATCTGTGACCGAATACCTCAGGGTTTGTGGTGAGGGACGTGGAGATTTCTGTGCTGCAAGAGATCTTAGTGCTTCTATTGTGCTGGGGAGAGGCCAGCCCATCTTGGGGTACCAGGGCTGGACCAAACTTTAGAGGGGGTCTGACCCAGGTGTTCAGAGCCAGAAATATTATTTGCAATCCTCTGCAGGGAATTTAAAAATGAAACCATTCTGAACTCTCCCTCCAGAATTCATGGTCGTCAGCCATTCAACAAATATTTACTGGACACCTGTTTTAAGCCTGTCACCGTTTTTTGAGTATGCATATAGCTATATATGGCAGGTTGCAGTGACGACTCATGTCTCTGCCTTCATGGAATGAGTAGTCTCGTGGGATGAGGGGAAACAGACAGCATAGAAATAGATGTATGATGGGACTCTAGGTGGTTATAGATGCCTGGAGTGATGATAAAGTGAGGCTGGAGGAATGAGACTGGCAGGGAGGAGAGCCCAACTGTCTGTGATAGATGGTCAGAGAGGACCTCAGAGCAGGGCATCTGTGCAGAGACCAGGCAAAGTGAGGGAGCTGGTCATGTGACTACCCTCGAGAAGAGCACTAGGGCAGCAGGAACAGCAGGTGCAATGGCCCTGCAGCAGGCATGTGCTTGGGTGTGGTAGGAACAAGGAGACCAGTGAGGCTGAGTGAGTGATGGAAAGGGGCAAGTTTTTGATGCCCACAATGCCAAGAGGTGGCCAGGGGAGGATCCCAGGGAGGTGCCGAGGCCTGGGGGAAGACTTGGGCTTTATTTTCAGAGCTGCCCGTTGAAGATTTGAATGGCTGCAGAGTGAGATGAGATTGTGCTGGAGGATTCGAAGGTCATTTAGTCAGAGATGCTGGTGGTTTGGAGCAGGTTGTTCACAGCAGATGTTCTTTGTGCCTGCATCACAATTCCTTGGACCAGCTCTGCCTTGGTCTTCAGCTGTGGCTTCAATCAACCAGCATGTTGGGTGATGAGCGCTGTATTGGAGCAGGTGGCTACACTTTCAGGAATGCTGCAAGCTGGCTGCAGTGGGAAGTATTTACACCATGGCAATTGGCAAATGTACATATCAGCTCCCTTATACCACCCAAACACTTTCCAGCACAGCACAGCCATGAGCCCAGTGCTGTGGATATTCTCCCAAGCATCAAAGTGCAGCCAGGACATGAGGGGAGCTAATGTCTGAAGGACAATCCTCAGCTGACGAAATGGGAGTAAACATCCCAGGCATGCATCCTTTAGGTGGGTGCTTCTTGGAGCTTTCAGAGAATGCAACCTTGCTGCCTACAGCTGTGACCCTGGAAATGCACGTGTGTGGGTTTGCCCTTCCTCCCTCCCTCACTCTCATTGCTCCCTTGCTTCTGCTTCCTGAGATACCTCCCAAATAAGCTACCTTCACCTAAGCCCGCCTGCAGCTCTGCTTTTAGGAGAATCCAATTAAGATGGTGGTAGAGCTAGATGTGGTGTGAGAGGGATCAGATGGCTGGGATGAGACAGAAGAGTCCTGGATGACTCCAAGCGTTCCAGCCTGAGCAGCTGGAAGGATGGAGAGGTTCTGGCGGCAATGGGGAGGAACCATTGAGATGAGCAGGATGGGGGTTGGGCAAATCAATGCTCTGTTCAGCTGTGGACAGGTTCTGTTTGAGAGACCTATCAGATCCCCAGGTGGAAATTGTACCTGGAGTTAGGGAGAGGTGTGTGGTTGGATAGAGATATCTGGGACTGGACAACACTGATTAGGTCAGGTGCCCACCTGCATCTGTGATTCAGTTGTGCCCTCCTGCTTAGGAAGCGTCTGTGTATCTATGTATGTATCTATCATCCATCTATTTATCATTTATCTCTCTTTTTTATTTATCTCTCAATATATCTATCATCTATAAATATATGTATATTCTAGCATCTAGTCATCAATCATTTATCTATTTTTATTTATGTATCAATATATCTATAATCTATTTTTCAATATATCTATAATCTGTCATCCATCTGCTAATCGATCATCTACCATTATCTATCAATCTGTGTATCTATCGTCTCTCTCTCTGTCCATCCATCCATCCATCTATCCAGGCAGTGCTTGCTTCCTTCTGCCCCCTCCTTAGCCCATCCCTGCCCAGGAAAATTCTCGTCCCTGCTCAAATGCCTTCAGTGACAGGAAACTCACCAACCTCTTAAGGCTTCGGCATGGAAGTTTCCAACTCATGTGGCCACTCCAGAATGCTGTCCTCCAGGGACTGTGTTTCTCTCTCATGTCCTCCTCCCAAGATTTATTTACACTCCTCACTTGCCAGGAGAGAGTACTTGGGAGCTCCGAGCCATGCGTGTTCCCTGGCAGGGTCGCCTGTGTGCTGGGGAAGAATGGGCCCAGTCATGGGGTGGAGACGCCCCCCAGCTGCAGCCCTGGCTCCCGAGCAGAGGCGGCTTTGTGCTTCTCGGGGACAAGGGTTGCCATTGAGGCAGGCCAGGGATGCTGTGCAAGCTAGCGATGGCTGCAGGCTGAAATCGGGCATTTCACAGAGAGCAAGCACTGCACTGTCCCCGCAGCCTGCACGTGAATGGAGGCTTTGGCCCTCGGAGTGCAGCCGTGCATGGGGCCACGTGCAGGCATTTCTGGCTCCTGGCTCCCAGGGAGAGAGGCGAGCCCTGTTCTCTCCCCGAGTTCTGTTTGACAAAATTCACAAAAACACAAAGAAACAAAAAGTACGGGAGAGGATCAGTTCATTCTCCTGACTCCTGGTTGGTCTCAAGACCTCCCCTGTTGCCTGTGCTCTGGAAGATTCCCCATAGTACCTACTAGGTGGGCCAGAGAAGGATGGATTTGTGGGACCCTGGAAGGCTGGGAAGAGGACTGAGAAGCCACAGCCCTGCGCTGGGAAGAGCCACGGAGGTTAGATCTTGTTTTTTGTTTGTTTTTAATACAATTGTTCACACTTTCTAAACTTTTTTGAAATAATTTTAGACTCACGTGGGGGTTGCAGAGCTTCCCTCAATGACAGCATCCACCTTTCCATGGTTCACTGGTTGGCACCAGGAGGTGGACATTGGTACAGTGAGGTTAACTAAACCAACTAAACCAGAGGCCTTAGCGAATTCCACCAGGTTTTGCAAGCACTTTTGCTGTTTTTTCAGTGAATAATTGAATGAAATTTTATCACACCTATAGCTTCACGACAACCAGGTGAGACTTGACTTTTAAATAATGAGGCGCCAGGCCCCTTGGCTCCTGAAGTGGCATGGGCGACGTGTGTGGATGCTGACTGGATGCCCACCTGCTTCCTTTTCTCTACGTTGTGCCCCCACCATGCTCCAGTGGCAGGGGCAGCCTCCTCCTGGCCCCCAGGCCTCTGCTTCTCTGGTGCCTGTGGAGGCTCAAGCCTTTACCCCACCTCCCTTCTTCCCAGGAAGGCCCTGGCTGCCTGAGAAGGCCCAGCCTTCCCCTTCTCCCTCCGCTGTTCTGGCTGAGCTCATCTCCTGTGGCTGCCCTAGCATGTGCTGCAGACTGGGGGATTCCACAGCAGAAACCTACTCTCTCGCAGTGCTGGAGGCTGGAGGTCTGAGATCAAGGTGCCAGCAGGGCGGGTTCCTTCTGAGGGCTGTGAGGGCAGGACCCGTCCCAGGACTCTCTCTGTGGCTGTGAGTGGCCGCCTTCTCCCTGGTTCTCTTCACATGATCATCCTGCCCTTCCAGGGTATGAGCTCCATGCCTGTCCCCAGAAGATCTGGAGGCTTCCATCTTCTGCTCCTTATCAGACAATGGAGCGGAATAAACACGGTTGCCTCTCTGGAATTGGAGCTTAGTGCTCATGAAATAAAATTCTCTTAATCTCACAATTGTCCTCAATACAGTTGCAGTGGGTGGCACCGAATGAGTGTCGTGCTTGTCAAGACAGCCACTGTGGCCTTCCGTCTTCCCACTGACTGATGGCAAGTCACTAGAAGGAAGCACCCAACTCCCCGTGATGGCATTAAATGACACCCGTGGGTGTGGCTGTAGACCAGGGGTTCTAGGCAGCCAAGGGGGTTCCATGCAGCCAAAGGAAAGAAGAAACTTTCCTGCAGAATGCATGAATATAGGGCCAGGTCCTAAAGCCCAGCCCACGGGCAAGTGTGTCCTGGTGGTTGCCACTTTCCAGTCAACTGATTAGTGTCAATCATGACACTGATTTCCTGGCAATGTGTGAGATGATTTTAGGTGGTAAATGAACTATTAATTTTATAAAGAACGTTCATATCAGGTATATGTCTGTTTAATTTTTCTTTTTTCTTTTTTTTGAGATGGAGTCTCACTCTGTCCCCCAGGCTGGAGTGCAGTGGTATGGTCTTGGCTCACTGCAACCTCTGCCTCCCAGGTTCAAGTGATTCTCCTGCCTCAGCCTCCCGAGTAGCTGGGATTACAGGTGCCCACCACCACACCTGGCTAATTTTTATATTTTTAGTAGAGACAGGGTTTCACCCTGTTGGCTAGGCTGGTCTTAAACTCCTAACCTCAGGTGATCCGCCCGCCTAGGCCTCCCAAAGTGCTGGGATTACAGGCTTGAGCCACCGTTCCCAGCCTGTTTAATTTTTCATTAGAAAAATATTGCATTTCCATTAAAGTAGACGTCAAGTTTTCATTTTAAACTTTCTTAAGAAAACATTATATTCATTTTAGACCAAGTGGTTCTATTAGAGCAACATCCATAAGAGTGGTGACGTGTGAGTGAAGTTGGGGAGACACCGGGTGGTGCAGTTACCCAGCACCATCTAGAGGAAGTACCACTGGGGTGGGCGGTTACCTGGCACCATCTAGAGGAAGTGCCACTGGGTGGGGGTCCCTTCACAGAGGCAGGGTCCAGTCCCGGCCACCCTCAAGGAGCTTGTACTGTCGAAGTGGGGAGGGGGACATGAGAAATGTTGACTCAGGGGCAGAGGGTTCTTAGGCTTATCAAGGAAGCTCTAGGATTCTCGGTGTTCTAGGGGATTCGAGGAGGAAAGTTACACCTGATGGGTAGACAGGGGTGGTTGGAGGGATTTGGTAAAACGTTCATGAAGAAGGGGTGGGTCTGTGGGGTTTCTGGAGTTGAAGTGACCACCACCAGGGATGCTGGCATGTGGAGCTAGCTTCATGGCTGTTAGCTGTCATTGTGGAATGGAAGTTAAAGTGTGCGTTGAGCAGGGCTGAAAGAGGCATAGACCTCCCATACTGGGAGAGAAGCCATGCTCAGGGAAGAATGCCCAGAGGCTAAAAGTCAGGGTCAGATGCCCATCTTAGGGGCCCTTGGTTGCCATAATTATCAAGGCAAGGTCCTTGGATAAAGTCTGGTCCGGTGCCTCTGAAACTTCTATGTGCATACATGTCACTGGGAGTCTGGTTAAAATGTGGATTCTGACGCTTGGGTAGGGCCTGAAACTCTGCATTTTTAATGAGCTCCTGGGGGATGCTGCTCCTCAGATGCCCCGCTCTTCTGTCCCCTAGCCCCCAGCAACAGCAAACACTTAGTGCCTGCCTTTCTGCAGGGACAGGGGAGGGAGGTTTGTTTGCAGTGACAGTTTTTGGGTAGCTATGGAGGGAGGAGAGAGGTAGGACTTTGTCTTGGTCCAGTTTACAGGGGCCTTGACAGAGGCAGGAGGGGTGGGCAGGAGTTGCCAACTTTTATATTTTGGTCAACTAGGGATGTTTAAAAACAACAATGAAGAAAAACCCGAACATCCTTGGTTTCACAACAGTATAATAATAACACTATTAACACCAGTATTTCCCAAAAGAAATGGAATTTCAAATCCAAAGAGTCAGGAAGGCCATATACTCCAACAGAAGACAGTCTTTTCAAGGACACAGAGCCAGCCCCCAAAACACCTCACTGCATTGTCCTCATTTTTCAAAGGACTTGGGAAACATCACCCCAGGCTGGCATGGATGACTGGGCTGAGGCTTGGGGGCTGCGGCTGTATGAACGGGAATGCCTGTGGTCCTCAGAGCTGAGGTCTGTGTTCCCAGAAGCCCCTGTAGAGTGGCATCTGGCCCCGGCCTGTGGTAGCCTCTGTCCTTTCCCAGGAGAGAGGTTGCCAGGGCCTGAGCAAACACTGACCTGGAGTGTCCCTGCTTCTGAACCTGCCTCCCTATCGTCCTCACCTTGTGGTGTACGGGACGTGTGGGGACTGTATCATCTGGGCTGTGGCTGGCGGCCTCTCGTCTAATGCTACCACATGCCCTTCATAGGCCATGATGAGCCATGGCAGTGCTGACTGTGTTCTACCACTGCTCCAGGTTCCTGAGATGCTCACATCCTGGGATGTGCTGGGGTTGAGCACCAAAGCTAGGGGAGGTCCTAGTAGCCCACTCCTGTTCCTCAGTCCCCTTGCGTCTGGCTGGGAAAAGGTGCACCTCCTCCGTCTCTGTCCACGTGGAATTGACCATCATCCTGCACAGTCTCTGCCCCTGGTAATTGGTTCTCAGATGGGCTCATGACTCAGGCTTCACGAATGAGAATCTGTTCTAGGACTTCAGTTGAAGCGCTTGGAAAGAGTTGTTTTCCCTCCACAAGAAGTCACAGAGCTGGTCGGCTGTGGGCTTGGAGTGCTGGTGGCCATTTTCCCCAACCCAGCTGGAGCCTGAGAATGGAACTAGCCCAAAGGAAAGCTGAGCAAAGACAATTTTGAAGGTTGATTTCCCGATGGCATTATTTGCATCCCTGGATCCAGCGTGTGTGAAGCTGGCGCACCCCCGGGCTTCTCAGTTAAACACTTCCTCCCTTTCAGGCTTCAGCAGCTTTGATTGGGCTTCTGCCATTTCTGATTATTACAGGGACTTAGAGGAAGGAAATGGCTTTGCCCAGATCACAGGGCTCATGAAAGTGCCCAGGCTGGAATGCAAATGCCCACCTACTTCCCCTCACATCACTCTCCCTCACCTGCTTTAAGTGCATGCCCAGTCCCAGGGAGATCTTCCCATCACTCTTTGGGGATTCTGCCTCACTGAAAGCTCTTGAAGCTGCTTCAAAGTGGAGTATCATGGTGTTTCCCGGGAGGGTGGTTGCCGGGTGCTGAGAAAGACTGGCCTGCAGTGCTCTTGCTTTTGCACTTCCGTCCCCCACCTTGATCCTGGGGTGCACGGGGGCAGGAAGGAGAGGAGTGTGGGAGTTGATGGGGAGATGAGAGGAGACATCTACCCATGGCCTCTGCTTCTGGGAGGACCTGTCACACTCCCAGTGACACAGCGTGTGCTAGAGATTAGGCTTTTCTCGTGAAAGTAGGGTTTTGAAATATAAATCATTCTATAAAGACATATGCATACGTGTGTTTATTGCAGCACTATTAACAATAGCAAAGACATGGAAACAACCCAAATGCCCATCAATGATAGATTGGATAAAGAAAACGTGGTACATATACACCATGGAATACTATGCAGCCATAAAAAGGAATGAGATCATGTCCTTTGTGGGGACACGGATGAAGGTGGAAGCCATCATCCTCAGCAAACTAACACAGGAACAGAAAACCAAATACCACATGCTCTCACTTATAAGTGGGAGTTGAACATTGAGAACACATGGTCACAGAGAGGGGAACAACCCACACCAGGGCCTGTTGAGTGGTGGGGGTGAGGGGAGGGATCTTAGAGGACAGGTCAATAGGTGCAGCAAGCCACCATGGCACATGTATACCTATGTAACAAACCTGCACGTTCTGCATATGTATCCCGCTTTTCTTTTGTTTTTGTTTTTAGAAGAAATAAAAGAAAATAGAAGCTCACTTGCCTGGATACTTTAATATTGCCTGGGTTTTTGTGTTGTGGAGGGCTCTGTAAGTCATGGAAAAGGTATTCTCAGGAGCTGCTAATGACATATTTAATTTTAATAATGAGTCACCCATGCCCACAATTTATTACCTCCTGTGGCTCTGGACTCTGGTTCTTTGAGTGGTATAATAGGGCGGAGGTTAATGGATAACACAATTAATTATTTAGGAGGTTCTTACAAAGCCAAAGACTTTGTAACAGATTAACTAATAGGTTCCTAACTTCATTATCATTTTGATTTTTCCAAAGAATATTTTCTCCCAAACCACTCAACTGTATAACATTACTGGGAAATGTCTAATTTTTACACGATTCCTCTGCTCAGTTTAAATACTAATGTTCTGCTTACTCCGTCACTGTTCAGCGCCCAGCTTTCGGTCTTCACCTTATTGCCTGGGAGATAGATATAATGGATTCAGATGTTATGAGCCCTGGAAGGGTTTGTAACATAAGGCAGTATTTTAATGCTTTAGGGGCTGGAAATATTTAAGGCAATATTTTAATTCTCATGAGGGACGAAGTGTTGTGGTTGCAAGTGCAGCCTCTGAAATCAGGCGGAGCTGGGTGTGAATCCCAGCCTCTGCACTTAGGTTGGTTACATCACCTCTCCAACTCCGTTCCCTCCTTCATAAAATGGGCACACTAGTAGTATTAACCTGGTTGCATTGCAGTGAAGATTCAATGAGAAAATGCAGGTAAAACACTTAATGTGGTGTCCAGCACAGAGTAACAGGTTAGGAGTGTTGGCCGTGAACGGTGGTGATGGTCATCTAATCACAGCATGGAATGAGGAGGAGCAAGCCCTCACCCTGGCCTGCTGCTCCTTTGTTGATGAAATGCCTGTGGTTGTTTTCACACCGCAGCAACAGAATTGAGCATTTTCCCAGAAAAATTTCCCGGTCTAAACTGTTTACTCTCTGGCCCTTCATAGAAAAAGAATCGCTGCTCCCTGCCCTCAAGGCAGCCTCCTGTGCTTTTATCTTCTCGGGTCTCCTTTCAGAGGCCTCATTATAGGTGAGCGCCATCCAGCAGAACGTCCTGTGATGATGGAAATGGTCTAGGTCTGCGCCATGCCGCCCGGGATTGCGCCGCTGGCCGCAGATGGTTGCTGAACACTCGAAATGTGGCTCATGCAACCTCAGAATGGAATTTTTAAATTTTACTTAGCTGTAATTGATTTAAATTTAAATAGCCACCTGTGGCTAATGGCAACCACATCGGGCAGTGCAGTGACACCACACCGGCTCAGAGTAGAGAACCAGTCACCTCCATTCTAGCATCCTTTCTGAGAGTGCCGGGTGGAGGGTGCTGGCTTTGGCTGAAATAAAGGAAAGGGAGAAGGCTGCTCCTTGCATTTTCTTTTTCTGTTCTTTTTTCTTTCTTTCTTTCTCTCTCTTTCTTTCTTTCTTTCTTTCTTTCTTTCTTTCTTTCTTTCTTTCTTTTTCTTTCTTTCTTTCTTTCCTTTCTTTCTTTCTTTCTTTCTTTCTCTTTCTTTCTTTCCTTCCTTCCTTCCTTCTTTCTTTCTTTCTTTTTTTTTTTTTTTGAGATAGAGTTTTGCTCTTGTTGCCCAGGCTGGAGTGCAATGGCGCAATCTCGGCTCACTGCAACCTCCACCTCCCAGGTACAAGCAATTCTTTTGTCTCAGCATCCCAATAGTTGGGATTACGGGCGTGCACCACCACACTCGGCTAATTTTTTTGTATTTATTAGAGACGGGGTTTCACCATGTTAGTCAGGCTGGTCGTGAACTCCTGACCTCAGGTGATCCATCTGCCTCAGCCTCCCAAAGTGCTGGGATTACAGGCATGTGCCATCGTGCCCGGCCTGCTCCTTGCTTTTTATTATGTTTTTGCTGATTCAAAGCATCTGTAAATATAAAAATTGAACTTACTCTTTTGTGTGAACTATTTGGTAAACATTCACAAGCATGAAGAAGGAAGTTAAGATGTCTTAATCCCATGCTGTAGAGATAAAGGATTTTGGGCAGTACATTTGCTGTCACTTTCAAATATTTGTATGGCGCGTAAGAGGGGAGTCATAATGTCTGCATGGGGTGTGCCCCCACTTTTCTGCTGGGACAGGGACTACACAAAGCTTCATATTATCCTGATTAATGGCTGCAGGGTGCTCGGTGTGCAGTGGCCTCTCTGGGCAGGTCTCCGGGCTGCACACAGTTGGGGACTGTTTTAAGCTGCTCAGTGATGAGTGTCCTTGCTGTGAAGTATTTCTGTGTTTTTCATGTTTGTCCAGAGTGGCCACGAGGTCCTCCTAAGAGACTTTGATCAATGTATGTTTCTACAGAAAATGTTAGAAGCTGCTGCTCCTTCACATTAGCTAATGCTGGATCTTGCCCATCTTTCTTCCTTGTGCCAATCTGCTGGCGAAAAATTGCTTGTCTATATTTTCATCACTTTTATGTATTTATTTTTTTAAAAAAGACATGTTCCCAGAAGTCACTGCTTGGAAATATCTCTGGTCATTTCTCTTGCTTCTTTTAGTTTCTGGGTGAGGCCAGTGGTTATAAGCCAGTTCCTGAGTCTTTGGACAGTTTAATGGGGGCATGGATCAGGTCGCAGATAGCAGACTTTGATAGCACTTTGATTCAATGAGGGCCTACTATGAGCTTTGCAGGTTTTATCTCATTCAATATTCATAACCACCTGAGGAGCTGGGTGCTATTTATCCCCATTTTACAGGTGAAGAAACTGAGAACTCTCTCAAGTCCTGGTGGATGAGGGACATAGTCTGGATTTGAACAGAGCATGTGGCCACCTGAGCTCACACTCCTGGTCAGCACACCATGGGAGGCATGGGGAGGGGAAGGGGTGTGGGAGATGGCCAGGAAGACCTGGTCTGGATCGGGGCTCTGCTTACTGGCTGTGAGGCTCTGGACAAAGTTATGTGACCTCTCAGAGCCTAAATTTCCCCAGCTCTCAAATGGATATCAGGATATTTACCTTGAGGTTGTTGTAAATAGAAATGGAGATGTGTATGAAGGCCCTGGCATAATTCCTATACTTCACTGATGCTTGATAAATGATGGCTGTTTTCTGTACTATTAGCAATGATTATTAATACAGTGATGAAAAATACAGAGCAAAGATGATAAACAGAAAGTGTCTAGAAGATAGTTGCTACCTGAGAGTTAGCTATTGTTTATTCTGTTAATGTGTTACAGTGTAGGTATTTCTACATTCAGTAACATCATAAGCAAAGAAGACTTTGCTTGCCAAGGGCCCTATTGAAAGCCCTCGATGGGTACAGGCTGTTATCTCACCAACACAGACTCTGATCCAAGGTGACCAGGAGAATTTTAGAATGATCTAGGCAAGGAAATTGCCGTGCTTCCAAAGCAACCTGCTCCTCAGGCTCCCTGTGGGGCTGTCTGCCCCAGCTTGCCACACCTCTGCAGGTTTGTGGCTTTGTTTCCTGTATGGGGTCTGAAGGTGAGCAGTACCTTTGTTTCCTGTATGGGGTCTGTTCTGTGTTCAGAAGCAGGACTCAGGGCTGCTGGAGCTGGAGCTGGAGCCTCTGAGTCCTCAGGGTTCTCCACAGCTCTCCTGACCAGCTCTGCTAGAGCGATGTCTCTGGCAGATGCCTTTTCCCTGTTGCCCTGTGGTCTGGCCTTTCTGCTGTAGGTTAAAGAAATCACAGTGTGGGCAGGTGGCCTAGTCTGTAAGTGTGTCCTCTAGTGACCTTTGTTTTACCTCTAGCCATGCTTGCTGTTTGTCCTTTCTTGGGATTACATAGTTGGCCAGGCCAAAACATCTTAGCTCACATGAAATCCAAGTTCACAGCTGGTAAAAATGCCACAGATTAAATGCTCCATAGAAATTCATGTCTATAATGGATGCATTTCTCCTGGGAATTCACTCCTTAAATAGGATGACCTTGTCATTGACTCCTGTCCCTACCCTCAACCCTAACGTGAACAAATATGAAATGATCCTTAACCAACCAACATGCTAGAATAAAGACACAAAGCATTAAAAAAAAAAAAAAAACCAACAAACAATGAGGAGGGAGGAGTAATTCTTTTGGCAAAACTTGATTCCCTATTGTGGTTGATGTGGCTGCATTCTTTTTGCTCGTTGAGAAGTTGCTAGAAGACAGGGTCAGTGGTGGTTCTATGAGGGTGGCTACCATTTTTCTTGAGGGACTGCTTTTATCTGCCAAGCACATAGTTCTTTACATACTTTATCTTCCTGAAGCCTCATGAGAGCTCTAAGAGATTCCCATTATTATTATCCCCATTTTGAGCATGAGGAAACTAAAGCTCAGGGAAGTATGGGAATAGAAAACTACATGGCCAGGGTCTGAATCCAGGCTGTTTTGCTGCTGGCCCCAAGGTCTTAGCCCCAGTGCATACTATTAAATGCTGCCTGAGTTCCTTGACACCTGCACCACTACCCCTCCTTCCACCAACCAGGTGGGGTTCACTGGTATAAGCTGTCTTAGCATGTTGAAAGTGCTCTTGTAGTACTTAGAAACACTGTCATTTAACTGCTATTTAGGTTCTTAGTAGTTGTAGCTATGTTAGATGGATGGGCCAAGCCATAGCCTTGTGAGGACAGGGACAGTATCCAGTTTGTTATCCATCCCTTATCTATGCCTTATACACAGTAGAGTCTCCATAAGTGCTGGGTGGATGGATGGGTGGGTTGGTGGTGGATGGATGGATGGATGGATGGGCAGGTGGGTGGGTGGATGAATGGATGATGGATGATGGCTAAGTAGATATATGAGTGGATAGGTAGATGGGTGGATGGATGGATGGATGGATGGATAGATTGATTGGTAGATGGGTGGATGGATTGATGGATGATTGCTAGGTAGATATATGAGTGGATAGGTGGGTGGGTGGGTGCGTGAGTGGATGGATGGATGGAGATTGATAGATGGATAGGTGGATGGATTGGAGAATGGGTGGATGGGTGGGTGAATGGATTGACGGATGATGGCTAGGTAGATATACCAGTGGATAGGTGGGTGGAGGGATGGGTGGGTGGATGGATGGATGGATAAATGGGGATGGATAGATGGATGGATGGATGGGTAGATGGACGGATGGATAAATGGAGATGGATAGATGGATGGATGGACGAATGGATGGGTAGATGGATGGATGGGTTGATGATGGCTAGGTAGATATATGAGTGGATAGGTGGGTGGGTGGGTGAGTGGATGGGTGGATGGATGGAGATTGATAGATGGATAGGAGGATGGATTGGAGAATGGGTGGATGGGTGGGTGAATGGATTGATGGATGACGGCTAGGTAGACATACCAGTGGATAGGTGGGTGGGTGGATGGGTGGGGTGGATGGACAGATGGATAAATGGAGATGGATAGATGGATGGATGGATGGATGGATGGATGGATGGATGGATGGGTAGACGGATGTATGGGTTGATGATGGCTAGGTAGATATATGAGTGGGTAGGTGGGTGGGTGGGTCTGTGGATGGATGGATGAGTGGGTAGAAATCCAGGCAGCTGGAAGGACAGTGGTGGAAGGACAGGTATTTGGAAGGACAGTCATTTGAAGAGGAAACAAAGACATAGTATTTGAGGGGGGAATTATCTGCACAGCCCCCAATTTGCTGACATTAGCTCCTGGAGAAAGGAGCACCTGCAGGATGAGCATTTCCCACCTGTCTGTTCTTTTCTCTTGGCCAAGAGGACCTCACAGCAATGCTCTGGTTACAGTCAGGGGAAGGCTGTACTGACCACACAAAGTTCCAAGAGGGGACAAGCATGGTGTGACCTCCAGCCAACTTGACTCTCTCATCTTCTCCCCACGTTCCTACCTTGGACCTCTTCTGGGCTGGCCGATTGAAAGAGAATATTCATAAAGCTGACTTTGAGGAGTGTTTTGGGAGGCAGGCACAAAGATTATTGGTATTGAGTCCCAGTTCTATAACTTACTAGCTGTGTGGCTTTGGGCAAGTTAATCCCTCTCTCTGAGCTTCAGTTCCCATCCTGATGCCAACCTTGGGTACTGCTGAGGGAGGAGGGGAGAAGGGGGATGGATGCACATGAATGGAAGGCAGTAGCAGTTGTTAATTCCCCTTATCTGACTTTCCATTTTACTACCTTCATTTCTTTTCTCTTAGACTCTTGGAAGAGATGTACTGTGCTGGGATATAAATTTTTGAAACCTGTTCTCTTTCCTCTTCCATGTTCTCCGTGATAATGCAGGAAAAAAACTCGCAAACCTGGCCATGATGCCCCTAGGCCGACAGAGGCTTTCCTAGTTCCAATTCTGGCATTGTAAGAGAGAGCTCTATGGAATAGCAAAAAACAGGCACACTTCATCCTGTGCATGCTGGGGTTGAGGCTGTGAGGTGTGCAACAGGACAGTAGAGCATAGCAGATGGGTTGATGAGCTGTGATCTGGATTCAGACCTACTTGTCTCAGACCCTGGGTCAGCCCGTCAGCAGCTGAGCAATATTGGGAAAGATTCTTAACCTTGGATGGTTGGTAGGATCAAGTACAGTCAGTGTAGAAATGCTTAGCTCACCACATGGACTCAGGACATGTCAACTCTCCCTGCTTTGGCTATAATTACTATCCTACTGTCAAGGAACTTTCTCTCTAGTTGGGCTAGGTCATGTGCGCAGAAGGGTTGGAGGACAAGGTGTTGAAGAAAGATTTCTCCAAAGATCCTGGTTGGATGTGAGCTGGATAGAGCAAGGCTGGAGAGTGCAGATGCCCCTGGGGCCAGGCGGTCTTCAACCAGTCTTGGTGAGAAATAGTAGCTCGACTCAGCTTTGGGGTGCAGAGACACTGGGGAGGGGCGGGGACTGTAGCAACCTAAAGTGCTCCTGCCCTGCCTGCAGAGGATGATCTGCACAGCCCTGCTCATTATGATGACATGGGCATGTGCGTGACTGTCAGCTCTTTGGTTTTCAAGAGAATTTGGAAGTCTAGGTTTCCATGCATCAAACCAGTAGTAGAGAAGGCAACCATGGGGAGAACCTAAGTCTTGTTTCTAGAGAGATCATAGGGTTGTAAATTTTACCTTGCATCTCAGAGAAGGGCAGTGCTATTTTAGATTAGGGAGGTTGCAAAGGTGATGAACTCCAAGAACACTGACAAATACCATTATCATTGCAAAAGAATCTTAAATGTGTCTTTGAAAAGCAAGCATTTGGCTTCTAAGTTGTAAAAATGGACCAAAAATGAAGCAGTAGAGTAGGGACTCATAACCAAGTTTATGCCATTATTGTTACAGGTTTCTTTTACTGTGTTTCTCTCTATATATATGCACATCTATATAAATATAGATACATAGATATATGGGGAGAAGATATAGATAGAGATAATGTATGCATATATATACATATTATATTTGTCTGGGTTCTCCAGAGGAACACCATCAATAGGATATAGAGATTTATCTATTGCCTATCTATTCATCTATTTATCTATCTACCAATCCATCCATCCATCCACCTCTGTTCATCTATCCATCCATTATCGTATCTATCATCTATCCATTCATCCATCCATGTATGTATGCATGTATGTATGTCTCTCTCTCTCTATCATTTTCATCCATTCATCCATTGTCTGTCTATCTGTCTATCTAGATGTATTAGAAGGAATTGGCCTATGTGTTGTGGAGTCTAAAAAGTCCCAGCAGTCAGCAAGCTGAAGACCTGAGAGAGCCAATGGTGTAGTTCTAGTGCGAGTTTGAAGGCCTGAGAAACAGGAGAGCTAATGGTGTAAATTTCAGTCTGAGTCTGCAGAAGACTGATGATTCAGCTCGAAGACAGATAGAGAGAATTCTTTCTTATTCCGTCTTCCTGCTCTATTCAGTCCCTCAATGGATTGGATGAGGCCCACTCATGCTAGGGAAGGCCATCTGCTTTACCCAGCCTATTGATTCAAATGTCAGTCTCATCCAGAAACTCCCTCATGGGCACCCAAAATAATGTTTCACCAAATGTGTGGGCACCCTCAGGCCCAGTCAAGTTGACACATTAAAGGAACCATCCCATGCATATCTATAGATTGTGTGTGTATGTACATTTGTGTATATATAATATATAATTATCCTGTTAAGGATGTCTCACAGCCTTGAGGCAGAGATTAATTGTGACCTGGTGGTTTCCAATGTTTCTGTATATACAAATAAATTATGCAGCAATGATACCCTAGTCTCATTTTATTAATTGCTCTTCTATTAGTCTGTTTAAAGTCAATTAAACCTCCCAAGGCCCCTCACGGAGGAACCTCTCACAAAATCAGTCTCTGTCACTTAGGAATCCTGAGTGGATGTCACATGGCTGTCCTAGCTCCTGGGGAGGGTGCAGACAACATCTCTGTTGGAACTCCTGGGTCTGTGGGTGATCATTGGCTTGCATTTTGTAGTGGCATGGCCCGTGGAGGTCCGGATGTAGAGAAGGCAGCCTTTCTGCAGAGCGTTAGAATTTGGGAAGAAGTGGTCAGGATTAGAGAGGAAAAAAAAGACTTAGACATGGACAAGGATGCCACCCCAGCTTACCCTTCCTCTAGTTTCCTGGACTTTTGCAGGGTTCGGTGGATAATTAGTTATTTGCTTGCTTGGTTGGTATCTGTTCACTTTTATTTCTTTTAGACTTTTTTTTTTTCTGATTAGAACAAAAATTATATTTATTATTGAAAATTCAGAATACATAGGAGATTATCAAGAACATCAAAAGCATTCACAAATCCCCCCACCCCCACCCCAGAGATAACCCCTGTGGCTACTTTTGTGTGTGTTCCTCCAGTACTTTTCCTATAGAAACATTTTTCCCGTGTCGGGATTGTTCAGCCTATATCCTTTATTAAATTAATACATCAGAAGCTTTTCTCCACACTGCTTAGGACACTTGGGACCAAATGCTCCAGAATAGGAATTTGCCACCATTTATTTTCCCATTCTGCTTTCATTGGAAACTGAGTCTGGCTTGAGGCTTTTGTTTGCTTCTTTCTTGCTATAGTAATTGGGATGGACTTAAGGCTGCCTGCCTTTTTGTGTACATCTCTGATTATTTCTTTAGGCTAAATTCCTAGAAGCTGGAACCCGGGGCAGAAGGAATGAAGATTGGAAACCCTTGGTGCATGACAGCAACTTGCTGTCCTGCCAACATTGGGGCGTTTGCCTACAGAAAGAGCTCTCTGGTTGAATCAAAGAATTTTAAGAATTTAATTCTTCTTCTTGTTTTTTGTTTGTTTGTTTGTTTGTTTTTGAGACAGAGTCTCACTCTGTCGCCCAGGCTGGAGTGCAGTGGCACGATCTTGGCTCACTGCAAGCACCACCTCCCAGGTTCACACCATTCTCCTGCCTCAGCTTCCTGAGTAGCTGGGACTACAGGTGCCCGCCACCATGCCCAGCTAATTTTTTGTATTTTTAGTAGAGACGGGGTTTCACCATGTTAGCCAGGATGGTCTCGATCTCATGACCTTGTGATCCGCCCGCCTCGGCCTCCCAAAGTGCTGGGATTACAGGCGTGAGCCACTGCGCCGGCCTAATTCTTCTTTTAAAAGTTGGGGATCAGAGTAAGGTGAGAAGGTATCCTGCACAGCATCAATGCACACAGCGCACATTAAATGAGTGCTATTCCACTTCATTTGTAGTATTTTTTTTCCCATTTGTAGGAACTACTTTTGTGCCTGACTTCCTTGTTCCTTTAAATGAGCCTTAAGGAAGTAGTGTTGGGGGAATTCAACACACACAGAGCAGTTGGTCTTTATTATGATTTTAAGCATCTTGTTTTCATGTGAGCACCCCAACTTTGCCTTTTGCTAAATTTTGCAACAAGTTTTGAGTAATTCTGCACAAAACAGTGCCCTTGCTCCAGGAGGAGAACAGACATTTGCTCGTTCTTCACAGGATAATTAGACTCTAAAATTAGAAGTCAAACACTGCATGTTAAAATGCATCTGGATAAAATCCCAGTGGGAGAATTAATCCTTCTTGGCAGTGCAGGGGAACTTGGGTGCACGCCTGATGGAGCGGCGAGAAGCTGAGAGGGAGTGAGGCAGCCCCTCTGTGTGGAGTGTTCAGGGCAAATGCACGGGTGCTGGTGACGCAGTCCCTTTACTTGTCTAAAAGTATTGGATTCTAAGTGAAAAGGGGGGTGGGGATAGAAGGCCTTCTGCCTCGCCTCCTGTAGTCACAGTTTGGATATCCTGTGAAAGTAGCACTTAGGCAGGCATTCGGTCCTGCTTGGCGTTGTTTGGTGGACTTGTTAGAGAACACTACTGACTGTGTTTGAGGAAGGAGGTGGAGCAGAGGGCTCAGGGCTTAAGCGGCATCTCCTCAAGGGCAGCAAGAGACCTGGAACGTTCCAGAGTAACCCCTGCCTGCATCCGTCGGACTTGCCAATACACACTGAGAAACTGCTAAAGGTTATGGATGCAATGGAGGCTTCTGGTATAGTGGGGAGGAAAAGCCTCCATTATGAAGTCAAAGGCCATTGCGTGCCTGCAGTGTGCGACAAGAGCTAGTGGTTGCAGCACCCTGATGGGCAGAAGCTTCCCTCACAGAGCTATGGTGATGGAGAAGGCAGCTGCAAATCAAGTCATTACCAGCAAGGTTATAAAATTATTTGATTGCATTTCGAAGTGAAAAACAGTTTTGAATTAACTTCTATTTGTTGTGATATAAACAACAGATATAAAAAGATATAAAAGGAAATAAACAGTGACCATGACATTGGTTGTTCAGTTTCAACACTATCTTCGGGTTCCCTGGTCCTTGTCCTCCCTCATTCGCCTCCCCCACCACTGAATTGTAGACTCCAACAGGGGGCGGGAGCTGAGTTTGTTTTTGCTCCCAGCTGGGACTCCAGGGTCTAGCACTGGCCTGGTGCTTAGCAGCCTGTAGCAAGTATGTGTTGAATGGGCAAATGTATCCTTTGGCGGTACGAGACAGAAGCTGGTGGTCCTGTGCTGCCTGTGGCCAGAGCACTTCCAGCATACGGGGCCAGGACACATTTGCCCTGGTGTCCCAGGTTGCTCCAGGCACAGGCTGCACCTCCTGGGGGCTCTCCCTGCACCAGCCTGGTGGTTCTCTGTCGCTTCTCCTGCACCCTGCGCCTTCCCTTTGTGTCACATCCCTACCTCATCGCTACTCATTTGTTGGCCAGTGTTTTTTTTAGAGGATCTCTTTTTATAAAATTTCAGTTTTTATTTTAGGTTCTGGAGGTACATGTGCAGGTTTGTTACCAGGGCACATCGCCTGATGCTGAGGCTGGGGCTTCTGTTCATTCTGTCACCCAGATAGTAAACATAGGGCCTGACAGCACGTTTTTCAGCCCTTGTCCCCCTCCTTCGCTCCCTCCCTTTCTCTTTCGGAGTCCCCTGTGTCTGTTGTTCTGTATGTTTGTGTGTACTCAAGATTTAGCTCCCACTCATGAGTGAGAATAGGCAGTATTTGGTTTTCTATTTCTGCGTTAATTCACTCAGGATAGTGGCCTCCAGCTGCATCCATGTTGCTGCAAAGGATATGATTTTGTTCTTTTTTATGTTAGCAGATCTTTTTTTTTTTTTTTTTTTTTACCCACTCTCTGATTCTCCATGCATCATGAGTCCCCCAAAGGCAGGGCTGGGTTAACCTCCCTGGGCCCAGAGAACAGGTGCTCAGTATTTTTAGAATGAACAAAAGTTCTCTTGTGGAATCATGAGGGAGGTGGAGGGAGGAAGGAAGGAGGGAAGACCTCTGCCCTGGCTCTTTCTCCTGCCTGAAACAGCCTCCCTCAGATCCCAGCCTGTGGCGCCTTTCTCGTCACGTGTGTGTCCGCCCCACACTGCCCTCCCTGGCCTCGGAGGCTAAAGCGCTGGCCCCTGCCAGCCTGGACCTCTCCTCGTCCTGCTTGATTTGATTCTGAGCGTGCTCATCACCATCTGGACATATGTTATTCACGCACAATTAAATGTTGCTTATATTGCATATAAAACATAAATTTATATAATGATATACATGTACATATGTGTGTGTGGCGTGTGTGTGTGTGCATATCCCTGTCGACACCACCAGAATATGTTTTAATGAAACCGTCATGTTTTAATGAAAACAGAAAGCCTTCTGTTTCATGTCGTGACGCTGGAATGAAAACAGTCTCTCCCAGCATCTAGCTCAGTGCCTGGCACATCATGAAAGCTTAATAAATACGGCTAGAATTAATGAATGAGTTTCTTTCCCCTCCCCTGTCCTGTATTTTTAATAAGGCTGTTGAGCCTGGGGCCTCTGCCCTCTGCTGGTCACTATCATCACACAGCCTCACTCAGGAGGCCCCTGGCCCCGTTCTGCCTGGAGTGTTGGCAGGTGGCAAGGGTTGTAAGCTCCTGCCCAGTCCCGTGGGCAGTTCTAGGATCTTACCCCCAGCCCCTGCGATTCTGAGGGGACGTGTCAGTCATTCAGCCTCCAGCCAGTCCCTGGGGATGTCTGAGGGAGGAAGTAAGGCTCAAGTCCCCTGAAGTGGGCAGCTCCTGTCATCCACAGCTGCTGCTTGTTAGTGGGAGCCCTGGGGCCCTGGGTAAATGTCCTGCCAGAGCTGGGCTCACTCTGGCCTCCTTTGTATACCTGGGGGCAAGGTTTAGCTATTCAGCAAGGGCTGTTTTAAAAAATTGGGTTGGTTCTGGATATTATAATACCTTTTTATAAAAGACCACGAAGAAAACTACATTTTCTTGGTGACTTTTACAATAGGAGCAAGTTAAATTTTCTTTCTTCACTGAGTTGTCATTGTTGCCTTTTTTTTAAAATCAGTTTTTCCCTGTCAAAAGAAAGTACCTTACCATGTGATCTACTGAAATATAGGAGTTACACTGAACGAAGTGAAAATGAAGCTTGTTTGTCAGTCCTTCCTGCTGACTTTCTCAATCTGGGCCCAGTGTACCCTGGGAGGCACAGCCAGAGCCCAGGGAGTGAATCCGATTGTTCAGTAGATGCAGTTCCCCAGTTCAGGCCCTGCAACTACCAGTCCAGGCCTGGAGGGGAGCATGCATCCCCCAGGAACATGACTCGGAGCTGGAATCTGACTAGGCATAGGAGTTAATTGGGCCTGAGGCAGGGAGGGTGCTGGGAAGAACATTCTAGGGAGAGCAGACAGCATGTATGCATGCACACATGTTCTGTGGCAGAAGACTGTGTGAGTGTTTGGGGAGGTATGAGTGACTCTGAAAGGGTTTTTCCCAGTGGAGCACAAAGATGCCCGTGTTGTGGGAGGAAGCCCAAGGTGGGACCAGGCAGGGCTCATTAAAGGGATTTTTGTCTTTAAATGAAGAGCACCAGGAAAGCCTCTGAGGATTTTAAACATGGTGGTTGCAGTCGGGCAGATCAGCTTGGCAAAGATTTGATGACTAGGGTATTAGTCTGTTCTCATGCTGCTAATACAGACATATCTAGGACTGGGTAATTTATAAAGGAAAGAAGTTTAATGGACTCCACAGTTCCACATGGCTGGGGAGGCCTCACAATCATGGCGGAAGGCAAAGGAGAAGCAAAGGCATGTCTTACATGGCAGCAGGCAAGAGAGAGCTTGTGCAGGGAAACTCCCATTTATAAAACCATCCAATATCGTGAGACTTACTACCATGAAAACAGTAGGGGGGAACCACCCACATGATTCAATTATCTCCATCTGGCCCCACCCTTGACATGTGGAGATTATTACAATTCAAGGTGAGATTTGGGTGGGGACACAGCCAAACCATATCAACTAGCATGGAGAGGCCAGTGTGGAGTTTAGGGTACCAGGTGGAAGGCCCCCTGAGGTTGGGGAGGGTGGTGCAGGGCAGCAGGTGGCAGCCAGGCCCTTGGAGGTCCATTGGCAGGACTGAGCAGCAGGGTGTTGGAGTGACATGCAGGTGGGGGTACAGTCCTCTTCATTCTTATTCACATCTTTTCTGTTGATCCCTTTCCATCTCTTTCCCCACTAGTTTCCTGTGTTCTTTTGATCCACAAGCTCCACATTTCCTGAAAGAAATGAATGCCATTATTATCACATACAGCCACACACACACCCTGTACAAACTCATCTCCCACAACGCCCAACTCCCTAACATGGTTGCCTAAATCAGAATTAAGCTCCCTGGATTCAGGTCCCAGTCCCACCCTTAATGTGCTTGTGAATCTCAATGAGGTGCTTGGCCTTTCTTGGCTGGGTTTCCTCATCTGTGAAATGGGGGATTTTGCACTGTTTTATTTTTCTACTTTTTGCCAGCCTTGCAACTTTCCATAGGACTTTGCTTCATCTAGACTGTTGGTGTAGGAAAACATCCTTTTGGTTAATGGATAGATGTTATAGGCTAGGTGCCTTCCCTCCAGGAGGTTCCTCATCTTATTAGTGAAGATTCTGTAGTTGCATATGGCTTTAGTTGCTGTTGAGAAACCTACCCAGACTGGCTTCACCATCAAAGGTATTTATTGACTGACACCGTTTTGTGATTAGTCCAGGGGGAGTTTGGCTTCAGGCCCATTGACCACAGGGTCTAATTATACTGTTCACCATTGCTTCTCGTCCCTCTCACTGCCTGGTTCTCTGCTGGCCTGCTGTGAGGCCACATTTCCTTCTCCTCTGTTCCCCCAGGCTCCAGCCATTTTGAGGAAGGAGGTGAGTTTCTCTTTCCTATTAGTGAAGAATACCAAAGCTGTAGGAATCATATCTTACTGGCCTGGAGGTGGTCAGCTTCTTTAAAATCACATGGCCTGATTGGGCAAGGGGTAGGTCCCTTGAGGGAAATCAAGGTGCTGAACCAGAAAAGGTGGTGATGGCAATTGGGTAGGAAAAAATAAGTCCATCTCAGAGTCTTTAAAAAACATCTTTAAAATCTCCTCGTGATTTCTTAATCAGCAAGAGGGTGGCTTAATCTGTTTATCCCAGAGGCCAGGGATGGAGGGTCAGGGAGGGGTTGACCTTCTGGGGCTGATGATAGCATTTGTTTTTCTTCCCAGTCCAGGCTTACGCTGACCTTGGTACTTAAGGCAGGGCCTGTCCTTTCCTCTGCTCAGCAACATCCATCACTGCCATGTCCTTTTGGCACTAATTAAAGAGGACACACTTGGATTAGGAAAATGATGGATTGGGTTGATGTGATTTGATGTGAGGTGGAGTGAATAAGTGACAAGCTCGCCCTTAGAGAAACCACCTCGGAGTAGCCACAGGCAGCCTGTGTCCCCCATAGGAGGGACTGGGACAGCTTGGCAACCACCTACCCCAGAACACCTGCTAGGAGGAGAGAGTCCTGTTGTTCCGGCTTGGGAATGTCTGTGTTTACATGATGAGGCTGGGAATATAGGCATCGAAGCATCAGTTTCCTTTGCTCCATCTAGATCAGCGTTGTTGATGGATGAGTATGGTAAAGAGTTGGATGATTTTCCCCCAGAGTTTCCATGCTGGACAATTGTTTATTTACTTGAGCTAATTACTGAAATTTTTTTCCATGACTTGGCCTAATATAAAAAAAGACACTAATGAGAGTGAGGTTTTATGGTAAGCAAATTGAAAAGCAAATAGCAAATAACTCATCTATGAAATAGTTATAAGAAAAGTTATTATGGTAATGGTTAGGGCAAAACAACTCTATTTAATTCTTGATGCTTATGGAGATTCCAGCCAAGATATGTGTATTTTCCTTAAAAAGATTTCTTTAAAGCATGTGTCTTAATTTAATCCTGTTATACACAGGCACATCTATTAATGAAGTAAATTCAACAAAGAGTTAATTATAAATAGCAGCAACATGTTTTCTTTCTTTAAATATTGTATATATTTCATGTTGTAACTCGGGGGATAAATTATACTAGGTGGATTTTGTGGTAATATAAAGGACGGTTGGAATTTTATTGAGTATTTACTTTTATTTGGTTTTGAAGAAGAGCTTCTCCATACCTCAGACTATCAAAAATCATTCTGTTAGAGTCACAGAAATTCCAATTAAGAGCTTAGATGCCAATACAGACTGATTATTTTGAAGACTTTTTTCAGTTCATGACTCAGTTAATATTCAGTGGTGTATTTTCTGTAGTTTAAAAGTATCACTGATAAGTTGGGAGTATGCCTTCCATATGAGATACAAATTGTCCCTAACCACTCAATCAATGTTTACTTTACATGTTAAAAATAAGAAACTAAGACCTCATAATGTGGTTTTAAAGGTTCCTGTTTTTTGCCCTGAAGGTCCAAAGGTAAATTTGGCACATTTGTCAAAATATAGATGAATAATTTATAGATGTGCATCCATTTTATTTTTATAAGTATGGAAATAGATATAAAGGGATTTGCTGGAAGAATTTCTTTTGGCAAATGAGCAAAAAATTTAACTATAAAGAATGAAATACTAGGCTCTAGATATAAAATAATATTCACAATGCAATACAAAATGTGCAGGCATTTTTGGTCATATTTTCTATGACAGGTTTCTTAGAAATCTGTGTTTCTACTATGAAACACATGAAACAAAGAAATATTTATACATCAGCAGAACTATAAATTCAAAAATTCAGAGAAAATTCCAAATGGGTGTGATGTTGATACTTGCATTTTTCTCTAAAATTAATAAGGTATGTGTGTATATATCTGCATATACCTATGATTCATGTAAAGGGTTGCAGATACAAAGATTCTAAGTTCATAGGTATAAGAATAAATATATGAAGCTGTATCCTGTCTTTTGCATTATATTGATTGTTCTCGTTGGGGGGAGGGCGTTAATTTTAAAAAGTCAAGTGAAAGTAAATTTTCCCATCAAAGGAAGGCACTATTGCTTTCAAACATCATCATATTCAATACAAATTAAAACAATGAACTACTGTATCTACCCATCAGACTAGCAAAAATCAAAGCATATAACAATGGCAAGTGTTGCCAAAGGATGGAGACCTGCTGATGTTAGTGTAAATGGGTGTGACCGCTTTGGAGAGCAATATGACCTATCCCGTTGAGCTGGGGACACTATGACTCAGCAATGCTTCTCCAGGCCTTTTCCCTGGAGAAAATCACATTTGTAAGTGGCAAGAGAATTATCCAGGAATGTTTTCCAATGCGTTGATAGCAAAAAAAAAAAAAAAAAAAAAGTCTCAGGGGTTGGGGGTGGTGGGACAGACCGTTGATAGTGGAATGAGAAATCGTAAACAAGAAGGATCTACCCAGAAGTTGCCCTAGTTGTTACCTCTGCAGTGTGGCAGGGTTGGGGGCTATGATAGGGCTTCTGAGGTGACTGTGGAGGCTTACATTTGATCTATAATGTTTTGTTTTTTTCTTGTGTCTTTTAACAAAAAGAAAACCTGATTTAAGCAAGATGTCAAGATGTTAATCTTTGTTAATTCTGGCTGTTGAATGCATGAATGTTGTGTGTGTGTGTGTTGAAACTGTTAAAAAAAAATCATCTTTGGGTTGACCATGGTGGTGTACACCTGTAATCCCAGCACTTTAGGAGGCCAAGGTGGGAGAATCATTTGAATCAGGAGTTCGAGGCTGCAGTGAGCTATGATTGCACCACTGCCCTTCAGCCTGGGTGAGAGTGAGACTTTGTCTAAAGTAAAAAATGTAAATGAATAAATACATCCTCCCATTACATTACATTTTCTAAAGTAGCGTAACTTTTCATGTCAGAAACTAGAATAAATTAAGTCACTGAATCATGTAGTAAATTATGAACTATTGCCTCTATAGTTGGTTGCCAAAATGGCCTGCCAGTGTCTATTAATCAATATAAAATATAAAAATAGAACATTTAAAAATTAAAGCATCATGTTATATTGCCATTACCAGCTAGCCATATGAACCTTATGGAAGGAAATCTGGCTATATTTAGCAAAATTACATAAATAGTCCCCCTTTGGACCAGTAATCCCACTTCTAGGAATCTATCCCAAAATATCTTGGCAAATGGTAAAATAGCACACAGGCAATGGTATTTGTTTTGCCATTATTCATTATAGCAAAGTGTTGGAAACAATGCACATATCACGAAGAGTGGACTGGCTGGATAAATAATGGCATAGCCAGACAAAGGGGTATCGGAAGACAATAAAAGAAATGAGCGTGTTCTCTCTACTCACATGGAAGTCATCTCCAGGATATATCATAGTATTCATTAGTCAGAGTTTTCCAGAGAAACCCAACCAACAGGATCTTTTTGGTAGGTAGGTAGGTAGGTAGGTAGGTAGGTAGGTAGGTAGGTAGGTAGGTAGATAGACGGATAGATATGGAGATACATACAGATATAAAAGGAGATTTATTATGAGGAATTGACTCAAGTGATTATGAAGGCTGAGAAGTTCTACAATCTGCTGTCTGCAAGATGGAGCTCCAGGAAAGCTGATGGTGTAATTCTAGTCTGAGTCTGAAGGCCTGAGAACCAGGGGAACTGGTAATGTAACTTCCAGTCTAAGGGCAGGAGAAGGTCCCTATGCTAGCTCAAGCAGGCAGACAGGAAGGAAAAAAGGCTGACTTCCTCCTTTATCTACCTTTTTGTTCTATTCAGGCCTCTATCAGGTCGGATGTTGCTCACTCACATGAGGGAAGGCATGTGCTTTACTGAGTTCACCAATTCAAATGCTAGTCTCTGATAGATGTGGTGGCTCACACCTGTAATCCCAGCACTTTGGGGTGGGGGCACCTAGCAGGGAGGATCACTTGAGGCCAGGAGTTCCAGACTAGCCTGGGAAACATAACAAGACCCCATCTCTGAAAAACAAAAGTAAAAAATTAGCTGGGCATGGTGGCACACACTTGTCTGTAGTGCCAGCTACTCAGGAGGCTGAGGCAGGAGGATCCATTGAGCCCTAAAGTTCAAGGCTGTAGTGAGGTATGATTGCACTTTGTGCCACTGCACTCCAGCCTGGGCAACAGAGTGAGACCTTATCTCTTAAAATAAAAAATGCTAATCTCATCAAAATTAGCATTAATCTACTCTATAATTTCCATTAGATTCTTTTAAATAATTAGATAATTTCTGTCTCTTTATTGACATTATCTGTCATCATACCTTCTCTTTCCTCTTTAAGAGTGTACATTTTTTCATCGAGATTAGCATTTTTTAAGATCTGGAAATACCCTTGTAGACACGTCCACAATCCATAATATCATTTAATCTGGAAACCTGTGGCCAGATTGACACATAAAATTAACATCACAATCATTGAGTGAAAAAAAAATCGGGATATTTTTATAGAATACTGCCTTTCATGTAAAAAAGAGATGTGTTCACGTGTGCATTTTCATGTGTGTGTGTACTTAGATTGTTTAAAATAAATGCTGGGAGTAAAAAGCGAGCACTAACGGTTGCCTATAGTGGAGGAAGTAACAGAGGGGAGGGCAGAAATAGAAGTGAGACTTCTATGAGTGTACTTTGTTATATGATTCTGAATTTTAAAGTGTGTAAATATTTTTACATATTCAAAAAATTAAAAGGGAAAATATTCTTATAATTGAAGACAGATGGAAATAATTGAACCTAACTATATATCAAGTTGGTAGCTTAACCCGAGAAAGTAATTTTTTTTTTTTTTTTGAGATGGAGTCTTGCTCTGGCACCCAGGCTGGAGTGCAGTGGCACCATCTCTGCTCACTGCAACCTTCGCCTCCCGGGTTCAAGCGATTTTCCTGTCTCAGCCTTCTAAGTAGCTGGGATTAGAGGTGCTTGCCACCATGCCTGGTTAATTTTTGTAATTTTAATAGAGACGGGGTTTCACTATGTTGGTCAGGCTGGTCTCGAACTCCTGATCCTGTGATCCACCTGCCTTGGCCTCCCAAAAGTGCTAGGATTACAGGCGTGAGCCACTGCACTCGGCTGTGAGAAAGTAATTTCTTTAAGTAACACTAAAACCCAGTATTTTAACTGTATATCCATAGTGGGGTGGAATTTAAGGATGCTAGCATATGTAAATAAAAAGAATCATATATTTCATGATTAGTGTTATTATTAGCTGTAATATGGATGTTATTATTTTGAAATTATAGGACTAACTTGGAGAAAGCAATTAAGCAATATGTTAATGTTGTTATGAATCAAGATTCTTATTATGAAAGAAAAGAGATAAGGTATAATATTTTTTAAAGTTATCTGAAATCCTAAAATCTTACATTTAAATTAGAAATATTAATATTCATGATATTCTTTGCTCTTAAAATATCTATTTCATAACTCTGTCTACTGAAAAAGCCTAAAAGCAGTGAAAACCCTATAGCAACGAACGCTTTCTACACCCAGATTTTGTGTACTAAATACCATTCCCCACTAAAACGAAGCAGAGTTCCTTGGAGAAGTGACTGCTTCCTGGTCTAGGATACTTTATTATGCCAGAAAGCAAATAAGCTATCAAAGGTTAATGAGATGATTGCAAAAGAATTGAATGATTTTCTGCTGGCTAAGAGGAATTGCTTAATACATTTCCAACAGGATAATGACTAGAATTGATTGAAACACATCAGAATTATAAAAATCTGTGCCTTCAGATGGTACTTCAAAAAATAATTGGTCACCGTTGTATATTGCTAGAACACCAGCTCTCTATTCTGAAAGTTGCTAAAAAAGGAATAAGAAACAAGCTTTTATTCTGCCTTCCTGTTTTATTTATATTTCAGGGTAACCAAATAGCTGATGATTGAACGTCTTCTTTATAGAAAAATTTTAATTAATAAATGCAAAAGGAAAGAATGAGAAAATTACCATTTGACAACCCAAATGAAATAACAGGTGTAGGCAATTATTATCAATAGGTGTTAACAGCATTAGGTAACTATCAATGGGGAATTTTATAATGGATAAATCAGGCTGATATAACCTGAATGTACTGATCTCATTTTACCTCTCTAAAGGTAGGACAACCAGAAGTTATATGCCTCCTAATATGTAATTGGAAATATAAACCACTGCCTCTAAAGGATTCTTTCCTAAAAAATTAAGCCTGAATGTGACCAAGCTTTTAAATTTTACTACCAGTTTTCAGGAAATATGGAGGCTAAAGGAACGTGTTAACAAATTGACCAGCTTCTCAAATAAAATATGGAAAAGTCACATCACTCCAGAAATTTTCCCAGTTTACTCTTCGAGCCAATTCCTCCTTAGCTCACAGAGACAATTACTTTCCATAGATCTGTCACCATAGATTATCACATAAGTGCAGTCATACAGTTGGCATTTGTGTGTGTGTGTCTGGATTCCTTCACTGAACATAATATTTTAGAAATTCATTCAGTGTGTGTATGTGTGTGTGTGTATGTGTTGGTTTCTTTGTTTTATTGAGTACTTCATTGCATGAATATCCCATAATTTGTCCAGTCTCTCGTTGCATATTTGTGTTTTTTCCATTTTCTGGCTGATGTAAATAAAGCTTCTGTGAGGATTCTTGTACAAGTCCTTTTGCGGATCTATGTTTTTATTTTAATTGTGTAAATTATAAAAGTGAAATTGCTGGAACATAGGGTAGGTTTATGTTTAAAAAGAACTTCCAAATAGTTCTAAGTGGCATGAGTTCTAGTTGCTTCACACCTTTTTCAAAAGTGAGTGTTATCTTTCATTTAATTTTCCCAGTCAGGCTGATATGAAATGGTATCTCATTATGGTTTTTAAATTTTTTTATATATAGCTTTATTGAGATACAATTCACATACTATACACTTCACACTTTTGAAATGTAAACTTTAATTGTTTTAAATATCTTTCCAGAGTTGTGCAACTATCATCACAATTGGTAGTCTTTGGCTTTCTAGGAGTTTGTCCATTTCATCTGAGTTACTAATTTATTGGCATGCAGTTATTTATAGTATTCCCTTATAATTTATTTCTGTGATATTGGTAGTGTTGGCCCCTTTTACACTCTTGATTTTAGTAATTTGAGTCTTCTCTCTCTCTTCTTTATCAGTCTAGCTAAAGATTTATAAGTTTATTGATCCTTCAAAGAACCAACTCTTTATTTTATTGATTTTCTCTGTTGTTTTTCTATTCTCTATTTCATTAATTTCTGCCCTAGCCTTTAATTCCTTCCTTCTGAATGTTCCAGGCTTAGTTTGTTCTTCTTTTTCTACTCTTTTCGAGTGGAGGATTTGGCTTTTATTTTGAGATTTTTCTTTTAAATATAGGAATTTAGAGCTATAGGCTTCTATTTAAGCATTTCTGTGACTCTGTTTCATAAATTTTGCTTCATTGTTTCTTCATTTTCATTCATCTCAAAGTACTTTCTAATCTCACTCATGATTTATTCTTTGACTCATTGGTTATTTAGGGCCATATTGTTTAATTTCCATATGTTTGTGAATCCCCTAAGTTTCTTTCTGTTATTGCTTTCTAATTTCATTCCATTGTGGTCAGAAATTATACTTTTTATGATTTCAATTATTTTGAATTTATTGTGGTTTGTTTTATGGCCCAGCCTATGATCTGTCCTGGAGAATGTCCCATGTGCATTTGAGAATGTGTATTCTGCTGTTTCTGGGTAAAGTGTTCTATAGATGTCTGTCATATGGTATATAGTTCATTTATACTGTTGTTCATCTTTTCTTTTTTCTCCTTAATCTTCTGCCCACTTATTCTATTCATGAGTGAAAGTGGGATATTGAAGTCTCCGATTTTTATTATTGAGTTATTTTCCCTTTAACTCTATCAATATTTGCTTCATATATTTTGGGGGTCTTATATTAGGTACATATATATTTATCATTTTTATGCCTCCCTGATGGATTGACTCTTTCATCACTGTTTCACCATCATCTCTCTATATCTATATCTCTAGTTTTAGAGTAGCTTTATCTGATATTGGAATAGCCACTCTAGCTTTTGTATGATTGCTGTTTGCATGCTATATCTTTTTCCATTCTTTACTTCAAACTGTTTGTATCTTTGAATCTAAAGTGTTTTCTCTTGTAGCTAGCATATAGTAGTATCAGATTTTTATTCAGTCTGACAGTCTTTACTTTTGTTGGATTGTCTAATCCATTCACATTTATTGTTATAATGGATATAGTTAGATTTGCATCTACCATTTTATTTTTCATTTTCTATATCTCTCATGCCTTTTTTGTTCCTCTATTTTTCCTTTACTGCTTTATTTGGCCTTAAATGAGTATTTTTAGTGTAACATTTTAATTTCTTTAATCATTTTTTAAAAATTTATTTTCTTAGTGGTTGCTGTGGGGATTACCATATACATCTTAACTTATCAGAATTCTTCAGATTCATACTAACTTAATTTCAGTTAGATATAGAAACATTACTCCTGAATAGCATGATTTTTTCTTCTACCTCATTTTTGCGCTATAATTTTATACATATTACATCTATATGCTACAAACTTTACAATACATTGTTACAATTAATTATTACTTTATATGAATTTATGTCTTTCAAGGAAGCTGAGAAAATAAAGAGCAAGTGCTCATTTACAGAGTCTGTTATCTTAACCTTTTAATTTACCATTTCCGGTTCTCTTCATTTGTTCTTGTGGATTCAAGTTACTGTCTTGTGTCATTTTCTTACTCCAATTCATCTTTGCTCCCATATACTTCCTTTGCGTTATTGTCAAACATTTTACATTTCTGTATGTTATAGGCACAATGATAGAAGTGTGTTGTGTGTGTGTGTGTGTGTGTGTGTGTTTGTGTGTTATTTTATGCAATTGTTTATTAAATCAGTGAACAGAATAAAGCAGAGGAAATATGCATTCAGGCTGTCTTTCATAATTACATCATTACCTTTACTGGAGCTCCTTGTTTTGTGTGTGTGTAAATTTGAATTACTGTTTGGTGTCACTTGATTTCAGCCTCAAAACTTTCCTAGCTTTTCTTATATGGCAGATCTTTTAGCAATACATTATCCTATTTTATTTATCTATGAATGTCTTGAATTCACTTTCATTTTTGAAAGATACTTTTGCTGGGCATAACATTCTTGGTTAACAGTTGTTTTATTTTCTCCTTCAGCACTTTGAATATATTTCATCCCACTGCCTTTTGGACTCCATTACTTCTGATAGAAGTCTGCTGTTAATCCTATTGAGGCATCCTTGCAGTGACTAGTCAGTTTTCTCTTGCTATTTTCATGATTTTTCTCTTTGTTGTTTCTCAACATTTTGATTTTTATGTGCTTGGGTGCAGGTCTCTTTGCATTTATACTATTTAGAATTTGTTGAGTACCTGGGATGTATAGATTAGGGTTTTTTCGCACTAAATTTGGTAGGCTTTAGCCATTATTTCTTTGAAAAAAATTTCTGCTTCTTTTTCACTCTTCTCTTATTCTGGTACTCCCATTATACATATGTTGGTCCACTTAATGGTGTCTACAATTTACTAAGCCTATGTTCATTTTACTTCATTCTTTCCCTCTGCTCTTCAGATTGAATAATCTCTGACTGTCTTCAAGTTCAATGATTCTTTTTTCTACCAATTCAACAAAGCCACTGTTGATCCCCTCTAGTGAATTTTGAACTTTAATTATTATAATTTTCTACTGTATAATTTACATTAGATTATTTTAAATAATTTCTATCTCTTTATTGACATTATCTATTTGCCAACATACCTTCTCTTTCCTCTTTAACAGTGTACATATTTATAATATTTTGGACATATTTATAATAGTTACTTTGAAATCTTTCTAAGTCTGACACCTGGGCCCTTTCATAGGCAGCTTCTTTTGAATGCTTTTTTTTAAATGTATTTGTTGCACTTTCCTGTGTTTTTATACATACTAGATTTTTTTCAAAGCTGGACGTTTTAGTAGATAATATATTTTAGCAACTCTGGATACTTGTTTTCTTTTCCTCTGAGCTTGCCATTGTTGTTTGTTTATGTGTTTTGTGACAGGAATAGGCTATTTTAGTGTTTATTTCTACCCACAGTGTGGAGCCTTTGGTGTTACTTTTCTGACGCTGCAGCCTTGGGAGTGTGCACAGTCACCTTGAGATGATAGTAGTTTTAGCATGTGTCTCTTTGACTTCTCTCTTCTGCCTCCTTCCTTAATCTCCCTGTTAATCTGTCTGCCTCTGTTGGTATCATACCAAGCTATTAGGCTCCACTAACTGCCAAATTATTGCTCCATTATTTTTGACAATGTCCAGGGCGCATGCATTCCTCTACAACCTGATCCAGTTAAATTTGAACCCCTTTGCAAAGGTATTTTTTGAGGTCAGTCTTTGAGGTTTGACCAAGAGGGCTCTTCTTAGCTGTCTTGCTCTGATCCTCTCTGATAAACTATCTGGCCTACAATTTAGCTTGTTGCCATCATGGAGCTGTCAGCCTTCTATACCTGTTTTCATGCTTACTTGTCTTTTTTTTTTTTTTTTCTCTGCCTATTCTGTCATTAAGACCATCTAATGAATGTTTTAAATGATAATATATTTTTCATTATAGCATTTCCATTTGGATATCTATTGCAGTTTCCATGTGGTTCATTTTAAAAATCTCTTCATACATGTTTACCTTTCACACACTATTTTTAAAAACTGCTATCACGATTATTTCAAAGTTGTGTGATAATTTCAATAGCTGGGCTATTTATGAATCTTCTTCTATTGTCTGTTTCCTCTTTTTGATCACAAATCAAATGTTCTTGCTTCTTCAGGCATCATAGTTTATACTACATGTCAGGCATTCTGTGTCAAATAACAGCACATTCTTTTTCTTTCCACTTATCAGAGTTGGAACACTGAGTCAGTCGTACCTGTAGATCAGCTGGGTCTGGGACTTTTTTTTTTTTTTTTTTTTTTTGAGACAGTCTCGCTCTGTCACCAGGCTGGAGTCCAGTTGTGCAATCTCAGCTGACTGCAACCTCTGCCTCCTGGATTCAAGTGATTCTCCTGCCTCAGCCTCCCAAGTAGCTGGGACTACAGGCACGCACCACCATGCCCAGCTACTTTTTGTATTTTTAGTAGAGACAGGGTTTCACCATATTGGCTAGGATGATCTGGATCTCTTGACCTCATGATTTGCCTGCCTCAGCCTCCCAAAGTGCTGGGATTACAGGTGTGAGCCACCGCAACTGGCCGGGTCTGGAGCTTTTTGTAGCTTTAGTTTCATTCCATGTATTACCAGCTTCGAGTGCTTAGAGGGAAGGGTCAGGATTTTTCCCTTACCATAGCTTAGGCTCTGAGCACTGAGTGGTTTCTTTGTACTTTATATCTGCAGTACTAGCTTTCTGAACCTTGGAGTGCTTTGACCATGCCACAGCCCGGCCAGCAGATGCAGGGGTCACAGAGAGCTACGTTTGTTTTCTAGTCCCACTGGAGTGCTCCCTCTGCCCTGCTACTCAGACTTTGTAGGGCATCTGTCCTGCCCTCAGTAAAGACTTGCAATGCCCTGGAGAGGTTTCTCCCAGCTGTCTTCCCTGCCCCCAGCCTTCAATAATTGAATGTCCGGAGTTCCCAGGATAGATTTCTCTTGAGTTTCCTCCTTAGCCCCCCACTTTCAGAGGACACTGCCTTTTACTTAGGTGAGGCCCCACATATCTCTGGGGTTCTTGCAGGTTTCTTGCTTTACCTCCAGGAAGACCTGTACAAAACAGTATCCAGTGGTTAAAAACTCACTCTGGGCTGGGCGCAGTGGCTCACGCCTGTAATCCCAGCACTTTGGGAGGCTGAGGTGGGCAGATCACGAGGTCAGAAGATCGAGATCATCCTGGCTAACATGGTGAAACCCCGTCTCTACTAAAAATACAAAAAATTAGCCGGGCATGGTGGCGGATGCCTGTAGTCCCAGCTACTCTGGAGGCTGAGGCAGGAGAATGGCGTGAATCCGGGAGGCGGAGCTTGCAGTGAGCCGAGATTGCGCCACTGCACTCCAGCCTGGGGGACAGCGAGACTCCGTCTCAAAAAACAAACAAACAAACAAAAAACTCACTCTGTGGCTTGGGCTTCTTCACATTCTAATCTGTCATCTGGCCACCAGAATTTCATTAAAGTATCAGCAAGTTTCTCCTTCCTCCAATCTATGGCAATTCCCTGTTATTGCACTACTGTCAGGGGTGAAAGCAGTCAGCTGGCAAATGCCTTAAATAGTGTTTTCTATCACTTCATCTCCATAATCTGGATTTCATACAAAAGTTAGTCATATATAAACACTGAGTATCTACAGCAAGAACATCATTCTCTTGGAGAGCCAGAAAGTGAGTTGTTTTATGAAACATTTCTAATTTAGTCAATTTTCCAAAAATAGGGAAATTATACAATAGTCATTGCCTTTGCCTATGAAAAGTAGAAAGAAGGGAAATCAGGAGACCATTGCTTCATCTGTGGGAAACACTTTCTATTTGTCCTTACATATATTCTTTGTTTTTCCATAATTCTGAGGGATAAGGAAGAGAATGTGGCAGCCTGAATGTCTGTTTGACTGTATCTCTTCACACTGTGATTCTCATTTTCCTAATGTCTGTTTCAGAATTTTAAAGTGGGCAGTGGATTATGCCAGTTTCTAGATCCTCCTATTACCTTCCAGGGAAAGGAAAATTGGATTCGATTCTAGGGGCATGATTAGCAGAAGGGCACGCCCGGGTACCGTGACTTTGTTCTGAATTAAGGAAGTTTGAGTAAGAGAAAGCACTTTTTCCTGCTGGACTGGGCTGCTTGTTGATGGCTGTGCCGTTAGGAGTGTGGAGCAGGATGGTGTTTCAGACAGAGGTCCTGAGCAGGAGAGAGCAGGATGTATGGACCAACGACAGGCCCATGAGTCTGGAAGGTGGGGAAGGGGGGAGCATGCACGTTGCTAATGGAGAGAGCACGTCTCAGAGGCTGCATCCTGGCGGCTTTGTGGTCATTTGTTATAACAGCCCTAGGAGACTCACATACTCTCCTTCACCCTCTCACAGCCATTCCCTGTGAGAACCAGACAGAGTGGCTGAGTTCATCCTGATACTCAATGGACAATGGACAGGACCCCCTTTTTAGGACTTGGTTCTTCAGCCCCATGGCACAATGTGTACCAGCAAATGGGTTTGGCCAGGTCCTCTTAAACAAGCTTCAAAATTGTCCAACTTGGACTTCCACAGGGCTTCTTTCTGTGGCCAGAGATGCCAATACATGTGATTTTCTGCATGCATGTGGTCTTGGCTCCTTGGACTCCAGGTTGGCCACGCAGCGACAGACCTGCCTCTCGGTGGGAGTTCTCAGGAAGTCAAATCAGATGGAAACCTGATCTGTGTGCACGACTGGCTTCGGCAGTTAGGTGGTGTGAAAAATGAAATTTCTACTGGCTTCTCTTGTCCACAGGGTGACCGCTAGTGGCAGGGCTGCTTGCTGCGGCTCCTAATCTCCTTGTGGGATGCCTTGGGTTGGATCAGTTTCTCTTGGCCCCTGTGAAAGGAACTCGCGGTGGAATATTGTATTCGGTGCTGCACAGGAGACCCCATTTAGAGACAGGAAACTTGTGCTTGAAGGGCACTCTTTGTGCAGCTACAGACGATTCATTCATTCCTTCATTTATTCTGTCACCCCAAATCTGTCTGCATCTACTGTGTTCCAGGCACCGCACAGGGCACTAGGATTCTGGTGGTGAACAAGAGGCCGGTCTCACCCTCAAAGGCATGTAGTCTTGAGAGACACAGACACTAGACAAGGAATGACACATGGGTGTATGTGAAGATGCTTAGGATATGGTGGGGGCATTTAGCAGGGAGATTTGACCCAGCTTGGGGTGGGGTGGGGGACACAGAGGCGGATTCTATGAGGAAGCAGCCTTTACCCTGAGACCTGCAGTGGGGGAGCATTCCCTAGATGAGGAATGAGAGGTGGAGAGGAATGTGGAGCAGGATGGTGTTTCAGACAGGGGTCCTGAGCAGGAGAGAGCAGGATGTATGGACCAACGAAAGGCCCATGAGTCTGGAAGGTGGGGAAGGGGGAAGCATGCACGTTGCTAATGGAGACAGCACGTCTCAGAGGCTGCATCCTGGTGGCTTTGTAGCTTTGTGAAGAAAGTGGGATTTTATCCTTAAAACGAAAGGGAAGAAGTTGGAGCTGTTAAGTAGGGAGTGACATGATTTGATTGCTTTTTTAAGAGAGCCCTCTGGAGGAAAAGGGGCTGGAGGGGGCAGGGGGTACAGGGCACGGTGGCCGTTTCTGCAATCGCTGAGGCAGGAGGTGCTGGGGGCCAGTCCTGGGCTGGAAATGGGGAGTGGGTGAGGGAACTGGACTAACCCAGAGTGTTGCATGAGGTGACATTCATGCCACATGGTGACGGACTTCACAGGGAGGGTGAAGGAGAGTATGTGAGTCTCCTAGGGCTGCTATAACAAATGACCACAAACTGGGGGGCTTTAAACCATGGAGATGTGTTCCCTCGCAGTTCACGGCTCTGCAGGCCAGAGGTCTGAAGTCAAGGCATCAGTAGGGCTGAAACCTGCCCTTGAAAGTTTCTGGGGCAGGATGCCCCTGGGCCTCTCTAGCGTCTGGGGGCTGCAAGCCCTGCTTGGCTGCAGCCGTGTCACCGCAGCCTCTGGGCGCCTTCACGTGGCCTTTACTGTGCATGTCTCTGCACATCCTCTCCTCCTCTTAGAATGACACAGTCATTGGGTTTAGGACCCACCATAGGCTAGCATGGTCTCATTTTAACGAATGACATCTGCAAAAATCCTACTTCTAGGCAAGGTTCTGGGTAGACATGAATCTTGGCAGGGGAACTATTCAACCTGCTACAGAGAGGGAGGCGGATTTGCTAAGGATGGCTCCGGCTGGCTGTAGCAACTGGGTGGAGACGTGGAGGACAGACCGACGCCAGCAGAAGGACATCAGGGCCACTGAACCAGAAACACACATGGACGTGTGAGTAAGTGAGGTGACCAGACCTAGTGAGGCCCCCAGTTCTTTTCAGGTTTTTTGTTTGTTTTTAACAAATGAGACTGAAAATGTTTCGGTTCACTCTTACTTAGTGAAAGCCGTTCTTGTGAAGCTGACATGTAGTCCAGCGACAGTGACTCAGGTTAGTAAGGGTGTGTGCTTTTCATGGCGTGTCGACACCAAGCCCTCACGCAGAGCAGGCTGACTGACGATGCCGCGTGCAGGAGGTTCCCTGGCTCTGGGGCCGGCTGACCTGGGCTGTCACCTCAGTGCTGCTGCTTTCGAGCTGTGTGGCCTTGAGGAGGGTTCTGGGCTTCTCTGAGCTGAAGTTATTTCCTTGTGCAACGGAGATGAAAACACTTGGGAACAAGGCTGTGGAAAGACTTATAGCATGGTTGCACGTGCTTGGCAAAGAACCAGTCTGTTTAGCTTGCTTGTTTATTTTACTGAAGGCATTATGTATAACGATTATATTGTATATTCTACCAAACATACCAACAAGAGTGTCCAAGATGTTGATGCATATTGAAACGTCCATGTTACTCTTTAGCATAATTTATTGACAACTGCTTGTTTTCTTGTGATTCTCCCTTTTTCCTAAACACTTATGAGAGAAAAGCCACACTTAACTGTAAGTTCTTACTTATTAAGGATAGTCTTTATTTAGTAGACTGGGAAAGTGGTGGTAGATGGATAAGTAATTAACAAATGGATAAGAAAAATAGTAGGCTTCCCCACAGGAAGGAGATAAGGCTGTGAACAATCCACAAAAGGAGTGAGTGTAAGGACTTTTTAATTTTGAGAGATATTGGATACATAGTTGTTATCTTTCTGTTTTCAAATTCCCCCAGCAACCCACCTCCATGGCCATATCCTTGTTCCTTGCATCAAGCAGAATGGCTCTTCCTCCAAAGTGAACCTTGGGCAGCCTACTCTGGTTACAGTCCTGCCTGCCACCGCCTCCTTGTGACCTTGTCCTCCCGCCCTCCTGGAGGCTCCTCCAGGGCTGCTTCTCGTAGCCGTTTCCTGGTGTGGCTTCAGCCACTTGCTGACCCTGTCTGGGTCCCCAGGATCATGCTTGGCTTCACTCCCCATTGGACCACAGCCTTGACCTTCTCCT
Source organism: Homo sapiens (assembly GCF_000001405.40). Lineage (NCBI taxonomy): Eukaryota > Metazoa > Chordata > Mammalia > Primates > Hominidae > Homo > Homo sapiens. The sequence goes on from NC_000020.11 coordinate 59,664,569, forward strand.
ACACCTCCCTTCCCAACTCCAGACATCCCCCTCCTGATCCCGGGAGCCAGTGCCTCACTGCTGGCAGAAATCACATAACCAAGCTTCAATACATTTTCCACAGCCTTGGCAAAGGCCAAAGGGCTGCTTGCCAATCCTTTTGTGTATCTCAGTGTGGCAAAGTTGTTAAGACCGTGGTTCAAGTCTCACCTCCACCCCTCACTGGAGGCACCATACGTCTTCTGCCAACCTGCCAGATGCCGCCTTTCACAAGTCAGCCCCTGAAATCTGACATTGTCTGTGAAGCCTTCTGTCTGATTCATCAGACGAAAGTGAATACCCGTGCGGTATCCATTGCGGGCTGGGTGCAGGATTCTCCTGGACCTTTCTGTGATCTCAACCCTCTCGCTGGAATTAGGCACTTGCTCTTGTCTCCTTCCCTAATAGTATACTATGCTTACTTTGCACCTGATTTATTTGGTTTTATTTTATAATCAAATCAAATAATTTATTCCAAGTAGTCTAAATTGAAGTTTTATTTTCAAAACTACAGGCATAAGCAGTCTTTCAGTAGAATACCCACTGTAGAAAAACTTCCTTAACGGTTCCCCTTGTGTTGCAGATTTTCAAGGCTTCACCATTTTCAGTGTGATTACTAATATAGCAGGAAATCCTTCAAGTATGTGGCTCTCTCTCTACCTAGGATTCTTTCTCCAGGACAGATTCTCAGACACGAATGTCTGCAGTTAAATGCCCTGTGCTTCTTGAGAAATGATGCAGAATTGCCATTTGGAAGGGTCGTGCTGACTTGTGATGCCACCAAAGATACTCAAAGGTGTTTGATTTCACTGCACCTCTGTGAGAATTGGGAAATGGGACAGAACATCATCTGGGGATACTTAAAGAACCCGAAGGTCCTTAGCACCTTGCTCAAGCCAAGTAAAATGAATTTTTCATATTACGATTTTTTTTTTCCAGCAGATTTTAAGCTATCTACTTGGGGGCAGAAATAAGAAAAAGCAGATGGTAGGGGCAATGAGGTTGTGGTGGAGTTCGAGGGAGTGATTGAATCTTGGGTGCTGGTTGGAAATACTGCCCATGGGGGTCTGGGTTGAATTGGATGGAAACAACACTTGGAGAAGCCTGCAGAGGGGCTGAGAGGGGAGGGAGAGCCTGTGTGGACTGGAGGCTCAGGAGATGAAGGGCGAGAGGATTGGGTGCACGCTGGGACTCAGAGGCTTACATTCTTATGTGTGGGGAGTACAGAACCCGCCACAAGCTAACTCTATGTTGGCCATGTTTATGGTTATCAGAAGTGGGGTTGGCGTTGAGGACATCAAAGCTTCATGATGCCAGGGGACTGCAAGAGTCCCCTCCGTGGGCATTGGGCAACCCAGGAGATGGCTAAGGAGACTGAAGCCAGCTGCTGGGCACTAGTGGTTTGAGTGAGGAGGAAGAGACCAGAGAGGACTGGGGCCCAGGGGCTGGGACTTAGTGGTGGAGGGGGCTGTGAAGGTCTGTCCAGCTTCCATCTGCCTGTTGTGCATGCCTTGCAGGGAGGCATGGCGGCCTGAGCTCTCTCCTCACTTGGACTTTCTGTGGCTGAGGCAGAAATAAACAGAGATGGACATCAATATGCTGGTGTGTGAAGGCACCCCATGGGGTTAGCTCCAGGCAGACCTAGGCATTGTGTCCTGCCATCTCCTCCCTGCGCCACATCTCCTGTTCAGCTCTATGCAAGCCACGGCCCCACATGCCCTGTGAGTCTGCCCTCTCCCACCCTGCCTAAACCAGGCCACTGGTCTATTTTACAGAAAGATAGGGTTGGACATAGCATCAGGGGTCACTTGAAAGTCACAGGGCTGGAATGTCAGGTGGATTCAGGGCCTGGGGCCACCATTCTGTGACAGCTGAGCTGTGGGCACATTGAGCTGTGGGCAGGTGGAGCAGAAGGAGCTCAATTTCAGAGGAAGAGAGAGACAGAGACAGAGGTAGAGAGAGAGAGACAAAGAGAGACAGAGACAGAGAGACAGGGAGAGAGAGAAAGGAAGAGAAAGATGGAGAGAGACAGAGACAGAGGAAGAAAGAGAGAGAGAGACAAAGACAGAGAGATAGAGAAACAGGGAGAGAGAGAGAGATAGAAAGAGAGTGACATTTAGAGAGACAGAGAGAGGGAGAGAGACCTGATTTCCACATGCAGACTGAAGCAGGGGCGGGAGCCCACTCCCGGAGAGGAAGGGGACATGCAGGGCAGGCTCGCGGTCCAGGTCCTGAGATCCAGAGAAGTCCCATCACGCCCCTTCTGATCAAACTGGTCTGAGTGGGCTTCTGGTCCTTACACGGTGTAATCTTTAAAACAGTAACTGTTATTATTATCACATGAAACTGCAGCACTTCCCTTTCATTACCTTTGAGGGTCGTTTATTGACCAACAGAGAGACCCATGCTTGGGGAGCAACGTCCAAGGTGCCCAGCAGAGGCACAGCAGTGCTGACAGTCCTGACAAGTAACGTGGGACACAGACCACCTGGAGATCTCAGCCTGGAGGTGCCTCAGTTGCTCAGGGTGATGAGATTCTATTTTAAGTTCCCAGGTTGTCATTTAAACCTCTCTCTTCTGTCTTGGGATGGGCTAATGGTGAGATGAGGTGATCGCAGGGCATGAGGCAGGGGAGGTTGAGGTAATAACATCAGAAGTAAAAGTAAAAAATCAACCAACCCTCTAGCCCAGTGGGCGTGGCTGGCCCAATGAGCTGTGGGGCTCCCACAATAGGAGTATAAGCAGCAGGCCCTGCCACCTGGGCTGCTTTGCCACAGGGCATTTGCTCCAGTGTACTCTGCCTCCCAACTAGCCCGTCTCATTGTCTCATTTATTGACTTCTCCCACTTGCCTTTTCATGCATGTGACTTGAAGACCCTTGGTCTAAGCTGTGAATCCTGAACACATGAGGCCTTGTGATAGATGCCCCTAAACATCACAGGAAACAAAGCAGGGACACCCTCGCCATGTAAATTCAGCTTTTCTGATTACAAGACAGAAGGGATTTTTCTGACTTTCCCCTGTCTCCAGAAATTCATGCAGAATCCTGATTTCATCACAACTCACCAGATTTTCCTTCCAGGCCAGCCTGCCTCTGGGGCTTAGGTTTTAGACCAGAGCGGGTGGAAATACAGAGGTGGCTCCATTGCCAAGGAAGTCCTGAAAGGCTTCCTGTCCTGCTTCCTTTCTCTTGTGCTGTGGATGGCCTTTCTGTCTAAGCAGATGTGTGTCACGAGAAGGGGCAGGTGTGTGTGATGGCCATTCAGGCACTGCTCATGCTTCCGAGTTAAAACCTCCTACTTAATCACTGGCTGGAAATAAGCAGTGAATTCTGCAGGGCGAGCCACAAGGGCAGTGCTAGGAAAGTCGCTGTCCTTCCTAGAACCACAGTTGCTTTTGTTAGTTTTGTAAAGGTGAGTGTATACACCTGTACCGAGGCAGAGGTGGGCATGTACACCTGTACACAGATAGAGGTGGGCACATACACCTGTACGGACTTAGAGGTGGGCACATACACCTGTATGGGGTTAGAGATGGACACGTATGCCTGTACGGGCTTAGAGGTGGGCACATACACCTGTACGGGGTTAGAGGTGGGCACGTACGCCTGTACAGGGTTAGAGGTGGACATGTATGCCTGTACATGGTTAGAGGTGGGCACATACTCCTGTATGGGGTTAGAGGTGGGCACGTACACCTGTACGGGGTTAGAGGTGGACATATACGCCTGTACATGGTTAGAGGTGGGCACGTACGCCTGTATGGGCTTAGAGGTGGGCACGTACACCCGTACGGGGTTAGAGGTGGACATGTACACCTGTACATAGGCTCCAGGCTCTTCCTCCTGCAACAGTGAGCTGCCTCGTTTGGGTCATTGGCCTTTCTCACAGTTTGCAGGGGTTGTGCAGATACAGCTCCTTGCTCAGATGTCATTTCAATTTGTTTCCTGGGAACAAAGCTCTCCACCATTTAAGATACATCTCTTTTCTCTATGGGACCCTTTGTCCATATTAGGCCAGGTCCTCTCAAAGCTCCTTCCAGTTAGGCAGTTCAGGAAATGACATGTGCCTTAGATGACAATTCAACAGAACAATTCAATGCCTAAGTTTTTAAAAAATTATTACTTACTTATGAGCCAGAGTTTCTTTCTTGTTGCCTAGGCTGGAGTGCAATGGCATGATCTCGGCTCACTGCAACTCCGCCTCCTGGGTTCAAGAGGTTCTCCTGCCTCAGCCTCCCAAGTAGCTGGAACTACAGGTGCCCGTCACCACACACAGCTAATTTTTTTATTTTATTTTATTTTATTTTATTTTATTTTATTTTATTTTATTTTGTATTTTTAGTAGAGACAGGGTTTCACCATGTCGGCCAGGCTGGTCTTGAACTCCTGACCTTAAATGATCCTCCCACCTTGGCCTCCCAAAGTGTTGGGATTACAGGTGTGAACCACTGCGCCCGGCCCAAAGCCTAAGTTTTAGTATAAGACTGATGTGTCTTCAGATGCTGCCTCTGCCATTTGCATGCTGTGTGACTTCAGCCTGGCAGCTCAACCTATCTGAGCCTCAGTTTCTGCAGCTGTAAAATGGGGACCAGAACTGTCTCTACTCCCTAGGGTTGGAGGGAGAGCCCTCAGTGTGACCCCCGGTGTGGAGTAGGGAGGGTTTCAGCACTGAGGAGTTTTCTCAGCATTCCCTGTCTCAAGACTGTGTTAACTACTGAAGATGGGGTCAATTACTGACCCCTGGGGACTTAAAATAATCAGTGCCGCTTTTCCTCATTGCCTAATTTATTATACTCAAGAAGTGGCCTCCAAATGAGGAAAACCTGATCCATGGCCAAGCTGCCTTGAAAGTTTTCTTTCAATTCTTTTGGTAACAGCTGTATTGAGAGATAATTCACATATCGTGCAGCTCACCCATTGGCAGTGTACTGTTCAATGGTTTTGAGTATGTGAGCAGTGTTTTGCAACCATCATTGTGGTGAAATTTAGAATATTTTCTTCTCCTCTAAAGAGAACCCTGTGTCCATTAGGAATCACTTCCATTTTCCTTTCCCCCGGCCCCTGGCCACCTGTAACCCGCTTTCTGTTTCTTTAGATTTGCCTATTCTGGACACTTCATAGAAATGGAATCACATGACATGTGGCGGTTATGACTGGCTTCCTTCATTTGGCATCATGTTTTCGAAGCTCATCCGTGTTGTAGCATGTGTCAGCCCTCCATTCCTTTTTATGACAGAATGATATTCCACTGTCTGGATACATCACACTTTGTTTCCCCATTCATCAATTGAGGGACGTTTGTGTTGTTTCTATTAATTGTTTTAACCTAAATTGCCTTTCACAACGTTCTTGTTTTGATGTAACTGTCTGCTTATCAATTGTAGAGTTCATTAATTCATCTCTCTATGTGCCCAGTGAATATTTATTGAGTGCCCAGTAAGTCTTGGGTGCTGTGCAAGGCATTTTGATGAATCTGTGAACTAGGCAGGTAAGACTCTTGCCATCACGGAAGGTCCCATTCTAGTGGGGGCCATTTAGGTGCTGCTCTTTCTTCTGATCTTTAGTGGATGACCAACAACAAATAGCTATTAATACACACCATGATGTCGGTGATGACGAATGTGGTGGGAAATGGAGCTGCCTACAGGGAAGAAGGAGTGATGGGTGCTGTTTCAGATGTGGGCACTGGGAAGATGTCTCTCTGGGCAGGGCAATGGGTGCAGAGCCATGGATTTCACTGGTCTGGGTCAAGTTCAGAAATGGGTGGACTATGATGAACCTCTGAAGACCTGGAGATGGGGCCACCTTTTGAGGCAGAAACCTCTCTTTTGTCCTGTGAGAAGTCTGACTTGGCCTCACAGGGTGCAGTCGTCCCCTGCCCTGGACAAGCTCATGTGAATGGCCAGAGTGTGGACACACATCCACCAACCTGCATTCTCAATTACGTGGAAGCCTCCATGTTCTCTCTGCATTTGACCTTCTCTGGAGGGTAAATGAGGACAGGCATCTGCCGGGGGTGGGGGGGGGGGGCAGGCACTTTTACTGTTTCCATCCTGCAAGGTCCGGGGAGACCCCAGGCTTTTCTGTCGTTAAGGTGTCCTAGAGGGAGCATTCAAGCTTATGTTTGTTGGACCTGTGACAGCACGTGGTGCTTGTGTTTACAGCCTGCTCCATGTTCCATCTTCTACTGCACTTGGCTATTTACAGGTCCATAGACCCAGATGGTGCTGTGGTTTCTGTCTCCAGAACGCCTCCCCAGTCCGGCACTTATTCCCACTCTCACTGCCATCTCCTGGGCGTTGCTCACCAGCACCTTAAATGTTCTTGCCACTTCTCCTCTGCAATCTCGTACTTTCTGCTCCCAGACCAAGGGCTAGAGGCATGCTTTCTGTGCTCATGTGCGCATGCTTTCTCAGCAACCTTGTGAGGCTGCCCCACCCCCTCCACAGCTCCTCCCTGGTCCAATGGGAGAGAGCATTTGGTTTCAGAGAGAACCATGTGGTTCTCCTTCTGTTTATTCTGAGCTTTTTTTTCTTCATTTAGCATCAATTCCTGTCATGGAAAATCACAGGAGCCAACTGAAGGGGGATTTCCAGAATATTTGGCCTTCCTTGGGCCTTGGTGAAGTGGCTTCCTTGGCCTGGGCAAGTGGGGCTGTGAGCATCTGTACATTCACAAGAAGGCTGGGGGTGCGGCTCCATGCTGGGTGAGCCTCCTCTCTCCTTGCCGGGGAAGGGCTAGAGTAAGAGTCGGTTTCTCCAAAGTGATGATGCATTCTTTCTCTTATGGGTCTGGCTTGGAAGCCACAGAATTCAAAGGCAGTGCTGGGAGGTGGCTTAGCCCTCCTCTGCTTTAGTTGGTGGAAAGGAAAGGTAGAAACCTGAGGTCAAAAACAGGTGGCCCGTGGGCCTAGGTCAGCCTGCAGACTTGGTTGGTTTGAACACAGTGTTTGTGTGTTTCATTGAACCAACATTTAAATGTAGGGAGATTTCACACCAATATCTGGATTTTCTTTCTGGCTTGGCTTGAAATACTCAGAGCTCGGGTACTGCTGGCTATTGCCAGGCTAGAGGGTTCATGAGGATGGAATTGTCCAGCTGTGATATTGGCTGTCTCCGGGGCCTGCACCATGCCTGGTAGATGAGGTCCATCCACTTAATGAAGGAACGGACTGGCCATGGCTCTTGCCAGGCTGCGTGGCTGCTGCCTGCTCCAGGCAGGACCTGCCTTCTCCAGTTAGGCCAAGTCCTTGACTACCCACGTGGAGAATCCACACCTGGTTCACCTCACCTACTTACCTGTGTATCCAGCCTGGCCTCTCTAGGACATCTGCATCTGGTCCTTGGGAGCAACCGTAGGCATGAGGAATGTGCTGAAAGGGATCCTCCTTTATTCTGAAATGTGGCCCATCAGGCCTCAGCTAGAGATTCTTCCCTAAGGAAGTCTGGAGTCCCGTGGCTGTAACCACAGCTTTCAGAAGCGGTTCTCAAATGTGGGCAGTTTGGGCACCGTCTGGAGGCATTTTCAGTTGTCGCAGCTGGGAGGCATGGTGCCACTGGCATCTCATGGGCAGAGGCCAGGGATACTGCTAAGTACCCCCACAGTGCCCAGGACGGCCCCCGCCACAGAGCATCATTTAGCTTCAAATGTCAGTATTGCTGAGGCTGCGCATCCCTGCGTTGGAGTCACAGTGCCCTGAGTCCCTGTCCCAATGCTGCACTTGCCCTTGACCTTCCTGCCTCCTCGAACCTCAGTTTCCCATCTCTAAAGTGGAGTGATCCTCACATGCACCTCTCTCAGCTAGATGGAGAGGAAACGCCATGGCCTGCATGTAGAATCACACTCAGTGGTCGGGGTTGCAGCTCTGATATTTGGGGAGGCCCTAGCCATGGGGGCTAGGATCTGGGCTGTGGAATCCACCTGTGTGACTATGGGTGGGTCGTATGTCCTCCTGAGCCTCAGTTTCCTCATCTGGGCATCAAGAGAGGAATAGGGCAGCCTCTAAGGATGTGAGGATTAAATGGTTTAATGTCTGCACTCGGCACATGGAACCTGATAAACGTGCGTGAGCAGCGCCATCCTGACTCAGCGGTGTGGTTCTGGGGTCTCCTGAGACACCACTGTGTGCCCGACACCCAGCTTGCGGCCTCCTTCCCTCCACCATCTCTCTCCTCATCCACGAGTCAGGTTAATCCTCCCCCTTGACCCCACACACCGCAGCAAAGTTTTAGGAAGTTGCCTGTGGTTGCCCTTTGGTGTATGGACTCCAGGGTGGCTCCTGTGGAGGTGGGAAGAGCCTTGGGGGCTTCCAGGCAAGAGAGGTGAGTGGGGCTTAGCCTAGGCTGTGGTGGTGGGGTTGGTGAAGAGGGAAGGAATTGGAGAGAGGCCCTGGACACAGAGCCCAGAGGAGTTGCCTGCAGGTTGGATGTGTCTGTTACGGTGAGCTGCAAGCAATCTGAGGGCAGGAGGGTACCTCATCTCCCTCAGCGTCTCTCTAGTGTGTGAGGCTGTGTAGTTTGTGGATTTGAATAGACTTGGAGCTTTTGGGGCATCTTCCTGGGACAACCTCAATTTATTTGGCATCTTCTCAGAGTTTATCTGTGGGCATGGCAGGAGTGACCCCAGACTGGGTTCAGCCCTCTCTTCCTGGCTGAGCCTCTTTGGGTCTTAGTCTGCTCATCTGTAGAATGGGAATAGAATCCTTCACTCTGTGGCCTGTTGTTTTAAGTTTTCAATAAGACCTGGTATTGGAAGCCCCCATCAAAGTGAGGAGCTCATGAAGCACAGGCGTTGGGCACCAGATGCAGGATCTCTTCCTGATGGCCGAGCAATGTGGCGCTAAGCGGGGTGTCTGCGGTTCGCCCCGCCCAGGTCAGCAGCACGACAAGGGGCAGGCCTTGGATTCTCTTAGACCTGCTCACAGCCTGGGCTTCTGGGGCCCTGAATGTGGCCAGTGCTCAGGTGGTTGGGAGCTGGCCTGGCAGCACCTGGGGCTCCCAAACACAAGGGAAGACAGGCAGCTGGGATGGTGACCCTGGGGACCCTGCTATCCTGTGGAGGCCCCAGGATTCCGACTTGTACCCGGGCTTGCTTGGTGCTGTCTTGGGACTGTCTCTGGGCTGGGACAGTGAGCTCTTGGATGGGCCCTCGGCTGTCAGTGCCTCAGAGCTGCAGAAGGTCAGAGCCAGGCCTGGGGTGGACCAAGTGGTATCTACACCCCTCCCAAATGTGTCCGAACTGGGTAGTTTTGTGCAGCTCACTCTGCCTCTCTGAGCCTTGGTTTCCTCACCTGACCTGCACAGTGGAAGAGGAGAAGAGCCTGACAGGAAGGCCGGATCAAGCTGGTAGGGTTTCAGTGCAGGCCCTGGCAGAGCAGCCCCGAAGCTTGGGAAGGCCAGGAAATCCCGCGCTGGTCTCCAGACCTGCCTGCCCGAGGAGTCGAGCTTCTGATGAAATTCAGCTGAGATTTCGGTTTTTTGTGCTCTGTACCCTGACAAGGGGCAGGAATCGGGAGCCAGCCTCGGCTGTCAGTGTCCTGGGCTGGTTCCCTCCCACCTCCCGCTTAAAGGTGTCATTAGCAAGGGCAAGACGTCTTCTAACAGGTGGAAACAACTTGTCAAGACAGCCTGTGGCTGCTGCGTTTAGAGACCCAGAGACCCTGAATGTGGACTAACGCCCCCAGAATGTTCAGAATTAATGTGCTGCCCCAGGCAGTGCTGGGGCGGGGGGCATGGCTCTGACTCCTGCCCTTGGGTTTGCCCCACTCTGCCCTCTTCCCCTTCTCCTGTTCCTTCCCCTTCTCCTGTTCCTCCTTCTCCTGTTCCTTCCCCTTCTCCTGTCCCCCCTTCTCCTGTTCCTTCCCCTTCTCCTGTCCTCTCTTCTCCTGTTCCCCCTTGTTCTCGTTCCCCTTCTCCTGTTCCCCCTTCTCCTGTCCCCGCTTCTTCTGTCTCCCCTTCTGTTCCCTCCTTCTCCTATTCCCCGCTTCTCCTGTTCCCCCCTTCTCCTGTCCCCGCTTCTCCTGTTCCCCCCTTCTCCTGTCCCCGCTTCTCCTGTTCCTCTCCCTTCTCCTGTTCCCCACTTCTCCTCTTCCCACCTTCTCCTGTTCCTGCCTTCTCCTGTCCCCCCTTCTCCTGTTCCCCCTCCTCCTGTTCCCCCCTTCTCTGGTTCCCTCCTTCTCCTGTTCCCCCTCCTTCTGTTTCCCCCCTTCTCCTCTTCCCACCTTCTCCTGTCCCCCACTTCTCCTGTTTCTGCCTTCTCCTGCCTTCTCCTGTTGCCCCTTCTCCTGTCCCCCGCTTCTCCTGTCTCTGCCTTCTCCTGCCTTCTCCTATCCCCCCTTCTACTGTCCCCCCACTTCTCCTGTTCCTCCCCCTTCTCCTGTTCCTCCCCTTCTGTTCCCCCCTCTCCTGTTCCCCCTTCTCCTGTTCCTCCCCATTCTCCTCCCTGTTCCTCCCCCTTCTCCTCCCTGTTCCTCCTTTTCCCCCTCTCTTTTCCTCCCCTTCCTATTCTTTTCCCTCTTCCCTTCCCCCTCCTCCCCTCCACTTACCCCTCTCCCTCCCTATTCTTTTCCCTCTTCCCTTCCCCCTCCTCCCCTCCACTTACCCCTCTCCCTCCCTGTCCTTCTCCCTCTTCCCAGCTAATTGTATTGAGGCTGTACCTTGTGATAGGAACTTTGGGTAGCTCTCTTAGCTCATATCACACCATCCCTGGGGAAGGGTACCCCATTGTACAGGTGGGTACACAGAAGAGGGGAGAGATGCCCCCACTACAATGTGCTGGGAGCAGAATTTGGACCTGGATCTGAGTCCAGCTCCTCCATCCCCTGCAGGAAGGATCTGGGCTCTTGGGGTGTCAGGGGGCAACTACCTCTTCATAGCAAAGCTTCATTCGTTAAGTTCCTGGTTCTGGGCTATTGTCCCTGTCTCCGAGGATCAGAGAGGTGAAGTCCCCTGCCTGGGTTCAGATGGTTATGGAGTAGGGGTCCTGGTTCAGACCCATGGCTGTCTTTCTTGCCAGCAGCACTTCTTTCTTTGGGGTGATTTTTCCCCCAGGGGACACTGCAGTGCCTGGAGACATTCTGGTTGTTATAACTGGGGTGGAGGGTGCTTCTGGCCTCTGGCATGTAGCTGTCAGGGATGCGGCTAAACCTCCTGCAATGCACAGCACAGCCCCCACCACAGAGAATTGTGTGGTCCCAAATGTCACCAGTGCTGAGGCTGAGAAACCCTGCACCAGGCCCCTCCCCAGCTGACCCTATGTTCCTGCAACTAAGCCAGCAGTAGACATACCTGCAGCAGCAGGTGTTGGTGCTACAGGTGACCCTAGGTCCTCGACCTCCCCATCTGTCTGCCACCTGGGCCTGGGCCTGGGCCCGGAATAAAAGGTGCACCAAGGGTCCCTGGCTTCAGCATTTTTTGTTTTCAGGTTGCATATCAGACTCCTTCTTGCCTCCTGAGGTCCCTTGGGACTTGGCTCCAGGCAGCCTCCCTGATCTAAGACTTCAGCAGCCGCCTCAGGACTCTGCATGGCCAAGGTCCCCTCTGCCCCAGGTCACCAAGGTCATTGTGGTAGGGAAGGAGAAGAGAGGGCCCTAAGAAAAACTCCAGTCCCACTAGTTCCTGGAACTTGCCTAAGGCCAGGAGAAGTTGCTGCCATCGTGGGTTCTGTATATGGGATTCAGGACTTTGGTTCAGGTGGTTTCTGCCAGGCTCTGGCCAGATGCCAGCCTAGGCAGTGTCCTGGCAGTGCTGAGTGACACGTCTCGGGCACAGAGAGGAGTGGGCGCCTGGCCCTGAGCAGAGGGGAGGCTTGTTGGGGGCCAGCACTTGATCCACTGAGCCGGACCCTCAGACCCTGGGTTGCCCTCCTCACCCCCACCCCCACCTCATCTCTGCTTCCTGCAACATCTATATTTAAAAATGTTGACAGATAATAATGGTGTTCAGCCCCAAAATGCAGACAGGAGCTTCCTGACAATTGCAGTGCTGCGCCGGGTTGGAGGTTTTCTCAGGGAGCGGAGCGAGTCCCCAGGAGCAAGTGAGAGTGCCAGGGCTGTGAGGGCTCTTTGCCAATCTTGACCTTTCAGGGAGATTTGAGAGAAAGACTCCAGAAGCCCGCGGGGAGAGCAGGGGTTCTGGGGAAGATAAAGCCCTTCATCCAGGATCCCTCTGTGACCATAAGGTGAGTTGCTTTGCCCCACATCTCTGGTGAGGCAGAGGGCAGGGACTCTGCTTAGGGAGCAGGCTTCTTAAAGGCAAAGGGTTTGCAAATTCTAGCAGCAGCAGGGCCCTAAGAGAATGGCTTTTTTTTTTTGTTCTTGAATCGGATGACTGCATTTGGAGTCTGGGGTGAGGGGTGGGGGCTGCCCCTCTTGGAGCCACAGATGGGTCATTTTTATGTATCAAGGGAGTCAGACCAGGATCAGCCCTGGGTTTCTGGCACAGAGTCCAGAAAGAGTCACGAAGGTCTTTTGTTTGCATGTGAATGGTATTTTAACCTATTACTTCTGGGCTAAAAATAAAAATTCCCCTCAGATGCCTTTTTGTCTGTAGATTGTAAGATCGTTTCCAGGAAATAATAGATTGTCATTGATGTGCGTTTTGACTGCATGGTGTCCTATTCTTAAGCCAGGTTTTATAAAAATTCAAAGTAGAGGAGGTTTCCCACAGTGGAGATTGAAGCCTTCATTTAGTGTCAGGAACATATGCTCCACTATCAGGAGTCATTGTCCTTCCGGGATCTCCACCACTGAACCCTGGGTGGGAGTGTGGGAGTGGGTGAGGGAGAAGGCACACTTGGCTTTTGTGTGGTTTTACATTTGGTATCATTTGTGGACTTTTGGTTCTGAAAAATGGTTTGCAAGTGAAGTTGGATGTCTGGAGTTGGGGCCCAAGAAGGCGATGGAGAAGTGAATTCTAATTCACAGTTAATATGGGTCATGGTTAAGTTCTTGGAAGCAACATTGGTTTCCAAAGGTGCCTGCTGCGTTTTTAAGCTGCAAGGTTTTATGTTTTTTTGACCCAGTGGAAAATGGCGATTCAGGATCCCAAGGACTTCAGGAGAGGTTGTCTGAATGCTAAAACCCCTTCCCTGAAATGCTTGCTTTCTTTTTAGAGGACAGGAAATATGGGAAATTAACAGTCCTTTTGTGGAGTGTGGTTTGCGTGTTGTTCTTTGAGGAGGAATTACGGAATTATGTGCGTGTATAATGATGGTAACCACATACACAATCGAAGAATAACAAGTCAGAAAAATCCATGGTGAGGTTCATTCAGAAATAATCAAGAGTGTATTGTTTAATTAAGGAGAGGATCAGAGGAATGCAGTCCCAGAGCCACCATTTCGGTTGTCACCTAGGTGCAACTCTCAGCAGAAGGAAGCATTCCCAATAAGATGTTCTGAAAACGTACTGCCGTTGAATCTCACAACTTTCACCCCACAAGCTGCAATAAGAGGCCAGTATGAAAATGCGCTCTTTCTTCCCCATACATTTTCTTCTGTTCCTGAGCCGAGCCCATAGGTAGCTTGGCAGTTTGCAATTCTCTGTCTACACGGAATAGATATAGATTTTTTTTTCCTGTATGTTTTGGGTATTAACTCTTTGGTTGCCAAGCTGTTGAGCCCTGAGTCTATATTATACACCTTCAGCCCGTGGCTTACAGGGCTTCAACACATCGTTGTTATATAATGCAGTAGTTTTGCTTGTGGGGTGACTGTTCATATCGTGGATGCTCAGAAAATTCTATTTTTAAAGTATAAAATACCACTCTTCAGAGCAGCCTGCTCACTCCTGCCTCCCTGGGAGCCACACGCTTTGCACCGTGGAGTTGTTGGCATGAAGGCACATGACATATGGATGGGAGTGCGTTCCTCCTGTCTAGGGCCTCTTAGGACCCGAGGAATGGCTGGAGGCAGTTTCTCTCCAGTCCTGAGGTTGATGATCCGAAGCTCTTGGTGCTGAGCCTGTGCTGCTATTTTTAGCTTCCTTTCTTCCCTGCATCTTGACATAATTCGACATGTCGCAGCTGAATCTCATCTACTTGCAGAGCTTACCGTGTTTTGTAATCTGTGTTTTGTGGGGCAGAAATAGTCCTTGCCAGAGCATATTATATCATTATTATTCAGGGGGAAAGTTATGATACTATCAATTAACTTTAGAAGATGCAAAACACAATTGATCCTTTGATTTTCTTTCTACTGCTAATTTCCTGGCTGGGAGCACCTGGAGGGTAGGCACTCCTCCTCCTTCTGCCGGACCAGAAGGCAGCAAGCAGTGGTTCTCACATCTTGGGAACCTGTATCAGAAGCACCTGGAGGGGCTGTTACAAAGGCAATTGCAGCCCCACTGGCAGAGTTTCTGAGTTAGCAGGTCTGGGTGGGGTGGGGGGGCAAGTAATTTGCATCTCTCACAAGTTCCCAGGTGATGCTGACGCCGGTCCAGCACTGCACTTTGAATCACAGATGGAGATCACGGCAGAGGGTTGGTAAATATTTAGGGGGTGGACGATGCCTACATGCAGAGAGCCAATTTAAGAAATATACAGATGGTGGAGCAGGAGATTTTCAGTTGTTGTGTATCCTGTCCACGCGGTTGAAGATGGACTTGATTGAAAAAGAAATTAAAGTTGAAATAAAATTAGCTGACTGAGAGGATGGCTCCTGACAGTGTCCAATGCTGTGATGTTATTTAGGGAGGATGAAGCATCACGACTCAGACAACTTACTTTGAGATGGCCAACAGCACACACAGACATAAATGAAGTGCGTGTACATGCACACACACGAAACTCAGCAAAATATTAACTGCTGAAACAATAGGTGTTCATATTATTCTAATTTCATACTATTTCTATTTCTAATACTTTTCTTCATAACAAACATTGTATTAACATGGCAAACACAATAATAGGGCTTAGGACAGCTTTTCTTGTGTGTGTGCTTAATAGTAAATCAAGGTCACCCACATGTTCACAGCTGTGTTGCTCTGGGTGGCATGGGCATCGGTACTGTATTAGTCCATTTTTACACTGCTGATAAAGACGTACCCAAGACTGGGTAATTTATAAAGAAAAAGAGGCTTAATGGACTCACATTAAGCCTCTGGGGAGCCCTCACAATAATGGCAGAAGGTGAAAGGCATGTCTTACGTGGCAGCAGACAAGAGATAATGAGGACCAAGTGAAAGGGGTTTCCCCTTATAAAACCGTCAGATCTCATGAGACTTATTCACTACCACAAGAACAGTATGGGGGAGACTGCCCCCATGATTCAGTTACCTCCTGCTGGGTCCCTCCCGCAACACGTGGAAACTATAGGAGCTACAATTCAAGAAGAGATTTGGGTGGGGACACAGCCAAACTGTATCAGGCACACGCATCGCTTTAGGGAGTTCTCATTTCCTTCCATTCAACCTGATCCTTTATCTGCTTGTTCTTTCCTCCTTTCCCTTCCATTCTCTTTCACTCCCTCCTCCCTGGCTTCCCTCTCTTCTGCTCTCCCTCCCTCCTTCCTTCTTCCTGTCCCCATCTCCTGTCTTCTGGTGACTCTGGGTCAAAGGACCCTGGTCCAGAAGGGTTCCGTGTGGGGATGTGTTGTGCTGAACCCCTGTTAACCTCAGTAGGGAAGGTACCAGGTTCAAGAGGCCAAAGAAGAGACCTGGAGCCAGCAAACAAGACATACAGTTTTATTATGGACTTACATGCAGGGAAGAGAGTCCAGTGGTGGCAGGTTGAAGAGAACTGTCTTAACATACAGAAACGGTCCAGTGGTGGCAGGCTGGACAGGAGAACTGCCTTAATGTTCAGAAACGGTCCAGTGGTGGCAGGCTGGACAACATATCCACCTTCCTACAGTCTGGTGGTGGCAGACTGGGCAAGAAAACCACAACTGCAACCGCCTGCGAACATCATGCAGTTTACGCAGCATTTTCATTTAGCACCCTCCTCCTAACAGCCCTCACCTGGCAACCTTCATGTAACCCAAGCTTGTCCAACCCAAGGCCTGTGGGACGCATGCAGCCCAGGATGGCTTTGAATGCGGCGCAACACAAATTTGTAAACTTTCTTAAAGTGTTATGAGATTTTTTTTTTTAGCTCATCAACTATCATTAGTGTTAGCGTATTTTATGTATGGCCCAAGACAATTCTTCTTTTTCTAATGTGGCCCAAGGAAGCCAAAAGATTGGACACCCCTGATAGTAACCCAAAACTCAGGGCCTCAATCCCCTGTACAGCCCGTGTTCCACAGGACAGGCCGGAGGCTCAGATGTTGTGGTAGATAGGAACAGATCTCTGGGTGGGCCACTCCCGGATTCCCTAGTTTGGAACACACATTCAGGTGCACCTGTCATACAGGGTCATTCTAAGGGTATGCTTAAAATATTGATGTCAGGTGTGTTTACCCTGCAGGATGCTGTGGCATCTGCCCAGGAAAAAGTTGAATTATGCCAGTTATTGTTTTCCCAGGGTTTTCAGGCTGCCTCCTTGTTTTTTAAATAAAGTTTTATTAGAACACACTCACACCCATTTACTTACACACTTCTCTGGCTGCTTTCCAGCAGCATAGCTGAGGCAGAGACCATAGATCCACACAACTGAAAATATTTACTTCTGGCCTGTTGCAGAAAAAATTTGCCCATGCTGATTTGTTTCTGTGGGCTGGCTGTCTTGGAGATTCCACACGTACACACATGTGCACATGTGCATACATACTCATACTAAGGACATGCAGCAAGACGTTAAGGGTTGTGGAGTCTAGAGTACATGTGATTGTTCATTGTACCATTTTTTTTTTCTACTTTTTCACGTGTCCAAAAAATTTGTAAAACATTTTGATGACTGTGGCAGTGACCACCCCAGGGTCTCTAGAGGAATGCCACAGGGGTCCATCCCAGGTTCTGAGTCTTCAACATTTGCCTCACCCACTTGGCAGGTTAATCAAATGGGTAGATGACACAAATCAATAAAAGCATTAACAAAGTGTCCCATATATTCAAGAGCCAAACAGATATCTCAACAGACTGTTAGGGAGGCTGAGTCAACAAGGAGAAGTTTAATGTTCATAAGCTTCAGGTATCCAGCTCAGATTTACAAAGATCTTTGCCCAGGTCCTGCAAGGAGCAGACTTTGATAGGAATCAGGCCTCTGGGCCAGGCATGGCGGCTCACCCCTGTAATCTCAGCTCTTTGGGAGGCCGAGGTGGGTGGATCACCTGAGGTCGGGAGTTTGAGACCAGCCTGACCAACATGGTGAAACCCTGTCTCTACTAAAAACACAAAATTAGCTGGGAGTGGTGGCACATGCCTTTAATCCCAGCTACTCAGGAGGCTGAGGCAGGAGAATCATTTGAACCCAGGGGGTGGAGGTTGCGGTGAGCAGAGATCGTGCCATTGCACCCCAGACTGGGCAACAAGAGCGAAACTCTATCTCAAAAAAAAAAAAAGAAAGAAAGAAAGAAAAAAATAATCAGGCCTCTTGGCTGGACGCGGTGGCTCATGCCTGTAATCCCAGCATTTTGGGAGGCCGAGGCAGGTGGATCACTTGAGGCCAGGAGTTCGAGGCCAGCCTGGCCAACATGGCAAAACCCCGTCTCTACTAAAAATACAAAAATTAGCTGGGTGTGGTGGCGTGCACCTGTAGTCCCAGCTACTCGGCAGGCTGAGGCAGGAGAATCGCTCCAACCCAGGAGGCAGAGGTTGCAGTGAGCCAAGATCATGGTGCTGCACTCCAGCCTGGGCAACAGAGTGAGACTCTGTCTCAAAAACAAAAACAAACAAAACAAAAAAAAGGGAAAGAAATCTGGCCTCTTAATGGAACCAAAGTCTGCGGGGTCCCTAGAGTGTGTGCAAACTGTTCCAGTCACTGGGACATCAGTGTGCAAAGCCTCCTGGAGCTTGTGTGCTAGTGGGAGAGGACAATGAACGGCACCTATAACCAGTAGGGGATCGTCCTGCATGTTAGTAATAAGTGTTGTGGGAAATGAACAGGAGAAGTAGGGGGAGGTAAGAGAAGGTATAAATGTGGTAGGCTGTAGACATTTGAGTATTACATGGAGTGTCAGGATTGGCATCATTACGGAGGTGACATTTGAGCAAAGCCGTGAAGGCGGTGAGGAAGTGAGCCATGTGGATATCTGAGGCAAGAGCCTTTGGGGCAAAGGGAACCTTCAGTGAAGACGCCCCGAATAAGAGCCGGCCTGGTGGGTTCCAGGAACAGGGAGGAGGAGCCCGTGGTGGCTGGAGTCACATGAGATTGCTGGGGAGGGAGACGGGAGAGAAGCAGGGACATTGTAGGGAGGGGCCTCTGCCAGCACTTGGGCTTTTGCTCTGAGTGTGACGGGTCGGGGGGGACATTGGAGGGTTTGAGATTTAATTATGATTCATCAAATAACTTGAGAACAGGCTAGTGTCCAGGTGGACTGACCAGCCTAGCAGTCATTGCTGCAATCCAGGCGGGAGATGATGCTAACTGGCCACAGTGAGGTTGTGGACGTGGACACTTCTAGAAGGTAGAATGATGCAGTTGGCTGAGGGAGCAGATGGGGAAACAGGGACAGTGGAGTTTCAAGGGAGGACTCTCAGGTTCTGTCGTGAGTAACAGAAGGATAGAGCGTTGGTCCTGGCCTATGAGGGGAAGGCCGTGGTGGAGCAGGTTTCAGGGAGAGAGCAGTTCAATTTTGGCTACAGTGAATTTGGAGCATCTATTTGACATCCGTGCAAAGATGACAAATTGGCAATTGGCTGCACAACTCTGTGCTTGGGAGAGAGGTTTGGGCTGAAGCTGTGCATTCGGGAGGCCGCAGCTGAGCAGAAGCTGAATGTGAGCTAACGCGCTCTCTCCCTGACTTAGTCATTTGTCTGCCACCTGTAGTCTAATTTGCCAAATACTTTCTTTTAAACCAGGTCTTTTTTTTTTTTTTCAAATTTAAACTCATTTTAAAAGGATATCTATGTTGCACTTTTAAGTAGAAATCCAATATTGCTTGCCTTTGATAAAAGGTAACCATAAAATAAAACAATGACAACAAAACAACATTTAGTTCAAGTTAGGCATAGTCTCTCACTAAGGATTTTGAGCCAGAGGGTCTTATGTATTATCCAAACACAGAGATCAACAAGTGTCAGATGCCAGGGTCGTCATAATACCAAACTAAGACTCTCCTCTTGAAGTTCTTGGAAGATTGGAGGGAAATTGGCAAGAAATTAGCTTCTGTTGCTTTGTCCTGGGTCCACGAATCCCTTAAAGTCCCCTTTTACCCTGTTATGTGCCTGGCCCTTGGGGAGATGCTGAGCTGAGCAGCCGTTATAGTGGGTAGAAGAAGGAAGCTTGGGGTCCAGCTTGACCCTCTGCTAGAGGTTGGGTTTGCCTTAGGACTATGTATTTTCTGAAAGGCAAACTGCAATTTGCAAGAACGCAGAGAGGGGCAATGGCTGTTTATTCTAGAACAGACTTGGGGGATGAGAACCTTGGAAAGAAAGGGTGGGATTTTTCCTGCATGGTTCTAGGATGTGGCCCTGCAGCCAGCTGGGAAGGATAAAAGGATACAAGTGGGTTGGTTTCACTTCCCTCTGGGCACAGGCTTTCTCTCTGAGAATTCTCACTGGGGCTCATATCTTTTAAATTAAGTAGTCTGCTCCTGAATAATATCTTTCTTTGGGGCTGTTTCTTTTTCAGTTTATATATTGGGGTCCCTTTTTGACATTATAGGCTTTCCTCAAATGCCTGGTGAGCCAGGATCGACCTTGTTCATTGCAGAATGAAGCAGCAAAGAGCTGGTGTGTGCTCACGGTGTGTTTCAGCTGGTGGGTTTTGTTTCAGGTTGCCCAGGCCTGGAGGTGGCCTTGGTGCTGAGGGGCCTTTGCAGAACCTTCTCTTTGTGGCTGGTCTGGAGACAGGCAAGGATGCTCCTGTACTTTTTGCCTGGAGATGGGAGTTGTCCATGTTATCTGCAATCCACCCTAGGCTGATGGTGAGGGAGGGAGTCTGCTGTCATAGGAAGCATGTAAACAGACTCAGGCTTCTCTCAGCATGAGAAGGGATTTTGGATCTCTGAGGTCCTTCCTACTGTGGATTTGCAGTTTCCCTCCACAACCTCACCCGCAGGAATCCGGAAGCGCCTGATGCCTTCCCTGGGCTGGGAGCCCCTAGAGAGGAGGATCTGCTGAGCTGTTATGACATCGTGCCCACAACTGTGCAGGCATTTGGGAGATGCTCTGAAAATGCCCGATGAAGGGTTGTGAGGATGAAAGAATCTGCTGCTGAACACAAACTGCTGGGCTCCAGGCTACTGAGCCCAACTTATTCCATGGCCCAGCATGTCCCACGGCTCAGCATGTCCTGTGGCTCAGCACGTCCCTTGGCTTCCCATGGCTCAGCACGTCCCGTGGCTCAGCTCTCACTCCTTTGCTTCTGCAGGTCCCTTGGTCTGGCGTGTCCTCCCCACTCTTCCTGAGTTCTCTGAATTCTACTTGTGGCTCCAGGGCCCCCTCTTTCATGAAACCTTGACTCACCACCTCCACCTCTTTCCCCACCTCACCCACCACTGTCCTGCTCTTGGGGCCCTGCACCCACCTCCTGCTGGGCCCCTGCTTCTGCCCTGCAGTGCTGTGGCCCCCTTCCTGCCCAGCAGCTGGGAAGGCATCCTGAAGTGCATATCAGATCTTGCCCTGTCCCTGCCTCCCATTGCCTCTGGACCACAGCCTCTGAGATCCTGCCTGCCTTCCTCATCTTGTCTTCCATTCCTGGGGAACAGTGGCCACATAGCCAGGTGGCTGGCAGCACGGACTTGGGAGACCCTACCAGCCTGGGTTTGAACCCTGTCTCTACCGCCTGCTTGCTTTGTGACCTGGTTCCTCATTTTCCTCATCTGTAAGATGGTGGTGTTGAAAGGACCCGTCTGGTAGGGTTGTTCTGAAGGTTGAGATATTCAAATGCTGAGAACACCACCCAGCACAAGGCTGGTGAATGCTCCAGGAGGGTTCACTGCGCCGTTGCCATTTTCCTGTTGATCCTGGAGTTCCGGCCACTCTGGCCTCTGCTCACATAGCTGGAACTCGTCAGACCATCTCCCACCTCAAGGTCTTTGCCTCTACCGTGCTGTCTCAGGACACTCGTCCCCTGCCTTACCATTCGGTCAGCCCATTATCCTTCGGGCCTCAGGTTGAATGTCACTTGCTGAGAGCAGCCCTCTCTGACCATCCTTTTAGAGTGGCTTCCCCGCCTCACATTCCCCGTTACAGTCTGGCCTGATTGTATCTGCCAGTGGGTTCTGCTTCCCCCAACCACAACTTGCCCATCATGAGGGGGCAGCCTTGCCTGTTGTCCCCTGCACTGCATCAACACTGCCTGGACCAGAGGCCCTCGGTAACTGCCAGTTGGCTGAATGAATGCAGGAATGAGGCATGAACAATGCAAAGATGCTGAACCATGACATGAGGGACTGTTTCATTCATGTGGCATGGGGGTGGGCTACCCCCCCCATACCTAACTTTTCCAATGTGACGGTTTTCCTTCTGAATTTATAAGGTGCCCACCTTAAAGACAGGAATTCAGCTCATATCTTTTAATAGACCCTGCAAGGTATCCAGTTCCTAGGACACAGCATTTTGTTGGTTATTGAATGAGACTGAAGGGATGAGAAGAGTGGCCAATAGCATGGAGCTGGGGCCTAACTGCCCACGTGTGGTCTTGGTCCCTAGTATTTATTAGCCAAGTGTCCTTGGCCAACTTCATTTTATGCCACAAAACCTCAGTCTCCTCATCTATACAATGGGAATAATAATAATACCTTTTCTAGAGTTGGAGGGAGGATTAAATGAGTCAGTTATGTTTAAAGTCCTGGAACAGTGCCAATGCCCACCACATAGTAATTTCCATGTAAATGTGAGCTGCCATGATGATGGTGATGATCATGGTTGTGATGATGGTGGTGATGATTGTGATGTTGATGGTGATGATGATGGTCGTGATGATGATGGTGATGATGATGGTCGTGATGATTGTGATGATGATGGTGATGATGATGGTGGTGATGATGATGGTTGTGATGATTGTGATGATGGTGGTGATGATGATGGTGGTGATGATGATGGTGATGATGATGGTGATGATGATGATTGTGATGATGGTGGTGATGGTGGTGGTTATGATGATGGTGGTGATGATGGTGATGATGATGGTGATGATGATGGTGATGATGATGGTGATGATGATGGTGGTGATGATTGTGATGATGATGGTGATGGTGGTGGTGATGATGATGGTGATGATGGTGATGATGATGGTGGTGATTGTGATGATGGTGGTGATTGTGATGATGGTGGTGGTTGTGATGGTGATGATTGTGATGATGGTGGTGATGATGGTGGTGATTGTGATGATGATGGTGATTGTGATGATGGTGATGATTGTGATGATGGTGGTGATTGTGATGATGGTGGTGATGATGATGGTGGTGATGATGATGGTGGTGATTGTGATGATGGTGGTGATGATGATCATGGTGATTGTGATGATGGTGGTGATAGTGGTGGTGACGGTGATAATGATCATGGTGGTGACAGTGATGATGACGATGGTGATTGTGATGGTGGTGGTGATAGTGGTGATGACGATGATGATCATGGCAGTGATGGTGATGATGACGATGGTGATTGTGATGGTGGTGGTGATAGTGGTGATGATGGTGATGATGATCATAGTGGTGTTGGTGATGATAATGGTGGTGGTGAATGTGACGGTGTGATGGTGGTAATGAGGGTGATGTTGTTACCTTGTAGTAGATTTGAAAAAGTGGAATAGAGTGGAATTAAAGAAAACACTACTGAGTTAATAAGAAGAAAGGTAGGGCGCAGGAAGTGTTTGCTAGGAAATGGAAGAGTCCAGCTTATTCCAGTATCAGTTGAATGCAGCAGACTCATGAACTTTACTGAAACCAAAATTTACCGAAGCTGATGAGAGGATCATGATTTCCCAGAGTGTGGACTGAAGCCTCCGGGAGGTGTCAGAGATGATTTTGGAGTAGTGCTTTTCACACCCTCTGTAAAATAGGACCCATTTAAAAATTTTCAATCTGTTGCAAACTGATAATTTCATTAATGTGTAGAGAAACATTTTCACACTTCACCCCTAAGAGAAGGTTTGTGGACTGGTACCTGGAACAGATACTTATCTTGTAGCTGCCACCAAGAAACACTTTCCAGATGGGCACCGTAGCAGGACACTGTGCTAGGACACGCTTTGAGTAGTGCTGTTTCAGATGAAAATCACATCACATGGGGCTTTGAATTTCACAGAATCCTGTGGTCAGCTGGTTGCTCCCCTGTGAATTATCTTTCAGTTGTGTGGTTGTATATGGAGGAGAAAGTTGTAGTTTGTGGCTCATGTGTCACTGACTGGTGATGTTGGATGATTTCTCTTTTCTAACAAGCAGAGAGCAGCCTCAGGCACAGAACCCTTGACGGGCATGGGGTCTTGCCAGAATGGAATTACACTGACTTGTTTCCATTGCATTTATTTTGTGGCCACTTAATATTTTTGGATATTGATTCTGATTTTCCTATTAGAGCCAAGATGTAAAGTTTCTTTAATAGATAATTTAGGTGCAAAAAGTGAGTTGCCTTAAAACATAGTGTACATTATCATGCAGCTACGAGTGAATATATGACAAAAATCATGAAAGTGGTACAAGACAAATTTGCAGAGAACTCTAGTGGAAGGCAGGATAGAGGAGTGAGAATAGACCAAATGGATGTTTGGGGTCATTTGGGGGCCATGTAAGCCTCTCCCCCTTATCCCTGGTGGAACAGCATTAAGGACATCCTCTCCTTCATCCCAAACATCTGCTTTATGGGAAACCACAGGACTATATTGTTAGTAGTACTGGGAAAGCCTAGTCGGCTTTATCTTTTGGATTCTGAGAATGTTGTCAGTGATCATGTTTCTCTCTTCACTGGAGTTGCTAGGAGTTCCAGCATCCAATTTCAGCTCCAACCTCCAATCCTTGCACAGAACCCTACAGTACGTGTTTTGTGTATTGAAGCCACAGAAGCATGTATTTTTCCTCCTCATTCTCTCCCTGACCTTTTTTTGATTTTGTTTTTTGTTTTTTTTTCTTAACTGCAGTTACATTTTTGTAAGCTGTGTTACATCGTTGTTTGGAACACAGTGGGGGTAATGCATAAATGCTGAATAAATAAATAATGATGAAACTTTTTCCTCAAACTGTGAGATTGGGGCCACTCCATTGTTAGAGTTATTTTAATGTGATCAGGACAAAGAGGCCAAGAGTGTTGTAGGAAGTAAGCTTTGTTCTCGTGGGCTTGGGCTGGGCAACGCTGTGGTTGTTGGGAACGCTAATTTCTGTTATTTGGTGGTGCTCATATCTCAGGCCTCTGTTTAAGAAACAACATAGATTCCTCCAAGGCACATATTTGCATCCTGTGTGGGCCGAGGTGCCTGGCTTCATTCTTTCTCTAGATACCCACACTATCTCATGGGTATTTTTAAATGCGTGTCTTAAGAGCCAACTTCTCTGCTGTGTGCAGGCTTTTCATGATGCCGGGAGAGTTGCCACGTGGATTTGCAGGCGCTGAGGGCAGAAACAAGGAACAGGCAGCATCAGCTCAATGGGTGGGACCCACTGTCCTTTCAGCCCTTGGTGGGGCGGCCTTGGAGGAAGGGTCATTCTCCAAGCAGGGCAGAACTCAGTTCCAGGTTGGCCAGAAGGCCAAATGGACTGTGGGGCAGGTCTGAGGCCAGGTAGTGGGGCGACCCAGAAGCAGGAAGATGGTGTGTCAAATGTAGAGTGAGACAGAAATGGCAGGGGCTGAGGAGTTGTTGAGTCCTGTTTTTTCACACTTGTGTGGGGATCTTGAGGAGTTTCGTAGAGGTGCCGCAGGGTCTGCCTGTTGAGGAGCAAACCAAGCTGACCGGGTTACAGGTGCCATCCACTGTCCCCTCCCATCTGATTGGTTTGGATACTAGGATGTTGTGTGGATTCTCCTGGAGTCCAGACATAGCCAGTGAAACAATATTGAACCCCCTGCAATAGTCCAGCCCCATCATTCCATTTCATAAAGGAAACTGAGGCCTTGCCAGGGATCCCAAAGTGGTAATCCCTCTTGTAGAGTTCCAGGGGAGGGCACCAACCTCTACCTAGCTACTGAAGCCAGAAACCTGGGCATTCACCTGCCCTTTCCATTTTCCTCCTCATCCCCATCCCTGCCACATCCCTGTATCCTGGCATCTCCAGCCTTCAGCACCTCTCCAATTCATCTGCTTCTCATTACCCCCAGCCACACCAGGAAGGTCCAGGCCCCCTTGTCTGTGCGCTGGGAGGATACAGATGCATCCTGAGCCTTCCAGCTTCCTCTGTTGGGCCCATCTAATTGGGTTTCTGCTGGGCGATGGGAGTGATCATTTGAAACTTCAAATCTCATTATGACAGTCTATATCCCTTCCTCAATGTTCCCATCTTGTTTCACATCTTTCAGTGGTTGCTCATGGCTTGTAAAATCAAAACAAAACAAAACAAAACACCCAAATTCCTCACCAAGCCCCCTCCTGCACCTCTGGCCTCATGATGGCATGATTCTTTGAGTCTGGGGACCTGAGCAGATGGTCTGAGCTGTGCTAGAACTCTAACCCACACCACCGCCTACCATGCACAAACACAGATGTTTGCTGGCTGACTCCAGCTCATCCTCTCATCTTAGCCTCAGCATCACTTCTGCAGGAAGGCCCCTTCCAATCTCACCAGGGCCCATCACGTCATCCTGTCTGATGCCCTTTGGCACTCTGGGCTAATCCTTTGGGGCCCTCAGACGCCGTCCCCACTGTCTTAGTTGTCTGGTTTGCTCTCTCTCTTCCCCTACTGGATTGTCAACTTCCTGAGAGCCAAGGTCACATATAGCTTTAGCCTGTGTCCCAGGCCTTCAGCATGGTGCTTCTTTGGGCACAGGAGGTGTGTGCAGAGTGGAAGGAGACCTTCATTTGGTGGGGAGACTGTATTATAGAGAAGTAGTTTCATGTTCCAAAGAACAAGCAGGAAATATCTTCCTTCTCCTCCTCTTTCTGCTAGTAAATCCTCCTTCCTCCTCACTGGCTGGATGAAGCATCTCATGGTGGAATAGTTTCAGATCCAGGGTTCCCAGGAAAGGGAACCACCTCCAGTTCCCCATCCCCTTTCCTTTCCTGGGAGGTCTCTGGTGCTTATGCTACTAATAATGAACATTTAACTAATGAGTTGCTACCTGTTCATATTACCAAAGCCTCCCTGCCAAAGGCCACCAGAGACATTCCTGGGGTCAAATCAGATTAGATTTATGGAGCTTCCTGCATCACAGGGTAACACAGTATTGAGGGCCATGACAACATCCCAATATACAGGACTGGGAGAGGCTTTTTTACAGGGCTTGAGTATGATCTGGATGATTCTAGAAGAAATGAAAGAAGCAAGGGCCAGCTCTATCTGATACTATCAAGAAAGAGGCCTCCCACTATAGGATATCTCAGTGGTCTTTGTTCAGGAGGTTGGAGGAACTAGTTGAGGCTGGGTAAGTGCAGGATCCCTGCCCGTGGAGGGGACATCAGTCACGTTTGTAGCTTCCATGTGGCCTCGGGTGTCCTGGCGGAGACCTTGGCTCTCCTGTCAGAAGCTTCCTCTGATTGTCAACAGGGATGATTTTATTTTACTCTTTATGCTTTCATCTTTCATATTTAAAACTTTGATCAGTCTAGAATTTCTTTTGATATAAAATGTGAGGGACAGAGCCAACCTACTTTTCTATTTTAGATTGCCATCAATTGTCCCAACTCCATTTATTGAATGATAATCGCTTTTCTCTGATTTTCTTGCCTCCTTTATAAATATATTAGATTCTATACAATTTTGTGTCTATTTTTGGACTTTTCATTTTGTCCCATTGAATTGTGTCTATCCTTGCAACAAAGCCACATTGTTTTAATTATTATCACTATATTATATGTTTTAATAACAGAAGTCCCTTTCCCTCATACCTTATTCCTCTTGCAGCTTTTTCTAGTTCTTCTTGTTTATTTTTTATATAAATTTTATCTTATTTGCTATATGTCTTTTAAATATCTGATAACTTTAGCAGGATTTTAGTTGTGTAAGAATTACAGAATTTTAATCCTGGAAGGATGCTGAGGAGGTTTCTAACTCTCTCATTTTCTGGAGAGGATATGATTTTATCAAAGTGATGCTGTGAGTTTATGGCAGTGAGAAACCAGGGAATCCCCAACCCTGAACCCACCTCCAGATCCACTCGCCCCACCAAGCCTCCAGCTTTTGACCCTGCATATTTTTAGGTACCCAGAAATTACTTAATATTTAGCTTAGTGGACTGCCACGATTTAAATTTGACCTTTTAAATCCAAGCACCTCCTTCTGCTATGTTGCTTTTAGAAGAAAGGACAAAGCTGAGGAATTCAACCTTTGTTTCCATTTATCTCTTAGCCTTCCGAGACAGGACGCAATGTAGCCAACACCACTCCTTTGTCTCCATGGTCAAAGTCGGAAGGAAGTTCTTTCAGAGGGGTTGGCTTCATTGATCTTGTGGGGAAAATCTTACAAGTACCCAGGGCATGGTGTTTGATAAGGAAGTGAGTGGTGTGAAATCCAGGCTCAAGAACAAAAGCCCTACAAGCCTGTACCCAACGGGGCCACTGGCCTAGAATGGTAATAAATAGAATTGGGTGACAACCTTGAAGGTCACCCGTGGTTCAGCTCTGGAGGTGTCCTTGTTTGTACTCACTTTGAGTAACCATCAACTTATAAATAGCCTCAGGCCAATTGCCCAGTGATGATTTTGACTGTCGCTTGCCAGGGGCCTGGGCTTGTGGTTTGGTTGTGAGTCTGTCATGGTCTCTGTGACCTCAGAGGAGGAGGAAGGAAGATGATGATGGATGCTTCTAGTGATGCAAGCAACAAACATTTTTGGACAATGTGCCCAATACCATTCTCTGTACTCTGCATGAGTTAACCCTTCAGGCTTCAAACAACGCTTTGAGGTAGGTGAGGAGACTGAGCACTAAAAAGGTGAATGCGGAGCCAGTGTGAGCACAAAAGGCCTGGTTCCCTGCTAGACCGTGCCTCCTCTTGGCTGGAGCTCTATGGAAAGAGTTGGAACCAGGGAGCCTTGGTTAAAATATCAGCTCCATCCCTTATGACCTTGGGCAACTTACAAATCTCCAAATCTGTATTTTCACCTTTTAACTAGAATAATGTATGTCAATTATAGGGTGTTAGGATTAAATGAGAAAATGTACATAAAACTTTTGGGGCATTGTCTGGCACTGGGTAAGTACTCAATGAAAAAAGGTAATGGTTTTTTAACTTGTTTAATGTTTCTAAGCCTTAGGTTTTCCACTTATAAAATGAAAGCGTCATTATATATGGTGCGTGGCTGTCTTCTCTTTTGGTTTGGTTCGGTTTGAGGATTTGTCGGGGTCACATTACCGTCATGACCACCTGTGTGACCTTGAGCAGATTCCTTAACCCCTTTATGTTGCAGTTGCCTCCACTCTGAAGTGGGGGTCCTGATAGTGGCTGGCTCAGGGTTGTGTGATAATCAAATGAGAGATGCTTAGAGAATAAGCATCGGCGTCTGGCACAGACGTCCTCATCCTCCAAGATCCTGTGACTTGTTGCATCTATGTGCTTGACTTAGCCCACAATCCGTCCCCATCTCCCTTCTCTTCTCTTTGTTCTGGGAATCTTTAAAAACACTTGTTGAGCTTGGGGTCGGTTTGCAGAATCATCACCTACTTTTAGGGTAGTCTGTTTCATTTGGGGTAAACATTTAGGTTTCTAAGACATTGGGACAGTGATGTTTGACTTCACATCTATTCATGTGCTCTCACTGAGCTCTGAATATGATGTTTCCATTCCCCCATCTATCAGAGATGACACAGAATCATTTATATAGACTCAATAGACTCTTAGGGGAGGCACCAGCCCTGTCTGTAGCTTCACTACTTCTGAGACTGAGGTGGTACCTGGTGTATCAGTTACCTGTTTCTGGCAACAAATTATTCCAGAATTTAGCTTGTGATTTTGTTGACAATTAGGCTGGACTTAGCTGGGTGGTTCTTCCAATCTTGGCTGGGCCCCTGCATGCATCCGTATTCAACTGCAGGCTGGGTATAACACTGTCAGATTTTGGTGTCAGCTGGGATAACTGGGATGACTCAACCCTCTTCTGTACTCTTCATCTTGGTCCTGTTCACATGGTGGAGGCAGAGCCCCAGGCAAGAGGGAAATGTACAAAGCCCCGTTAGTCCTAGGCTCAAATCGGGCCCACCATCTCTTCTGCAGGCAATTGGCAACGTAAGCCCCAGTCCAGCCCAGATTCAAAGGAAGGGGGCACACATCTTCTCTTGATGGGAAGAACAGAGTTCACTGCAGAGGGGCCTAGTCTGGGGAGATGAAGAAATGTGGCCGTTTTTGCAATTTGCCTCACTGACCACATAGAGGGTGACTGGCCCTGTATTTTATGTCATATGTGACTCTATAGAAATGTGTCTCCTAGCTGGGCTTTGCAGAGATGCAGACTCTATCTGTCTTTCTGTTGTGGGCTTTCTACCTTGTCATGAAAAGGCCAGAAAATTCCTGAAATGAGTGTCCTTTTCAGTCCTTCAGGTGAGAGGCTCCTCAGGGATCCACAGACCATTGTTTTGGCTTCTGTCTCCCTCTGCTTGTCACACAGGGATCACATACACAGGTGGAAGTGAACTTGTTTGCTTCCCTTCCCAAACTGTAAGCTCTGTGAAGACAGGAATCTCCTTGACTCACTATTATATCATTGGCACCTAGTAGGTCACTGTAAGTATAAAATGAAAGAGGGCAGGAAGGCAGGAAGGGAGTGAATGAGTTAGGAAGTTAGGCATCTAGATAGGAAGGAAATGAGAGAAAGCCTCGATGGAAGAAGGAAAGAAAGACACTGGAGGTAAACAGTTGGGAAAGAAGGAGGTGAAGAGATATAAGGAATTTAAATTATTCTTCAACAAGCTAGGTATGGGGCAAGGCACTGGCCTTTCTGAACCTCATTGACTGCATCTGTGTGATGGAGTAATAGTAGCACCTACCTGGCTTATAATGAAATAATACATAGAAGCTTTTAGAATAGGGACCATCACTGATGGCTGCTCTAGTTGTTCTAGTTTCAGCTGATGAAGGCACTAGGATCCTCAGCATGGAAGACACAGCAGCAGGGACAGGGGGAAATGCTGTGGGTCCAAGGAGATAGTGCAGGTGCTCAGAGGGTCATGGAGAGAGAGAAGCAGCCCAATGATTGCCGGGTGCTATGCCATTCAGTGCTTCTTCTAGGCATGGCTTTGAGCAGCAATTGGCCAGGCTTCCAGAAACTTCAGAACAAGTGGACTGTGAACTCTCTGCAAACTAGATGCTGTGATATGCATTTTCATAATTCCCCCAAGGATGTGGACAGGTGGAAATAAACTCCCAGTCACACAAAACCCCACCACCCAGAGAGCAATCTGGTTGACATCCTGGCTGAGTTTATTACCATAATTTTTCCTACGGGTACCTGTGTAAATATAGAAACTGTAGACAAAATTGGAATTGTACCACTGATATGGTTTGGATTTCTGTCCCCATCCAAATCTCATGTCGAATTGTAATCCGTAGTGTTGGAAGAGGGGCCTGGTGGGAGGTGATTGGATTCTAGGGGTGGATTTCCCCTTGCTGTTCTCATGATAGTGAGTGTGTTCTTATGAGATCTGGGTAGCACCTCCTGCTTCATTCTCTTCCTCCTTCTCCGGCTATGTCTTGTGAGATGTACCTGCTTCCCCTTTGCCTTCCGCCGTGATTATAAGTTTCCTGAGGTCTCTACAGTCGTGCTTCCTGTACAGCCTGTGGAACTGTGAGTCAACTAAACCTTTTTTCTTTATAAATTACCCAGTCTCAGGTAGTTCTTTATAGCAATCCAAGAATGGACTAATACAACCACTTCTGCTGTATCTTGGGTTTTTAAAATTCACATTATTTTGTGAGTATTTTCTCACTGCCTGAGAATTTTGGGGTCAGGCATTTTTCTCTTCACCGCTTAGACACTCAATTTCTGTTTAGAAAATGGGGAGAGTAAGAGTATCTCTCTCCTAGAAGTTGTCTATTTTTTTTTTTTATTTGAGATGGAGTCTCACTCTGTTGCCCAGGCTGGAGTGCAGAGGCATAATATCAGCTAACTGCAATGTCCACCTCTCGGGTTCAAGCAATTCTCCTGCCTCAGTCTCCTGAGTAGCTGGGACTACAGGCTCACCTCACCACATCCAGCTAATTTCTGTATGTTTACTAGATCCAGGGTTTCTCCATGTTGGCCAGGCTGGTCTCAAACTCCTGACCTCAAGTGATCCACCCACCTCTGCCTCCCAAAGTGCTGGGATTACAAATGTGAGCCACCGCACCCAGACTATTTTGTTTTGACCTGGGGAGAGTTAAATGAGTTAATATCCTTAGCCCAGTTCCATAACATCCACTGTAAGCTTTTCTATATGTTCCTTTATTTAGGAAGAGTGAACATAGTGCCAAGTTTTACTTAGAGAGCAGTGCTCTGCATGCTTTGGTGCTAGCACACAATAAAATTAAACGGAGGTCAAAGCAGAGAGCACTTAGGGATTCCCAAAGCGTCCAGAACAACAGTAGATGGTTATAAAGGACAGCAATAGTACAATGACGCTGCCTCCAAGACGAAGTACAGCATTAATTAGTACTGGGCAGTGGATGGCCAGGCTCTTTCAGGGCTTTACTGAGAGCCTCTGAAGGGTGGCAGTGATGAAGAGTGGGGCCATGAGTGACCATCTCAGGCCCGTCGGGAAGATACTTTTCATGTGGTTGACCCATGGCAGAAGGAAGGACCTGTGTCATCCCTGAGTGTCTGAGCATGTTGGGGCTGTGCTTCGGGACATGGGGTTTTTCTCCCTGGTCTCGTTGGGATGCTCTTCACACCTAAGCAGGGTTTGCACATTCAAACATGGGCCGTTTGTATTCCAGCCAGCATTGCTGAGAAGGCCGGGGAGCAGCTTGGTGCATACTAAGGAGCAGCTCCTGCCCTGGCTCTGTCCACACCAGGCTCTCTGGGCAGCTGCCCATGGAGAACACAAGCCAGCAACCTTTGAGGAGAGCCAGGCCAGCATTTGACCATTTGAGGCTGATGGACCCTGGGTGGCAGGGCCTCGGCTCTGCTTTTGGGAGACCTTGAAGGCTGATGCATTTCCTCCCCAGCCCCACTCTTACTTTACCTGGATTGCTGCTGGGACTTTGAGACAGTCCACGCTTTCCTATTGTGGAGGCTGTGCCTTGCCTGGGGGATGGAGACTGAATCTATTGGTGATGATCCAGTAAAGGGTCTCAGAGTTCAGCAGAGGGTGCTGGGATTCACCCCAAATATTTGGGCAGAGGGAGAGAGACAGGCTGTGAAACAGAATGAAATAATGATGTGATAGGAAGCCCTGCAAGCATTGGCCCCTTTAATTCTCCCTAGGACTCTATGAGGTAAGGACTGCCCCACTTACCAGGATATGAAACAAAGGCTCAGAAGGCTCAGAAGGTGGAAATAAATCTCCCGGGTTTGACCAGGAGCCCAGCAGCCCTTCCCCAGAGCCTGTTGACAAACAGTGCAGGCATGTGCCTGTCTCAGGGTTATCTTCCGCCTGCTTTCTTCTCAGCATGCGATTGCATCATATTGTATTGATTGCTACTGGAAGACTGAATTCAGAGGCCTCACAGATCTATATCATGACTTTACGGAAATAGAAAAAGAAAAGGTATTTTTCATGGTGGCTCAGACTTACTTCTTATCCCCATCCTTGCAGGCAGAGGCCCCTAACAAATGTCAAAGGATGACTGAGGGGGCTTTGGAAGCCAGGAGACTTGGCTGTAGATCTCCTCTACCACTTCTTAGCCATGAGACCATTGGTAACTCATCGAACCTTCCTGAACCTCAAATAGCTGCTATTGCTATTTGTTACCCATGAGACCAAGGAAATAGTCTTCATCATGACCAAGGAATAGTCATGTTCTAGACAGTGCACAAGCTAAGAAAGGAGCAGAGATTAGAAGGAGAAAAGAGGAAAAAAGAACAAGCAGGACATTTTTCACCTAAGAGATTGACAAAAAAATTTAATTTAATCAATAAATTACCCAGTCTTGGGTAGTTCTTTATGGCAATCCAAGAATGAACTAATGCAACAACTTATGCTGCATCCTGTGTTTTATTAACTCACATTATTTTGTGAGCATTTTCTCATTGACAATATCAAGTGTTGGCAAACACATGTGGAAACAGCTCTTACAAGTCTCAGATATAAATTGGTATGGCCATCTTGCAGACACAGTTTGGCAATATCAAGTAAAATTGGAAAAACAAATGCTTTGACTGTCCGTGACTATTTCTAGGTAAGGAGGCTTGGACCAGGATGTTCATCACAATATCAACATTGTGTGTAATTATGAAAAACTGGGAAAAAATCCTAAATGACCATTAACAGGGGACTGAATACATCAAATGTGGCATATTCTTACAATGGGACACTTGGCAATAGTTAAAAGTAATGAACTAAATTTCTATGGGAGGAAAATGAAGTGGACAGTATAATACCATGTTTGTAAACCTACCCACCCCAACAAAATAATATCATATATAGCATGTCAATGTGAAATGAAAAAAAGACTGGATGGAGAGAGAGGGGCAGGGAGATGGAGAGACAAAGACAGAGACAGCAAGCAAGAGAATGTGAGAGCTGTAGGTATCAGACTAAAAAGACACATACCAAATCTCTGATAATTGTTCCTTCTGGGAGTGTTGAATGATAAAAAAAAAAGGATTTCACCTTTATCAGGAATGCTTCATTATATATTATAATAGTTATACATATAAACACACACCAGATGATAGCTTCAATACCCTCCAGTTTTGTGCATTTGATATATGATTCCTTGTGCTTTTAGGTTTTCTTAATGTTACTCAAAGAAATTGGAGAAATAATTTTTAAAACAAGAGATTTATTTGAGGAGCTTAGAGAAGGGGAAAAGTTTGGATATCTAATGATTTTTATTTTAAGGTCAAGGTATGATTTGACTTTGCTCTGTAAAGCAATTTTCTTTTCTCCGGGAGAATGTTTGCAGCAAACATTTATTAATTAGCTACCATGTTCATGGCCCACAGAACTCTCCATGGTACTAGTTCTCTACCAGGCACACAAATAAATCCTCAGCTAAGTAAGTTTATCTTGGATGACTTTTTCTCTCAGTTTGATAAGAATTCAGCTTGCCATCCTCTGGCCTAGCTGAGCCACAGGATGTTGAAAGAAGATCAATGCTGCCTGGTAAGTACATTCAGAAACACAACTTCCCCCAGATATTCCAGTGTTTCTGCTGATGCCCAAATCCCTAGGTCATGTCAGCTATGAAAACATCAGCAAATGTATGGAGTATTAACTGGAAAGGAGTGTTGTTGCTTCTTACTTTTTATAAGCCCAGAAGATTCCAAGAACAGGGAAAATATCTAAAACCAAGTCAGAAAAGGACGTAAGTGCAGAGCCCATTGGTGACTGCCGTTATCTGCTTTGAAACCCCAGGAGTTGGCGATGTTGTTTGCAAGGAGACAGCTATGCTTCCTTTCTTGTTTTAGTCTTGGGCTGAGACAAATATGACATTTCCTAGATTTGGGGCCCAGAGCTACAGAAAACATGGCCCCAAACCAAAAACTTCAAATTTTAAGTCATTCATCCTTGAGGAATATGCTGATACCTCATTTACCCCTTGTGACTCCTAAACCCTGGACATACCTTTTTATGCTATTAAAAGAAGGCTTCTAGTTTTGTTTACTCCAGTCTCCTAGATGTTGTCATTCCCCTTGAATCTCCTGAGAGGCTGGAGATTATATTTGGTCTGGCAAATGGTTTTCTTTCTACCCCCTTTCTCCTTACATTTATTGTAAAAATATTTTAATAGACAATACATGTATATGGTTACAAAATTAAGCAGCATGAAAAGGTGCACACTGCCATCATGAATACTCTTATCATCATCATCACCTTTATTGGATAGTGAAAAGTCTGTGGCCGGGCGCGGTGGCTCACACCTGTAATCCAAGCACTTTGGGAGGCCGAGGTGGGTGGATCATGAGGTCAAGAGATCGAGACCAGCCTGGCCAACATGGTGAAACCCCATCTCTACTAAAAACACAAAAATTAGCTGGCCATGGTGGCAGGCACCTGTAATCCCAGCTACTCAGGAGGCTGAGGCAGAATAATCATTTGAACCTGGGAGGTGGAAGTTGCAGTGAGCCAAGATCGCGCCACTGCACTCCAGCCTGGCAACAGAGCAAAACTCCGTCAAGGAAAAGAAGATGAGAGAAGAGAAGGGAAAAGTTAAGTTTGCATACTAAACTTGCTTTCTGGTTGACCAGTTCTCCTTCCCTGAGGCAACCACTGTTACAAGTTTCTTTTTCATGATTTCTTGTGGATTTATTCGTGTTATTCACGATATGTGTGTTTGTCACATGAATGATGGCAATCTACACATACTGTTTTGTACCTTTTCTTACTTTGTAATATTTCTTGGAGATCATTTCATGGAGATGGATGTTGGTCTTTCTCAGTTTTTTATGTGTTGCCTGATAATCTGTGGAAAAGGTTCTTCTCCACTGCCCTGTTGGTTGACACTGGGGTTGTTTCCAAACATTCATCGATGAATCAGTGCTACCTCGAATAATCTTTTAACCATGTATGCATCTTTATTTTCAGGTTTGAGTTTATTTGTAACATATGTTCTGATGACTGCAACTGCAAGACCAAATTATATGTGCATTTTAAGTTTGTCTAGATGTAAAACATTGGCCTGCAAAGATATTATATCAACTTATAAAAAGAAAAATTAATGGCAGCACTGTTTGTCAATGCCCTCACCAAACTAGGTCATTGACAATTCTAAAAGATGGGTCTACAAGGGTAGTGCTTAAAAACATCATTTTTGGTTTAGGTTCAAGCCATGTTTACACTTGAAATGGTATGATATCTTACATGGTATGAGAGTGAGCAGGTGGGGGCATATCTGGAAAGAGATCAGTGTGCTTTGGTAGTTGTTGAAGTGAAGCTGAGTGATGAGTGCATGGTAGTTCACGTTTCCATGCTCTGTACTTTTGTAGGTGCTTACTTTTTTTGTTTTGTTTTTTTGTTTTTGTTTTGAGACAGGGGCTTGCTCCATCATCTAGGCAGGAGTGCACTGGCACAATTATGGCTCTTTGCAGCCTCGACCTCCTGGGCTCAAGGGATCCTCCCGCCTCAGCCTCCCAAGTAGCTATGATTACAGGTGCACCACACTATGTCTGGCTAATTTTTAAAAAAATTTTTTGGCGACGGGGTCTCACTACATTGCCCAGGCTGGTCTCAAACTCCTGGGCTCATGTGATCCTCCTGCCTCAGCCTCCCAAAATGCTGTAATTACATGTGTGTACCATTGCGTCCAGCTCTTTTTCCTTTTTATAACAGGAATGTCCAAGCCATATATGAAACAGATCCGACCCACATAATAAAAATATGGACCATAAATCATCACGAGTTGTTTTCTCCTTGTATTTAGCAAAAGCTCCTCCTGTGCTCATGGCAGGCTGAGTGCCTGGCCCGTGTCTTCGTACTCTGCACAGTATCCTTGTGAGGCTGAGATCAGTGTTTTTATTTCTGTCTCACAGATGAGAAAACAGTGGTCCAGAGAGATTAAGTAGGTAGCAGAACCAGGGAATGCAGACTTCTCACAAAGCAATACACTGCTTCTGCCTGACCATCACTTTGCCTGGCTGCTGCCTCTTTGGCTACCATCTGTCTGCCAGTCTCTGGGGACACTAGTTACTCTGACAGTCTAGCTACCAGATAGGCTCCAGTAAGATGGGAAAGACCTGGATAGAAATAAAGGCATTCTATGAACATTACACCAGCAACTCTTTTTAAAAAATAGATTTTATTTTTTAGAGCTGTTTTAAATTTACACAAAAATCTTACAAAAAGTGAGTTCCCATATACCTCCTCTCCCCTTCCCAGTTTCTCCTATTATTAACGTGTTGCATTGTGTGCACATTTGTTACAACTGATCAACAAATGTTGATGAATTATTAACTCAAGTCCACAGTTTACATCAGGGCTTACACTTGCTGTTTACATTCTACGGGTTTTGACAAATGCATAATGGAATGTATTCACCATTACAGTATCATAGAGGATAGTTTCACCGACCCCCCAATCCCCTGTCCTCTGCTTCTGCAGAACCCCTGGCAACCACAGATCTTTTGGTTGTCACTATGGTTTTGTCTTTTCCAAGATGTCATATAGATTGAATCATGCAGTATGTGGACTTCTCAGACTGTATTCTTTGACTAAGCAAGATGCCTTTAAGTTTCCTCCATGTCTTTCCTGTCTCGATAGCTCATTTCTTTTTATTGTTGCTTAATAGTCCATTGTCGGGATGTACCCCAATTTGTTTATCCATTTACCTGTGGAAGGACATCTTGGCTTCATCCCATTTTTTGGCATATGGTCATTTTTCAGTATTTTCCAAATGGTTAGATTTCATACGTGAATCTCATTGCTCTTAGAAGGTCATTCAGATGTGCTCCTGACCTGGACCCAAATGGCCTGGACCCACTGTCATCACCTCCCTGTCTGGCCTCTTCTCCCACTCCATCTTCTTTCCCCACTCTGCAGACCCTCCAGCCTCCTTCCTGTTCTTTTGTGCACCATGTTGGATCCTGCACCTTCATCCTTTTTTCTTCTTTTTATTCAGAAGACTCTCACCCCAAGTCTTCTCACATCCAGATCTCAGCTGAAATGACACATCCTCTAAGATGCCCTCCTGACCCCCTTACTGAAAGGGTTGCATGCTGCCAAGCAAATGTCCCTCACAGACTGCTCTGGGATTTCCTTTACTGCACTTTTCACTCTCTGAAGTGGCCTTGCCTGTTTAGCTGGCCATCATCTGTCCCCCACCTCTGGAATGTCAGCTTCGCAGAGGGAGGGACCACATCTGGCTTATCCCTGGCTGTATCCTAGCCCTAGAACAGTGCCTGGGGCCTCACAGAATATTTGCTGGATAAGTAAGTGATGGATTGATTAGTCTGACTACTCCAGTGCTTCTCAAGTTGATGGCTTTCCATCTACACATATTGTATTCATCCGTGAAAAGAGAGAAGAAACCAGGAAAAGCACATCTCCAATGATGAGGGTTATGTCTCTGGCAGCCTGTATTTTGGACCTGGGTGGGATCATAGTGTGTGTTCTTGTAGCTTTTGCCTGAGTTTCGTCTACATGGCCCTACTTATGGAGTCTAAGATGGAGCTGACAGTGATGTATCATTCTAAACAAGCGTGTTGTTGCAAGAATCCATTTCAAAGAGATCCTCTTTTAAATGCTACTTCTCTCCCTTCCTCTTCATCTATTCTAGCCTTTGAAAGGTGTTTATGTTGATTCTGCCATTCTCCATTCCTGAGGCACAGATAAGCATCATAAATATGTTAGTTTTGAACAGGTCCTGAAATTTGCCGACATAATTCCCATTTTCTTGTCAGTACTTCCAAGCATGAATAGCCTTTTTTTTCGGTATGGTGAATTATCTACAGTTAGGGATGGTTTAAAGGTATTTTTATGAGGACGTTTAGTCATTGGGATCACTTGTTCCTGAGTCATGCATTTATTTTAAGTCTAAGTCTTTTGAAAGGTCATTTAGATTTTTCAAAAATAGTAGTCGTATCGTTGTCTCATATTCTTTCTCCTTGCCCATTTTTTGCTTTTAACAAAGGAAATTATTTTCAAGGAAAGCATCTTCAGATAATGCACAACCAGCCCAGGGGAAACCTAGCTTTATAGACACACTAGTGAGATCGTTGTGTAATTTGATGGGGGAAGGTTTGTAAGGTTTGTGTTCTGTGTAGAAAATGGTGAGATTTTAAACCAAAGTTTCATTCCAGTTATGAAAATAAGACATGTGCATGATAAATATTTTCAGATCAGTGAAAGAAATAAAATAATTTTTACCCATAGTTCTTCTAGATATCATTAATATTTTGGTGTATTTCCTTGGGGTGTGTGTGTGTGAGTGTGTGTGTGTGTAATTTCATCAGACTGGAAACTCTGAGCAGTCAGAGTTCTTGTCTGTCGTCCTCATTGCTCTATAGAGAGTACTCCTGAGAAGACACTCAGTGCCAATTTACTGACTGAATGAAAGTTAAGTGTGTGTGTGTCACATATTTCAAAACAAAGTCTAGATAGTTCTCTATATTTGATTTTGTGTCCCTCCAGCAATTTCTCATTTTTAAATTTTTCTTTGAAAACATGATTTCTAAATAGTGGGCTGTTATTTCATGGGATGAAAAGTTGTGTTGGAAAGCCCCTTCACACTGGAATCTTTGAAACCATCTTCATTCATTTCTTTACAAAAAATCTTTAGCAGTGAAATTCTTGGGTTAAAGGGCCTGAACACTTTAAAGACTTTCATACATTTTTGCTAAGTAACCCTCCAGAGAGAAGGGAACAAGTGGCCTTCCCATCGGCAAGGAATAAAATGACCCATCTTTTTATGTTCCCATTAAGAGTGGCTTTAAGGGTTCTCTTGTAATGATGCATTTTTGTTGTCTACATTAGACTTGTTGTCCCTAGTTTCTTAGTAGCATTCTGATTTTGCTATGGTATGTTTTCATGTTCAGAAGTTTGAAAAATTGTTAGGTCAAATTTAGTATTTTTTTCTTTAAGACTTCATTAATTGCTCCTATACTTAAGAAGGTCTCCATCACCAAGAGAAAGCAACCTGCTTTCTCTCCTGGATTATTTTCTTCTGGCTTTCTTGTAGGTTCCTTTTCTTTCCACTTCAGCTCATGGGAAATGCATTTGAATGTGAGGTGTAGCTTCCTGATCATTCTGGGTAGCCCAGTCACTCAGCACTCTCCTGAGAATAGTCTTTTTTTTTTTTTTTTTTTTTTGCCACTGATTGGAAATGCACGTCTTATAGTATTCCCATTTTTTACATTATACTAAATTCTCTTTCTGGACTTTTTATTTTATTTGTCTGGATCTGCCATGTCTTCATGTTAACTGTTTTGATAACTACAGCTTTA
The DNA here is from genome assembly GCF_000001405.40 of Homo sapiens. Classification (NCBI taxonomy): domain Eukaryota; kingdom Metazoa; phylum Chordata; class Mammalia; order Primates; family Hominidae; genus Homo; species Homo sapiens. The sequence continues at coordinate 59,704,720 of NC_000020.11, forward strand.
TTATATATTCTAATATCCAGCCAAACACCTCCTTTATTATATTTTTTTCAATTTTGAGAGCCATTCTATTATGTGTATGCTACAAGAAGAATATTATGAGTTATATCAGATCAGATTATAAAATACAATGAGAATTACATAAAAGTTATACAATCATTTTGGAGAACTGATATTTTTACCAAATTGAGTAATCCCATTCAAAAGCCTAGTATGTCTGTCCTAGTATTTAAGACTTTCTCTTTTTTTTTTTTTTTTGAGACAGGGTCTCACTCTGTCGCCCAGACTGGAGTGCAGTGGTGCCATCTGGGCTCACTGCAACCTCCACCTCCTGGGTTCAAGCAATTCTCCTGCCTCAGCCATCCAAGTAGCTGGGATTACAGGTGTGCACCACCATACCCAGCTAATTTTTGTATTTTTGGTAGACACGAGGTTTTGCCATGTTGCCCAGGCTGGTCTCCAACTCCTGAACAAAAAGTGATCCGCCCGCCTCAGCCTCCCAAAGTGCTGGAATTACAGGCATGAGCCACCACTCCTGGCCAGTATTTGAGAATTTTAAAGTCAATATAATTCTAAGTTTAAACGTTATGGTTTCTTCCCAGGGAGCACAACAATTTATTACGAGTTTTATTTCTATGTGTTTAATGTTTTGCATTGGTTATTGCAGATGAGATTTTTGTTTTCCTGTTAAACTATCTGGTGATTTTGCTAACACTAGAAAAAAATACTAATTTGGATTCATTCATTTTGTAACCTTAAAAGAGTGATTCATCTTACTCTCTTAGTATTTATCTTATTACTTATTATTTAATATTTATGTTAAATACCCTCTTAGTATTTAAATAAAATAGTTTTCAAGTTGGTTCTCTTCAGTTCTCTGAGTGTAGATTGGTTCATCAGCTGCTCAAAGGGTGAACAATGAAAGGGGTGCTTCCTGTGAAATGTTCCCATGGGGCTCATAGTGCACCTGAGCCGAGACACTCCTGGTTCAAGGGCAGTTCTGCTGCCCTCTGTCTGTGGAGAAGGCTTGTCTGTTGAACCTCTCACTGCCATTTCCCTTCCTGCAGGCTGTGAGCCCAAGAATGAAGGGCTGCTGGATCACTGGTCTTTCTGTTTTGCTGTGAGAGGAATTGGTGGTGGCCCCCTCATGCTTGGCCTTTGAGCCTGAGGAGGGACGAGGATCTACCCTGGGTGTCCAGTTACTCTTTGAGCCAAGTGGTGGATGAAGACTTTGGGGGTGTGGTTGACTCAGAGGCCAGAGCTGAAGTGAGCAGAAAGAGCCCACACCACCTTCCAAAGCACCAATTCCAAGTCAGCAGGTGACCTTCCAGAAGAATTGTGCAATAGGCTTTAACTTTTATTGTGCAAACAAGTTTCTCACATAATTAACTCAATGGCCTCCAGATGAAAACAGTGACATTAAGACCCCACTGGCTTCCTCTGAATTCCCTGACGAACTCAAACTTTTCCCATACTGGCCTGTAGTATCTGGATTTCTGCAAAAGACAATAGGGTTGATTTTGGAGTTTCAGACTGTGGAACTCTGTCCTAGTTAATGAGAAGAGTCTGATAAGGCCACCCAGAGGGCAAGTGAGGTCTAGGACGCTGCATAAACAAATTAGGAAATGACAGAGAGGCACCAAAACTGCAGCACGTTTCAGCTGTGTGTTCCTTTCTGTGTCTCTCTGATTCAATGTGGCCAGTGTTTTCTGGAGACTTTTGCAAAGGTGGGAATGGGGACACATGGCACTGTGACCCCATCTAGGTGGTTGGGCCTGGAGGCTACTCATCAACCCACCACCCAGAGAACAGACCATGCATTCCCAGCTCCCAGGAGCCAGTGCTGCTCCCGGTTCCTGCCTGGATCACATTAGTGTTCATGGTTGTTAAGCTTGTTCCTATAAAGAGAGCCCTCTCCCCAAGAGCTGGTAATTGGGGAAAGAAGGGCTTTTTTTCTGCTTTGCTTGTTCCAATCTTGTGTTTTTGCTTAGAATATGAACACACATGGTCACACACATACATGAAAAGCCAGAACAACCAGAGGACCTTCTGTTTGAGCACCCAGACTAGACGCACAGCAGGGAAACCATGCCCAGCCTGGTTCCCTGGGGTCTGGGCTCTTGGTTCTTTCCTTTGCGATTGAGGAGGAGGCAACCTGCTTTCTCTCCTGGATTTAAAACACCCTCTACCTCTCAAGTCCTCACATCATCTGTGGACCTTATCCTCAGTGCTTCTCTAGAAATGTCTTATTGTTTTCTAACTAAAGAGAATATGAAATTTATTTGCATAAAGAATCTTTTAGTAATGAGTACAGGAAAAAAAATAGTCCGACTTGAGCTGGTGTAAATGAAGAGAGGCATTGATTGGTTCACCGAGCTGAAAAGCTAAGGGCATCAGGCAGGTGGCTGCATTCAGTGATGTGGACCACGCCAGCAGGGCTCTGCTGTCTTGTGCCTGGCTCTGTGTCCATCTGATTTGGCTTCATCCCCCATCAGGTTCTCCCCATAAGGGAGGAAATGACTGTGTAGAGCCCCTGACTCATATTCTCATAGCTTAGCAATCCTTACTTAGTGATACGGTTTGGAAGTTTGTCCGCTCTAAATCTCCTGTTGATTTGTGATCCCCAGTGTTAAAGGTGGGGCCTAGTGGCTTGGGGCCCTCCCCATGGTGATGAGTTCCTGACAGCTGGTAGCTAAAGAGTCTGGGGCCTCCCTTCTTCTTTCTCTCTCTTGCTCCCACTCTTTTTTTTTTTTTTTTTTTTTGAGGCGGAGTCTCTCTCTGTCTCCCAGGTTGGAGTGCAGTGGCAGTGGCATAATCTCAGCTCACTGCAACCTCTGCCTCCTGGGTTCAAGTGATTCTCCTGCTTCAGCCTCCCGAGTGGCTGGGACTAGGGGGCATGCCACCAAGCCTGGCTAATTTTGTATTTTTAGTAGAGACAGGGTTTCACTATGTTGCCCAGGCTGGTCTTGAACTCCTGAGCAAAAAACGATCCTCCCACCTCAGCCTCCCAAAGTGCTGGGATTACAGGCGTGAGCCCCCTTGCCCAGCTCTTGCTCCGACTCTTGCCATCGAACGTGCCTGCTACCCCTTCACCTTCCACCATGAGTGGAACTTCCTGAGGCCCTCACCAGAAGCAGACATCAGTGCCGTATTTCTTGTACAGTCTGCAGAACCATGAGCCAAATAAACCTCTTTTCTTTATAAATTACCCATTCTCAAGTGTTCCTTTTTAACAATGTGAAATGGACTAACCTGGGAAAACACATATTTTAAATTTTCCTAACAGTTCCAGAAAAAGTCCTGGAATGGATTCTCATTGGCCCAGCCTGGTCACATGTCCATCCCCTGAACCAGTCATGGTGGCCAGTGAAATGTGATGCTCTGATTTGATTGGCCAGGCCTACCTCTGTCTGTACAGCTGGGTCACTGGGGTGACAGATGGGAGCATCAGCTCCATCCAAGCCAATGGACTGCTGATGGGGACAGGGGGAGTTCATCAGGATAAGCTGGGCACGTGCTACTGTAGTGATCTGAACTTTTGAGGGGCTCACAACCATGGTGCCTGTGTCTCTCTAATTCGGCATGTTGATCATGGGATAGCAAAGGGACGCTGCTTATGGAAGTTCTCTGGGCACCAGCTGGACCGAGGCACCACATCCACATATCCTCCACAATCACAGAGGCAGGAAGGGGGAACATGGAGAACCGTGCCCTGGCTGGGAAAGCATCCGCCCAGAAGGGGCAGATGCCACTTGCACTCCTATTCAGTTGGCCAGAATAAGTCCCATGTGCAGGCCTGGGTTCTACAGGTGGGGATGTGTAATTCCCTCCCGCTGAGAGGCACAGAGCATTTGTGAGTCATAATAGAGTCTGCTTTCGGTTGCCCTGCTGGTCCCCAGATATTTAGGTCCTGCTTCATGGGAGACAGCCCCAAAGTCCCACTCAGTCACTACTCACAGCTCATTGTCTAGGATCTTTGGGTGATGAATCATTATCTTTACATCGTGTTTGGACATGGCTCTTCTTTATTCAGAGACTTATGACAAGTGATCTGCCCCCACCATCAAACACCTAAGATTTAATCTTGAAACAGGGATAGGATAACTGCAGTAAACGTTCAGAAAAGGGACGATGAACTGTCAAATGATCGCTACCCTGAAGTTCTCCCATGCAAATACAGTGACATTCCCTTCTCTGGGGGAAAGAGAGTTCCTTCATTGAGCTGGTTTGGCTCCATGGGACTACCTTCCAGTCTTCATTGGCCTTCTTCATTGGCTTTAGCGCCACCTTTCTGAAGTCTTCCCTTTTTGGTTATCCTTGCTGGCGGAATCAAAAGAAGATATTGGAAGACATGCTCTTCATAGAGTATGAGCAGGTGTCTCAGCCTAGAAAAATGGAGACCCAGGGATTATTTTCTACAACGTTCAGTCTCTTTTATTCAATCTGGTGATGGCTTGGACAATAAAAATCTCTCAAAACTTTTTTGGTCCCAGTTGGCTTCATCTGCCAAAACACACCTACAGTTTTTCTGAGATGTACCTTTTCCATAGATCTAAGACCCTGATCTTGTCAGGCTCCCATAAAAGAGCTATAACCATGGTCCCTTTGCCAATGAATTTTGTCCTAGTTTGCTAACACCACATAAATCCATTTGGGATTTTTAACCACAGGTGTGACAGCAGACCAATTCTAAACCACCCTTTGCCAGTTAAAACCTTTTTGGCTTTCTTTTGTTGCTTTTCTCATTGGTTCTAAGAAGCCAGGGTTTTTTTTCCAATCTTACAAAACTTTGAAGTTCTAGATTCTCTTTTATTTTTGCCAGACCCTGTTATCTGCATAGACACTTTCCCAGAAGTACTGGTTATATTATTGAATAAAGAGAGTAGTTTGTTACCTTCATCTTAGGAAGGGCAATTTGGTGACTTCAAATGTGAGAGTTAGCACCTACTTGGGAGTAGGAATTGTCCTTAGTATGTTTTAGGAAGAAATTAGATTTTTCATGCCTTGAGCCTCCCCTTTGTCCAGGATGCATGAAGGACCTGATGGGAATTCTGGGTGGTGTTGGGGGAGATGGTGCAGGTGGAACACTAGTTTCCTGAGGTTGACTCAGCACTTTCCATTCTGCTGAGTCAGAGTCTCGGTGCCTTCCTTGATTAGGTAAAGCCATCCCTTGGCATCTCTGAAGTGCAGCTTATAGGCTACTTGTAGTGATATGGGACATGGTCTTTTATGGGGTCATGTGTATTTTGTCATCTGGTCCTTTTGCAGAACCTGTTGTGTTCTGACATTCCTGAGTTGGCAGAGGAAAAAATCAGGTCTCAGGGAACATGTTGGTAAGTGGCAAAGTCAGGGTTGTTGCTCAGGTCTTCCTGGCTTGAGGTCTTTTCTTCTTTCTATTTTTGCAGATTGGTTTCTGGAAAGATTTATTTAAATCCTCTCTAGTTCACCCCTATTCTTGAATCAAAAGGCTTATCTTAACAAGCACAAAAAGCCCCATTTATTCAGGTATTATAAACAAGAATGGAAAAGATAGATGTGGCCTCATTTACTCATCCCATTCTCCTGCTTTTTATCCCACACCAGGAGTCTACCAGGCTCTAAGCAGACCTCAGGAAGGATGGGGCTGTCAGATGTGAGATGTTAGTGGTCCTCATTGGACTGTGACTGGGTCCTGGTTTTTGAAGCTTGTTTTGTTTCTTGGGAGGCAGCAATAAGGTCAAGCTGGGGCTCAAAGCATCATCGTAACCAGCAAAATGGGGACCACAGCAGCGAGTTCACTGGCTAGGCCCTTTAAAAGGCAGGCACACACTTTCAAATTTCCCACTATTTTTAACCAGCTTGCTTGCTTGCTTTTAAATTCATGTGTGGTTCCTGGAGGCACTTGACCTCTTTCTACAGAGCCTTCCCCTCTGCTATTTTAATGAACAGCTGCATCAATGACTCCCTAAATTCCAACTGCATCTTCTTCATCCTCATTAACCTTTACCTTGGCATTCAAGCCTCTTCCAGGCCTCCTCCTCCTTTTTCTTCCTCACCTCTCTTACCATGGCTTTCCCTCACCCACTTCTTGATGTTCCTGCATCATACCTTCCTTTATGGGAATGTTCTTTGCCACCTGTCAGGATCCTACCCACCCCTCAAGGTCTGGTTCAAATGCTACACCTTCAGAAAGATTTTGGGGGAAAAATAAAGTCTTTTTTCTTTTTGAGTCTAAAAGTATTGCACACTCATTATAGAATATTTATAAATAAAATTAAAGTCATTCCCAGTCATATCAACCAGTTAATCCCTACAAATATTTGCATATTTTCATTCATCTTTCATGTATACATATATACAGAAAATATTTATAATACTGATGCCATATTGTATATATAATTACATATCCCAATTTTAAATATAGCATGTGTCTTGAAAATTTTTTGGTATCATTAAATGTTTTTCAAATACATAATTTTCACTGGATACTTGAAATTCTGTTCTACCTCTCTTCTACAATTATGTAAACATTCCTCTTACTGTTTGGTTGTTTACATTGTTGTGCGTAAGGCTTTGTCTCTATCTCTGATTATGTATGTAGAAATATAAGTATTTTTGAACAGCGTAAACTTTTTTAAGCTCTTGACACACATTGCCAAACGTTTTCTCAGAAAGGTGGTATTTGTTTTCACTCCCATATGTACTGTAAGCTCATCTTTCCAAATCTTTTCCAATCTGATGAGTTGATTTTTAAGAAATCAACTACCAGTTTGGCAAAAATGGAAACTCATTACAGATTCCCCTCAACTTACAGTAGGGTTTTGTCCTGATAAACTCATCTTAAGTTGACAATATCATGTCAAAAATGCATTTAATATACCTAATCTACTGAACATCATAGCCTCGCCTGTCATAAATGTGCTCAAAACACTTATGTTAGCCTACATTTAGGCAAAAATCATCTACCACAGCCTATTTTATAATAAAATATCAAATATCTCATATAATTTATCAAATACTGTTTACCCCGTCAAAATTGCAATGGTTTCACGCCATTGTAAAGTTGAAAAGTGTTATGTAGAACCATCGTAAGTCAGGGATAGTCTGTATTTAATTTGTTTCTTTTGGGGTAACTTGTAGAGTTTAATTTTCTTTTTTAAGTTGTTTACTGCTATATTTTTTCTTCTGAAAACGATTGAAAACATTTGTACTCTTTTCAATGGGGTTAAGAGAAGAGGAAGATTTTGTGCTTCTTGTTCATTTTAAAGAGGTCTTTATATATTAAGGACTTTTTTTTCATTGATTGTGAATATATTCCAGAGTTCATTATTTTACTTTTTTATATGAATTTTGAATGAAAAGTTTTAAAAATTCTTATGTAATTTGGACTAGCCATTCTTTTGTTCTTGATTGGTTCTATTTCTTTTAAGCTTAAAAATTTTATCTTAACCCTGAATCAGTTTTTTTCCCTAGATTTTCTACAACTGTACTTTTCAAATTAAACTGAAATCTATCTTAGTGGGGGTATGAAAGATTTCCAGTGTGACTTTTCCCCAAATATCTGATTATGATTCTGCTATGCGTTGCATTGTTGAGAAATGCTTTTCCCATTGGCTTATGGTGCTTTTGTTCATCTTGACCTAACCTATCCCATATTTCATGTAGATGCACCCCATGATCTGAGTAATGACACTTCCACTGTGGCCATGCAGTTTTGATTATTATAGCTTTGAGATGCATTTCCAGGTCTGTTAGATACTCTTCCTTGTCATTTTTTTATACTGTGGTCCCCTCCCAGCCATAACTTTGCACACTCTCGAGAGTTCCAGTGACTGTTGCAAATGCCTTTAACTCTTCAGCTCACTGTGAACTTCTTGAGGACGGGACTCAATTTGTCCTAATCAACTACACATCCTCTGTATCATAGCCCATCATAGCATTGGCCAGATAGAATTCACTGAAAACACATTTGTTATGTTGATTGTGCAATTTCTTTCTGGTCATTTTCTGGGTGACTTGTATTTTTAGAAAACCTACAATCAGGTGTATTATTTGATTAAATTTAGGAAAGAAATATATGCTGTATTTAATTGGCTTGTGTTTCTCAGCTTCAACCCAAGTTAATTCAACTTTCAGTGTTGTTTGTAATTACCAGACATTTAGTACATTAATGAAGACTTCTTTCCAGTAGCCCATTTATATTTACTCTTGAAAAATGATTTACTTTTGATTTCAAACCAAAAACATTATCATTCTAATTTCTGGATTCTCTCATTTCTATTTTCAACCCAAAACATTCCGTTGAGATATGAAATAATATTGGATCAGCCTGGAAGGAGACCTTGGGTGAACAAAGCGAGTTTGCCTCATTTCTCACAACACGGTCTAGGGTCTGAGTTCTCATTTTGAATCAGGGTGGAGGTGGGAAAACAGCTCTCCTGGGTGCCTGTTGAATGTGTGCCTTTTTGGGCATCTGTTTACATTCATGAGGGTCCACAGAGGCCCAGAGAAATTCCAACTACTTGAGTTTTTTTTTCTATCTACATTTTAACACTTAAGTCGATTCCTGGACATATCTGGTACTTCTTGTGTTTTCTACTAGGCATAGGACATTACTTTGCACAGAGCAGGTGTTCAATAGACACGTTTCTTTTAATGTAAAAAAATTTATTGAATATGACCCTCACATAACAAAGCAGCCCAGTAGTCCCCTTGTGTACCCCCACCCAGGTATTCCCAGAGAGAACCACTGTCTTAATTTACATCGTCTTGATTAGTTTTACTTGTTTTTGAGTCTTACATAATTGGAACTGAACAATATGTAATGTTTTGTATCTGTCTTCTTTTGTTCAACATTACATTTCTAAGATTGGTCCATGTTACCGGGTTTGATAATATTTCATCATTTTCTTTGCTGTATAGTATTCCAATGTGTGAATATATTCTCAATTTATCCAATCTACTGTTAATAACATTTGTGTTATTTCTAGTATTTGGCTGTTATGAGTGATACCTCTGGTAACCTTCTTGAGCTCGTTTTTGTCTTTTGCTTTTTTTTTTTCTCCTTTTTTGGTAAAGAATTGCTGGGTCATATGGCTTGCATATGTTTGGCATTAGTAGATACTGTGAAACAGTATTCCAAAATGTTTGAACCACGGTCAACTCCCACAGCAGCATGGAAGTTCTAGTTGCTCTTTAATCTCCCCCACCCACCCTTGATACTGTCAGCTTTTTCTAAACAATTTTAGACATCATGATACTTGTATGGAAATATTGCATTGTGGTTTAATTGGTATTTCCTTGAAAACGAATGAGGTTGAGCTCCTTTTTATTTTTTCATGGCTATTTGTATGTCTTCTTTATGAAGTACCTGTTGAGTTTTTTGAAAGTTTTAAAAATTGAATTCTAGGAATTTAAAAAATATATATTCTGGATATGAGTCTTTGGTTGAAGTTCCTCAATGTGCTTTGCCTTTACATTCACTTAATTATATATTTTCAGGAAAAGAAATATTTAATTTTAATGTAGGTCCATTTAGCAATCTTTTTTCCTTTTTGTATCTTATGTAAGGAGTATTTGCCTACCCACAAACCATAAAGCTTTTCTCCTGTTTTCTTCTAGAAGTGTTATTTGTTTTGCTCTGAAATTTGGAATCAGAATTAATTTTATGTATGGTATGAGGGAGGGATCAGGAATCAATTTTCCCATATGGATATCCCATTGATCCTCCACCATTTGGTGAAAGGACCATTCTTTTCCTACTGCACAGCTGTGTTCTTTTCTCATAAATCAGTCAGTACACTGCGTGGGTCTATTTCTGGGCTCCATGTTCTGTTCCATTGGCCTGTCTGAACTTGTTCCAATAGCACATCATCATAATTGTTGGAGATTTAAAATCAGTCATGATATCTGATAGTGGAAATCCTACCACTTTGTTTTTTTTCTTCAAGATCATCTTAGTCATTCTTGGTTCTAGACATTTCTATATAAAAATTTGAATTAATTTACACACATACACATAAACCTTTTGTAAGTTGGATTGGAATTACATTGAACTTGTGGGTCAATTTAGGAACAAATAAAATCTTTAAAACATTCAGTAATTTGGTCTGTGAACATGGTATATCCCACCTTGTATTTAGGCTATTTTTCTTTTTTCTCAATAATGTATTCTATGTATAGGTCTTATGCACATCTTTGGCTAGATTTATTCTGGAGTATTTTATGCTGCTTTAATGACATTTAAGTTATCTCGTTTAAATATAATTTTCTAATTCTTTGGTTCTGGCATATAGAAATACAATTTATTTTTGTATATGGACTTCCTATGTAAGAAACTTGCTAAATTATTCTAATTAAGATTATTTTGGATTTTCTAAAAACATTTCTCTGGAGAAAAAAAGGAAAGCTTCATTTTTTCCTTTCCGATCCTTAAACATTTTATTCCTTGTTGTTCTGGTTAAAACCTCTAATACAATTTTAAATAAAGACCTTCTTGTCTCATTCCCAATCTCGGAGGGAAAGATTTGAATATTTCATCCTTAAGTATGGGTTTGCAATAGATTTTTTGTATATATTCCTCATGAAATTAAAGAAATTTCCTTTTATTCCTAATCTGCTGGCAGTTTCTAATCATAAGTGTGTTAGGAGTTTTATCAAATGCTATCTCTGTATTTGTGGAAGTGATCCTATAACTTTTCTAATTTATTCTGTTAATGTGGTGATTTCCACTGATTATTTTTAAATGTCAAGCTAATCTTGCATTTCTAGATTAAACCTAACTTGTTTTCCATGTTTTGTCTTTCTGCATTTCTCTGCCTCTGGTTTACTAATGTTTTCTTTAGGATTTCTGTATCTATGGTCACGAAAGATAGGCCTGTCATTTTCATTTCTAGTGATGCCCTTTTCTGGCTTTGGTATGAAGGTTATGCTGGCCTCTTAAAATTGATTCCCTCATGTTTTTTATTCTCTCTGACACTTGTGTAAGACTGGTATTATTTCTTCCTTGAGAGCTTGGAGGAATTTACTGTGGGGCCCATACATCCTTCATCAGATACTCAAATGTTTAGAAGAGGTGACATCCTTTACGTGAGGTTCCAAGTTAAGAAAAAAAATGTTAAAGGTAGAAGCAGAGGTGCCTGTCCATATTTTCTCCTAGTGGGAATGATTCATTTGTATATTTATTTATTCAGCAAAAAATATCCTAAATGTTTGTAGCACACCAGACACTGCAGCAGTTAAGGATACAGCAGAAGTGAAACACACATGCCTGCCTTCTAGGAGTTCACATTCTGGACCAAGGAGTGTTTTCTATTCCAGTTTGAGAGTGTGTGTCCATGCACCTGGCTGTGAGCTCTGGGTCCCTGTGTGCTGGCCCTGCCCCTCCTCTGGCTCATGGTGCTCACTCCACTCCAGGGCTCCACCCCATGTTTTCAGTCTCCACCCAGACATTGCTTCGGGACCTTCAGCAATGAGGTTCCCTGCCCCTGCTTTGCTCTTCCCTTCACCCTTTGTGTGTGTGTGTGTGTGTGTGTGTGTGTGTGTGTGTGTGTGTGTGTGTGTGTGTGTTGTGACAGAGTCTCGTTCTGTTGCCCAGGCTGGAGTGCAGTGGTGCGATCTCGATCTCAGCTCACTGCAACCTCTGCCTCCCAGGTTCAAGCGATTCTTGTGCCTCAGCCTCCCAAGAAGCTGGAATTATAGGTGTGTGCCACCATACCTGTCTAATTTTCATATTTTTACTAGAGACGGGGTTTCACCATGTTGCCCAGGCTGGTCTTGAACTCCCAACCTCAGATGATTCACACACCTCAGCCACCCAGATTACAGGCATGATCCACTGCACCCGGCCCTCTTCACTCTTCAACTGAGAGTCCTGCTCATTATTAATGTCACTTTTTTTAGAGAGGACTTTCTTGGTCCCTGGGCTAAAGGAGATTCTCCAGTCCCCTAAGCTCAGAGCCCCCATGCTCTTCTCTCCTAGCATTTACATGTTCATAATTCACACATTTATCTGTATGATTATTTTTGTTTTAATGTCATTTGTTGTCACCAAATTGCGGGCTTCATGATGAAAACAGTTGCACCTCTTCTACTCACCAATGATACTCTTGTGCCCAATGCAAAACCAGGCACACAGTAGGTGCTCAATAAATGCGCCTTGCTCTCCTTCCTTTCTAAAGGGTTCCAGAAGGCCATTAATAGGCAAAAAACGCAAGCGTGGGTGAAGGCTGAATCTATCATGCTCCCTGATGGGTCCCCATGCCCAGCACTGGGTGCTCTCTTAGTGTTAGTAAAATACATGAATGAATGAATGAGTGAATTAATGGATGGATGAAGTGCAATTGAAATTTATTATGCTCATAAACACAAAAATTAAATAGATTTACTGCATTAAGATTATTTTAAGAAGTTGTTTTATTCCTACATTCATTTTGTTTCCAACACAAACAGTACATAAAAATAATTATTTCTTGGATTCATGAAAAATTGAAAGGGCCCTTGAGTGTTTATTTAGTGTATTCTTTTTGGCAGAATTAATGATCTTAATAATGAAAACAGCACTGGGTGACTTTTTTAAATTGAAGTTTTTATTGAGATAATTGTAAATGTGCATGCAGCTATGACAAATGGCAGGGAGATATCTTGTGTACCCTTTCCTCAATTTTCCCCCAGTGCTAAACTAGAATATACACACCTAATTGGGATACTGACACGGATGAAATCCACTGAACTTATCCCACTGTCTAACTTAATTCACATTTGCAGCACTGTGCTGAGTGCTTTATCTCATTTAACTGTGACAACAGCCCTGTAAGGGGGATAGCATTATCACTCAGGTTCTAGAGCCTGGGACACCCGTGCTCAGAGAGGTGGAGCAACTCGCTCACAGCCTGGTGCATGCTCAGGGGTGGAGCTGGAATCCCCACTGGAAACCCACCCCCCAGCCCGTGTTCTTCCTGGTGCTGGCGTAAACCATGATATATAGATCTGTTCCTTGTTAGAGATCTCTAAAGAAGAAAACTACTTGCTTAACAAAAATGACTTTGCTATATAAAGGTGTGGTTTTTTTGACTATTCCTCCAGAATGGCATTTTTTAGAAGTCTGAAGTCTAAGAAAACCTCTGCAAAAATTCAAGGCACTTAAATCTTTGATGAAGCACTCAAATGTATTCATTTATCATCCAGTCTTTCAGTTTCATTGTAGACAGATTTATGTCCTTTGTGATGGTAGCTCCATGTCCTGGAATGGACCTCCCATCCAGGTTCACAGATACAGCTAAGAGGCTGGAAAAGGTCGCAAGTGGAAGGAAGCTTGGGTTTGTAGTTTCCTCACATATTCTTAGAAGCTAGGGGCTGGGGAAACCCAGAAGTTAGGTGGTCAAGGGCAAAAAGATTCTCCCTTTTCTGTCTTTCTTCCCCAAACCTTGTCACATGGAAGATTTGAAATGGCTCCCCCAGGCCTGAGTCCTGGGCAGCTGTGTCACTGTTGGTGCCCACCTCCCAGGCTGCTTGCTCTGCCCTGCTTGGAGAATGACAACTTCTTAAGTTGCCACACAGTACCCAGAGCCACCAGTTCCTCTCCTGGTTGCTGTGTGGCTGAGACTGACCCTGGATCATGAGGCATCCTGCTGCCCAGCCCATCATTTCCATCTGGTCCTGTTGGGGAGGAAGAAAATGCAGAGGCAAATGCAGATGCAGTATCTGTGGCTGGGCTCCAGCAAGACCCCTCCAAGGTCTCTGACCCCAGGGCCAGTGGTTTCACCCACCTGGACCATCTACAAGGGTCAAATCCAGTGTGTGCAGTGCCTGGAATTAGAGGAAAGAGACATGCAGGTACAGCATCGTGAAAGGCCCCTTTTGATGCTATAGAAAAAAAAAAAACCTCCAAAATAATTTTAATCATGTTCCTATCTTTGTTTATATTTCATTATGGAATGAGATCTGGTTTTGACTTATATTAAGGTGACCTGTTTGAAATTGCCAATTTTGTGGGTCGATGACAGCTGAATATTGGCAGTTTTAAATGGTTCAATCTAATGCGAGTTAAATTAAAACCTTGAGGAATATGCAACTTTTCACTTTACACGGCTCTGTTTTAAAAAGGGTGTCAACATATTTCAGCCTTGCGGAGATGGCGGCGTATGTCTATCCTGTGTTGCAAGCAGCTGTGAATGGTTGCGTCGTTTTGCTTGGCCTACGCATGGGCGTGTTGTCACCAGAAAGCGTCTCTGCTCCTCCAAGTGGTGGCAAGCCCCTCCTGAGAGCCATTCCTCATCCAGACAAGAATCCATCAGATCTTATGAAAATTTAATGTGTGAAAGTGTACAGTTGCATGAGGGTTTTTTTCTTTTAAATAAATTAGTTTGCAGCCCTTGCTAACACCAGATGAATGAATTAAGAATGCACCTCCCCCGGGGCTGTCGGGCTGCTAAACTGCATGCTGGGGCGAAATTCCCTTTCTCTTATTCTTAGCTTTTTCTTTTTTTTTGAAACAGAATCTCACTCTGTCCACCAGACTGGAGTGCAGTGGTGCGATCTCAGCTCACTATAACTTCCACCTCCCGGGTTCAAGCAATTCTCTGCCTCAGCCTCCCGAGTAGCTGGGATTACAGGCGCCTGCCACCACACCCGGCTAATTTTTGTATTTTTAGTAGAGACAGGGTTTTACCATCTTGGCCAGGCTGGTCTTGAACTCCTGACCTTGTGATCCACCCACCTCGGCCTCCCAAAGTGTTGGGATTATAGGCATGAGCCACCGCTCCCGGTCTCTTAGCTTATTCTTAAGGGGAATTTCCTACCTTTTATTTTTCTTCTTGAGAGAGTTTCAAATTTGCCAGAACCTGAAGGGTTGTTGTGCTTTCAGCCAAAAGGATGTCTCAGTAGCCTTTAGCCCACCTTCCCCCAGGGCAATGGTAGCATGGAACATGCAACCCCTAGCTTACTTGAAAGATTGGACTTGAAAAAAATCAGCAGTTCCTTCTGGAATCTGCAAGGATTGGGGAATTTGAAAGATTCAGGGGAATTAGTTCGGCTTCCCAAACTAGTTGGTTTTAGTGACCCCTTCTTCTTCCCGTTGCATCACTGGTGTGACTGATGTTAACATTATTGTTGCCCCGTTTTACAAATGATGACCCTGGAAAGGCTTGGAGGGCCCTGGGGCTGCCTAAGGTCATAGGCCAGGAAGAAATGGAGCCTGTCCGAGGGCTTGCGTCTCCTCATTCTGAAGCCCAGGCTTTCTCCATGTTTTCAAAATGCCAGCTGGTTGCATTTTGTTTTTCCAAATGATATTGTAGATGCCAGAAAGTGGGGCCTGTGTTTCCATTTCTTGGTTTTCCTGCCCTTCCAGCTCTCTCATAGGAGGCATATGATGAGCACAGGGAACAGGCATCTGTGCTGGGCAGACCTAAAACGAGGAAGGGGCACCGTGACCAGTTACCTTGCGGTGTGGCACAGTGCTATCTTGAAGACCATAACATCTCTCGAGCAGGCTAGCATATCTGGTCCGAAAAGTCGCCATTTCTTTGGGTGGGCTTGTACAAAGTGGTCCACATCTCACAGGGTGGTCTGCTGGGCTCTGCAGGCCCGTGTTGTGTCCATAATACATGATCAATAAACACAAAAGCTGCCCATCAATGAATCCAGGTGTTCACCCGGATGGGCGTGGGAAACTCAGACAGGCAGAGGCCACGGGCTCTTCTGTCTCTCAATTCCTGTCCCCTTTGCATACTGGGGGGGCACTTGCTGGGGGTAGTCCAGTAATTTTATCTCATGGTGCTCCACCAGAGACCATGGTGCTGATGGCACCTACTAAGCGCAACGCTGTGCTTGACTCTACCCTCTGAGTGTGCCCACTCAGGGCTGGTCTCCCTCATGCAGCCCGAGGCCTCCTGCCAAAGTCCACTTCAAGGGGAAGCCGAAGGTGCACACAATCCCCTACGTCTCCTTTGATCCAAGTACATCAGCTCTTCCAAATTGTGTTTGCCGTGCATTTTTTTTCCAGAATCCTCTTAAGAAGGATTTAAGAATCTTGCCAAAGTGGCCACTTCTCCTAAAAACATCTAACCCAGTCCTCGCAGATTCCAGAAGGAACTGCTGATTTTTTAATTTATCTTCAGTCATTTGCTTTCGGAAGGGAACATTTATTGTGTTGAAAATTAAAGACTTGATAAAAAATGTTTGCTTTTTGTGGTGTCCTTGAAAATCGAGTGATTTTCACCCAGGATTTCTGTAGTGGGTGTCAGGCACCGTGGATTTCTGTACTGGGTGTCAGGGACCGTGGTACACCACGGTGCTTAGAAAAATGGATGATGGAGGTGGTGCTGTGGCTGGCTAGCATTTATTAACATTGTTATTGCCAGGCACCATGTCAACCCTTTCCTATGCATTAGCTCATTTAATTCTTACAGCCACTATTTGTGGCAGGTACTAGTATTATCCCCATTGCACATGACAGGAAACGGAAGCTCAGAGAGGTTATGTAACTTGCCCAAGTTTGAACAGTTAATAAGAGCTTGCATTCAAACCCAGTCCATTCTGGCTCATGGGGCCCAAGCCTTGCTCTGCTGCCCCAGGCTGTGTAGGATGCATCTGCGGTGGCCATTCTTCTCTCCAGAGGTCCTTCCTAGGACTGACTTTGTGGAGATTCTGTGCTGGTAGGTGGCGGGGCAAGACACGCCTGTCTCTCCCCCTGGAAGGAGTCAGTCCAGCAAGAAACCTGATGAAACCAGTGACTCCCAGCTCTGGGTGAGACATGATGATGGGGCGATGGTGGGGGATGTGGCAGCACAAAGCAACTTTGTCCACTGATGTCGGGAACGCCTTTTGAAGGAAGAAAAGTGTAAGTTGTTACCCAGAGTAGAAGATGGCCAGGCCAGGAGTTGGGAAGGGGGTTCTAGAAGGCAAAGTGCGTGTAAAGTTCTTGAAACTAGAGATACCTAAGGAATCTAGATGAGGCCAGTCTGGTTGGAGCAAAGGGTGATGAGTCGGGAGGCTGGAGAGTGACAAGGACCAGATTGCGTGGGGAGGATACTGCTGCCTGGGGGCTTCCCATCCTGAGGGCGGAGGAACTTGAACACAGTAGTTATTTGCTATCAACTGAAATGTATTGAGCCCCTGCTGCTCTGTGGGCATACAATGGTTGGACAAACAGACAAAGTCCCCGTTCTCAAGGAACTTGTATTCCAACAGAAAAGAAAAGAAATACACAAGACGACGTCAAAGAGTGACAAGTGGCCCAAAGAAAGTAAAACAAGGGCCCAGTCAGGGTGACTCACGCCTGTAATCCCAGCACTTTGGGAGGCCGATGCAGGCAGATCACAAGGTCAGGAGATCGAGACCATCCTGGCTAACACAGTGAAACCCCATATCTACTAAAAAATACAGAAAAATTAGCCGGGTGTGGTGGCGGGCACCTGTGGTCCCAGCTACTCGGGAGGCTGAGGCAGGAGAATGGTGTGAACCTGGGAGGCGGAGCTTGCAGTGAGCCAAGAACATGCCACTGCACTCCAGCCTGGGCAGCAGAGTGAGACTCTGTCTCAAAAAAAAAAGTAAAACAAGGTGGCACCTCAGATTGAACTGAGGAAGGTACAGGAAGCCACTACAGTGGGTGGGCAGGGTGGGCACCTCTGTGCAGTGGGCATTCAGGGGTGAGGAGTCAGCACTGTGGCAGTGTTGGGAGAAGGTATTCCTGGCAGAGAGGGTGGCTGATTGGAAGGCCCTGAGGCAGCAACAAACAGGGCACGATCAGGGACTTCCCTGTGCAGTCAGCGTGGCTGGAATGGAGGGAGCATGATGGAGAAGGCACCAAGTGAGGCCAGAGGCTCCTCAGGGGGTTTGGATTGGATCCTTAATGGAGGGGTGGGAGGATGCCCTGGAGGGTTTCAGCACAGGACGGCAAGGCCTGCTGTGCATTGCTGGGGATCTCTTTGCTTCCATAAGGTCAGTGGACCGGGAAGTGGCCAGAATGGCAGCTGGGATGGGCAGGGGATGAGGGGGACACTCTTGCCATCATGCATGCCACACATGATGGGGAGTGGGCTTGAGGGGCAGCCATGGCGGAAGAGGAGCCCTCAGGGGTTTGGGAGAGGTTAGCAAATACTCATGCTTGTTTTGGGAGGAGCCTCTGCTCACGGTGGGGGCATGGGGGTGGTGGTGAGCACCGCAGCTTGTAAGAGGCAAGCTTGTGTGGCTGCTGGGTCCCACGTGCTATCAGATGGACTCCTATATGGTGTGCTGGGAAAGACGCCCTGTGGCTCTCAACCAGCTCAGCCTATGGCCCTGAGAGAGGATGTGGGCAGGCCCTGACCATCTTGGTTTTCTTCCCTTTTTTTCTTTTTTATTTATTTCTCTTTTTCTTTCTTTCTTTCTCTTTCTTTCTTTCTTTCTTTCTTTCTTTCTTTCTTTCTTTCTTTCTTTCTTTCTTTCTTCAGCTTTATTGAACTATAATTCACATATTATACAATTCACCCTTATACAGTTCACAGTTCTGTGGTTTTTGCTACACTCACGGGTTTGTGCAACTGCACCACAGTCTAATTTTAAAACACTTTCATCATCCCAAGAGGAAACCCCATGTCCATTAAGTGCTCCCTCCCCACTTCCCCTTTCCCTACCCCTGGCAACCGTGAATCTACTTTCTGTCTCTCTGGACACTTCATACAAATAGGATCGTACAGTGTGGGGTGTGCTGTGGCAGGGTTGTTTCACCTAACACCGTGTTTTCAAGTTCACCTGCATTGCGGCATTGCCAGTTTAGGGCTGATAGTATTCCATGATACATAGACCATACTCTCTTTATCCATTCATCCGTTGATGGGCATTTGGGTTTCTTTCCCACTTTGTGTCTATTATGAGTAGAGCTGCTGTGCATATTCACGTGCACATTTTTGTGTGGACACCTGTTTTCAGTTCTACGGGATCTACTCAGGAGTCAGATGGTTATATGGTGACCCAGTCTTCGGGGCAAGCTCAGGAGCAGAATCATCGTACGGTGACTCGGTCATTGGGGTCTACTGAGGAGTCGAATGGTCATATGGCGACTCGGTCTTTGGGCAATGGTAAGGAGTGAGAATGGTCATATGGTGACTCGGTCTCTGGGGTGTGGTCAGGAGTAGAATGTTCATGGTGACTCGGTCCTCAAGGTCTGCTCAGGAGTAGAATGGTTACATGGCGACTAGGTCTTTGTGGTCTGCTCAGGAGTAGAATCACTGTATGGTGACTCGATGTTGAATTATTTGAGGAGTTGCCAGACTCCTTCCATGTTGGCTGCCTGGTCTGCATCCTCCCCACTGTGTGTGAAGGCTCTGATTTCTCACCTCCTTGCCCACACCTTTTATTGAGCCTGAACACCTTTCACATGGTCACACCTGACCTGAGCAGCTGCCCGGCCATAGTGCCAACACATCCCTGGCCACGAGAGGTGGCGCCTGGGCTGGCCAACGTGCACCCTCAGGGTCGGGATGTGATCTAGAGCAGGGCTTCTCTCATTCTGTTCCTGCCCATGTTCATTTCAACCCCCAAAAGGACTTGAGCTCTCAGGCTTAATTTCATTTACTTAATGCATGAAGGAGGAAATGATTTCTGAGGCCAAGACCGGAGTGGTCCCCAGGGACTCCATTTCAACAGTGTATTTAAACCACCACGTGGAGGTTGCTTGCTAGGCTGGGAACTGTGATCAAAGAACTTCCAATATTTTATGTTCATAAAGGCAGTTTGAGAGTAATGTTTTTTAAAAAGGCATCTGAATGGGGAGGAATAGGATCATTGTGAGGTCCACAGTCTCTTTGCCTTTGAAGTTTGCAAGAAGCTACTGAATGAGTTCCATGCTTTGTAATACTCTGGTCTGGGCACCCTCAGGCGTGCGTGGCCGGCAGGGACCTGTAGGAATCCTCTTCACCTGGGGAGATTTGAAGCCTAGTGCATATAACCAGGGCCGTCACCCAATGCTGTGTGATCCTGGGCCAGTCAGTTAGCCTTTTGCAGTTAGCTGATCGTTTTCACCTCAGCTTGAGGCATCTCTTTCAGGAAGTTTCTCCAGTTCCAGTACACGCTCTCAAGCGACTCTCCCCCTCTCCTCAAAATGCTTACCTGCATTTTCATGATGCAGCTATGATGTGCAACATTCACTAATTGATGTCTGTGAACCCTGGTGGCTGTGTGCCAGGTAGGTATGTGCTCAGGTGTGCTGTGTGCTCAGTGAGGCTGTGAACCCACGTGGGTGTGAGCCCAGGTAAGCTGTGTGCTCAGGAAGCTGTGAGCCTAGGTGTGCTCTGTGCTTAGTGAGGCTGTGAGCCCAGGTGGGTTTGAGCTCAGGTATGTTGAGAGGAGGGTGGATGTGAGCCCAGGTGTGCTGTGTGCTCAGTGAGGCTGTGAACCCAGGTGTGCTGTGTGCTCAGTAAGGCTGTGAGCCCAGGTGGATGTGAGTTCAGTGAGGCTATGCACTCAGGTGGCTGCAAGCCCAGGTGTGCTGCGTGCTCAGTAAGGCTGTGAACCCAGGTGTGCTGTGTGCTCAGTGAGGTTGTGAGCCCAGGTGTCCTGTGTGCTCAGTGAGGTTGTGAGCCCAGGTGTCCTGTGTGCTCAGGCAGCTGTGAGTCCAGGTGGATGTGAGTTCAGTGAGGCTATGAGCTCAGGTGGGTGTGAGCCCAGGTGTGCCGTGAGCTCAGTGAGTCCAGGTGGGCTGTGTGCCCACCGAGGCTGTGAGCCCAGATCGGTATGAGCTTAGGTGGGTGTGAGCTCAGGTGGGCTGTGTGCCTTATTGAGGCTGTGAACCCAGGTGGGCTGTGAGCTCAGTGAGGACAGACACCACACCTGGTTTTGCTCATGGGTATCACCCCAGTACCTGGCCCAGAGCAGATGATTGTCTTGATTTGGGTTTTGGGGAGGTGACCCTGGAATGAGGATTTGAGAGCAAGTAATTTATAAGAAAGCTGTCCCAGGAGAAGCTGGCACCAGTGCTGGGAAAGTGGCACAGGGAGGCCAAGGAGGGGTAGTATCAGGCACAGCTGTGCAGGGGCAGTTGCAGCCTGACCCTGAGGGTACTCTGAGCATGAGTGTGTCAGAGTTTGTCTCTGCTGAGGCCAGGGGCTAGGCTACATTCTTGCCACCACCAGTCATTGGCTCTCGGCTCTGTGCAGGAGGACAGAGAGGCTGAGAGGCTGGGAGTTGGCCTGTAGGGGTGCCCTTAGGGGCAAAAGCACATGGGAGCTGGGAGGCTCCACAGCCTTGGACTGGAGGGGTGGGCAGAGCACTGACAGTATCCGCTTGGGGTCAGGCCATGTGGATCCAGTGTTCTACTCCGATCCTCTCCGACAGGCCTTCCAGAACAGGGTGTACCATGTGCTCCAGCACGAGGGAGACGTGCTTCTGATGTCAGCTATAGCAGTGCCTCCAGGGTCGATGGCACGAGCCCAGTTGACAATCCCCACAGCCAGATGCTTTGAAATATGTGATCCTTGATAAATTTTTAATTTAGGGTAATTTTAAGTTTGCATATTGCATGAGACTTTACTGCTCTTTGAAATCTGCATAAATCACAGTCATGCTGCATGTTTGGGTTGTCACTTGGCATACTGGCCAGCTTTTTGTTGGCCCCCCAATCCTACTTCTGCTAAGGGCTGGCCTGGTGTGTGTGACCAGAATGCCAGGCCCAGAAGCCACCAGCACTAAGTCAATGGGAAGTGCTTTGCTCAGTGCAGAGCTGCTGCTGCTGGAATCACTGCACCACTTATTCCCCATGACACTGGGCCTCCTCGCCACCAGGTCAAGCCAGACTCAAGACGCAGGCAAACGGAAAAATGCAGAACTGTTTGCTCCTTCTCCCTCCCTGGAAACCCCTGCTCTTATAGGTTGGCTTTGTTGGTCCAGCCCCAGCTTCTTGACTTGGTAGGGAGTTCCACAGGATGAGGACATGCTTTTTGTGTTTTTCTTTGCACTAAACTATGTGTAACATCAAATTTACCATTTCAACCCTTTTAAAGGGTACGATTCATGTGTGCCAATCATGCTAGATATAATTTGCATTTTCCTGAATATTAATTAGGGGGAACATCTTTTTTATATGCTGTTGACGGTTTGGATACCTCCTTTTGGAAGGTGTTCCCGGACTTTGCATATTTTCCACAGGGTTATTTGACTTTGTTCATTTGTGGGAGTTCTTTTGATATTCTAGAAACTGGACTATGTCCAGTTAAATATGTTACAAACATCTTTTCCTGCACTGTGTTTTGTCTTTTCATTTTACAGTGTTTTTGATTAAATTCTTAATTTAAATAACCAAAGAGTACAGTTCAGTGCTCTGTGCAGTGAGTGCAGTCACATTGTTGCAAAACCATCACTGCTGTCTAATTCCAGAACCTTTCATCACCTACAAGGAAATTGTGTGATACTCCTCATTCTCCCCTCCTCCAAGCCCCTGATAACTACGCATCTACTTTCTGTCTGTATGAATTGGTCTGTGCTGAACATTTCATGTAAATGGAATCATACGCTGTACGGACGCTATATGGACTTTTGTGGCCGGCTGTCCCCATGCAGCATCATGTTATCAGGGTCCCTCCACACTGTAGCAGGTGTCCAGGCCTCATTCCCTTTTATGGCTGGGGAATGTTCCATGGTCTGGATAGACTATACTTGATGTGTCCATTTGTCCGCTGATGGACATTTGGGCTGTTTTTGCTTTAGGTCATACTTTCTGCCTGATGTAAAAGTGCCAGTCGTGTATAAGGACTGTAGTCAGCGCCACCATGCCACAGCTTAGAGAAGGGATGGGGGAACTACTGGGTTGTCAGAGGCGCCGTTCTTGACCCTCAGAGACTTTCTGTCTCCTGGAGGAGAAGTGGCTGTGTTGGGCAGGTTTGAATCTTGAGAATTCACGGTCCCTGGGTTTGAGGCCTCGCTGTGCCACTTGATGCCATGTGACCTTGGGCAAGTCACCTCTCCCTCTGAGCCTCACTTTTCTCACCTGTTAAATGAGGTACTTATAAAGCCGAATAGCCTAATTCAAACATTTTAAGTCTGAAATGCTCTGAAATTCGAAACTTTTTTAGTGTTGACATGATGCTCAAAGAAAATATTCATCAGAACATTTTGGATTTCAAAGTTTTGGATGCTCAACTGGTAATGCAAATATTCCAAAATCAGAAGAAATCTGAAATCCGAAACACTTCTGGTCCCAAGTGTTTCGGATCAAGAATACTGCACCTGTAACACCTGCCTCCTTAGTGGTGTGATGATTGCGTGGAATGAGACATGAAAAGGGCTCAGCCCAAAATCGTCTGGCACCAAATACCCAATGGATAGGGGATTTTGTTTATTTTGTTGTTACTGTTGTTGAGGTAAAATTCATATAGCACAAAATTAACTATTTTAAAGTGTACAATTCAGTGGCATTTAGTACATTCATGATATTGGCATCTGCCACATGTGTCTAGTTCCCGAACATTGTCACATCACATCCAAAGGAGATCCCATGCCCATTCTCCCCTCCCACATCCCGCGGCAGCCACCACTCTGCCTTGTTGAGTGGTCTTCTGTGACTGGCTCCTTTCGTTTAGCACCATGATCTTGGGGGTCATCTGTGCTGCAGTGGGTGTCAGTGCTTTCTTCCTGGTAAGAGCGTAACATGGTGCAGTCATTGTGGAAAACAATTGGGTGGTTCTTGGAAATGTGAAATATAGGATTACTGTATGAGCTAGCAGCTCCACTTCCGGGTATCTAACTAAAACAACTGAAAACAGGTATTAGGGGGAAAAAAACCTGCACACGAATGTCCAATAGCAGCACTGTTGTTCACAATAGCCAGTATGTGGAGACAACCTAAATGCCCATCGACAGATCGATGGATTAACAATTTCCATACAATGGACTATTACCTTTTGTTATTATTATTATTATTATAGCTTTCTTAACTCCTATTGATTTTTTCAAAAGTGACCTCAGCTGTCATCTCTTTTCCACAAAGAGTCTTACCTGAGTCTGGAGACCATTCCTTTTTCTGACCACAGAACCCCGTCTTAATCTCTGTCCTGCCTCTTCCACTCATTAATTCATTCCCTGATTCCTTCCAAAGTATTTGTTGGGTGCCTGCTATAGACAAGGTCACTCCAGTGGGGAGGGACCGACAACACCAAGTCAGCTGAAATAACAGCACCGTGGAGGGAGTGTGTGCCATGCGGAGAATTTTGGGTTGGGTGGGAGGGTGCTTGGATGTCTCACTGTTGCTCTGATGGACCAGGAGGAGATGTTTGCAATGAAACCCAAGTGATAAGAAGGAGGCAGCTTTGCAAAGGTGGAGGAGAGCCTCCCTTGAGGGGCTGCTTACTAGGATCCGGAGGTGGGGATGAGCCTGGGGAGGCTGCAGAGAACTGTGAGGTTGGAGCTGCTCACAGGGAGAGGTCACAGGGCTTTGAGGGCCAAAGGGAGGCCTAACTCCTGTGGAAGCCACTGGAGGGTTTGAGGCAGGGTAAGGCGGGGTCAGGGGTGTATGCCATGTGACCCGAAGGGAGGGCATTGCGGGAACCTGGGAGCGATGAGGGAGACCTGGGCCGGGGGAGTCAGGGCAGGGCGGATGTAGCAAAGTCACATTGTCCTGAGTGACCATTCACTTGGCTGTCCCCGCTCCCAGGCCTCAGGACTGTGAGGGCAGGCACTGGGTCTCAGGCCCAGAGAAGATGCTCAGAAAAGGAAAAGGAGACCGGGGCACGAGTGAGCCAGTGCAGTGTGCAGAGTGAGGGGGCAGTGGGCAAAGAAATTGCATGGCCCAGATCACTCACTGGAGACCAGAGACACCTTAGTGTCCCAGGATGATGAAGAGCGAGGGGCCAGAGCTAGGGGAGTTAGTGATGCATCTGCTAGCCGGGCTGGCCCTCCCTGTGGGCACAGAGAAAGTGGTTCCTCAACAGCCATGGGTGACCTTTAAGGATGCCCACAGATGGTGCCATCTCAGGAGAAGGGTCCCAGAGGGACTGGCTCTGTCACCTGCTGTCAGCTGCTCCCGGAAAGCCCGCACTGCATGACTTGCTGGTTTGTTGGAATGGTTCCATCTTGCTGTGTCACTTCCATGACAATCACCAGAGGAACCAGGCCCAGGCAAGGGGCCTGTGATGAAGCGAGCAGCCCTGATGACATCAGAAATGCAGACAGTTCCAGACATTCAAGCATGATGTCCTTGGCTCTTGGGTGAAAATCCTCCTCGGTGTGTCAGGGAAAGTCATTGAATTCACGTTGGACCCGGACTTGGTAAATCTTCAGAAGCACGCTCTATTCTGCAGGATTTAAGCTTCAGATGGGCCTAGACTGGTATGCACAGGTAGGGACTGTGCACTTGAGCACAGATGGACCTTCAGCCCATCTCCTTTTGGTTCTCATATACTTGTTGAGCCCTGGCTAGGCCCTCCTGAGCTCTGTTTCAGGGCCTGCAGAGGCTGCTGTACAGGTCACACTTGGTCTCTGCTCTCACGGTCAAGTAGCCAGGATGGACATAAAACTAATGAACACATACATCAAGAGCTAATTAAAAATTGTGCTGAAGGCCATGGTGGAAAAATAACAGGAAACCTAACAGGTGGGTAGGAAGGGTGAGACCATGAGGGATGAATAGGAGTTCATCAGAGAAAAGTGTTGCCTCCAGAGGGAATGGCACAGAAGGCAGCCCTATTGTGGGAAAGCACTTAATGAGCGAGGAGGGCCATGGTGGTAGAGAAGCTTAAGAAATGGAGGCCAGGGCTCTGGGGTTACAGTGGGGGTTTTATATTTCATCCTAAGAGCCACTGTGATGTCATGTGGGGAGCAATATAAGGCCCTGTTTGCTTGCTTGCTTGCGGGGTAGGCAGGAGTGGAAGCGGGAAACCAGGGCAGAGGCTGCAGAACTGTACAGGTGAAAGTGATGCTGGACTGCCCCCAGGGGTTAGAAGTGAAATGAAGATAAGAGATCAGGATCCAAAACCATTTATTCTCTCCCTTTTTCTTCTTGGGGCACCCAGTAGTATTTTTTCCCAGAAGACATTTCTTAAAGGATCACTTAAGCCAGGAACTGTCAAATGCACAAACCAAATGCACTTTCTACTAGTTTTTGCAAATAAAGTTTTATTGCAACATAGCCATGCCCATTAATTTATGTCCCATCTGTGGCTGCTTCACACTACAGCAGCAGAGCTGAGTGGCGGCAGCAGAGACTGTGTGGCCCGCAAAGCCTCAGAGTTTTATTATTTGGCCCCTTACAGAAGACATTTGCCAATTCCTGACCTAAGCAAAGTGAGTGAGGGACGCATTTTCAAAACACAAATCTGTTGGCTTAAAGTCTTCCTAGCACTTAAATGCATTTAATCCCTCTGAAAAATGCTAGAGTAGACACAGTTTTTAAATTGACTTTTGTTTTTCTTTAACCTTTTGCTGATATTATATATAAGAAACTCACCTTATGCTTTAGGTTTAGAAAGTCAGGGTTGGAACTCAGACTTTGAAGATGTTGTGTGATATTATTTCTCTAAATTTCTACTACAATACTAAAGTCTCCTGATGTGTTATTTCACTTTTTGTCCTTTCTCTGAAATGCTCATTTTCCTCCTTTTCTGTAAAATATAATCTCAGGGAAGAAGTTTGTAAAAGCAGCTTTTAGCCTTTGCAAAGATATAGGTGGGCCTCTTGTACAATAATTTTTATAAGAGTTTGTTCTTTGCAAATGCAGATGCATCCTACTAAGCCACATACAAAAAAATCATCACAATGATGACAACAACAAAGCCAATTTTCCAGATTCCACCTTTCTCCTTCCTCATCCTCTTCATGTTTGAATTTGTGCTGCCAAATTCTATAGAGCATTTTCAGATCCACTTGATTTACAGATTTGAGCTGAATTTCACTTGGAAAACTGACCATATGTCTGGCAGGCACCAGCGACCATTGGCAGTACTATAGGGTTGATACTAAACAGATGGGCTTTCTAGTTAGATGTGCTGTTTTTTCCACAATACATATGAGAAAGAAAAGAAGCCACTTTAATAATGTCTTGATTTTTCCACTGGTGTCAGAGTCATCAATGATGCCCATTTATGTAGTCTTAATTTCAGCATCATTGCGTGCAGGGTGCCTTAGACAGCTAGAAGAAGCTTAATGACTTGGGAAATTTTGAGGCCCAACTTCTGCCTAGATCTTAGAGAATCTTGTTATCTTTGGAATACAGATAGTGGATAAAAGACTTTTATAGTCCAAAAATAAATTATTAACACTATTTGTCAGGAATACATTCAAAGTTCTTAGTCCTGGGTTTATTGCTCAAACTATTTGACAGCTTTTGTGGGGTTATTGCAGTCTAGGCAGCAAGGTGTAAATAGCGGTTGTCTGATAGGTCTGTTTAGGAAAATCTAGCTAAACAACTGAATACGATTTCTTCCTGCAGAACTTCTCAGAGCCTATACTATGCTAATATGCACTGGGGCTCTCATGAAGAGGGTTTTAGTACAGACAGCATTTTCTAACTACTTTAATCCTCTCAGCATCTCCCTATGCTAGAGTTCCATGGAAAACACTTTGGGAAACACCGGTGTCATGCCTAGATGGTAAACTGAAGAGCAGAGAGGCTGCGGCAGACCTGCCATTTACCAGCTGTGTGACCTTGAACGAGTGCTTTCGTGCTCTGAGCCTCTACTTTTTAAATGTAAAATGGAGCTGAAAATATAGGCCCTGCCTGTTAGGGTTGTTTGCCTGGAATGAACATGCAGAAGGTTTTGGTGGCCTCCCTTTGGGCATTAAAATATAAGTTCTCCTAAAATTAAGTATTTATTCAATTCACAATTTTCCAGGGGCCAATTATTCACTCTGAAGCTTAGCCAGGCTTTTGTCTTTTCTTCTCTGTGCTTCTTAGCACCTCCACTAACCAGTAAAGGAGAGAAAGGAGATGCCCTTTGAGTTAAGGGCTGCTGAGGGGGCAGCCAGAAGAAGCCATGGCCAACATGAGGTCTAGAGGTGGCTCGGGAATTGCAGTTACCTTCCACTGTCGGGAGTCAGTGGGACAGCTCCAGGCCATTGTTAAAAACCATTGCCCTGCATTTGATTCTGCTTCCATTTTTGTATCATGGGATCAATCCACTCATTCATTTATTCACTCGCTCACTCATTTATTCAACCCACCTGCCAGGCACTGTGCTAGGTGCCGGAGGAGGAAGCGGACCCTAAGTCTAGGAATTGCATTGTGCAGTTGTTGAGGTCTCTGTTTCCCCTATACTGGAAAAGTCAGCAGTTAGTCCATCAAACAAGGGCTATAATCAGATTACAGATTTTGATGAATGAACTTGCAGGGCTGTAGAAAAAAGCCTATAAGCTTTTAGGAATAGAGCCATAGGCATTTAGCAGTATTTTCTTCCCTTTTTTGAATAAATTCACTCCTTTTTTTTTTTTTTTTTGCATCCCTCCCTGCCCTCCACCCAACACCAGCAAGCAGTTTATTCCTCCATTATAAGCAGTGTGACTATAAGACACTTGTCAAATGGTCTCACTTTGTCCTTGGATGGTATGACCCTTGTTTTGTTTTTATTGATCAGCACACCCAAAATATCATGCTCTTCAGTCATTACTTAGGAATTTTCTAGGGGTGGAGGAGGTCAAACCAAGAACTTTTACATTTGGGAGATTGAAATCTATTTCTAAAACTTGATTTTGGAGGTTCAGCTCCATTCTGGTGGTCACTCTCTGAAAATGCCCAGCACTTTTTCTGTAGATGGCTGTCAAGCCACATCTCTTGCAGCCTGGCCACAGGCAATTGGATTTTCAGTGCTCAGTGCTTCCGTGTGAGGTTATTGTATGTTGCTTTAAAGGTTAACTTCTTCCTCCTCCCAGCCCTATTTCTCCTTCCTCCTCCCAGATCTTAGACAGCAGTGTTATCATCTGCTCTGTGTCATCTAGCACAGGACTGGGAGAGGGGCGGAGTTGTCAAAGAGGCTGTGGGGTTAAGATCAGGGCTTTTACAGCAGATGACCTGAGTTCTAAGCTCCACTCTGTCGCTAACTAGCATGTGCCCTGGGGTAATTATTTCACATCTGTGTGCCTCCATTGTCCTCATCTGTAATGTAGGTGATGAAAATAGTTCTTCGCTTGCTAGGGTCTTGATGGAATACAATGAGCAAATTCATGCCAGGTGCTCAGCACTGAGCCTGTTGCACAGCAAATGCTCAGTAGATGCTTCCGTTGCTGATGACAGTGATGACAAAAACAAACCTTCGTATTCCTTGGCTCTTCCATATGTGTGAGTGCCCCCATCCTCTGCCTTCCTGCCTTCAGCCTTGTTCCCCCTACAGTCTGCCATCCTCACCGAGATTCCACGTGGTCTTCTCACAAGGCTGAACTTGCTCCAGGTCCCTCAATGACTCCACATTGTCCCCAGGACTCTTATCACAGCCACACAGCTCTTCTTGGTCAGGTCCCCACACGCCTTCCTAAGCTCACCTATGTCAACTCTGTTCCATAGACCATAAGCTCCAGCCTAAGGGTCCTCAAGTTCCAGTGCACAGACCCACACCAGCAAATTAAGAACACTAAGAGCAATGCAGTTGGGTTTTCATTTACGAATGTAGAATCAATTAATTTTTTTAAGAGACAGGGTCTTGCTCTGTTGCCCAGGCTGGAGCACAGTGGTGCAATTCACTGTAACCTGGAATTCCTGAGCTCAAGCAATCCTCCTGCCTCAGCCTCCTGAGTTGCTGGGACTACAGGTGTGCATAACCACACCGAGCTAATTTTTTTTTCCTTCGTTTTTGTAGAGACAGGGTCTCACTACGTTGCCCAGGCTGGGCTTGAACTCATGCCCTCAAGCAGCCCTCCTGCATTGGCTTCCCAAGCCACTGAGCCCAGGCCTAAAAATTCTGTTTGTTTGTTTTTTTCTGAGACTATATTTTTTCTATTATGTGTACTAAGTTGTGATGAACATAGATGATTGCTTTGTGTAGTGTGTGTGTGTGTTGGCCATTACTGCCATAATGAACATTAGCATATCTGTGTGGATCCCAATTTTATATGTGGAAATTTTACTGGGTTTCTGAGCCTTAGAGACTGGGGACCTCAGACCTAGCTTCCCCAAATGACTCCCCATTCCCCAAACACCATGTACTGCCATGCATTTATGAATTTGCACGTTTTACTAAAATCCTACTCAACCTCTAATACCCAACTCAATTATCACTACCTACTACCTCCCCTAGCTTCTAGTAGCCTTCTTAGAGTTATCCCACCCTCAAGCAGGAAAAGTTGCTTCCTCTGCTATTATAATCCTCTTTCTTGATTCTTCCTGGTGGTTCCAGGTACCTTAGTTTTCTCAGTGGTCACTGAGTCCCCCGGGAGAGAGGGTACCTAGCACCACTTTGTCCCTCAGGCCTAACACTGTGCTTTGTTCAAAGACAATGGTCTCCACGTATTGGTGTTACAGGTAAGGACTCAAAGAAGAAATAGAGGTCATATCTCAGCTTCTTATTTGCTTCTATTGTGGCTCATGTCACATTATGAGGTTGCCTTACACTTTCTGTGTTCCTTCTTTTCTCCTCCATAAATACATGAGCTTCATGCAGCGGGAAACTGCAGGCATGTTGATGGAATTTACTGCTCTGTCAAAACTCAGAGCAGTCCTGACACACAGCAGGCCCTCAGCCGATATGATGAATGGGTTTGTGAGTGAATGAATAAAACAAACAAGGAAAAAATTATTTTGCAATATTATCTGATAGAGATGGCACCTTTCTTCTCTAAGAAATCAGCCATGTAGCACATGGCACTGAGTACCTGACCTCACTCCCCCAGAGATATGGGGCTTTCCTTCCAATATGTTTTTGGGGAATTTCGTGAAGTGGAAGGATAAGATAAGATATCTTAGTGGATGAAAGATGAGGATGAAAAAATACCTGATGTCACTAAAGGGTGGACATCAAAGTCAGATGGACGAGGAACAGACCCTGGCTCCAGCGTTTGGCAGCCCTGCACTCCGGATTCACAGGGTCGAGCAGGTGTTTATTTGGGCAGCCCCTGGGTGCCAGGAACCAGCAAAGATGCGAGACCCAGCAACAAGCACGAGAGTGACGGTTCTCATTGTCATGGAGCTTATGTTTGTTCTCATGGGAAATGCAGATGACAGTCAATAAATAGTGAATCCCAGGGCACAATCTGAGAGTAATCAGAGCTAGGATGGAAGGAAATGTGAATAAAGGGATTGGCCCTGCACCAGGCATGGAAATTAGCCTGTAAGCTCCATGAGGTCAGTGTTCCGTCAGTCCTAGAACAGTTCTTGCCTCATAGCTCTGTGTGGCTGTTGATGGGGGAAAGGGATGGAGTTAGTTACCCAGGGACAAGTATACCAGCTACTGTGAGCCTGAGAGAGGCCTGGGAGAGGGCTGGCTGGAGTTGCCAAAGAGGCTGGAGCTTGTCCCTTGAGTTGCAAGCATGTGACATCAGCAGGGGAGGGCCAGCTGCCCCATCCATCATCTGAGGACTGAGGCTGTGTGTAGCACTTCCTCACACAGATGCCAGGTGTGACAGACATTTCCCATTAATTAACCTCTAATGCCTCAGAGGTGGCAGAGGTGCAGTGGAACCTGGCACTACTGTTATTCAGAGGCTGGGGGGTGGCTGCTAATGTGTTTGCACCTTCCAGAGTCTCTCCAGTGTGAGAAGGCAGTTCCTCAGGAACTGCAGGGAGAGACGGGGAGAGAATTCCTGGAGTGGGGGGAGGTGCTCCCATCTGTCCCTTCCCTCTGTGGACAGGTGTGCATGGGCCACATGCACCCGCCCACAGATGGCATCCCACCCATGCAGGTGCACACCCACCCACGCCCATGCACACTGGCTCCGCAGGTGCTCACCCGCCCACCCGTGTAGGTGCACACCCACCCATGCCCATGCATGCTGGCTCTGCAGTTGCTCACCCACCCACCCTCAGAGATACACACCTACCCACTCTGTGCACACCTGCCCACCAGCATCCGCAGGCCACACCGTGCCGTGGATGACCACACCTGCCCCGCTGTACACCTGCAGTGATGGGCTCATGTCCTCTGCCCTTGGAGGGGTTTGTAAGTAGTTTTCTCTGAGCAGCACTATTTTGAAGTTTCTCTTCTTGGGCGGAGAGTCATAGCTCTCACAAGCCCTCCCCTGGCACAGTCCTGGGCTTGAGCCACCCCAGGGAAGGCAGAGGGGAGAGGGAATTTCCTCCCAAGGGGGATGCAGAGCAGCACAGCCTGGGGCCCCTGGGCATGGGGTCTTCACTCCTCTGATGACAGTTGAGCCCCTTGAGGAGCTGCTTAGACTAAGGCATCTGTCCTGGTCAATGCATTGGATTTTTGGTTTAGGAGCAAAGGGTCTTTTGAGCTGAAGACCCTCTAGTGGCTCCCTGCTGAATTCTGAATCAGGTTCAAGTCCCTGACTACGACCCTGCCTGCCTCCCCAGCACATCCACGCCTCTCAACCACTGTTTCCTCCTGTCTTGGACAGCCTGCCCCTTTCCCATCATAGCCCCTGTCCTGTTCCCCACTGGGGCGGCCCTCTGGAGCACCCAGTGCTGACCCTGTCACAGTCGGTCAGTCGACACCTGCCCTCGAGGCTCCCTGAGGAGGCCCTGGGTCCTGTCCTTCCTCGCGTCTGTGGGGATCCTGGTTCAGGGCTCTCTATGTCCCCCTGGCACGTGCCTGAGCTGTTGCTGGCACTGGAGATACAGCTGCAAACATCCATCAAGGGCCTGCAGTCAGGAGCTTCAGCTCGGGGCATGGGCAGGAGGAGTGGAGACAACTACAAACAGGTAAACAAATGAGTGTGTGCGTGCATGTGCGTGTGTGTGTGTCTGTGTGCGTGCATGTGTGCGTGTATGTGTGTGCGTGCATGTGCATGTGTGTGTCTCTGTGTGCATGTGTGTGTGCGTGTGTGTGCATGCACACCAGCTGATACCTGTGATGAGAAAAATAAAGAGGAAGGCAAGAAATAGTGAGGAGTGCCATCCCACATGGGGTGAGCCAGGACTGTCTAAATTCATACCTTTATTCATTGTTCATCTCCTGCAGGTGAGTACAGCCCCACAAAGGCAGGCATCGTCTCTTTTGTTCACCTCTGCACACCCTGTGCCTATTAGGATACATGGCACATGGTTGGTGTCAGTACGTATTTGTTGAAAGGTGGAGTGAGTGAGTGAGTGAGTGAGTGAATTCTTAAAGGGAGAGAGGAGTGCAGTCTCCTCAGTGGCCAAAGTGCTCCCTCGCCAGCCCTCAGCTCTGCTGTGAGGACCACTGTGTGTCAGAGACGGGGTGGGAACCCCAGAACCTGCTCCAGCCACTAGGGCAGAAGTGGGGGGAGGCAGCTGATTAAAATAGTGCAGGTAGTGACGGTGGTCCTGGCAGTGATGGTGGTAGGGAGGGGGAGGCGCCACTGCCCCTCCTGCCCACCTTCCACCAGTGGAAGCAGTCACATAGCCACAGCAAGAAGGAGACACCATACCCCCCAGCAAGGCCCTGGCAAAGGGGATGCAGGGAGTCAATGCTTCAACCTCCTGTTAGTAAGTGGCAGGGCCAGGAGGGGAGCCTGGGGTGCCTGGTCCCAGCCCCCATGTTCTTCACAGCTACGTCACACTGGCTTCCATGGCACATGGCAAGCACTAATGCACAATAAGGATGATAATAAGGGGGAGGGAGCAGCAGAGCACAGAGAGCTGCACAAGTTTAGTGATTAACTTGGATTTTGTCCTAAATGAGAAGGGAAGCGAGCAGGAAGTGATAGGGTTAGAGCTCTATTTCTAAGACATCGGATCACAGGAAGACCAGTTGCTGGGGCAGGGATGCTGGTACTGGACCAGGGTTGTTATGATGCAGGTGGCAAAGAAAGTTGGGTTCAGGGTCTGATCTGTAGTTTATTCTGTGTGCTACTCCGTTTTGCCTTGGCTGCTAGGAAGCTCAGGGCACACAAATACCCTCCTCTGGAGCCCGTGTGGTGTCTGTCGTGGGGACCCACCTAACTCCTTGATGCTGTGGCCCTCAGCAGACCCTGATTCCTCCAGATCCTTCCTGACACTCCCTTCATCCTTCAGCTGTGTATGTGTGTTTCTGGTGATTGCTGCCGATCCTTTGTGAAGGAGGTGAGATATAAATAAAGCAATGATTATGCTCCATCCTCGTCTCCTCTGCTCATCCCTGGAGATCTTCGTCTTCATCTTCAGCTGAGCTTGGAGGCTTGGGGAGACCTAGCCCATCCTTCCCCTCGTGCAAAGCATGCTCAGGACAGCAGGCTTTCCCAGGGCCATGTGGAGTCACAGTCTTGCTCCCATCTGGTGTCTGTAGGTGGAGGAAGGAAAGGAGAGGATGAGAACATGGAATGCATTGTCTCTGAGAAGAGAAGGATCCCTGTACATCCCTCTGCCTCCCGTGGCCTTGGGGAGAGGGTGGCCGGGAGGATCTGTGGTTAATTGGTGTTCTGCAGCTGCCCTGGTTCCACACATTTCCTGGGCTCCCACTGGGTACCAGGCACTAGGTGCTGGGGTCGCCTCAAAAACACAGTGGAGGATGCCATTGCTGTAGCTCCCTTAATGGTTTGCAGAGCCCAGAATGTCAAACAAGACATTCCTGGGCTTGTCTTTCCCCATGGGGCTGCTTTGTGGAGCATCTGTGGACACAGCACCTAGCACAGTTAACACTTGTATTAGTCCGTTTTCATACTGCTACAAAGTGCCCCCGATAAAACAAAAAAGAACTGCCCAAGACTGCATGATTTATAAAAGAAAGAAGTTTAATTGGCTCAAAGTTTAGCATGGTTGGGGAAGCCTCAGAAAACTTACAATCATGGCAGAAGGTGAAGGGGAAGCAAGGCACCTTCTTCACAAGGCAGCAGGAAGGAGAAGTGCAGGGCGAAGGGGGAGGAGCCTCCCTTATAAAACCAACAGATCTCAAGAGAACTCACTCAATATCATGCGGACAGCATGGGGGAAACCACCTCCCTGATCCAATCACCTCCACCTGGTCTTTCTCTTGACACATGGAGATTATGGGGATTATAATTCAAGATGAGATTTGGGTGGGGACACAAAGCCTAACCATATCAGCACTCTATTAGTAATGCCTGGAGAGAATGACCTCATGCCCCAACCCACCTAGGGTGGGCCTGGTTTATCCTCTTGTCTTGGTGTCCCATCCTTCTGTGTTCTGCTTTGGGTCCCCTCGATGCAGCTTTGGAAGGTGAGAGGGGCCTCTGGAGTCAGGGTGCTCAAGGTCCTGCCCTGCCACAGCATTTCCCAGCTCTGAGACCAACAAAAAAATGGCTCAGGGCTCTGATCTTCAGTTTGTTCATCTGTAAAATGGATATAAAATGGAATGATCTCTAGCTCATAGATTTATTGTGAAGGTAAAATAGGACAATGCCTTAGGATAGTCCTGGCCCTGCACAGGCAGTGACCAGCGTTTACTCCATCATCATTATTCTATTGCTCATATCATAGAAATTATTATAATATAAATTTTGACCAAAAGTTACCTGCACTGGCATGGTATGTTAATCAGAGTGATGATAAAGTCTAGACATATAGATAATATTATTTTACATGGATGATAACATGAACTATTAATAAACTGTGTATTGTGGATGTTTATCTTTGTTTTCAGATTGTTTTTCATTTTAATTTTTTTTTAGAGACAGGGTCTCTCTCTCTGTAGCCCAGGCTGGAGTACAGGTGCAAATCATAGCTCACTGCAGTCTTGACCTCCTAGGCTCAAGTGATCCTCCTGTCTCCGACTCTTAAGTAGCATGCACCACCATGCCTGGGGAATTTCCAAAAATTTTTTTGTAGAGGTGGAGTCTCTGTGTTACCCAGGCTGGTCTCAAACTCTTGGGATCAAGGGATCCTCTAGCCTTGGCATCCCAAAGCATTACGATTACAGGCATGAGCCACTGTACTGGCCTTCCCAGAATTTATGACCACACTGAGTCCTCCCCTCAACCTTACCTATCAGGGATGATTATCATGGCATCTTTTTTTTTTATCAACAGATGTGGAAACCGAGGCTCCAAGGGGCCGGGTGGCTTACTCAAAGGCCCTGGGTTAGAGACAGGTGCAGCCCTTTGGAAGCCAGACCCCGTGGAAGCTCTAGAGGCTGCCAGGCAGGCCGCCTGTCACTGGGGGCACAGAGGTCACTGCCATGTGGGGCCTTGGGCCCTCGGGTGCTGCCTCATATGGCTCTTCTCAGGCTGAGCTCTGCAGAGCCCAGATTCAGAGCAGGCCGTCCTGGGCCTCCTTGGGGCAGCCAGTGGCATGCATGGGTGCCTTAGGTGGGAAATGCGGGAGTGTGACCCCTTCCCTGGGTCTGAGGGGCCTGGCCCATCATAATCCCCGGCCCCTTGGACACTGGTAATGCCCCTTCCCCTCGAACACTGGTGGTCTCCTTCCCTGTCCTCTCTGACAAAGGTGACCTCCTTCCTCAGGTGAGCCCTTGTGTTAGCCACACCGTCCAGCCCTTCTCCCTGCATGTCCATGCTTCCTGGGGCTCTGAGGTCTGCATCAGCTTAGGGCTCCCAGCCCCTTCCACAGGTAACAAGGCAAATTCACCTGCTGGCTGTGGAACTGACCACGCGCTGACCATGGGAGGCTGAGCCAGCTGTCGGGGAGTGTGTATGTTCGCAGGGCGAGGGGTCCTGGCAGAGGTCTGGGCTCCTGTGGTAGCAGCCGTGCTGGGGAGCACCCCACGGGTCTGCGATCTTCCTCCCCCAGCGACACTGGGAGGTTAAATCGGAGCCTGGTTGGGACTCAGGTCCTTGTTGCTGCCAGAAGAAACGTCCCTTCCCTGTCCCAGGAGGCATCTGGGGCAATGTGCTCATCTATTCTCAGTCCTGCCTGGGTGACGGCCTGAACTCTGCTCTACACTGTGACCCTAGGATGGAGGTGACGCTGGCTTACTTTGTGAGCTTCTCTAACTTTACCATTTTGTTAGTTGCATTTTGTTTCATTCTAACTAATCTTTCCTACTAAGGGACACACGGCTTGTGCTACAAAAACAGCCTGTGAAGCACATCTCCCTCTCTCCCCCGCCTGCCAACAGCCAGGGCTCCCCATTTCTTTCTTTCTTTTTTTTTTTTTTTCTTCTTTTTTTGAGACAGAGTCTCACCCTGTCACCCAGGCTGGAGTACAATGGTGTGATCTTGGCTCACTGCAACCTTTGCCTCCCGGGTTGAAACAATTATCCTGTCTCAGCCTCCTGAGTAGCTGGGATTACAGGTACCCGCCACCACACTCAGCTAATTTTTGTATTTTTAGTAGAGACGGGATTTCACCATGTCGGTCAGGCTGGTCTCGAACTCCTGACCTTGTGATCTGCCTGCCTGGGCCTCCCAAAGTGCTGGGATTATAGGCGTAAGCCACTGTGCCCAGCCCCGGGGTTCCCCATTTCTTTGGAGGGCCCACAGACATTTTCTCTCCACACACCAGTGTGTGCCTGTATACCACCCCTGTTCGCACACTGGTGGCGTGTGCGTGTGAATTTGTGCGCTGGGGTTTTCTTTGGCCTGATTATCTCAGATCAGTTTCCTGTCCGTGCTTGGAGATCCACTTTCTTTCTTTCTGCATCTGCACACAGGTGGTTGACAGGACAGACGATGACTTACCCAGTCCCCCTGTGGACGGGTATGTAGGTCGGTATGAGTCTCTTTTACAACAAACAGCACTGCCATGAGCTTCCTAGGACGTTCATCTTCACGTGTCCCAGAGTCTACAAACATGGCCGTTTCATGGACAAGGAAGGGGTCCAGGAGCACTGCTTCCTCTGCCTGCTCACAGACGTGCTCACAGACGTGCTCACTCTGCAGCCGTTTGCTCAGAATTCTCACCGGCCTGGCTCTGCGTTGGGTTCCAAGGCTGCCCCAGGCCTGGGCTCTACCCTAGAAGAGGTGGCAGCCTGGTGGGAGGGCAGGCAGGCAGAGGTCTTTGCGGCTCATTGGTGCCTGCATAGGTAGCTTCATGGGCGTAAGACAAGGGAGTGACCCTGTCTGGGACAAGAGGAAGGTAAAGACTCTGGACAAAGTCCTATTCAATGGAGGAGCTGAAGTTTATGAGGCAGAGAAGCGGCTGGGAGGGAGAGCAGCGTGGGTGGAGGGCAGAGCACGAGCAAGGGTCCTGGGCAGGCAGCGTTTCATGCTGGAATTAGGAACATCTTCACACGTGGCGCGTCATATGGCGGAAGGCGAAGGCTTCTGGTGGCCGT
This sequence comes from Homo sapiens, assembly GCF_000001405.40. Taxonomy (NCBI): domain Eukaryota; kingdom Metazoa; phylum Chordata; class Mammalia; order Primates; family Hominidae; genus Homo; species Homo sapiens. The sequence continues at coordinate 59,742,888 of NC_000020.11, forward strand.
GAGTGGGTCGCAGGAGGGAGGGTCTCACAGAGGGAAATTCAGCGCACGCTGCTGAGCTGCTGCGGCCACTGTGGGTGCACTGCTGGACAACCATCCTGGGGTCCAGGCTTTGGGGGGATCACTGGTGACCCCTTAGGGTGAGAGGTCATCACCTTGGGCCCCCAGGAGTCACATAGGTTTGGTGGCCACTTGAGGACCCCCTTGGTTTTCGTCTTCCAGATGAGATGGACCAAACGCCCCCGGCGCGTCCTGAATATCTGGTCTCAGGGATTCGAACTCCCCCTGTGAGGAGGAACAGCAAACTGGCCACCCTGGGCAGGATCTTCAAACCCTGGAAATGGAGGAAAAAGAAAAACGAAAAACTGAAGCAGACAACGTCAGGTAAAGGCCTGGTGACAGGCGCGGGCAGGCTGTGGCTGGGACCAGCGTCCTTGGCATGGTGCTGCGGCCCCTGCTGATCTGTGACTTCCTGGCCCCTACACAGGAGGGGCAGATGTGCTTCATGGCCTGTGATGGCCAGGAGCCATGCAAGTTACCCCGCTGGCCCCTCCAGGGCCCACCTGGCCTCCCTGAAGCCCTGGGGTGGAGTTGGCACCAGGCACCCCATGTGGGACGCTCTGCCCAGACCCTAAGGTGCCCACAAGTCCACTGGGACCTTGTTAAAAACGAAGCCTCTGATTTACTTAGGGCTGGGTTGGGCCGAGACACTGGCTTTGGAGCAAGGTCTCACTTGCTGGCTTCACCTGGGTGGTGAGCCCCCAGCCCACGCGACTCCCGCACCACCTCACCTCCCACACCTGCAATCTCACTTGGAGGATGCTGGGGCCTGGGTCGTACCCCCACAGATGCAGGTTTAGTTGGCCAAGAGCCTCCTGGGTGACTCAGGGTTGAGGCCGTCGGTTTGGCTTTGACACCTCTGGGCCTCTCTTCTTCCTGAAAGACAGAGGCTGCTCCCCTGCTCCTAAGCTGTCTCAGTGTGCCTTCCCTACACCCTCCCACCAAAGCATCCAGAAGGTTCCTCCACTCACCTCCTGCTGCCCCCTCACACCCTGCCAGCCCTGGCTCTGTGGGAAGCGGGATTGCGATGGCTGGTCCCGTTGCCCCCGCCTCCTCGGAATCCAGCTTGGGAACTGCAGCCATGAGGCTGAACCACAGACAGGGTGGACACAGGCAGTGATGACGGGACAAGCAGCCGTAAGGCACATAACGGCAGAACACGGCCCCCCAGCATTTGGCATGGAGGAGCCAACTCAACCCTCAGAACCTCCTGCTAGGCCAGCACTCCCGCAGGATCCTGCCCCATCGGAAGGGATGGGGAACAGGCCCAGAAAGGGAAATCACTCACCCAGGGTCACACAGCCAGCAGGTGGCGGGGCTGAGGCTTGGACCCTGGCAGCCGGGTGTGGTGGCTCGTCAGCCTGGGCTCTGCAGATGGCAGTGTTCTGAGAAGAGAGCCCGGAGGAGGCCGCATCTCCACCCCAGGGCCCCGCCTCCAGCCACATGCCTGTGAGCCACACCTAAAAACAATTAGTGAGGGAGCTGCTGCTGTGGAATCAGTCCCAGGCCTCAGGAACCAGCCCTGGCGAGTGCCCGTCTCAGGCTGTTGCCTCGGGGGGTCCCTGGGGTCCCATTTCCTTTCCAGCTCTGAAGAGGCGCAGGCTCCAGGGCTTTGAGGATGGTGGAGACGAAGGCCAGGTGTTACAGCGCCCAGGCCCACAGCAGGGGAGGCGGCCAACACCGACAGCAGGCCCTCCACTCATGCTTTTCTGTGTGCTTTACAAAATTATTATTATTATTTTTACCAACCAAGAAGTTGATAGATGAATTCTTGTTGAAGTGGAAACAGAACAAGCATCATCATTCGGCAGATCTTGAGCACCTCCTGTGTGCCCAGTACCAACAGGAGGGGCCCAGGCCCTGCCCACCCAGAGCTTTCCGCAGAGTAGGGAGTCGAGTGACAAAGTGTGGAAGCCACCAAGTGAACCAGCACGTGAGTCGATTGCAGACTCCGGCGAGGCTGCAAGGCAGCCTCCCTCACTGGATGCTAGGCTCAGCTAGGTGGGCGGGTTCCATTTGTTCCCCTGCATCTGGCAGGGCCCCTTGCACACACACGGCACTAATGGGCTCTTAGTGATCCAGGCTTAATGGCAGGATCACGGAGCAGGCCCTGGGGGGTGGAAATGAGCAGGGCGGGCACTGCTTTGGGCCCAGTGGTCCGAGAAGACCCAGGTGAGGAGGCTGCATTGAGCTGAGATGTAATTGGTTCATTGAGAAAGGCAGGGAAGAGCATGGCAGCAGTGGGAACAGCCCTCGAAAAGGCAGCGAGCTGGGGAAGGCACGTCTGTGCAGCAGTGAAAGGCCGGGGGACTAGAGCAGAGTGACCTCCGTGACCTCAGGGGGGTCTCTGACATTCTCCAGGCCTGCTGACCCCAGCAGTGGAACTGGAAGGCTGAGGTTTGTCTTCTGAGGACTCTGGGCTCTTTGGCCTACTCCAAGCTGTGCCGTGTGAGTTCACCAGCAAGATGCTCTGGGGACCCTGCAAGGGCATTGGAGGTCTCGAGGTTTTTACCTGCAGCATCCCCACCTTCAGGACCGCCATTCGGGCATCTGGAAATTCGAGGAACAGTGCTGCATTTTGTTTACTTATTCCAAACCACTATTTTCCTTTAAAGCAGGGGGTGTTATTTGTTTCAGCATATCAAATTCCTGATTTCACGGGCATCACGGGTTAGGATGAGTTGAAGTGAATGCAAAGATGATTGAAAGAGAAATATGTAGCAAACAGTGGTTTTGGTAGGCGAGGCTGGGGGAACCGGCTGAAGATGGCTCTCAGGGGCTGCAGGGTGGACCAGCATCTCAGTCCATGCCTGCCCTGGCAGGTGGCTCAGATCCACTCAGCCATTTACACACTGTACCACCTTCACAAGCTGCACCACCACTGACGTCCCCATCCCCGAGAGGGGGAGGGTAGAGCCTCGCAGCTGCATCTTTGGGTCATCGGGAAGTCCTTGAGTCAGTGCAGGCAAAGACCTGTGATGTCTGAGGCTAGCCACCATGAGCACCGCCTGGTGCCGGCCTGGGGACGGGGTCCACACAGAGCTCGAGGCCTCCACCCCTGTTCTTCTTATCTGCTTTGTGAGCCTGGCTGCAGCCTCTTTGCTGACACCTCCCAAGGTCAGCATTCACTTTGTCAATTTTATCCACAATTCTGGCACCTGGAAATTGGCTTGGAAATTGGGACCACAGAAAGGAAATTCTGTTTTCTCTGCCCAAAAATGTCCCCACCCTGCTGTGTTTGGGTTTCCCTTTTCATCCTTTGGCTTTAGGGTAAATATCCTCAGGGAAGCCACCCGGGAGGTCAAGGATGGGATGGGTTTCCCCAGACAACTGCCCCCCAGTCAGTCCCCCGCCCCAGGCCTGACTTATTCCTCCTCGCCCACTTCTAGACACTTGCCATCTGTCCTCCCACCTGTGCTGGCATCAGGCAGAGGCTGTGCCTGTCTTGCTCATGGCAGAATCTCCTGTGCCTGACATGGTGCCTGGCACACAGTAGGTGCTCAGTAAATGTGTAAGGGGTTTCCATAGATTGAACACCTGATCACCATGGCCTGTTCCCCCAGTGGAGCCCCACCTGTGAAGGCTGCAGGGCTTCTGCCCTCCGTGACTCCCCAGCACCCAGCTCAGCACTTGGCACATAGCAGGTGCTCAGGAAATGCTTTTGAGTAAGTGAAATAATTCCATTGCCAGTGCCTGTTTGTCATCTGCCTCCCCAACTAGACATTAAGCTAAGCCAGGTGGGCTGACTCTGTCTGTTCCCCGGCAGCTGGCAGGGCCCCCTGCACACACAGAACACTGATGGACTCTCTGTGATCCAGGGTTAATGGCAGGATCACGGAGCAGGCCCTGGGGTGGAAATGAGCAGGGCGGGCACTGCTTTGGGCCCAGTGGTCGGAGAAGACCCAGGTGAGGAGGCTGCATTGAGCTGAGATGTAATTGGTTCATTGGGAAAGGCGGGGAAATCATCACAGCAGTGGAAACAGCCCTTGCAAAGCTGCATCTTTCAAAGAAAGGGTTGAGGTGGTTATGTAGTCTTGTATTTGGAAATTGGGGCTCACCTGTAGGCAAACAGTTTTCCTGACGGAAGGAAGAAGATGATTGTGGAGCAGCCCGAGGCCTGCCTGTGAAAGAAGGGAGAATGGGACAAGGTGGTGGCCGTCGCTCAAGAGTGTTTTGCTCCGGGAAGGGGAGGCAGAAAGGGCTATTCTGAAGGCGGAATTGACAAAGATTTGGCAAATTAGGCTTGGTGGAAGGGGACTGGGGGCTGGCCTCCTCCCTTCCTGTCCATCTGGTAGACTGGAAGCTTTTAACCTGGGTTTATTGGAAGAAGCTCTAGTGGGAGAGCCGCACAGGAGAATCTCATCTGTGAGTGGATGTTAAGAGCGGCCAGGAGGCACTTCGCAAAGGCGAACAGGAACCACGGAAAGGAGCCCGGGGTGTTGGCGGCAGAGGGAGGGCACTTTCCTTGGTTGGTAATTTAGGGAACATTTGGTGAAGGGCAGGAATGGCTGGTGAGAGCTAGCTTAGAGAGGGGCGTTATATGTGCAGGGGCTTTCCAGATAAATCACAGAAATGATCGCTGTAGAATATCTACTGCGTGCACTGCTCTTTAGCTGTGGTTTATGCACATTGCTTAGCAGCACTCTTGGTAAGAAAGTTGGGCCTCGCCAGTGGACTAGGCCCCCTAACCCCGAGGCGCCTGCTAGCTCAGTGTTTTTGGTCTGTAAACTTGAGCCTGGCATTGGCTGTGGCTTGGACAGGGCCCAGTGACACCTTTGCCTGAGACTCACCTGTGTGTTTGTGTGTTGGGCAGCGCTGGAGAAGAAGATGGCCGGCAGGCAAGGCCGAGAGGAGCTCATCAAGAAGGGGCTGCTGGAGATGATGGAGCAGGGTAAGTGGGACCCGTCCCTGGCTTGGAAGGGCACGGTGCTGGGAATGCAGAATGGAAAGTCTCACATGAGCCCAGGAAGCCCATCAGAAACAGTGTAGAATCCAAGGAGGGCCGTGTTCAGATGAAGCCTGCAAGGTTGGAGAGACACCCCATGTCAGGAGCCATTCCATTGGTCCAGCCCCCAGGGGCACGGGAGACCCCATTACTGAGCTGAAGAGCTCCCCCTCATGGCACCACTCCTCTCTGGGGAATGTCTAACAGAGCTGGGTGTGCATGAATCTGGTGGTTTATCCCAATTCCTTTAAAGTGGTAGCAGTGGTTTTTTCAGCATTAATTTTTTTTTCATATTCACATTTCAGTCCTCCATTTGGGCAAATTATTTTTAATTCCACTATTACCTACTCCCCCTACCACCATGTAGGAAGCATTCAGGACATGCTGGGGCGGGGTGGGATATTGTGCACGCCCTGTCTCATTGGTCTTCCCAGCATCCCTGGGGAGAGAGGCAGCGGCTATCCCACTTGCAGACGAGGCGTGGGAGGGTCTGGGTGGTGACTGCCCCAAGTCATTGCAGCCTGAGAGCAGAGACACAGAACAAATCCTGATCTCTTGGTCTCTGGTCTAGAGAGCTTAATCTCAGTGGGGTCTACATAATCATCTTTGTTTCCATCTTTCAGAAAGGCCAGTTATTATCACTCATGCAATTAACTGAACAGAGTTCTTTAATTCCCAAGTCTTTCTCTTTGTGATGGATTCCTGGAGGTGTGAGGCCCAGGACTTAGATGCTGACACTAGCCCTTGGTGCCTTCCGGTTCCCTGAGAGGCTAAATCTTGGTTAGGAGGTTTCACAACACCTCACTGCCTCTGGAAGACTCTCTGGAGCTGGACCAAGCTCTGGCCTGCTGATTTGAGGAATCTGGCCATGCATAGCCAGTTTCCTGAGGCTTGCATGGATATATTGAATTCCTCTCTCCCCACTTCAGCCTTAAAATATTACTAGTGTCTTTGTAATTTGGCCCAAATATCAGGAATTAGGAAGGAAGCTCATGAAATAAACGAATCCAGATTTTATGCAGCCGGGCCTGTCAGCACACAAACCCGATTGTGGGCCCAGGCTTTTGTCATTGTTTCCTCTCTTTAGACTCGAAGAGTGAAGTATTTTGATGATGCTATTTTTAGGGGAAATCTACATGGGAAATTGCTTCATAGTGATAATAAAACCTTACATGTGCGAGGAAAGCTTGGTGTCAAGTCCCGTGGCACTCAGATGGTTAACGCCGTCGTGACGCTCGGATTTGGCGGAATGCGGTTGCTGAGCTAGAAATCTGGAGGATTTTCACTGGGATGGGACAAAAAAGTGTCAAACTCCGGCATTTTGAATATGTTGCCAACAAGCATACCTTTGGATCTTAGGGAAGGAGAAAGGAAGATGAAAACAATGCTAAGGCCTTTTCTCATCTATTCTAAAAAAAACACTACTTTTGTTGAGTAAAGAGTAAGTATATAGATTTGGTTCCTCTCAAAAATGAAGCTATAGTTTGACTAATTAAAGGGGAAAACTTCTAGGAGCGTTGGCTTTTTTCCACTCTGAATTTTTGCAAGATGACTTTGTCTGATGAAGTCATAGCAGAGGCTGGAGACGAATGCTTGGCCGCGGCCAGGCTGACAGTGTGGCTCTCACCCTGCTGCCGTGGGAGCCTGGTCTCTGGCTTCCGTGCCTCTGACGGCGACATCACACACCCGCAGGCTTACAGAATCACTTTAGATCAGGGTCGGCAAACCTTTTCTGGAGAGGGTCAGATAGTGCATATTTCAGGGGGACGTGCAGTCTCTGTTGCAACTACTTGTCTCTGCTTTTGTAGCGCAAAGGCAGCCGGAGACAAAACATGCATGAGAGGGCATGGCTGTGTCCCAAGAAAACTTTATTTATGGCCACTGGCCTTTGAATTTTATATAATTTTCATGTGCCACAAACTATTATTTTTCTTTTGATTTTTTTTTCTTTTGTCAACCATTTAAAGATGTCAAATCCAGGTGGGGGAGCTGGATTGGTCCCCACATTGTGGTTTGCTCATCTCTACCTTCCATACTCTCTCTCTTGCTAAATGATTGTGGACCAGGGACTAGAGTGGCCTGAAACACAGTCTCTTTCCTTGAGAGGGAAAATGCACTCCTAAATTGATGCCATGACATTTTATTGAGGGCCCACTCTGTGTCAGGGTCTGTGCTAGCTGCTGAGGACACAGGTGAGCAAAATACTGTTCTGAACGCACATCCAGTGGGGCCATTAGGTAATCCCACAAAAAGCCGGCAACTCACGACCACAGTGAGTGCAGTGAAGGATGCAGCACCCTAAGATCATGAGACAGGACCTGACCTGGTTCTCGGGGGGCCGGGAGATGTTTGAGTCAGGTCCAAAGGTGGGCAGGAGGACCTAGGCTGGTTCTCAGAGTCTGTTGCATATTAGGATCACCTGGAGAGATTTAATAACCCTCCACCGCTCAGGCAGCAGTTAAATTAGATGCGCTGGGCGTGGGACCCAGGCAGCAGTGCTTCCTCATCCTCCACAGCTGATTCCGACTTTGATGCAGGAAGGTTGAAAAGCCAAGAGACAGAAGGAAGCGGGGAGTGACTTCCAGCCCACAGGAGCAGCAAGCACAAGTCCCCGCGGTGGAAGGGACCTTGAGATGGTGGGTTGGGTTGGAGGAAAGGAGGAAGGAGGAAGCAGGAAAGGGAGAGGGGCTTGGGTCAAGACGCCTCCCGTCTTCCCTGCCCACACACCGGCTGGGGTGGCAGAGGCATGACCACGCTGCTGCGGGAGCCTGGGGCGGCCACAGTGCGAGTGGGTGGGATCTGCGAGGAGCCCGAGTGTCTCTGCAGGGAAATATCAGGGACCGGGCAGCAGGGGTTGCTCTGGGAGGGGACTTGGACTTGCTTTTCGCAGTCGACTCTTCTGTGCTGCTTGAATCCTTTACTGTGTGCCACCTGTAATCAACCTGTAATCAACGTGCTGTAATAACGGGATCCACGCAGATGCTTGGCCACAGGCTCCCGGCTAAATCCTTCCCTGCACCGCAGTTTCCGTCCTGCACTAGCTTCAAAAATGTCTTTTCTCACTGGGTCGACCTGAGGTCAGACCCTGTCTGTCCCTAATCCTCCTGGTGCTGGGTCACCGGGTCCTCTTGCAGGATGACTGGAATTGTTGGCGGTGGCTGTGCACCTGCCCTCTCCGGCTCAGGGGAGGATCAGGCTTGAGGGCTGTTGCTCTGGGGTAGGCACGCAGTGCCGCCGCCTCTGCTGTGGATGTGAGGACTCTCCAGGGTGAGGAGCAGAGGCGCTTTCCTGGCTTTGGGGTTAAGGAACCGGCTTCAGGGTTAAGGAACCGGCTTCAGCCACCGCCTTCCACTGCTGGCAGGGACGAATCTGCAGCCGGGGGCGCCCTCCTGTGGCCGGCCAGGCTCATGAGCCTCCCTGCAAGGTGGACGGGACTTCATGCAGGACAGGCCCTGTGAGGCTGTGGGAGTGGATTGTCAGGGACTCCAGAGCCTCATTTGAGCCCCCTCGAAACTCACATTTGAACTTCCTTGGCCAGGACAAACCCCAGGATTGCCCTCTGCCCTGCACACGCGCATGTATGCACACACACATGTACATACACATTGGACACCCTGGAGCTTGCCCTGAAGCAGGTGGGCAGCCTGGTGGAGTGAGCCGGACTCTGGGCAGGGCCAGCAGAAGAGAGCCCGCCAGCTCCCGGGGGTGAGGCAGCATCCAGGGCATGAGTTTGCTCCCTCTGGGGTGTTACTTTATGATCGATGGTCTGTTTTATGAACCACTGTGACCCCCTCCCCTCTCGTTCCTGTGACTCTAGTCGCCAGCTTGGACCTAGGAAGGACCCTGCTGGTGGCGTTATTACATGACTAGATGTGTGCAGTGGAGCCCGTTGTGCCCTGGGGAGGGCAGAGGGGACCCCTCTGATCTCTTCAGTGCTCCTTCCACCCTCGTCTCGGATATCCGTGACTAAGTGAGGCCAGACCAAATCTCTGGTACAAGGGGTCCCCTTCCCCAGCCCCCTTGCCCTGGTCCCCAGCCCACGTTTCTCTGTGCTAGACACTGTTTATGTTCTGAATGACTTTCCTCCATCTCCCTGTATGCGTTGACTTGGCATTTTCTTAAATAATTTAAGGAATTTCCTACCCCGTCATTGGGTATAAAAGAAGAGAGTTTATTACTCTGTGCTGTGTTCAGTGACTTGAGATTGACTAGGCATTCTTTCCTCAGGGAATTGGACAGTGACAAATCAAGTCTATCTGGTTTCCATGTGGTAGGAACGCCGGGGGACACATGTCTGCACGTGTGCACACACATGCACGTGCACCTGTGTGCACCCACCTGTGCTTGCACTGTGCACATGTGCCACGACACACGTGTGTGCCTGCGTGTGCATCTGTGAGTGTGTGTGCATGTCTGCAACACGTTCCCTCTCACTGTGGCTGCTCAGGTGCACTGCCCCGCGCTCCCCTCTGCAGCCCTCAGAAGGAGAGTGGCCGGGCGGAGGCTGGCCTTCCAGCGAGAGGAGCAGGGCCTGGGCTCCCACCGCTCCCCCAACCCCTCCCCAACCAGCGTTTCTTAGCAACGGCCCTGCCACCAGGGCTATTTTGGGAACTGAAACTTTTCACTGAACATGATTATGAGCTGGAGCTCTGACCGCAGCCCAGAGAAGTCCTGCAAGAAGTCCTTGCAGAAAACCTGCAAGAAAGCAGGGGAAGGTTCAAAGACTGTGGAGGGGCATGGTGCTTTTCTGAGTCTGGAGACCTCTGGGCCTTCCAGGTTCTATGTTCTGACCTTTTTATAGTGGCAGTTGTGATGATTTTGATGATGACGATGGAGGCATCCTTATTATTAACAGCAGTGACAGTCATGGCAGCAAAAGACCTGTGCATTCTAAGGTTTGGTGTCCATAACTGCAAGTGGTGGGTGGCAGCCTTGCCTGTCACATAGGGTAGGTGTGAAGCTCAAGCTGGCAGAGCCCTGTGCTCCCCTACGCCAGCTCTCACATTCCCTGTGTGTTGCCAGGGGCTGGGTAAGCTGTGCTGTCACGGTTGCACGTCAAATGCGAGTAAGTCGGTCACGAGAAGGGGCTGGTTTCAGTTTTCAGCTTTGTGACCTCTAATTTTGTCTACTCGGTGAGCTCTCTTGGCTTGTATCTGGGTTGGTGGGCTGTTATAGCCAAGGGTCAAATGTGGCTCAGGACCTGTTTTTATGTGGTCTTTGAGCTAAGAATGCTTTTTAAATAGAAAAGACTTTCATAAAAATTAAAAAAAAAAAATCAAGGGTTGCAGCACGGGGGATACAGCACGTGGCCCACAGAGCCCGTCACAATGGCCATCTGCGCCTTATGGGAAGAGCCTGCCAGCCTCGCCTGGACCTCTGGGCAACTGACGCGGCTGCATGGATGAGATCGTCCAGCCCTAAATCTCCAGACTTCTGGCATGGCTGACCTTTTCATTCTCCCCGGAGGAGACGTGTGCGGCAGAGGGAATATGATCAGCAGCGATGACAAGCTCAAATCTCTTCCAGGGTCCCAGGCAGGAAATGGGTCTGGCATGAGTCCTGGGTGTGGTGAGGACTCTGGAGGGAGAAACGGTTCTGTCCTAAGCCTGCTGTTAGCAGATGGGCCCAAAGGTGCAGACCAAGGGGCCAGATCACTCTTGTCACCCTCCTCTTCTCGTTGTCAGAAACCATCACCAACAACAATGACAGAAAGCACATGTAAAGTGCCTACCTTATGCCAGACACATTCCATACCCTAGCTCCGTTAATTCTCACTATGTTGCCATGAAGCAAGCAGAAATATTATCCCCATTTTATAGATAAGGAAATTGAGATCCAGAGGAATTTGCTATTTGGGCACAAAACACCGTTTGCAGGTGGTGGGACGCATGATGGGGTGACTGTATACTGTTTGTCCAAACAGGACACTTTTAGGAGTGAAAGGGACACTGTTGAAGGACACAGGGATGGCAGGTAGGAATCGGGACTGACCAGGTCCTATGGACCCTGACCCTGAAGTAAATGTTGCCTCCTCCTTCCACTGCCAGGATGGGACGTGTGTGGAAGGAGGTCAGCGTAGGCTAGCATCCCCAAACGGCCACCTCGTGGCTGTGTCGACATGTGCAGGTCACACTGCCCTCTGCACCGGGCCTCCAGGAACTGCTGTAGAGATTGAGAGGAGTCCTGCAGGGCTATGTGGAGGCTTTGTGCATGGGGCTGTAACGTGCATCTCAGTGACGTGACTGTGACTTGCTGGCCGAGGGCCCTGCCATCCTGCAGTTGGGTAACTGAGCCATTTATTTTGCTCTCCAAGTGCTGAGCCCCTCAGCATTAAGGTGCAAACCCAGGGATGGCAAGTGAAGGGCCAGACCCTCAGAGGCTGCAGCAGCCGAGCTTCAAGAGACGGAAAGCACCAGGTCCTTCCTTATGCCCTGCTAGTGCCTCCTCTTCTGGGAAGGCTGCCTGTCAGACCTAGGGACCCCCGGCTCTGTGGCCCCTCCATCCATGGGTGTGCCCCGTTCCTGGGCTCACGGTGCCATGTGTGGTCATCTGCGTGGCTTCCTCAGAGTGTGAGACCCCTGGGGGCAAGGACTGTATCTTACTAACCTCCACCTTGCCAGGGTTTATTACAGTGCCAGACACGTAGCCGGTGATCAGTAAACACCTGTTTAATGCCTGGCTGAGGGTCAAACGGTGGGTGCAGAGGTGAGTTGGTTCTCTGCAGCCATGACAACCCCTGCATCTCAGAGACCTACAGCAATCACCGTTTGTTGTCCCCTGTCTGGGTTGGCCTGTGATCTGCCCCGTGGGTCTGCTGACTCCAGCCAGCTGCTGGGCATGTCTTCAGGACAAAGGTCCAGGGAAACAGGAGGGACGAGCAGGGATGTGCAAGCACTTCTCATGCCAGTGCTGCATCATACCCACTGTGTCCCATCGACCAAAGCAAGCTCCAGGGCAGAGGCCGGGGTCAGAGTGGGGCTACTGCAAAGGTGCACGGCAGTGGGTGTGGACGTGGCTCAGGGGCACTGCAGTCTCCCACAGGTGTCGGAGGAAGAGTGCACACAGGGAGTGGAGTGTAAGAGCAGAAACCAGGCTAGGGTGTGCTGAGGTGCCCAGGGCTCCCCTGGAAAGTCCAGACTTGGAGAGGGACTCCTAGGGTGTGTGGTGAGGGGGAGAGGGGTGGGGGACCACCCAGAGCCTAGAATGGATACTTCTCAGAAAGACTCTTGGGACGACGGAAGGGATGAAGGAAGGGAGGTGCAGGCCCAGCTGACAGCTACATTTCCTTGTAGATGCTGAAAGCAAAACTTGCAACCCCGATGGAGGACCCCGATCTGTACAGAGTGAACCACCCACTCCCAAGTCGGAGACGCTGACTTCAGAAGATGCCCAGCCCGGAAGCCCCTTGGCCACTGGGACGGACCAGGTCTCCCTGGACAAGCCACTGTCCTCAGCTGCCCACTTGGACGATGCAGGTACTGGCTGGAGACCACGCGAAGTTGAGCTGCTCCTAGAATGGCCATACGTCCCCACTGTTGTCCTTGGCTATAGCTTAGGCAACAGCCCTCGTAGAACATTGTTCTCCAGAGAGCTGGGCCCGTGCTCTAAGCGCTGCCATGCTGTGCTGCCTGGCTGGGTTGAAGTGTTTGCTGGGGCACTTTTCTCTACTGTCTCTTTCCAAGTCTGGCACGGCTGATAAGTGAAGGTACTTAACGATGTTCATCTCCCTGGCACACCTACCCCCCCTCCCAGGGCGTCTTTGTGTTTCCCTGGGAACTTCTAGGCAGGAAAGTGCTCTCTGGAGGGGCAAGTGCCCAGTGGGGGGATTTTAGTGACCCTAAAAGGGTAGGAGGTAGGGTTGAGGGACTTTTCTGTGGCCGAAATCCTGCCACAGGGGGCCTCTTGGCCTAAGAGATGCTGAAGTCCCTGCATGTGTGCATGCCTGGGAGCTGGTCGGTGCTGATGCAGTCTCAGCATGCTGCAGCCTATGTGGGGCTCTTCCGCTGCTTCTTGAGGGGAGGTGGGCTTGGTGCCTTGCTCCAAGCCTCAGTTTCCCTCTGTTAAATGGGAAAAGTAATGGACCTACATCAGGGTTGTTTGGAGGGTGGGAGGAACTTAGCAGTGTCTGACGTGTAGAGTGACTATTATCAAAGGCAGTAGGGGCTTTGCGTAGTGGTGGTGGTTTTTATTTTAATTGAATAGACCAGGGCGCTTCCCAAGGATAGGGGAGAAGGGAGGAAGGATAGAGGGGAGGAAAGCAGGAACTGGCCACAGACACCTGCAGATGCTTCACCAGCTCCTCCTCCTCCTGCCCACCTGGCAGAGTGATTCTTACGGAGCTTCACTGTTGACTTGGAATCCTGATGTCTCGTAAAATTTCAAGCTATAAGCGAGTCTCACACGGTTTGGGGGTGGGAAGGTGAACGCGTCTCTCCGTGAGTGTGGGAGGTTGGAAATCCAGGCCCCAGGACAGCCTGCTGGGCTTCTGCTTCAGAGCGGGTGGACACCTGGTCCTCCGTGCCCGGGACTTCCTTCTGCCACACAAGGGTGGCACCACACACTCGCAGGCCGCCCGTCCACAACGCCCCTGCAGCGCTAGCGGCACCTGCCCAGAGGCATGCTCAGCCCTCTTCGGGGGTGGCCGTGTCTCTCCAGTTTCACTTGGCTTGGAATTTGGGGTCTGAGAGTTGTGACTTCTGGAGGGTCCCAGCTCTCACGCAGAGGCCCCCTCCACACACACAGGTCTCTGTGTGCCCCAGGCATCTGACTTTGGGGCTGGCGTGGTTCTTTTTTTTTTTAATACTTTAAGTTCTAGGGTACATGTGCACAACGTGCAGGTTTGTTACATATGTATACATGTGCCACGTTGGTGTGCTGCACCCATTAACTCGTCATTTACATTAGGTATATCTCCTAATGCTTTCCCTCCCCCTCCCCCCACCAAGCAATGGCAACAAAAGCCAAAATTGACAAATGGGATCTAAACTAAAGAGCTTCTTTGCAGCAAAAGAAACTCCCATTGGAGTGAACAGACAACCTACAGAATGGGGGAACATTTTTGCAATCTACTCATCTGACAAAGGGCTAATATCCAGAATCTACGAAGAATTCAAACAAATTGATAAGAAAAAAACCCCACCACAAAGTGGGTGAAGGATATGAACAGACACTTCTCAAAAGAAGATATTTATGCAACCCGCTGGCATGGTTCTTAAGGCTGAGCAGAGCCTGGCCTTCCTGCCGTGGTGTGGTCCCCACAGCCCAGCCCTTGTGTGTGGCCTGTGAGCCTCCCCAAGGGAGGCAGGGCTGCTGCTCCCAGCCCTTGATGGGGGTCACGCTTCTCCTTGGCAGTGATTTCTGTAGCTCAGCTCAGGGCCTGTGCCTGCTCCCCTCAGTGCCCTCTTCTGACCTCAGACACGCTCCCGCTCTCTCTCCAGATGCTGGGTGTGCGGATGGGTTCCTGAGAGCAGAGTGGGTCTGTTGAGATTACACATTTGTATCAGGGACCCTCTCCTGAGTGAGGCCTGAGGGAGGAGTGGGAATCAGCTGGGCAGAGAGCGAGGTGCAGAGCATCCCAGAAAGGGGAATGACATGCAAAGACAGGGGACAGGAACACACACGTTTTCTGTAAAGGGCCAGAGAGGAAAGAGCATGAGCTCTGCAGGCTGGAGGTGTCTGACACAGCCACTCGCCTCTGCCCCCTGGTAGCACAAAAGCAGCGTCGGTGGTGAAAGGGTGGGGCTCTTGTCGGTGGAACTTTAGTGATTAAAAACAATCCAGGGCCCGGTGAGGTGGGTCACACCTATCATTCCAGCACTTTGGGAAGCCAAGACAGGAGAATCACTTGAACCTAGGAGTTCAAAGTCATCCTGGACAGCATAGCATGACGCCATCTCTACAAAAAAGTTTTGTTTTTTGTTTTTGGTTTTAATTAGCTGAGTGTGTGGGCACACACCTGTAGTCCTAGCTACTCACGAAGCTGAGGCGGGAGGATAGCCTGAGCCCGGGAGGTCAAGGCTGCAGTGAGCTGTGATCACACCACTGCACTCCAGTCTGGGCGACAGAGCCAGACCCTGCTTCAAAAAAAATTCAAAATAAACAGCCCACAGAATGGAGAGAGAGAAGAGACCTGGCAGGTTATCCCTGAGGGCAGCTGGAACCCCCCAGGGATGGAGAGTCGATGGGATTTGCCTTGTAGGAAGCGCTCTGCTGGTGACCCAGCAAGACCTGGGGGAGACTGGAGCCGTGCATGGTTCCCTGGGGACTTGTCTCATTCCCAGCTTCCCCAGTGTGGGTCTTGTGCTCCTGGGATTTGTGAGATGACTTCTTGTGAATGGCATGTGGACAGACAATGAGAAAACATTATTAATGTTCAATTAATAATGAAAAAGTTTAAACATTAATAATGAAAATACTTTTCAGTAATTAGGGCAAGTAGTATTGGCTTCTCATTTTGGGCAATGATAGAGATTTGCTTTTTCTTATAAACAGAGATAAAAATATAAATTCACTTAAAGTAAAATATAGCAAACAAAAGTATAGAAAGTACAGAGGAATGTCCAAAATGTCTAAAGCAGGAGCCACAAGTCTGATTTAAGAAAGACCATTCCATTCCCTAGGGATGCAGCTGGCTTATTAGCAGTTAGTGACATTTGTCATCATGCTGGGGATAACAAGAGGTGACACAAGTGGCTGCCTGCATGCAGGGTTGGGGAGCGTGCTCTACTAATGACTGCACATTCATTTAGCTTACTTAGCCCTGGAAGCAGCCCCCGGAGATCTCACGCCCATGATGAAATGCTGGCACAAAAGTCGAATAACTGGTCCAAATGACTGGAAACAGAGGGCAATGTCTTTGACATCAGGCCGACCTGGGTTTGAGACACACGGCTGAACTCCTTACTGAGCTGTGGGACCATGGGCAAGTGACTTAACCTTTCTGATTATGTTTGATCAACTGTAAAATGAGGATAGTAGTCACACTGACCTCCCAGGGTCGCTAAAATTAAATTAAGTGATCCCCAGGAAAGACTTATCTCCCTCCTAACCCACACCGAGCACTTGGAAAGTGTCTGCTGCTGCTACTGTAGCATCACTGTTACTCTCACCATCATCGTTGTCATCGTCATTGTCATCTGTTGTCTTCATTGTCAAAAACAACCCTTGGAAAGGGACGCACTAACACGCATTATTTAGCTGCCTACAGATGCTCCCAGAGAGGCCATCTCTCTGGTAGCATGTGTGTTTTGGGATGTGGGGCCACCTGCAGTTTGCTATGGCTGGGACAACCCCGAGGCCTCATCCAGCCCTGCAGGCCTGGGATCCTGCGCCAGGGACCCTGCGCCAGGGACATCGGTCACCTCCACAACACCAGGTCAATGTTCAGAAGCTTGGCCATGAGCAACATCCCTATAAACGGGGTATAACTTAACACAGGGACATTAAATGCACTGGTTAAAAATTTGCAAGCCAATGTTTAAAAATCAGGAGTGTTCACAGAAATCCAGATGTGCAGTTTCTTTTCAGTCATCAAAGTTCAGGCCTCCGGATCCCTGTTCCCACACAGCCAGGGTCGCTGGAGCTGAACAGAGTCTGTCCCTGTAGATGGGTGTTGGAGTTTGCAACCCTTTCCATGAAGGTTAAGAGCCTAGTCTTTGGAGCCAATCCCTGTGTTACTGACTTAATCTTCTGCTTTGGGCCCCAGTATTTTGTGATAGAAGGAGTTAAAGCTTGAGGCCACTGTGAGGCAACGTGGTCCTAGGTCTCCGGTTTCTACTGCAGAGCTCAGGGGGACCAGCTGTTAGATGCTGTGTGTCTGATGCTGTCTGTTCTCTTCCCACATTCTGCACCTCAGCACCCAAGGGAACTGCCCACATCTGGGCCCAGTCGCTCTGTGTTGTGGGTAATTCCATGACAGACAGATGTCATCTAATGGCAGACAAAGCCAGATCCTCAAGTGGCAAATGTGTCACGTGAGTGCTGGAACCTGGGACCTGCTTCTCTCCTTGACCTTGGACAAGTTCAGGGAAACCTCATGGGGGCCCAGAACATGGTGCCCCGTGGGTGATGGTCTACACCTGCAGGAGCCCCTGGGGTGTCTGCAGTGGTGCTCATTGCTGTCCTGAAAGGTCAGCTGCTTTCTCTTAAAAAGCAAACCTCCCATGAGCTTTGCTGGGGGTCGGGGAGAGGGGTCATCAAAAAGCACAAGGGGCTGTCCTGGGTCACTCCTGGCATCCAGGTGGCAACATCCAGGACTGGAGTTGCAGCTTCCCCGTGCCCCAACCATGATGAGTGTGGGTGTCAGGGGATACATCTGAATATTGCAAATCTCTCAGGAGGAGGACACTGTCAATGATTTTGACCATTATTTTCCTTGAGCCTTTGGTTTGGTGATTTGGGTTGACTTTGGGCTTTTGTGTTTGGGGCGACTTTGCTTTTCCTGGTTTTGTTTGGATGGTGCCCGATATGGTTTGGCTGTGTCCGCACCCAAATCTCATCTTGAATTGTAGCTCCCATAATTCCCACGTGTGGTGGGAGGGACCTGGTGGGAGATCATTGAATCATGGGGGTGGTTTCCCCAGTACTGTTCTCATGGTAGTGAATAAGCCTCATGAGATCTGATGGTTTTATAAGGGAAAACCCCTTTTGCTTCGTTCTCATTCTCTTTTGTCTGCCACCATGTAAGATGTGCGTTTCGCCTTCCGCCATGATTGTGAGGCCTCCCCAGCTATATGGAACTATGAGTCCATTAAACTTCTTTTTCTTTATAAATTACTCAGTCTCAGGTATGTCTTTATCAGCAGCATGAAAACGGACTAATAAGTGCCACACCAGCAACAGAGCATTCCCTACAAAGCCCAGAAGGATCCGGTGTTTTGACACAAATGGGAACAGGGTCCTCTTCAGTGTTTCTACTATGGGACAGGGGCTGAGTTCTGGCCTTCCCACAAGTGCACTAATTAAAAAGGAGAGTGACACTCAGGGAGCGTGTTCTGTGTGCACTCTATTATCTTATAACAGCCTCATATTTTTGGATGAGAAAACAGAGCCCAGAGAGGTTAAGTCACTTTCCCAGGCCATAGAGCATAAAAACAGATCAAACCCAGTGGCAGGACTGGGTTTGATCTTCACCATAACAGTCTACAGCCTAAACTCTAGAGCCAAACAGGAGACAAACATTTCTTCTGCTTCTGGAATGTTCTGGAATGTGAGTCTAGAACAAGGACTGTCAAATTGCAGGCTTCAGGTCAGATACTGCCCATGTCTGTGTCTGCATGGCTGTGGAGCACTGCTCTAGTGGGCCGGTCCTGGGAGCCAGGGAGGGAGGGGTGCCTCCCTCCCTGTGCCCTGCTCCTGTCTTCCTAGCTGGTGGCTGCCCTTAACCACTGCCTGGGGCCTATGCTGGTCCCAGCTACCCCTGGGGCCTGGGCTCTGGGCAACTGCTGGGCACCGAGTGGAGGAACCTCATCTGGGAGTTGGTGAGCCACCTGGCCCACAGCCAGCTGCCCAAGCTGAGACCAAGGTTGTGCTGGGTGTACGGGGGTGGAGTACAAGTGACCATGGCTCACCACATCCATCCTTGGGCTGGCCACCCTTGAACTCCAGAATGTCTTCAGTGGGTGGTAACTGGCTGCAAAGTGTGTCCCCTGCCCTGGTAGCCCTCTTGAGGCAAGTGGCAGGGCAGAGTTTTTCCTCTTGTTTAAGTTCCTACATAATATTCTTGATTTTGCCTCTTAGCCTGGAAAGACAAAAATGTTTACTATCTGCATCTGAACAGAAAAGGTTTATCAGCCCCTGCTCTGGAAAATAAGTGGGGATTACACAGAAGGGTGTCAGTGGAACATGCTCAGCAAAGAGGTACCAGTAAGTCATGAACTTGTGGCGCTGTGGTTGAGCTTCAGGTATTTCCATTCCTAGCCCTGACCCCTGCATTGGGGTTTGTACAGTGTAGAAGCTTCTGGTTGAGACTGCATTTGGTAAGAGGGAGCCTCTGCTGGTCCAGCCCCAAGGGAGCGGTCCCCCAAATGCAGGGAACCAGTGTCTTCTTCCACTTTTTAAAAAATTGATTCAGCACTTGAGATGTTAACAGATGTTGCAATTTCAGTTTTGACAAGATTCCAAAATACAACGGTGGCTGCACACTCACGTGAGATGCAGAGGGCGGTGTCAGAGAGGAGAGGGAAGATGGGGAGGAGGGAGGGAGAGAGGAGATGCTGAAAACCGTCTCCTGTCCTTAGAGCCATCAGGCAGGCTAAGGATGTGAGGGTTCAGTGTGTGGTGAGGATGGATGTTTTGGGGGAGACTTTGGAGGAGGGTTTTGGTCAGCGTAGCTGGTGTGGTGAGTCTCATGGCCATCAGGGTGAAGGGTGGGGAACCCATAGTCCCACCTTGGGCAGGTGGAATGAGGGGACCTCAGAGACTTACCCTTTACCCTGTGCCTTAAGGCAGTGGCACTATGACCATTGACTCAGTCCTGGGAAATCCAGAGCTCCCCTGTCCAGTGCAGTAGCCACTAGCCATGTGACTGTTTGAAATAATTAAAATTTAAGCTTGTTTTTCACTCCAGCCGCTTGTCCAGTGTTCAGTGGTCATGAGGGTCTAGTGGCCACCATATGGACAAGGAAGAAATGTGTCCATCATCTCAGAAAGTGCTACTGGGTAGTACCGAGGGTCAGGGTGGCTGCACATCTACTTTGCTGTGAAACAAGGGCAGATGTAGTTTGGATTGGCTAGCCTTCCAGAGTTCTCCATACTAACAGAGACTGTAATAGCAACAGAGGCCACATGGCCCAAGCTGGAAATATTTTCTACCTGGCCCTCTGCAGAAAAGGCCTGCCAAACCCTGGTTTGGAGAATGGGTTTCCACTGGGGTGGGAAGCATTGCCAGGAGCTGGGAGGCTGGTGAGGAGGCCCAGGCAGAAGTTCTGACAGCTCACACTGGGAAACACGTGGGTATTTCTGAGAAATATTTTCGAAGTAGAGTTCGTGAGACTTGCCTGTGAATTAGATACAAGGGGTGGGTACAGGGTGGAGAGGACAAGAGAAGGATGGCGTGGGGCATCTGGTCTGGCTGGACAGCTGGTGGGTCATGGAACACTGAACCTGGTGAAAGTAGGTGATATGGTTTCGCTGTGTCCCCACCCAAAATCTCATCTTGAATTATAATCCCCACAATCCCCATAATCTCCACGTGTCAAGGGAGAGGCCAGGTGGAGGCAATTGAATCACAGGGGGGCAGTTTCCTCCATGCTATTCTCACAATAGTGAGTTCTCACAAGATCTGATGGTTTTATAAGAGACTCTTCCCCCTTCACTTGGTACATGTCCTTCCTGCCGCCTTGTGAAGAAGGTGCTTACTTCTCCTTTGCCTTCTGCCATGATTGTAAGTTTCCTGAGGCCTCCCCAGCCATGCTGAACTGTGAGCCAATTAAACCTCTTTTCTTTATAAGTTACTCAGTCTTGGGCAGTTATTTTTAGCAGTGTAAGAAGAGACTAATACAGTAGGGATCTGTCTGGATTAGTGCCATGTCCACAGCTTCTAGAATAGTGCCTGGAACCCATGGTTGTTCAATAACATTTGCAAGATGGGTTGATGGTTGAATGAGCAAGAGGGAAGGGAAGGCTCAGGAGAATTTTTTGTGGGGACCAAGATTCAAGTTTGGATGTGATTGGCCTCCAGATGGAGATGCCAGTGTGGCCAACTGGTAACATATGAGTCTGGAGCTCAGAGAAATGGTCCAGGGTTAACAGAGAAATGGAATCAGTTCTGAAGCCAAAGGAGTGGATGAGAATGACCTGTGAGAAGGTTAGACAGGGAAGAGGACCTAGGCCTTCATCCTGGGGCAGCCCAGGTGGACATTCAGATGCAGGAGGTGGGACCTGCCAGAGAGGCTGAGCAGAGGTGGCCAGAGCTCCAGGGGAGAACCAGGAGAGTATGTGTCGGGAAGCCAGAGGGGAAAGTGTTAAAGATGGTGGATGGCTGAGTGGGGTGGCCCTGGCTCAGTGAGGGGGCCAGGCCTTGCTGGGTGGAGATGCAGTGTTAAAGGTCATCTTTCATAAGTTTATTTTTCAAAGGAGCAGATAATTGTAACTAAGCTGGGAGTATACATGAGGTCAAGACTGTTTGGTTTGGTTTTGGGTAGAATATTTTAGATCTTGTTGGGATCCTGAAAAGAAGGATAAGTCAGTGATGCAGGCCAAGCGGGACAACCTGTCAATAGCTCAGAGGGATGTGGAACTGGCCCAAGTCAGTGCTTATCTAGTGAAGTCTTATGTGGAGATCAGACATAGAAGATAGATCCAGATGATTGGCTGGGGCTGACCCAGAAGTGAGGACACTGACCCCAGGCTGCCCTTCCTCCCTGGTATGAGGACACTGACCCCAGGCTGCCCTTCCTCCCTGGTATGAGGACACTGACCCCAGGCTGCCCTTCCTCCCTGGTAATGCTTCCTTTGGTGGCACCTCTGAGCAGACCCTTGGAGCCTGGTTCAGACGCTGGCCACATTGTCCTGGAGGAGATGAGTCAGAGGAGTGCTGAGTAGCTCTAGACAAACCTTCCCCACCATGGTTTCATGTTGGCCTTTCCATACTTGTAGTGGGCAGGTTCGGGTATTTTATACAGATTATTGTACAGATGAGGAGACTGAGACTCACTAAGCAAGGTGGAGGCCAAAGTCACTCGTCTGTAAATAGGTCAAACGTATGGAGGAAGGGGGCGGATGCTGGATACTGGTGTAATTGAGGCCGGGTGAGCCAGTTCCGTGACATCTCTGTCTCCCAAAAGCAGGACTTTGGAAATGTGCTGGGTGACCAGTACCCTGAGAGCGTAACCCATTCACAAAGAAGCGTTCAGGAACAAGAAGTCCTGTAAACCCAAACAATCAAAGCAGGGTGTGGATGCAAGGACCATATTAAAGGACTTCAGAATAATAGATGTGTGAATATCTGAAAAGGGGTGGGACCCCCCCAGGAAGAAACTTCCTAGAAGAAAACTAGGCCTGGGCTGGCTACTGAGAGCTCACCCCATGCCTGGTGGTCTTGGCCAGGAACTTGGCTGCCGAGGAAATGGGCTGTGAAGTGTGGTGTCCCAAGAATGAGGGTGTCCACTTGCCTGTGCTGATTTACACAAGACAGAAAACTCCACAAAGTTATAACTGGAACCTACATAGAGAAAATGGGCATTTCTGTGCTTACCTGTGGCTTAACAAGGACACCTCACAACTATTTTTACCTAGAAAGCATAAAATATTTACTTTGATGTTGTTATCAGGGCAAAACTTACTAAGTGAAACAACTAATCAGAGTTGTAGACTCTTAGACATTATAGGTTACAAGTCAGATGACATAATGACAGTCTCAAAGCATAGGAGTCTTAAACCCTTTTTAACAAGTAACACTTTTGAGGACAGTTTAATGTAACAAGAAAAATAAAATGAAAACAGCATTTTCATGTGGGTATCCATGCAGAACAAGAGTATAGAGCCAGTTGTAATGGTTGTTCTCAGTTCAGGCCAACTTCATAACACAGAGCTGAGTCTGCCGTCTGCAGCTGGAGTATGTGTTGTTGAGGGAGAACAACACATACTCCATCTCTGCTTTCAGAGATTTTGTTCTCCAGGCATTAGGAGGGCTGGCCTTTCTGAGATAAGGACTCCATTGTCATGAACTTAACATAAGAAAGGGCTGGGAATGAGAGTTTAAAACTTCCAACATAGCCAATAAAGGAACGGAAACTAATGATAGCTAATGGGATACAAGGAGCGTGCAATATTTGCATCTGGTGTTTAGCTGGAGGCTCTCTGCAGGCAGGAATTAGGCCTGTTGTAACACCCCCTCCCTGACCACTGTGTTTTCAGCACCATGGACAGCACCCAACAGCTCTTGGGTACCTCCAGAAACAGCAGCTGATAGATGAATGAACCCCATAGGAGCTAACACAGTGACCCAAGGACAAGCCCCAGCTCCACTAGGCTTTTCCCTTAGACATACAGTGGGGAGAGTGTTCGTGTGTTCTTCATTGGGTAGTTGTAAAAACTGAATAAGATGATGTATGCCAGGTGCCTTCCACAGGCCTTAGCACTCAAGAGTGTGCTGAGAGGGCAGGAAGTGAGGGAGTGCTGGTCCCAGGGAGACCATCTCTCTTGGATCAGAGGGAAGGAAGAATAGAGATGCTGGGGACAGCAGTTTGCATTTGAGTCAGAAATCCAAGAGGAGCCCCGGTCTGATGACCTCAGTTTCCCCTGTAAAGCTGGAGGTGAAGCTGTGTGGTGGGAGCAGGCAAAGGTGGGAAGCTGGAGGTGGGGAAGGGACAGAAAGGGCTTGAGCAGTCATGCAGAGCACCTGCAGGAGGAAGCTCCTGGCCACGGGTCCTGCAGAGTGACAGTTCTTCCTGAAGTGGACTCCGTAGGCTCTTCCTCCTGCAATAGTAGGCAAGGGCAGGAGCAGACAAGTGGCAGCTTAATCCCCAGATGAAACTTTTCCAGAGAGTTAAATGGAAAGGAATCCAGGCAAAGGACTTAGGGACTGTTGGTCCGATTGTTGTTGAAATAATGGATGATGGAACCCAAGCCAGGCAAAAAGAGAAATAAGAAAGGGAAGGATTGATAGGTTGAGGGAAAGCTGGGGATGGGCAGGCTGAGGGGTGGTTGTGAAGGAGGTGGATGGAGCCTGAATCAGCAGCTAGAAAGGGAGGGATGAGGGTTCTGGGTGGCCTGACCCTTCCTCCAAGTCGATCCTTCCTATCCTCACTCCCACTCTAGGCTGGCATGCCAGATGTTAGGGCTGCTGCAAACAGACAAATAAGAATGAGAGCTGCTGGACTGGAGGGTTACACTGTGTCATGGCCACTTCTTGCTTAAACTGAGAAACAATCCTGTGAGGGACTATTGTTAACACAATGCCATGCATGAGTAAATGGAGTTTTGGAGAGATTTAGTAACTTAAGGTCCAAGAGTAAATTCAGAGACCACTTGAGCCTGGGTGTGTCTGACTCCAAAACCTGGCATGGTGAACACTGCTCCTAGGTGAGGTGGGAGCTGTGGCATGGACCTCTCATGTGGAAAAAAGAATGGAATCCCTCATACTATTGAAATGACTTCCCTCTCTCCATATTCCTCTCTCTGCTTCCGATGGTTCTATTGAGAGTTGAACTTGCAGGAAGTCAAGTGCCTGTGTGAGGTCACTGCTCTGTATGCTCTTCACGATCCCATCCCACCAAACCCTCTTGCTTTGCTCTCTTACTTCCACTGCTGTCAGAGGAAACATGTTTTTAACTCTCTGCTTTGCCTTTGAACCAGCCAAGATGCCTTCTGCATCCAGTGGTGAAGAAGCAGACGCTGGCAGCCTCCTGCCCACCACCAATGAGCTCTCCCAAGCCTTAGCTGGGGCTGACTCCCTGGACAGTCCTCCCAGACCTCTGGAGAGATCCGTGGGCCAGCTCCCCAGCCCCCCACTGCTGCCCACTCCGCCACCCAAGGCAAGCTCCAAAACCACAAAAAATGTCACAGGTGGGTCCACATGCATCCTGCCCATTCTATTTCCTTTCTCTGCCCCATCCATCCATCTATCCTACATTCATCCACCCATCCATCATCTATCTATTTATTCACCCATTCACTCATCCATCCATCCATACCTTCAACCAGTCTTGATTGGGCACCAACTGTGGGCTGGTTCTCATCATTAGCTTCTGTGACTGGGGCTCAGGGCAGGCCCAGAGGAGTAGATCTTACCAAGGAAACTGTGGTTGGCAGGAGTAGACTGCCTAGGCTCCCTCAAGCAAACAGGGGAGTCTCTTTGCAGGAGTCAAAGGGGGGATCTTCCAGGACCTGAATGCAAGAGGTGCAGCCAGTTCCCAGGATGGGGCTTGGCTTTAGCTTGGCTTGGCTTTTCTTTTTCTTTTTTCTTTTCCTTTCCATTCTGTTCCTTTCCATTCCATTCCATTCCTTTCCTTTCCATTCCTTTCTGTTCCATTCCATTCTGTTCTGTTCCATTCCATTCTTTCTGGATGCTCATGTGTCTGTCTTTCTCTTTGTGCTTCTCTCTGAGTCTCAGTCTCTTTCAGTCAGTCTCTCTCCCTTCCTCCCTCCCTCTCTCTGCTGGTCTCTGTTTTGCTGTTTCACTTTCCAGTGAGTTCTGTCCAGCAAGGCAGAGCCAGGAGTAAACAGCAGACATTGGTGGTCAGATAGGGGTGCACAGCTGGACAGAGGCCCCCACAGTCATACACTTATGTAGCTTTTGTCACACTGGCAGAATAATCCTAGCAAGTAGAGATAATTACTTTGCAAGCTTAGGTATTTTTTATCTGGAATTGACTGCTACAAACAGGACACATTGATGGTCTCAGGGAAAAAGTAGGCTGTTGATCAAGAGATAATGACTTTTCAGAGTAAAGCCTTGCGTGCTGTCTTTGAAGGCTGTGGGCGTGAAACATGATGCATAGCAGGGTTTGACAGTTTTGTTACAATCACCTAACCAGTGATTAACCACCATCAATAATTGCCATTTGCTGGGTAGGCACGAGGTGCCCCATTTATGGTTGAGAAAACAGGCTCAGGAAACTCCAGTAACTTGTCCCAGGTCCTGGAAATGATTGAGACTTTTGAACCCAGTTTTTGGGCCCAAAGCTTGTTGCTACCACACGTGTGGCCAGGGGCTGGTGCCCTCCCCTCTGCGATCTCACCTAATCCTCATTGTGCTTCTTCCCAGTTTTCATGAAAGAGGGAACTGCCACCTTTTGGAAGAGGTGTCAGCTGCTGAGACAAGGAGAGCCCGGGCATGAGCTCGGGAGGGCTGGGTCCCAGCCCTTGGCTCTTTTCTGGGGACCTTACTGCCCCTTATGGGGTGAATGTTCAATCTGGAGGGGACTCTTGGGTGGAAAATGCTTTCAGTGGGGCATTTTCCTTGTACACCTAACACGAATTAAGTATTCCAGTCTAACTGATGATTCTCAGCCAGATACCACAGAAACGGAGGAGGTGAGATGCACCCCACAGGGGGCCTCTTTAGCTGGGACTGCAGATGTCCTGGATGGGTTAGATGTGGGGCTGTGGTGCCCTGTGGTTCCCCAAGTAGTATTGGTTTGTGGGAGAATGTGCTGCTGGGTGGGTGGAGGGATGAGTGAGGGGGCGCCCCCGCCACCCCACCACCCTGAGACTTGGCCCCAGCTGTTCTCCCTGACAGAACATTCTCCCTTCCTGCTTTGCCTGGTCAGTACCTTTGCATGCTTGGGACCACAGCTCAAGCTGTTTCTCCTCCAGGGGAGCCAGCCCTGACCCTTGACCTCATAGCACCATGCGCCCCATCTTCCAGCATTTACCACATTGCCCCACCTTGTTTAGTGGGTTGAATGGTGTCACCCCAAAATTCCCATCCACCTGGAACCTCAGAACATGACCTTGTTTGGAATAAGGGTCTCTCAACTGCCATTAAGTTAAAGATCAAGCTGAGCTCATGCTGGATTCGGTTAGGCCCTGAATCCAATGACAGTGTCCATGTGACAGGCAGGACAGGACACACAGGGATGGGACTGATGCATCCACAGAACGCCAAGAATTTTCCGGGGGAGAGGCCTGGGACGGCATCTCCCTCACAGCCTCAGAAGGAACCAACGCTGCCAGCATCTTGATTTCAGACTTCTGGTCTCCAAAACTGTGAGAGTTGTTCTGTTGCTTTGGGCTGCCCAAGGAGCCATACACGCCTTGTCTGTTGGATGGTTTGCCTCTCTCTAACCACCTGCCCCCCAGACAGTAGTCCCTGAGAGACGGCCACACGTCTGTGTTCACTGTCAAATCCAAGTGCAGGCATAGTACAGGGCATACAGCAGGCACTCAGCAAGTGCAGATGATGGTTGGATGGATGAATGAATGAGTGAATGAATGCATGCGTGCTCTGAACCCTGTCTGTCTGCTTTCTGCATCTTTCTACATCTCTGTAGATGAATCCAAATATTCAGTCTTTATGCAACATGGCCACATAAATTACAGTACAAAGTTTGAGGCAAAACTGTGCTACTTTGCATTTTGTTATTGTCTTTGTGATAGCTCCCTTTTTCCTCCATTGAAACCTAAAACCATTTAAAGTCCATTCAATTAGCCACCATCCACCTCATTTTATTCTGGCGAATGTATAATTTGTTCCTGGCCCTCAATAACTTGGTAACCCAGAGAGTTTCCTGCCTCTCCCAAGCTTGGGAAGGTCGAGCCTCAGATGGCACAGGTCTTCATTCTGACTCCACACGCCCTAAATTCTGGCGTTCTGTCCCCAGTCTGCGGACACTTCTGGCTTCCGCCCTGCCCTCAGTTGCAAGGACATCAGGGGATACTCTGACACTTATGCGTTTCCATAGGGACTGAATTGAGACTGGGAGGTGGAGGAGGGTAGTTCCGAGCTATGGGTCCTGGCCTGGCTTCTTCCTGCACAGACTACATTTTGGTGACTTTGATTTAATTTTCTCAGTTCCTCTTTTTCCTTTTCCTTTGGGAAAAGGTTCATGTGCTTCAGCATGTGAACACTAGATGGTAGCAAAGAAGAAAGTCTCCTTACCTGGGCTTCCCTTGCTGCAGGAGGGACCCTGGCCCAACTGAGTCTCCACCCAAGGCAGGACTGCAGGTGTCTTAGTTCATCTGAGTGACTTATAAACCACAGAAATTTATTCGTCACTCTTCTAGAGGCTGGAAGTCCAAGATCAGGGTGCCGGCAGATTTGGTGTCTCTGATGAGGGCTTGCTTCCTGGTTCATAGGCCAAATTCCTGGACTTTCTTGAAAAGTCTTCATCTCTGATCACCCTCTGAGTCACTACAGGCCCATTAAGGTGGGCAGGTTCTCCTCTGTGTGCTGTGGTCCCCACCCTGCCCCCATGGAGAAATTGCAGGAGGTCCTTTGCATTCCTGGGTTTCACCTGCCTGGTCCCTGGAGATGCGTTTACCCCTCTCCCTTTTACCTCTCCTTTACCCCTGCTGTCACCTGGTCCAGTTGGTAACGCTCAACTCTGCGGGATGGGAGTCCCACAGCCTCTGCCAAGTGTAAGTGGAGCTGGGTGCGATGTGCTGTTCTCAGCCCCCACCTTTTCCTGGCAGCCTGCCCCTGAGGTGGCTTCTGAACCTCAGCTTCCTCATCTGTGAAATGGGGGTGACAAGTGGTCCCCTGCACAAGCTGGGTGGGGCGAGCCAGGCAAAGCTCTATGGGGGCCGTGGGGGCAGTGCTGGTTGTCACATCTGTGATTGACAGTGGGGCAGAGACCTGGGTGGGATCCCAGCTCCACCAAGCTGAGCGAGAGCAGGCAAACCACGCTGCCTCAGTTTCCCTATTTGTACAAGAGGGCTAGTGATTCCTTCCTCATGGGGCTGGGGTGAGAAGTAGAGGCAATGATGGTTAGAGACAGAGGGGCTGGGGGATGCTGCGTGTCACCTGCGTGTGCTCAGGAGTGGGGCACTGTCCTGAGCAGGAGCAGCCTGGGGAGGCTGAGGCCAGTGGGGAGAGGACAGCGCAGTGTGCAGAAGCTGGGGATGGGTCTCCCTGCAGCCCCTGCCCTGCCTGGCCACTTCTTGCATGGCTGGCTCCTTGTCATTTCTCAGGTCTCAGCTCAAAGTTTCCCTCTGCAGAGCAGCCTTTCCTGACCTCCCTCTCCCAAACCAGCTACCACCTCCCCCCGACCAGCCCAGTACTCTCAGCCCACCTGCGTGGTGCCCTCTCGCCCCCCTCCCTCCACCACTCTCTCTCCCAGCCCTTTTCTCTCCCTCTCCTTCTGTCTCCTTCTCTATTCTACAATCATCTGCTCTCTTTCTGTCTGCCTGGCCTCTGTCTGTCTCCACCAGCTGACGGCAGGGCCTGGCCCGTTTCCCTGTGGCCTGGCCTTGTGTGGCCAAGCAGGTGCTTGTAGAGAAAGCGAAATAACTAAAGTCCTCCACGAGGTTTACAGTTTCCTTTTGGGTTTTGAGGAATACTTTTTATTGATGCTGTCCACATCCCAGGATTGTATTGGAAGTTTGTTTCTGGTTTTTAGGGAATGGGGTAGTTTAGATCTGGTTGTTTTGCTGGTGGGATTAAAGGGATCTGGTGTTTGCACCAGTCCTGCCAGGACGCTTTTGGAATGAGAGTTTGTGCTGAACACCTAAGAGCTTCTGGGCCTGTGCCAGCTGCTAGGCTCCTGAAAAGGAGCTGATGGTCTCATTTTACAGGCAAGTAGGCTAAGCCTTTGAGAGCTTCAGTGACTTGCCCAGAGTCTTGCATACTGGGAAATGGCAGATCAAGACCAGAGGCCAAATCTGCAGAAGACAAAGCCCATGCTCTCTGCTCTTCCGGGCACCTGACACCCTGCTGGCCCGGAGCACATGCAGGAGACTGTCATTGATGGAAGGAGGGGGTGTCCCACTCATTTAGACTTGAATGAGCAAAGCCTGTTTAGAATCATCTTCAAAGTCATTTCATGTACACAAGTGTTTATTGCCCGTGTTTTAAGTGCCAGGCCTGGGGAAACTGTAGGAAGGAAGGTGGACACAGGCCTGCCCAGGAGCAAGAAACAGACTGGGCAGCGTGATTCACTCCAAGTAAGAGGAAAAGTGTCAGGGCAGGCTCAGGTCCCAGGGGACAGGAGACGAGGGATCTGATCATGGCCTCTCTAAGGAAATGGTATTCTAGCAGAGGAGCGGGGAAGCATTTCAGGCAGAAAGAACAGCCCATGCAAAGACTCAGGTTGGACGGAGTGTGGTGCCTTCAAAGACGGGAGAGATCTTCACATGCTGGAGTGAAGAGAGTGAGGTGGAGATGCAGCTAGGGAGCCGAGTGGGGCCACCCCCAGGGGCCTTGAGACTGGGCCATGAGTTCGAATCATGTCCTAAGGAAGATGGGAGAGTGATCCAATTCACCTTCTGGGGTGATCCTCCTGGCAGAGATACAGGGAGAGGGTTGGAGCCCAGAAATTTATTCCTTACTGTTCTGGGGGCTGGAAGTGCAAGCCCAAGGTGCTGGAACAGATGCTGTGGGGAGGGCAGAGCGGACCATGGTGCTCATCCAGGCTGAAGGGTGGCTGCACAGATTCTTCCGGGTTTCCCAAGAACAAGAAGCAGCTTCAGGAAGCTGAATTCATAGCAGAGAAGCAGGAAGGAGGCTTTTCTAAGCCCAGCGCCCTGCAGGGAGGATGCTGGTGCTGGTGTCTGCAAGGCTTGGCCCCTAACAGGGTTTGCCCTACAGATGGAGCAGAACTGGACAGAGATGCACCCTGGCCTCTAGCTTTGGGAGCAGGGATCCCGGTCCAGCATCTTGGCATTAGTTGGGGCCCCTCCTGGAGGTGCAGGGGAGCGTCCTTTCCGCTCATGGTCCCCAGTCTCAGCAAAACCCTTGGTCCCAGCTCCTGAAGACCTATGTTCTTGCTGCTTCCTCCCACACCCCAGGCCAAGCCACACTCTTCCAAGCCTCCAGCATGAAGAGTGCCGACCCTTCCCTCCGGGGCCAGCTCTCCACACCCACGGGGTCTCCGCATCTCACCACGGTCCACCGGCCTCTTCCCCCAAGCCGCGTCATTGAGGAGCTGCACAGGGCGCTGGCCACGAAGCACCGCCAGGACAGGTGAGGCCCTGCCCCATGAGGGAGACCTGTGCTGCCAGAATCCCTGCCTGGCCAGCCTCAGGCTGTGCAGCTCATGCCACGCCCAGGGCCTTGGCTGGGTGTCCCGTTCTACAGTCACTTTCTGAACAAGGAAGTCACATTTTCATTTTGCACCTCGCTCTGCAGATTGCATAGCTGATCTTGGTTCCCACATTCTGGGACGGGGTGCACAGTGAATGTGCACTATGGGAACCTGGCCACAAAGTCCTGTGCGTGAGCCCCTCAGGACCCAGGGTGGGGTGGGAGCTTTGCAGGAGAGACTGACTTAGAGAAAAGTGGCCGTTCCACTTTGTCCCAGGACACTGAGGGCTTCATAGTTGTCACTGGGCAAGAGTGTAAGGCAGCCTGTGCCTGCAGCTTACTCTTATTTTGGATCACATGTGTCTCATGGACTGTGAAAGATTAGAGGTAAAATAGGTAATAGGAGACAGTATGGGTTGGAGGAATATTAGACAAACAAAATGTCCTTCTCAGTTTTTGTGAAGTCCTCGCCCTGAACATTGATTGCATGTATTTTGGCAGGTTTTATTACTTGCATGTTCTGTGCTTTTCAAAACAGCATGTTGTAAACAGCCATTTGCCTTGAACTCAAATCCTCATGCTCCTTCTGGTGTGTCCAGGATAAAAACCAAGAGGTCACATGCATTTTGGGGCTGCCTCTGTGATATTCATTATAAGCTCCAAAGTCAATCGTGCTGGGTTTCTGGGTGAAGGGGGTGACCTATAACCTGAACCATCTTTCTGGTTTAGTTTTCAAGGAAGAGAAAGTAAAGGGTCTCCAAAGAAGCGGCTGGATGTCCGTCTGTCGAGAACGTCCAGCGTGGAGCGGGGCAAGGAGAGGGAGGAGGCTTGGAGCTTTGACGGGGCATTGGAGAACAAGCGAACTGCCGCTAAGGAATCTGAGGAGAACAAGGAGAACCTGATCATAAATTCTGAACTCAAAGACGACTTGCTTTTGTATCAGGACGAGGAGGCGCTGAACGACTCCATTATTTCTGGTGAGGAAAGGATGGCCCATTAAGTGTGGGGATCTCGGCCAGAGGTCTAGTGTCACCAGGGGGTCGAGGACAGAGCTCGTGCCTGGGGGAGGAACAGGTCGAGGGGCTGCACCTGGGGAGAAACAAGAGGGGGGCTGTGTCCTCTGGAAATGAGCTTCTCCTGAAACAAGCTGGGGTGGGGGTGCACAGCCAGGCTTAGAGCAAGGAACTAGAAAATACCCCGGTGAAATTGTTTTGAGAGTTGCATATTAGTTTTCATGTGTATGTGAAAAAAAAAAACAACATAAAAGTGGTGAAGCAAGTGACTTAGAGAATGCCACCCCTGAGGATGCTGTGGCGAACAGTATATAGTTGGTGTACAGATGCTCAGTGTACAGAAGTTATAGCAAAAACAAAAACAAAAAAAAACTGTAACAAGTAAAGCAGGACGAGATGGAAGCAGGGGGAGAGGGAGGAAGAGAGATTGCTCTATTGATCTCAAATGGCCGTCTCAGAAGTGCTGTGGATGGGACAGGCAGCATACGCTTGTTTGGGAGCAGATGCTCACAGGGTCCTTGGAAGCCAGCTCCGTATTTGTCCTCATGGTGCGTTCTCCCATGAGGTAATTGCTCCATCCTACCCTTGAGGACTCCGGGGCTCGGGACGATAGAGGCCTGCAGACCACCCTGTGATGAAGGGAGAAGGAGGCTCAGGCCAGGAGGAGGAAGTGCTGAGGGGGTTTCCCTCCCAGCTGGTACTGGCTGTGCGGGGCCCTCTGATTAGTCCCAGGAAGGTCCAGGGCGGCCGTGGTGTTTGGCCTGCAAGGGAAGGATCAGGAAGCGTCCGTTGCTGTTCTTCCTGGAAGCATCTCATGGTGACTGTTGCGGGCATGGGCAAAGCTCAGGCCACGTCTCCCTGGGTGTCTGTGGGGAGCAGGAAAGGGCATCAGATGTCGGTGCTGACCCTGGCTGGTACTGAAGGCATGCGGTGGGTACTGTGATGGGTGGATAGACCGGCAGCCCAGGGCTCCATAGCCTCCCGCTTCCTGCTGCTTTGGAGCCTTTCCACCGGGTCCGAGGAAGCAATTCTGAGTATGTGGCTGCACAACATGAAAGGGGTGGGGGTGCTGTCACCTGTGCGTTTGGAGGAGGCTGACTGCCACCGCGGAACCAGTGTCTTTGTGGCAGAAACTAGGAGCTGGTCACTGGCCTGAGGGCACCAACCTCTCTGAAGAGGCTGGAGCCTGTGGTGTTCCCAAACTCGTTAGGCCCTGGAATCCTTGCCCTTAAACACCTGTGAGCCTCCAGCAGGAGGGTGCTATGAGGGTGCACTTCTGAGTAGAGCTGGTGTTGGGATGGTCAAGGGCTAGAGCACGGTCCCTCAGCCTCAGCGCTGGTGGCAAGAGGCCAGGCGATTCTCTGCTGGGGAGGGGGCTGTCCTGGACACATTAGGATATCCTGCAGCATCCCTGGCCTCTCCACACTGGATTCCCCCAGTGAAGACAATCTAAAATGTCTCCAGACTTGGCCAGATGCCCCTGAGGGGCAGAATCACCCCCAGCTGAGAATCACTGGCATAGTCTGTGCCCTTGGTTTGGGGGTGCCCTTCCATAAGTCCCTTATCCACTCCAGGACACAATGCTTTCATTGGTGAAGAGGGAGATGGGAACTGCTTCCTCTTGACATTGACAATGTCAGCAGCCAGGGCCCCTTACCGGGTGTTTCTTGTGTCCGGGATGCTGGTCTAAGGTTGTGACAAGAAAGGTTTTATCCTCACAGGAGCCCCATGAGGCTATGACATCATAGTCCTTATTTTACAGATGTGTAAACTGAGGCATAGGGAGGCCATGTAACTGGCCATGGTCATGCAGCTCGTTGGTGCCAGGCTGGGACTTGAACCCAGGCTGCCAGCGCCAGCTTTCCGCTCTGTGCTAGACCCTCTCTGAGGATGAGTGGATTAATCCATGTCAGCCCTTGGCACAGGGCCTGGCTCAGGGTGCACCTCGGAGAGCACTTCTTCCTGTCCTCACCAGCCACACGGGGAGGATAGCCCCTGGGGAGGACAGCCCCTGGGGAGGAGAGCCTCTGGCCCAGAAGGGTCTCCCGGCTTGACTTTCCTTTAGGGCATTGTTAGGCCATCCAGATGCAGTGTCCTCACGCCTGGCGTTAAAGGTATAATGCAGTCATTTTATTTAAACACAGAAGAGGATGGGAATCTGCATTTCACCTCTCGGGAGCCTCAGGCCTGGCCCGGATATGACCTCAAAACCCTCTGTGGCAGCGTGGTTGAGCCAGCAGCGTGGTTGAGACACAGAGTTTCTGCACTGGAGACGGCATCAAAGCACATCTAGCAGCACCCTTGGCTCCCACCTCTGTCCCTCCCGCCCAGTGCCTTCCTTCTCTGATTGAGTGCTCTGCACAGGGACGCCTCCTGCTCAGCCAGGTGGCCTGGTCACAGCCAGCTGTGTTAGCCTCTTGTGGCTGTTGTAACACCTTATCATCTGCTGGGTGACTTATGACCACAGAATTTACTCTTCTGCAGTTCTAGAAGCTAGAAATCCAAAATCAAAGTGTGGGTAGGGTCGTGCTCCCTGCGAGTGCTCCAAGGAGGAGCCATTCTCTTCCAGTTTCTGGTGGTTCCTGCATTCTTGGCCTGAGAATCCCAGCCCTGCCTCCGTGGGCACATAGCTGCCTCCTCTCCCTCCTTCCTCTCCCCTTCATATGAGGATAGTAGTATTGCAGGCAGGGCCCATCTGGATAATCCTGGATGATCTCCTCATCTAGAGATTAACTTAATTACTTCTGCAAAGATCCGATTTCCAAATAAGGTCACTTTCACAGGTTCTGGGGATTTGGACTTGGCACATCTTTTAGAGAACCCCCTTTCAACCCCCTGATTCCACTCCTCTTGGTTAACTCGTTCCTCTTCTCATTGAGCTAAAGCTAGGCTCTGGGATTTGACCCACAAAGTCCCCTCCATCCCTGAGATCTCTGTGGCTGGGCCGGTCCATGGCCTCCAACAGAATGTGCTGTGAAGCTTGGACTTGGCCCTGGGCAGGTCCCTCCCCTGTCCCTGCCCCATTTCCTTGTTGTCAGACGAAGGCCCTCATTGTTGGCTTCTATGACAACACTGAACCTTCCTTCCTAGCTGGGACACAGTTGCAGATTCACACTAATTCTTGTCATTCTCTATTCTCTGTCTCTTTGCTACCTATCAATTACTTATTGTTGACTGTCTAATTTTGTCTGTATGAGGGATCATGCTGGTATCTGTCTGTGTCCCGTGGTGTGTCCATCATCCCAGGGTACCTGGTTCTAAGAGTCAGTAAGCACCTGTTGGTTGTGTGGCTTTAAACACATCTGTGACCCTGATGAATCTGATTTGTCCCTCCAGCCGATGGCCCCTGAGCTCCAGGGTGTCTCTGTGGACTCTACGCATGCGTCCACGTGGGGACTGGTGTGCATTGCATAGCTTACATCTCCAGATCTCGGTTCCCATCTGCGCCCTGTGCTGGGACTCTTCTCCATTTCAATCAATACATCTAAGCCTCCTGTGAAGCTTTTGGCTTTGTGCTGATGTCCGGATGACCCTGAAGTCCTCTCTGTTCCCCTTGGAGCAGTTCGCGGGTCCAGCCAACTCCCTCTTCTCTGGCAATGGTTTGCTGTGCTCTCCTGCCTGGACTTGGCCTCCAGGCGGTCTCTCTGTGCCACCATTGCCCCATTTCTAGTTCATTCTCCACACAGGTGGCCACAGGACCAGGGTCTCATAGAAGTTGGATAATGTCACCTCTTGCTCAAATCCCTCCAGTGGCTCCCTGAGGCACTGAATGCCACATCCTCCCTAGTGCCTGTGGCCCCACCCCATGTGGCCTGCCTCCCTCTCCCGGCTCGCCTCTCCCTTGGACCCAGCCCATGGGCCTCTTTGATGGTCCTCACACCCCAACCACAGCCCCTGAGACTCTTGCTGTCCCTGGAGGTGTGCAAGGCTCCACCGCGTTTAAAACATCGCTCAGTGCAGGAAGCCACCTGGCCGCTGTGTGGCAACACTTGGCCCCTTCTTCTCACCCAACCTTATTTCCCCTACGGCAGCGTCCCTGACGCCAATACCATTGGCTTTGCCCATGCAGCCTCTCTACCAGCACATGGGCTCCGCGAGACCAAGTCTTCGCCTCTGTAGTTCTTACTGTGCGCACAGCTCACGAGTGCTAAGTGCAAAATAAATATCAGTTACATGAATGAGCCAGAATGGGCCAATGGGGGATTAGAGAAGCCAGTGCCTGTAAAGTACTAACAGGTGCCAGGTCCAGGGAGCCCTCATCCCTGGACTGTTTCTCCCATGGCGTGGCTCAGACCTGAGCCTCTTGTTATTTGTTCTCGAAACCCAGTGTCTGTAAGTGAACACGGATTTTGAGCTGGGGTCTGAGAGTGGGGGAAGGTAGCACTCATTGTAGAAACTCATTCTGGAAACTGCTGTCGTGAACGTGGCCCAGGCCCACCGCTGTCTGCACCGTGCAATGTGTTACATGGGGTGTCATCTGCAAGCCCTGGGTGAGGCCCCCTTTCCTCCATGGGCCTTTTGTGGGCCAAGGTCAGGATTCCTGTCTGACCCTGAGAAACTCCTTGTTGAGGGCTGGGCTCATTGCACAAACTGGCAGGTATGTCTGAGGTGCAACCTCCAGCCATTTGCAAATTGAGGCTTCTGTGTGCTGGTCCCAGGGTATAGAGTCTAGGGTCCCTGAAGCCCTGAAATCAAGTGCAGAAAGCAGTGCTTTGCTTTTGTCACATTCTCAACTGTGTCCCCAATGCTCCAGAAGTGATAGATCTCTGAGATAAAATGCTGTGGGAAAATTCAATATTGGTCATACAGAAAGTATATAAATGTTGCTTTTTGGGGGGAAAATTACTCACAGTAGGAAAGGCCTGTAAGAGTATTTTGCTTTGCCTGGTGCAGACAATGGTGAATAATGGTTGTTATTTGCTTCTCTCTGCAGTGTGTTGAGTTCAAACCCCATTCCCACTGTCTCGCCTGATACATTGTTTTCACATCTCCATGGGGTGAAAGCAGAAAGCACCAGGCAGCAAATTAATCAATTATTAATCGCAACAACTACTATTTTATTCATTTATTCATTTATTCTCCCTCTCTCCCTCTCTTTCCCCTGTTGAGGGAGGTTTGGCAGACGTTGTCTTATCCCATGTGAAAAAGAAAATTTTTGTTATCAAACGTTTTTGTGAACTTCAGTTCTCTATTAGAATGGAGAATGCATCTGCATGAGAATTTAATTTTTGGAAATGGTGGAGGCCCTATGCCCACATGCACATGCGTGCCCACACACACAGGCTTGCACATGGGGTGCCTTCGTGGGTATGCCTGGTCAGCGGTGGGTGAGCAGGGCCTTGCGCTCATTCTCCAGTCATCAAAAGCGAATTTTATGAGAAACAGTCTTTGTGTTGTCACTGCCCCAAGATTTAAGTTTTAAAACCTGTCAAGAAAAAGATGTTTGTGTTTTGTCTTTTCTCTGTGCTGAACCCAAGAGTCATGACCACACCTGTCTGGTTTTTCACAGTGTCCCAGCTCTGGGCGCAGTAGAAACACGTGATGAGGGGGAGCGAGGGACTGAGGGGCTGCTATGGGAATCCGGGCTGCAAGGGAAGAACCTACTGATGGAAGGAAGCTGACTTCTCCAGAGCCCCCCAGCTGCCTGTGCTGCTGCTCCTCCTGCAGACAGCTTCTCCCAGGTGCTCATGACAGCAAGGCTGCAGGCTAGGACTCACCACTGTGTCTCACCTGGGCCCATGTAAGGACAGCACAGGCCCTCCACTTCATCCATGCTGTAGTCTTAGTCCCTTTGAGCTGTCATAACAAAATCCCTAGACTGGGTGTCTTATAAACAACAGAAATTCATTCCTCACAGTTCCAGAGACAGGGAAGTCCAAGATCAAGGTTCTGACACGTGGGGTTTGGCAAGGCCCCACTTTCTCATAGGTGGTGCCTTCTATGTGTCCTCACATGGCAGAAGGGGCCACAGAGCTCTCTAAGGCCCCTTTCCTAAGGGTACCAATCCCATTGGTGAGGGTTCCACCTAATGATCTAATCACCTTCCAAGACCCTACCCCCCGAATACCATCACATTGGGGTTAGGCTTCAACATAGGAATTTTGGGGGACACAAACATCTGGCCCCTGGCATTGGGAATGTCACAGGGAGGGCTGTCTGTGCAGCTGGGTGGGCCTCCGTCTCTGGGGCTTACTCTGCGTAGAGAGACTTGCTGCAGGATTTGACCACCCCACGTGCCTCGACATGTTTCTTTCTAGCTCTGTGACCTTGGAAAAGTTTCTTAACCTCTCTGTGCTTCAGTTCTATCCCTTGTAAATGGGGGTGACAAGAAAGTTCTTATGAAGGTCAACAGGGGTGCTCACCGAAGTATAGCTTTGTCTCATTGTGCTCAGTGAGCGTTCTGGTTGCCGTGGTAATCAGCACTGTCACCCTCATCATCACTGTGGTTAAGGAGCATATAGGAACAAGGAAGCACTGGGCATCCACCGCTCATCAAAATACTGCCTCACAGGCATGAAGCAAAGTTTAGCTCCCAGTTTGTCAATGTTCCGTAGCTGATTTGTGCTATTCCTCATTCCTCGGCCAATTCATCAGTGAGAGTGTTGATGTCCCTGCCGCTGCATAGGTACATCTGTTCTCCATCCAGACATGCAGTTACATGTGTTTGTGTAACTGGCTGTGGTTTTGCTTGCCTGCTTAGCAAGGGACAAGGGCAAGGGGAATTAATCACCGGGGTCTATGTGCCAGGACAGGCTGGCGGGGACCTTTGGGTTGGTCAGGAGAAACAAGCCTCAAGAAGGCCTCTCGATGGCACCTGCCATGAGCCACCCGTCCCAGACCAGGTTGGGTAACCCACGGCGCCCAGCCTCAGATTACTCTGCCCATTGGGATGACCCTGGGCAGGTGGTGGCACATCTGGGCCCTGGCTGCCTTTCGGTAGCTCACAGGTGATGTCAGTGACCCCCTTGTCAGGTTGTCCTGGGGGCGGATGAGACAACGCTCATGGAGGGCCTGGCCTGTGTGGGCACATGGCGCTCACGTGGTAGCCCTGCTGCCAAGGTTTTCTGAGGGTGTGTCCCAGCGGCAAAAGAAAAAAATCTGATATTTGTACATTATTTATTTATAAACTATACATTAGGGGTACCATGCTAATATACTGTGTACTTTATAAAATATACATGCAAGATAGTAATAAAAGGTGACCCGAGAGAGTGACTATGTACATATTAATATGTTCTAGCACAGCCTGCCCCACTGTGTCCTAGGAGTAAGGCCCTAGGAAGTATATTTCAGCAAGCACAGGGGGGTTCTAGTGCTGGTGCAGGAGTGAAAGAGTAAATCCTAGCCCCCACAATCCCATGAGTCAATTCCAGTCAGCTAGGCGGTACAAGAGTAAAGGGACATACGGGATTTCCCGGCTTTATAGATTTTTTTTAAAGCTTCTTAAGA
Source organism: Homo sapiens (assembly GCF_000001405.40). Lineage (NCBI taxonomy): Eukaryota > Metazoa > Chordata > Mammalia > Primates > Hominidae > Homo > Homo sapiens. Next base: position 59,781,976 of record NC_000020.11, read on the forward strand.
CACACCCTTGCTATGTATTCAGCAAGTACTATATGTCCCAATCTAGGCCTCAAGGATTCTAAGGAGAAACTAGACACAGTCTCCAACCCTCTAGGAGCTCATGACTGACCTTAAAAGCTGATGTTCACCATAAACTCAACAACGCAAAAGAGGGCTGGGTCGGGAGTTGAAAGGTGTATTAGTCCGTTTTCACACTGCTGATAAAAACATACCTGAGACTGGGTAATTTATAAGGAAAAAGAGGTGGTTGTTTTTTTCATTTTGTTTTGCTTTGTTTTTTGTTTTGTTTTTTCTAAGACAGAGTCTTGCTCTGTTGCCCAGGCTGGAGTATCGTGGCACGATCTTGGCTCACTGCAACCTCCACCTCCGGAGTTCAAACAATTCTCCTGCCCCAGCCTCCCAAGTAGCTGGGATTACAGGTGCATACCACCATGCCTGGCTAATTTTTGTATTTTTAGTAGAGGCAGAGTTTCACCATGTTGGCCAGGCTGGTCTGGAACTCCTGACCTCAGGTGATCCACCCACCTCGGCCTCTCAAAGTGCTGGGATTACAGGTGTGAGCCACCACACCCAGCCAGAAAAAGAGGTTTAATGGACTTACAGTTGCACCTGCCTGGGGAGGCCTCACAATCATGGTGGCAGGCAAGAGAGAATGAGAACCACGCAAAAGGAGTTTTCCCTCATAAAACCACCAGATCTCATGAGACTTATTCACTACCACGAGAAAAGTATGGGGGAAACCACCCCCATGATTCAATTATCTCCCATTGGGTCCCTCCCACAACACTTGGGAATTATGGGAGCTACAATTCAAGATGAGATTTGGGTGGGGACACAGCCAAACCATATCAAAATCCTAAGACAAATGTGTGACGCCAAGAATGTGGTGACACGGGCATTTGATGACATGGAGAACGTTACACGGAGAGAGGCAACACTCAGGCAGTTCCTGGTACTGTCTAAATGTAAAGAAAGCCTTCTTTGCAGGCTCCGGGATCCTTTCCCCAGTAGACATACTTGTAAAAAGTGAATGCTAACGTGTTATTTGAATGCCATTTTAAGTGTGGGGAGGGTGTACTGAAAGGCTTCGTGCAGTGTATGCTTCTGTAAAGTGAAGAGCCACCTGCAGCGAGTGAGGACTCCCCCACAGTCGTCTCCATGGTGACTTCACAGAACAGCAGGCAGCCCCTGCCTTTTCTTGAAAGTTGGGGCTAGAGATTTGAAAGGCTGTGGAAACCCAGCCACTCCCTGCACTGACACCAGATGGCGCTGGAGATGCTCGCTGGGATGCAGGATGCTTGTGAGAACCTGGTCTCAGGACGACCTGGTGGGCGTCTTGCAGCGGAGGCAGGTCTGGCCCAGGGTGGTTCTGGCTGAGCACCAAGCAGCAGAGCTCTCAGAGTGGGAACGCACAGCCCCAGTGACAATCAGCTGAAACAGGGCTGCCCCCCGCCCCGCCCCACCCCGGCCCTTTTTTTTGTTTGAGCTATTATTTCCCATCAAGTACCTTGATAAGCACTTTTCATGCATTTTATTGCCTAAGTCCCTTGACAAGGTGATAAGACAGCTGCTATTACCGCTTTTTTTGTTTGTTTGTTTGTTAACAGTAGAGGAAAATGAGGCAAAGAGAGGGGATGAAACTTGCCCATTTTGAATCCAGGGCTTTCCAGCTCCACAGCACATGACTGTAGCCTACTGTTCGTCCAATGCGTAAGCACATCATAGGTGCCAGGCACTGCCCTGGGTGCTGTGGACACAGTGATACAAGCCAGGGTCCCAGCCCGCAGGTGCCTGCAGCAAGGGGGAGGCAGGAGCCCCCAGGAGGTGATTTCAAGATTGGGGCATGAGCACCAGATGGACACAGGCAAAGAGTACTCTGTGATTTGTGCATCTGAAAGCAGCTGTTCTGGGCCAGCCGTGTGCTCTTAAAAGCATTGGTAGGAACTGTATCCGTCTCCCTGGGGCCTGGGCCTCTGCACTTTGCAGGCTCCGCAAGGGTGAAGGTCAATCTTGTGTGTCCTCTTGGCTGAGCTGTTCCACCCAGCTATTGAAATGCTAGTCTGCATGTTGCTGTGAAGGTATTTTGTAGATGTGGTTGTCACCTGCAGTCGGTGACTTTAAGGGGCTTTGAGTGGCCCTCTCCAGTCAGTTAAAGGTTTGAGAATAAATTGGAGTTTCCCAGAGAAGAGGAAATCTTGCCTCAAGACTGCGGAATCCACTCCAGCCGCTGGCCTGCCCTCCAAATCCAGGACTGTACAGCCCCCGCAATCGCATGAGTCAATTCCTTAAAATAAATGTCTTAAAACACACACATATGCACATATATGTGTGTGTGTGGATGTATATATATATATATGTGTATATATAGAATGTGTATGTACAAACATGTATGTGTATGCATATGTATATGTGTGTGTGGTGTGTGTCTATCCCATTGCTTCTGTGTCTCTGGAGAGCCCTGACCCAAACACCAGGTGACTCTCAAGAGCTGCCAGGGTGGAGAACCAAAGCTTTAAAATGAGGAGTCCTGGTCATCAAGGTAAAGGCTTTCCACATAGGGACAGCTTGAGCCTGGGCGTGGAGATGAGACGCGTGAGGTGCACAGGGTAGCGTGGTTGTTGCATAGCCCAGTGTGAGACCTAGGGACTGGCCAGGGAGAGAGACCTTTATTCACCCTGTAAAGAAAGCTGGAATTCAAAAGACACCAAAGTGTGAAGCCTCTGAGGGTTGTCCCAAGTCACTCACCTCCTGGCTATGTGGCCTTGGGCTACACTGTGGGACGTTGTCATCTGCAAAATAGGAAAACTAAATCCTAGCACCTGCCTTATAGGGCTGCGGGGAGATGACATGGGAAACGCATTCAAAGGCTGCCTCTGGGCCTGGCATACCGCAAGGGCTCATTCAATCTTGGCTGCTCTTGCTGCCACTGGTGGGAAGCAGTGTGGGATCTCCTGCAGCTGAACTGATCTTTCTGGAGTGCAGACCTGATGCCGTCTGTCATGATTCAAGCCTTGGAAAGGGCCCCAGGACTTTCCGAGGGTGGGAGGGTGGGCTCCAGAGAAAAGACAGGGAGGGGCCATGAGGAGGCTCAGGCAGGAGGGGATGGGGTCTGCAGGGAGTGTCAGAGTCAGCTCCAGCTGCCGTAACAGGATACCACAGAGTGGATGCCTGAAACGACAGACGTTTGTTTTCTTACCATTCTGGAGGCTGAAAGTCCAAGAACAAGGTGATTTCCAGTGAGGCCTCTCTCTGTGTCTTTATAGGGCCGTTCCCCTGTGTGCTGGTTGGTGAGAGTGGGTGATGAGTACTCTGGCCTCTGTTTCCTCTACAGGGACACCAGTTCCATCAGATCAGGGCCCCGCTCTTGCAACCTCCTTTAACCTTAGTTACCTCCTTACAGGCCCTACCCACAAATACAGTCACATTGTGGGTCAAAGCTTCAACTTGTGAATTCTGGGGCAGAGCGGTGGTACACAGGTGAATCATAATGTGGGAGACTGAGGCAGAGAGGAGAAACTGGCAGGAGCTGGGGAGTGGGGATGGTGCTGCTGGACTCCATTCTTGCAGCTGTGGGCCCCTGGCTGCAAGAGAAAGCGCAGAGGGGAGGAAGCGGGAGATGATTCGCCAGCGACCTGAGTTGACTAGAGAGGGGCCCTGCCCAGCTCCACGCTGACAGGGACCATATAGTCAGTCAAGAGCGTTTATTGAGCACCTCCTGCATGCACTGTGAGGAAAGCCAAGTCACATCCACAGAGGAAGGCCGTGGTCAGCAGCACCAGCATCTGTCCAGTGGGTGTGTCCCTGGCATGTTGCACCAGCACAGCGTGTGAGGTCCGATCCTTAAAGCTGCTTCATTTTGTTTTCCAGCAGCCCTCTGCATCCCCTGCTTCTGCATCCCCTACTTCATTTTGTTTTCCAACGGCCCTCTGCATCCCCTGCTTCTGGTTTTCCAACGGCCCTCTGCCTCCCCTGCATCCCCAGGTAGCACTAGACTTTTCTGTTTATTTGCAGGTAGTGAACTGCCACTGAGTCTGAGTCGTAAACACTGTTTGGATTCAGAGGTCAGAATATCCTTCCCCTGTGATGCTCAAACTTCTGAGTCAGTTCGGTGTTTTGCCAGCTCCCTCCTCAACTGAGCCCCTCTGTGGCAGGAGGCCTGGGGCTGGGATCCTCCCCTTTGCCCTGCTCATTCCCCAGCTTCTGCGTGTGTGCCCCCAGGGAGTGCAGGCTAGCCTGGTGTCTGGGGGCCTTGGCTGGGCTCTGAGCTCTGTGTGGCCATTCAGTTTGCCCACTTGGGTCCCAGTCTGTGGGGCTGGCACCTGCTGGAGGTTCAATTTCCCTTCAAAAAAGGTCATGGTGATCCCTCTGAGAATTACTTTGAGAACCTGACAACTCAATGATGTGAGATTGCCTACTCCAAGGCCCTTCTGTGGGGGACAGCGAGGGCTGCTGTGGCCTCCTGCTCCTCTCTCTTTAAGATGAGCAGGTCCATCCACAGCAGCCCAGGGAGCAGCCCTGGGGGCAGAGCCATCAAGGACCTGGTGGAGCCATCCTGAAACTTCAACAGGTCAGGGTGGCCATTGTGCGCGGCATGGCACTTAGCACAGCTGAGCAGTTAAAGGGGTATATGGAGGGCCCTCTGTGCAGTTGACAGGTGTCTGTGGAGCACTCTCTGTGCCATTGACGGGTGTCCATGGAGCGCTGTCTGTGCAGCTGACAGGTCTCCACAGAGCACTCTCTGTGCAGTTGACGGGTGTCCATGGAGCTCTTTCTGTGCAGTTGACAGATGTCCGTGGAGCTCTCTCTGTGCAGTTGACAGGTGTTTACAGAAGTCTTTTTCTGTGCAGTTGACGGGTGTCCATGGAGCGCTCTCTGTGTAGTTAACAGGTATTTACAGAAGTCTCTTTCTGTGCTGCTTGTAGAAGTCCTCAACAATGGTGATCTTCACTAATCACTATTTTTTTTTCAGGAAGTATGCAGGACTTTTGCAATCCAACGTGCGTGTGTTATTTTAAATTTCATGGCTATGGTGGCAGTGGTGTCAGAGTAAGGGAAATCATGCAGAGTGGAAGCAAGAGGAAACCCTGTCACTTGTGCCCTATTCTGTTGCAAAACCATGTCCCAGTGCTGGCCTAGACACACGGGGTAGGAAAATAGACACCACGTTTTTGTAGGAAGATTGGAGAATAGTGGTCTCCTTGCACTTGACCTGCTGTGAAGAGTTGATGTTAACTTCTTGGTGAGTATGTAAATTACATCCATGGGCACAGGCGTTCTCGCAGAGGATGCCCCATCCAGGCCTGTGATGCAACTGCAGTGCCCTGGCAAGTGCACTGGCTTCCGGGGCTGGGCTGGGGAGGGCACTGAGCTGAGATCCAGAGGAGGAGCAGAGGTGGGAGGGTCTCACAGGCTCAGAAGCTCCAGGGTGGAAGGAAGCCCAGCCTTTGAGGGACGAAAGGGAAGAAGACAGGCAGAGATCATTCTGGAGAAGCCAGTAGGGGAGTGGCCATGTGCAGCCTTGTCTACTATGCCAGTGATCTCACTCTTTATATAAAGAAAATGCACAAGAGATATAGGGACATCTTTGTGGCTGTTGTTCTGCCAACAACCGTGGCACACACAAAAACCCTCACAGCAGGAGCCCAGGAGGAGAAGAGAGTCCCCATTCCACTCCTTAGACAGCCCCTCTGGCCAGGAGCTGGAGAGGAGAGTTTCCAGTGCCATTCCTTAGTCAGGCGCCCTGGGCTAGAGCTCAGGCTTTCAGACAGAGCCTGACTTTTCCACACCCACTTCCTACTGGTTTACAGCTACTGTATAAAGCAAAGCACCCTCACTTTCCTCTTTGTGACAGGTAGTGATGCTTTTTACAGAAACTAGACTTTATAGAAGCCTGGAGGTGTGGAATGGTAGAGATCCACAGGACTCTGTAGTGAACATGCAACACCAGCTCCCATCTGAAATACACACCCACAGATGCATTTTTCCGTTTTATTTTATTTCTTCCATAAGTTATTGGGGTACAGGTGGTATTTGCTTATGTGAGTAAGTTATTTGTGAGATCCTTGTGCACTCATCACCCAAGCAGTAAACACTGCACCATATTTGTTTGTCTTTTATCCTTTGCCCCCCTCCCACTCTTCTCCCCAAGACCCCAATGTCCATTGTATCATTCTTATGCCTTTGCATTCTCATAGCTTAGCTCCCACACATAAGTGAGAACATACGATGTTTGGTTTTCCATTCCTGAGTTACTTCACTTAGAATAATAGCCTCCAATCTCATCCACGTCATCGTACAGATGCGTTTTTCTCTAGAGAAAGTTCATCAGCCCAGAAGGCCTGCCTGGGCGCTTCCCTTTCAGACTGAGGGATAGTGACACTTCCCTTACCCTCAGGCACCCATTGCAGGGTCTGGATGCCCCCCACGCCTGGCAGCCCCTCCTCCCCCATTGTTGGCTCCCTCCTCTCATTAACCTCCAACCCTGCTCTCTCCCTGGCTCCCAGGACACCATCCCTGCCTTTCTTCCTGCCATCCTGGCCCCTCTTCCCTGACCCGCCCCTAAAGGTGAGCAGGCCCAAGCTTCCTGGCTCCTTCCTTTGCTGGCTCTGTGCTCTCTCTTGAGGCTCAACCTCACATCTGTCCCCATATGTGGATCGTCACAAATCTCCATCCCTGGCTCCAGCTCTTTCTGATGCTAAAACCTCACATGTCCATTTGTCCACTGTCCCTGCAGAGGCCCTGATGCACCCTGAGTTCAGCAGAGCCAAAGCTAACCTTGTCCTCTTTCCCGGGAAACCCGCTCAACTTCCCAGATCCTCATACTCAGCTAATGTCATCTCCATGTTTCCACATCAAAGCCCAGGCAGTCCCCTCCTCCAACATCACAGCCCCACTCATTCAGAAAAGATGTGCCATGATGTATGTGTCAGGCATGGCAGGGAGAGTTTGCCCTCAAGACCCCCAGAGTCTGGTGTCGGCATCTATAACAGTGTCACTGTTGTTTCAGAAAACGTCAGGCACTTCTGCCTCTGGCCATGATGAAGCGATGGTAGCTGCCCTCCCACTAAAATCAAACGAGAGACTGGACAAAATGAATGAGAGGACTGTTTCGAGGCATTGAACAGAAACAGTACATGCCTGTTATCCTTGAGAGAGTGGAGACCCCTGGGTTAGCCCATAATTGATCTCCCTGGTTTCTGGGGGAGGCATCTTCCTGCAGGGTGCAGGGAGGTGGCCTCTGAGCAGAGTGGTGATCTCACCGAGATGAGGAGGCAGAGACTGGAGTCTGGGCTACTGAAACAGCTGGAGTTTGTAGGACAGGAAGGAGCTATGTAACGGGTTCTGTGCAGATCCAGTTGGCCATAGCCTGGGCTATGCCTATATGCAGAATTCTACAGACTTAGCAGAGATTGCCTGTGAGCATGACAGCTGAAGGTCAGGGGGTGCTAGGAGATGTTGGGAGTTCAGCTCAAACAGAATGAAGAGATCTTGATGAATGCAACAGACTTGAAATCCCACAAAGACCAAGACTTAGGAGTAAGGGGCATACCTTAAGGCTTTGTTCAAAACCAAAATGGACCTGCAGTTATTATAAATATGTTAGAGGTCTTAGAGTGTCAACAAAATGATCACAATGAATGACCAGATGGAGAATCTTAGCAGAGAAACAGAAACAAAAAGAAAACCAAATGGAAGTTCTAGAATTAAAAGGTACAATATCTGAAAATGTCACTGCTTGTGCAAAACAGACTCCAGGACTGTTCTCACACAGGGGCTTATAAAGCCAGGACATAGGCCAGGCTGGGAGGAGTTGGGGAATCCCTGCCACCCTCCTCTTTCCTGGGATTCATTACTCCCTCTACCCAAATGCCAAAGCCTCATGCACATCAATTCATGCAGCCTGAACCCAGCAGGATCCACGACTGCCAATCCTGGCTTGCAGTTTGTGCTGGGAAATGGCTGCATTAGCAACGTGGAGACATACTTCCTTGTAACTAAGACTTTGTGCATCTCTGTAATTATGTCCTTAGGATAAATTCCAACATGCAGGCTAATTGAGAAAAAGATATCTCATCATGAGTTTATTTTAACTCCAAAGCCTCTTTGCCTTATGTTCTTATTTATATACATTTCCTTTTTTTCTCTTTTTTAAAATTTAACTTTAAAGTTCAGGGGTACATGTGCAGGTTTGTTATATAGATAAACTTGTGTCATGAGGGTTTGTTGTACAGATTATTTCGTCACCCAGGTATTAATCTTAGTACCCATTAGTTAGTTTTCCTGATCCTCTCCCTTCTCCCACCACATTGGCATCCTTTTTCTTCTCTAGAGAGTATCTGAGACTGGTTCTAAAAGCAGTAGCCAGCCCGGTGATACAGGGAGAAATAGCCAAAAGAGCTCCTGCCAAAACCTACAGTAATCAGAAACTTTGACTCAGGAATTCTCCCCTTTCTAGGGATCAAGCTGATGGAAATATTCATATGCATGCAGAGAAATGCAGGAATGAGGACATTTTCTGCGGCTTTGGTTAGAAGTAGAAAAACAAACACTAACCTAAGTGTCCATTCATGGTGAGCTGGACCAATAAATGATGGGATTATGTGATGTTCACACTGTGGGGTTATTAACAGCTATTGAAAGAGCTGGATTAAAACACCCTGCTTTGGAACCAGGACCAGCTGTGGTGTGGAGGAAACAGCATATTGCAAAGTAGTGTGTATGGTATGATCCTACTTTTGTAAGACATCAGAATTAAGTGGGAGTCTGTAAATTGTTAATTGTGTAGAAGTAGGTCTGGAAGTAGATACTGCAAAATGTTAGCAGTCGCTTTTTTTAGAGGTGAGATGTGGGCAGAGAAAGGAATACTATCTTTCCTTAATACTATTAGGCTTAAGTTGTTTGCAACGAGCATACATTATTTTTGTAGCTGAGGAAGAGAACATAGTTCTTTGAGCTTTGCTGGGAGGCAGTCAGCTCTCTGGTCTCAGCTATGACCTGGGACAACTCATATCTCCATGAACTTTGGTGTTCTTTTCATTAATTCACCAGGGAGGTGAGGGTAGAAGGAGAGCCTGGTGAGCACCTTTCAGCTCCACCATGGTATGAATGTTTGTCTCCTCCAAAACTCATGTTGAAATTTAATTGCCATTATAACAGTATTAAGAGGTGGGACTTCTAAAAGGTGATTGGGCCATGAGAGCTCCGCCATCATGGATGGGATTAATGCTGGTATAAAAGAGTCTGTCTGGCCCTCTCTCAGCCTCTCTTTGCCCTTCTGTTATGTTATGACATAACAAGAAGGCCCCTTGTTATGCTGGTACCTTGCTGTTGGACTTCCCAGCCTCCAAAACTGTGAGCCAATAAATTTCTGTTCAATGTAAATTACCCAGTCTTGGGTATTCTGTTATAGCAGCATGAAACAAACTAAGATGGGCTCTAATTCTGATGGTCAGAGCAAGCTCCCTGGTAGGTTGAAGGGTGGCTCTGACTGGGACTCCCCATTGGGAAGCAAATCACCCTACAGCCTTGTCCTCTGGGAAGTCCTGACCTCAAGGAGCACTGCCCAGAGGAGTGGCTAGAGGGTCACTCTGGAGAAGCATGTGAGCACTTTTCTTTTTTCTTTTTTTTTTTTTAACTGAAGTTTTAGGGTACATGTGCACAGTGCTGGTTTGTTACATATGTGTACATGTGCCATGTTGGTGTGCTGCACCCATTAACTCGTCATTTACATTAGGCATATCTTCTAATGCTATCCCTCCCCCACCCCCCACCCCACAACAGGCCCCGGTGTGTGATGGTCCTGTTCCTGTGTCCATGTGTTCTCATTGTTTCATACTGATTGTATTTCTATTTATTTTTGCAAACAGGTGGTATACTCAGTATACATTGCTCAAAGGAGCCCCAGTGCTACTGGTTTCTTATCTGTCCCATTGGGGCTGTTTTATGCTTATACAAGCGAAGATACATTAATATATGTTAAGCTTTTCCATCTTGGAGATTAGGTATCAGGGAGAAGACTGATGTGAGATCTGCCTCCTCTTCTTTGTCCCTTTCCTGTCTCCCCACTCACCTAGGAATAGAAGGGAGGATTCTGACGACTAGTCTTAGAGCCAGGCACCTCTCTTCACTCTAGAGAGGGCAGCTCTTCCTGGGATCAAAGTGCCATGTGTGGTCTTCTTGGAGTGGGGCTATCAGGAACAGCTGGGAACAAATGAGGGGCCTTGGAAGCATCAACCAGGTCTCATCTGTTGATGGACATATGGGTTGTTTTTAGTTATTACAAATAAATCTGTGATCAGCATTTGTGTACAAGTCTTTGTGTGGACATATGCTTTCACTTATCTTGGATAAATAGCTAGAAGTGGAATGGCTGAGTCATGTGGTAGGTTTTTAACTTTTTAATAACCGGAAAAATGTGAAGTGATCCTGCCATTTAGAGTGGTCCTCTGATATATTCTCACCATCAAGGTATTAGAGTTTCAGTTCCTCCACATCCTCTCCAATACTTGATGTGGTCAGTCTTTTTAATTTCATGTAAAGAACTCTGTGCAGATCCAGTTGGCCAAGGGCTGGGCTATGCCTATATGCAGAATTCCACAGACTTAGCAGAGAGTTAGAATTTAATTTTTAATTCTAGTGGGTGTGTTGTGGTGTCTTATTATGGTTTTAATTTGCATTTTTTCTAATAATTAATGATGTTGAGCATTTTTTCATATACTTATCACCATATCTTTGTTGGGAAAATATCTATTAAAATCTTCCCATTTTTCAAAATTAGGTCAATTGATTTTTATGTTTGAGAGTTTCATTGGTCTGTGTGTCTGTTTTTATGCTGCTTTAGTTATTATACCAAAATATTGTTTGGTACCATGCTGTTTTGGTTACTATAGCTTTGTAGTATATCTATTTATTTTATTTTATTTTTTTAGAGACAGGGTCTCACTCTGTTGTCCAGGCTGGAGTGCAGTGGTATAACCACAGCTCACTGAAGCCTTGACCTCTTGGGCTCAAGTGATCCTCAAACATTGGCTTTCTGAGTAGCCGAGACTATAGACATGTACCACCACACCCAGTTAATTTTTGTATTTTTTTTTTGTAGAGACGAGGTCTCACTATGTTTTCCAGGGTGCTCTTGAACTCTTGAGCTCAAGCATTTCTCCCACCTTGGCCTCTCAAAGTGTTGGGATTACAGGTGTGAGCCCCTGCACCCAGCCTATAGTAGTATATCTTGAAGTCAGGTAGTGTTGTGCCTCCAGCTTCGTTCTTGCTCAAGATTGCTGTAAATATTCAGTGTCTTTTGTGGCTCCATACCAATTTTAGATTCATTGTTTTCCTATTTTTATGAATAATGTCATTGGTATTTTGATAAAGATTGCATTGAATCTGTGTATCACTTTGGATAATATGGGCATTTTAGCAATGTTTATTCTTCCCAGCCATGGACAAAGGATATTTTTTCATTTATTTGTGTCATCTTCAATTTCTTTCAATGATTCATAATTTTCAGAATACAGATCTTTCATCTCCTTGGTTATATTTATTCCCATTTTACTTTTTTGTAGCTATTGTGAATGGGATTATTTTCTTGATTTCTTTTTCAGATAGTTTGCTATTGCTGTACAGAAACAGTAGGGATTTTTGTATGTTGATTTTTGTATCCTGCAACTTTATGGAATTTGTTTATTTTAACAGTTTTTTGGTGAGGTCTTTAGGGTTTTCTATATAGAAGTTCATGTCATCTGCAGACAGGAACAATTTAGCTTTTCCTTTCTAATTTGGATGCCTTTTTTTTTTCTGTAGCCTAATTGCTCTGGCTAGGACTTCTAGTATTTTGTTGAATGAAAGTAGTAAAAGTGGGCATCCTTAGCTGGGCATGGTGGCTCATGCCTGTAATCCCAGCACTTTGGGAGGGTGAGACAGGTGGATTACTTGAGGATAAAGAGTTCAAGACCAGCCTGGCCAACACAAAGAAACCTCATTTCTACTAAAAATACAAAAAATTAGCCAGGTGTGCTGGTGCATACCTGTAATCCCAGCTACTCGGGAGGCTGAGGCAGGAGGATCACTTGAACCTGGGAGGCCGAGGTTGCAGTGAGCCAAGATTGTGCCACTGCACTCCAGCCTGGGCAACAGAACAAGACTCCATCTCAAAAAAAAAAAAAAAAAAAAGAGTGGTCATCCTTGTCTTGTTTCAGATCCTGGAGGAAAGACTTTCAATTTTCCTCCTTCAAAATGATGTTAACTATGGATTTGTCATATATGGCCTTTATTATATTGAGTTACAATTCTTCTAAACTGACTTCATTAAGAGGTTTTATTATGAAGTGATGTTGAATTTTGTCAAATGCTTTTTCTGCATCTATGATTTAACATATTAATTTTTACATATTGAACCATGCTTGCATCCCTGGGATAAATTCCACCTGATCATGTTGAAGGATCTTTTTAAATGTGTTGTTGAATCTAGTTTGCTATTATTTTGTTGAGGATTTTTATATCTATGTTCATCAGGGATGCTGGCCTATAGTTTTCTTTTTTTGTGTCCTTATCTGGTCTTAGTAACAGGTAATGCTGGCCTTGTAGAATAGTTTGGAAATACTCCTTCCTTTTCAATATTTTAGAATAGTTTAGGAAGAACTGATATTAGTTCCTTAAATGTTTGGTGGAATTCAGAAGTGAAGCAGTCAAGTCCTGGACTTTCCTTTGATGGGAGATTTTTTAGTACTGACTCAATCTCCTTACTCATTATTGGTCTGTTCTGATTTTCTATTTCTTCATAAGTAAATCTTGGTAGGCTGTACGTGTCCAGGAAATGATCCATTTCTTCTAGGTTATCCAATTGTTCGTACTGTGCATTGTGCAGGTAATTGTTCATAATAGTGTCTTATGATTCCTTCTGTGGTATCTAATGTTCCATTTTTCATCTCTGATTTTCCTTCATTTCTTAGTCTAAAGATTTGTCAGCTTTGTCTTTTCAAAAAAACCTCATTTGTTAATCTTTTGTATTTTCTAGTCTTTATTTTATTTCTGCTCTAACCTTTATTTTTTTTTCCTTCTACTAATTTTGGGTTGAGTTTGGTCTTTTCCTGGTTTCTTGAGGTATAGTGTTAGGTTGTTTATTTCACATCTTATTTTTTGATGTAGGCAATTGTTGTTGCATGCTTCCTTGTTACAACTGCTTTTGCTGTATCTCATAGGGTTTGGTATGTTTTTACTTTTGTTTGTCTAAAGATACTTTCTAATTTCCCTTTTAATTTTGTTGTTGACTCCTTGGTTATTCAGGAGCATGATGTTTTATTTCCTCATATTTGAAAAGTTTCTGAAGTTCCTCCTGTTACTAATTTCTGGCTTTATACCTTTGTAGTCAAAGAAGATACTTGATATGATTTTTATCTTCTTAAATTTGTTAAGATTTGTTTTCTGGCCTAATATATTATCTAGGAGAATGTTCCATGTGCAATTGAGAAGAATGTGTATTCTGCAGCTGCTGGATAGAATGTTCTGTAAATGTACATTATGTCTGTTTTGTCTAAAGTACACTTTAAATCCAATATTTCTCTGTTCATTTTTTGACTGGATGATCTGTCCATTGCTGAAGTAAGGTGTTGATATCACCTGCTATTATTGTGTTGCAATTTATGTCTTCATTTAGATCTAATAATATGTGCTTTATATATTTAGGTACAAATTTGTATGCATATATATTTACAATGGTAACATCCTCTTGTTGAATTGATTTCATCATTGTATAATGACCTTTTACAGTTTTTGACTTAAACTCTAATTTATCAGATATAAGCATAGCTACTCCTGCTTTTCTTTGGGTTTCAATTTGCATGGAGTATTTTTGTCCTTCCCTTCACTTTCAGTCTGTGTGTGTCCTTAGAGGTGAAGTGAATCTCTTATAGGCAGCATACAATTAGGTCTTGTTTTTAAAAATCTATTTAGCCACTCTCTATTTTAGCTGGAGACTTTATTCATTTATATTCAAAGTTAGTATTGATGGGTAAATACTCCTGCCATTTTGTTAGTTGTTTTCTGGTTATTTTATAGATCTTTTGATCCTCTTTTCCTCTGTTGTTGTTTACCTTTGTGGTTTGATGGTTTTCTGTAGTGCAAAGCTTTGATTCTTTCCTTGTTCTCATTTGTGTATCTGCTGTAATTTTTTTGTTACCATGGGGCTTATATAAAAAATTATAAAGTTATAATACACTATTTTAAGTAGAAAACAATGTAACTCTGGTCACATACAAATACTCTAGACTTTTACCTTACCCCACTCCCACAGTTTTTAATTATGCTGCCTTAATTTACATCTTTTTAATTTTGTATGTTTCTTAACAACTTATTGTAGCTATAGTTATTTTTGACCATTTTGATTTTTTAATCTTCATACTAGAGATTTGAAAGATTTACCTACACCATTATCATAATGTAGATTCTGAAGTTGATTATGAATTTGCGTCTACCAGTGAGTTTTATACTTTCACATGTTTTCATGATAGTAATTATTGTCCTTTCACTTCTGGTTGAAGTACTCTCTTGAGCATTTCTTGTAAAGGCAATCTAGTGGTAATGAATTTCCTCAGCTTATTCTTGCCTGGGAAAGATTGTATTTCCTCCATTTCTCAAGGATAGCTTTGCTGGATATAATATTCTTGGTTAGTAGAGATTTTTTTCCCCCTCTCTTATCATCCCATTCTCTCCAGGCCTGACAGGTTTCTGCTGAGAAGTTTGCTCATAGACTAATGGGGATTCCCCTATATGTGACTTTGTTATTTTTATTTCCTTCTGCTTTTAGAATCTTTTCTTGTTTTCACCTTTTGGTGGTTTGATTATGATGTATCTGAGAGAGGACTTCTTTGAGTTAAAGTTATTTGGGGATGTTTGAGTTTCATGGATCTGGATGTCCATCTCTCTGCCAACACATGGGAATTTTTCACCTGTAGTTTTGTTAAATAAGTTTTCTGTGTTTTTATCTGTCTTCTTTGAAAATTTCATAATGCAAACATTTGTTTACTTAATGGTGTCTCATAAGTCCCATAGGTTTTCTTCATTTTTTAATCCTTTGCTCTCTCTCTTTTCCCCTCTGGATGGGTTATTTTGAGTTCAGAAGTTCATTTTGCTTGATCTAGTCTGTTGTTGAAGCTCTCAATTTAAAAAAATTATTTATTGAATTCTTCAGCTACAAGATTTCTGTTTGTTCCTTTTTAAATGATGACTCTTTGTTGACTTTCTTATTCAGATCATAAATTGTTTTCCTGATTTCATTGAATTTTCTACTGTATTCTCTTGTATCTTGCTAAGGTTTCTTAAGGTCATTATTTTGAATTTCTTCTCATGCGATTCATAAAGTTTTATTTCTTTAGGGTCAGTTACTGGAGAATTATTGTGGTTTTTTTTTTGGCAGCATCATGTTTCCTTGCTTTCTTGTTTCTTGTGTCCATGCATTGGTATCTGCACATATTGTGGTACAATCACCTCTTCTAATTTTACAGATTGGCATATTTTGGGAAAAACTTTTACCTATAGATGGGACCTAGGGTGTCAGTAGGGTAGAGTACATTGCCCTTTGTTCCAGGTGGGTGCAGTAATATAGTCTCTGTGCAGGTTTTTCAGCTGTAATCAATGTCAGCAATGCCTGTGAGTACCTCTGTTGCCTAGTCTGCAGAAGTCTGTGGCAATAGTGGTAGCAAGCTATAGTGTTAGTTTCCTCATTGGCTGCCAAATACTTTTTCTATGTACATTGAGGTAATTGTGTGCTTTCCTTTTTTCAGTTTGTGAATTTTGGTAAATTACACTGTTGCTTTTTGAGCGATAAACTAATCTTGCCTTCCTGAAATAAAAACTCCACTTGGTCATGGTGTATCACAATTTTTATAAATTGTTGGGTTTGATTTGCTTTTTTTTTTAGAGTTTTACATCAGTGTTTTTCAGGAATATTGGTCTTTCATTTTCTTTTCTTGGAATATTTTCTAGTTTTACTTTGTCAGAGTAAATTCTGGCTTCACAGAATTATTTGTAGTCTCTCCTGTCTTAGTTTATTCATGCTGCTATAACAAAATACCACAGACAAGGTGGTAATAAATAACACAAATTTATTTTTCCCAGTTCTGGAGGCTAGGAGTTCAAGAAGCTGGCAAGTTCAATGTCTGGTGAGAACCCATTCTTCATAGGTGGCACCATCTAGGTGTCCTTACATGACAAGAGATGGAAGGACAAAAAGATGTGAACTATTGTGAAGCCCTTTTTTAAGGGCCTTAAATCCATTCATTATGGAGGAGCCCTCAAGCCATTCATGATGGAGGAGACCTCCTGACCCTAATCACTTGCAAAAGTCCCTGTCTGTTAACACTATTACATTGGAGATTAAGTTTCAACATGAATTTTGGAAGGGACACAAACATTCAAACCATAAAAACTTCCTTTCACTTTTTTGAAATAATTTACATAAAATTAGTATTATTCTCTAAATGTTTTGTAGAACTCATCAGTGCATGTGTCTGAGACTGCAGTGTGTATGTGCATGAAGATTTTTAATTAGAAATTCTATTTTTAATAAATATAGGTCCATTCTGGTTACATATTTCTTCTTAAGTGAGGTTTGGTAGTTTGTGTTTTTTCAAGGAAGTTGTTCATTTTATATCAATTGTCAAATTTATTAGCATGAAGTGATTCACTATATTTTTTATATCTTCTTAACATCTGTAGAATTAGATGATGTCAGTGTCACCTCTCCAGTTTCTGATATAGGTAATTTGTGTGTTCCCTTACCATCTCTTTTTCCTTCTTCTTCCTGATGAATTATTTTCTTTATTATTTTTTAAATTTCATTGGTTTCTGCTTTGATCCTTATTATCTTTTTCTTCTACTCTTGTGGTTTATTTTGTTCTTCTTTGTCTAGGTTCCTAAGATGGAACCTGATATCATCGATTTGAGACCTTTCTTCTTTTTTAATATTGGCATTTAATGTTATAAATTTCCCTGTTACCATTATTTTGATATATTGTATTTTCATTTGTTTCAAAACACTTTCAAATTTCCCTTTTGATTTCTTATTGGAGCCATGAATTATTCAGGAATTTAATTTAGTTTCCAAATATGTGGGTTTTTTTAGAGGTATTTTTTTTTGTTATTGATTGCCAATTTATTTCCACTCTGGTCAGAGAACATACTTGGTATGACTGAGTCCTTTGGCATTTATTGAAGCTTATTTCTGGTCCAAATATGTCCAATCTTGGTAAATGTTTTGTGTGTACTTGAAAAGAATGCGTGCTCTTCTGTTGTTTGGTATAGTGCTTTATAAGTGTTAGATCAAATTGGTCGATAATGTCATTCATGTCTTCAGTAGCCTTACAAGTTTTCTATTTATTCTATGAATTATTTAGAGAGGGGTTTTGAAATCTCCAAGAAATGATGTGTGGATTTCTTTATTTCTTTCCTCAATTCTGTCACTTTTTGCTTTAGGTATTTTAAAGCTCACATAGGTTTGTCAATATTTAGTATCATTGTGCTCTCCTGATGAAGGTATCTCTTTACCATTATAAGATGACCCTTTTCAAAGAACCTGATGAGGTTTCTTGCTCTGAATTCTACCTTGCTTGACATTAATGTGCCCATTTCAGCTCTGTTTGATTAGTGTCAGAATGGTACATCTTTTTTAAGATTTTATTTTTAATCTATTTGTAACTTTATATATAGTTTTGTTGTTCTTTATAGGTTCTTTATATATAAGACTTGTTGGCAGCACATAGTTTTGTCTCATGTTTTAATCCATTCTGAAAATTTTTGCCATTAATTAGGGTATTCTGACCATTTGCACTTAATGATTATTTTATTAGGTTTAACTCTACCGTCTGGCAATTTATTTTCTATTTGTTCCATCTAGTTTTTTCCATCTTTTCTATCTTTCTGCTTTCTTTTGGATTGAGTGATTCTTTTATTCCACTTTATCTCCTCTGTTGGCTTATTAGCTATATACCTCTTTGACTATTTCCATAGTTATAATGGTTGCTTTAGTGGTTATAGCATACCTCTCTTATCTTATCACTGCCTACCTCAAGCAATAGTATGCTAATTCACTTTTAGTCTCATGACCTCACCAGAGTATACTTCTGTTCTCCTTTCCCAACATTTGTTCTATTGTTGTTGTCCATTCCACTCATGTTATAAACCTCATACTACTTTATTTTTAGTATCAAAGTCAGTTTTCTTTTAAAGATAAATAATAAGAAAACAATTATATATTTACACTTGTGGTTACCATTTCTATTACTCTTCTTTCCTTGGTATAGATTCAGGTTTCTATTGGCTATCATCTTCCTTTTGCCTAAAGGATTTCCTTTGTCATTTCTTATAATGCAGGTCTGCTGGTGATGAAATCTTCCAGCTTTTTTATGTCCAAGAAGGTACTTATTTTGTCTTTATTTTGAAAGATAGTTTTTCCAAGTATGGAATTCCGAGTTGTCTGGGGTTTTTTTTCTTTCATTACTTTGTAATTGTTGCTCCACTGTCTTGTCATCCACATTGTTTCTCTTGAGACATCTGCTGTCATTCTCTTTGTTACTCTATACAGTGAATACAGATAATGTCTTTTTATTTCTGTACACTTTTAATATTTTCTCATGGTTATAGATTTTGATTACCATGGCCCAGACACAGTTTTCTTTATGTTTCATGCATAAAGTTCACTGAGCCTTTTCCTGCTTCTTTGCAGGCATGGTAATTTTTTATTGGATGACACATGTGAATTTTACCTTCTTGGGTGTTGGATGTTTTTTGTATTCCTATAAATACTCTTGAGTTTTGTTCTGGGAAGCAGTTAAGTTACTTGAAAATAGTCTAATTCATGCCAGGTTTTGCTTTAACATTTGTTAGATAGAACCAGAGCAGTGCTCAATTATTGAGTTAGCTCAACAGCTAACTCCCATTCCAGAGGCAGAACCCCGTGTACTCTATTCAATGTCTGTACACCATGAAGTTTTCTGTCTGGCTGATGGGAACCGGCCCTCCGTCTAGTGCCATGTGTGCACCGGGCACTGCTATCTCATCATTTCAGAGGATTCTTTCCTCAGAGTCACATATTAATCCACTGAGGGTTCAAGGGACCCTCTGCAGATCTTTGGATCTTCTTACTATGCAACTCTCTCCTCTCCAGGTCTCTTTCACGCTAACTCTGGCTGCCCTGATCCCCTTGGCCTCTCAGGTTCATATTCTCAACTCTGGGAGTTTTCCAGGCTCTTCCTGGATTCCCCCTCCCTGGATTGTGGCCTGGCAACTCTCTAGAGGCAGTAGCTGGCCAGTCATGGGCCTACTCCATTTGATTCTCATTTTTCAAGAATCACTGTCTTCTGTTGCTGATTTCTAGCACGTTGAAAACTACGGTTTTATACATTTTGACTTTGTGTTTGAGGTTTGAGTGAGGAAGACAATTCAGTCCATGTTTGTCCACCTTGGTCAGAAGCAGAAGTTAATGTCATAGCTTTTTACTTTGAAGACTCAGACAAGTTTTCACAACACATTCCTTCTAGAGAATAAAGTTAGGCTCTGCTATTGGGTGTCCCCAGATGGGAACCCCACTTATTTTTAGGCTTCAGCTCAGACGCTACTTCCTTCAGAAGTCCCTTTCTGGCACACTACCTTCCTCATGTGGCTTATTTGTTCCTCTTGCACCAGATCACTCCGCAGCTTTTGAGTTTGTATATGGCAACAATGAACAAGGTATAATCCTCGCTGTAGATAAACTCATCATATTTGTTTTTCTCCATGGAGTGAAAATGTTTTAAGCTCATATAATGACTATGGTCAGGGAAAAAGCCACACAAATAATTAGGATATGTTGTGACAGTGCACAAATAGAAACACACATAATGTGCTTGAGAACATGATAAATGCCGGTTTTACCTTTCCTTCCCTCACCTGACCAAGCTTAGCGAGACGTGTGGCATCTTCCTCATCTTTGCTCTTCAGTGCCAGGTATGGAATAGGTCCATTATGGACAGGTGCCTTATTGAACTGAGCAGAGCCACGAATGTCAGGCTGGGAGTGTGGTCGCTGGAGTCAGGCCTTGGTTTACATCCTGGTTCTGCTTCTTAACCACTCTGTGCTTCGACAGGAGAGCAGGAGGTCCTACTTAGTTTTGGACGTGCTAAGTTTGGGATGCCTGCTAGAGATCTGGGGGAAGCATGGTGAAGAAAGCTGAATGTGCAAGCCTGGAGTTCAGGAGGGAGGTGGTGTCTGGAGATGGAAATCTCGAGCCAGTAGCAGTTGGTTCTTAGTGTCATGGGACACAGGAGGTCATATAGGAAGCAAATGTGGACAGAGAGTGAAGGGGTTTGAGGATTGGGTCCTGGGCACATCCACCTCTGGAGGTAGGGGAGATGATGAAGAGCCAGCAAAGTAAACTGAGACATAATCATTGAGGCAGGAGGATAGCAGGCTAGGGCAGAGACCTGCAAGGAGAGAGAAGAGAGCCTTTCACAAAGAAGGGAGTGACCGATGGTGTCCATGCTTCTGTGTGCTTGAGTACAGAGTCTGGGATTCTCCTGAGCATCCTTTGCTCCACTGGGATGGAAGATGGGACCTGATGAGACCGGGGCTAGGGGAATGTCCTGAGCCCCACACGTTTGTGTCTGTGTGCAGGGAGCGTGGAAGGCAGTTCCTGCTTGGTGAGGTGGAGCTGAGAGCGGTGCCACTTAGCAGCTATCTGTGCCACTCTGGTATCCGGAGAGAAGGAGCCGGCATTTGCCCATCCTTCCTCCTAAGCCCTGTCAGTTGTGATTGGAACGATGCCCCCGCCCACCACATTTGCTGGAGTTGGACTAGAGCTGGTAATATCAGGGTTTTACTTTTTAGTTTAATTTCTTGCACAATGCATGGATGTTTATTGAGTTTTGCCAATAAAGAGTTCCATAGGGTATTACTGAGCAGGACTGGTCTGAAGATAAATGAAAGTTGTGTACTTGGAAAGACAATGCTGTATTATTTTCAAACCCCCTTGAGAAAAAGGCCTTTTGCACTGGGTGAGCTCTGGATCAGGTCCAATACAGACAGCCTTGCAAAAGTGGTGTTTCAGGGAACACAAGATGGGTCAAATGATGACAGTTTGGGGGGAATGAGTCTTTGAAGAGCTCTAGCCCTGTTCTTTTCCCTCGGTGGCTGCCAGGCAGCTGGTCTTCACTACAAATGCAGACTGTCACATGTCAAGACTACTGCAGAGTTGAAGAATGGGGCACAGGACTGGAAAAGGTGAAACATTCTTCTCAAAATTCCACCAATTTTTCTGGAATAAACATTCCTTGTTTTGCTGTAAACATGTGGTTAATTTCAAGAATTGTGAAAAAATTGACTGCAATCTTTTTTTGCCAGTTTTCTCTTTGCTTTTACAAAGGAGAGATTTTTTTTTTGTCATTTTCTGTGATGTTACCTAACAATGTTCTTTCTAAGCAATGACTTCTTTTTTTATAAGGAAACTATATAAAAAATAAAATACAGTAACCAAAATTAAGTAAAATGATCAATTCTTGGCTTTTATTTGCCAATTTATTTTAATATATATTTACAAAATTGGACACATACACATATATATTTTGGCATATAATATGCATACTTTCTGTCATTTGCTTTCCTTAGCAATATATAGTGACTATCTTTTGTCATTCCGTAACATATACGCCACCATTTTTAATAGGTACACAATATTCAGATGGAACAGATGCATCGTAATTTAACAGGCATCCTCTGACTGGATGTTTACGTTGTGTTCAATTTCTTACTTTTATGAAAAAGTCCGGGATGAACATCCTTTCATGTACTTTTTATGTGTTTGTCCCAATCATTTTAGGAGACAGACTCCTAGAAGTGGGATTTCCAGATCAAAGGTTAGGATGAGAAAGTAAGCGTGTTTGGGGGCATTTGGGGAGGGTGATGTCTGTCACACAATCTAGACTGAAAGCTCTCCGTCCGTCCCTGCACCTGTTTCTCAGCTTCTACCTCCTGCTCAGTGCTAGGCAGCCTGCTCTGGGAAGGCATGCTCATTTAGATTAATTCAATCAGTGGGTAGAAGGGTCACTCAAATCCATGAAAAGTCCTCATTTTAAGCTATGTCTTTTGGAAATTTCCTCTTTTGGCTTTTAAGTAGCAAAACCTGGTAACCTTCTGATACCTTGGTGAAGATCAGTCAGATCTGTAAGTTTTTGTTGTGGTCCTACTGTGTATCCTTGCTGTGTTCATAGAGGCCGGATTAATAAGTAAATGAGAATGACTTGCTCCTAGCACAGATTTCACACAGAGTGAGTTTTCATTTATGTCTAGAAATCTGCAAAGAAGGGAACTTTTTCTCGGTTAAGAGCAAATACGATTGAAAGTATGTGATGATAAGCCTGAGACATTTGCAATGGGCTTAAGGACTTGGTTCATCAAAAGCTGAAAAGATTAAACCACGTTCAGTATAGTTTTATGTTTAAGCATACCATAGTTCTCTGAAAATGGCAGTTCCTTTTCCTGTATTAGTCCCTTAGCATTATGAAGGAATCTGTCCCGAGACCTTTGAGACTTCCTGCATTCATGAATGTCACCGTCGCATTCAGTCTCTCTCATAACATGCAGTAAAGGCCAACTGAAAAATGCCTGCAACTCCTCCAGGCTCCTGAGGAGACTATAAATACAAGACTGCAGTCATTTATAAAGCTATTAAAACAAAGTGGGGCCTGAGCCCTTGCTGAAATGATTTTCAGAGTTGTTTTCTCTCTAAAACACATGGCAAACAATCGCATGTTAGAAATTCAAGACTTGGCTGAGTTCCACTTTTTGTATCTTACTTTATCCCAAACTTCTGTGAAACGACCATGTTGTTCAACTGACTTTCTTGCTTTCTATTCCCGCCTCCACACTAGGAGTTGACTTCCTTTTAGGTACCATGTTTCTTAAGAAATAAAACCTGCCTTCATCTATGGAAGTGATCATATTGGATAACAACTTGAGCCCCCAGGAATTAAATCCCGGCCCAAAAAAACTGCAAAACCACAGACTGCAAAACTGCAACCTACATCGCATGTAGATACTCTGGAGTTACTTGCAGGCAGCAGCATCTGCAGTGGCAGGGCAGGTGGGGACTGTGCTGTTCGGAAAGCTGAATTAACTAGCACCCACATTTCCTAGTGCACTAAGGAATGACACTCTGCCTGCGAAAGAGCTAAACCCCATCTCTGCTCCTAAGTAAATATAAACATTCCATTCCCTAATACCTTCCTCTCATGCTGTTAACTTCACTCAGCTGATTCCAGACACACATAGAACACAAGGGCTGGCCTAGCAGACCTGGAGTCAGCCCACCGTTAAGTTCACGCAACAGTATTCACCAATGATCTGCCATCTCCACACCCTGCTAGGACATGGGCGGGTGGGGGAAAGGCTGTCACTTAAAGTCTCTGCAGGAGACAGATGGTAAACAAACTGAAAAGATATCAGTTGGTTGGGGGGAATTAAGATAAGTGGAGTGGTGGTGATTGAAGGCTCAGAGGGTTTCTGAGGACCTGGGTCCAACCCTGGATGGTCCTGGCAAGGCTGTGCGGTAGGCAGAGGAAGGAGATGACATGGAGACCCTAGCGTGGGATATCTAGAAACTGAAGGAAGAGCCATGTGGCTGGGGGGACAGTGGGCAGGGAGAAAGTGCAGGGACCATGTGGAGCTGGGTGGGGGCAGTGGCCACCATGGGGAAAGTCACTGTGTCATTTTTGGTCCAAACTCAGACGTTTTTGAAAGAAAAATGTAGGTGCTATTAGTAATCATCTGGGACAGCAGGTGTCAGCCGGGACTGTACCTGGAAACCCATGAGTAGGGGGCTTAGCGGACAGAGATGGTGACATCACCTTACCCCTGTGTTGCCCACTGTTCCACTGGAAAGTGCCGCAAGCTGGCGAGCGTGTGTCCTCTCAGTTCTAGCCACCATCACCCTGGTCTGGAGTCCTTCCTCTGGCAGGTGGGCGGCTCCATTGACAAGCCAGCCCTCCGCTAAGACCTGTCTCCTTTGTTCCCTTCTCTCCTCTTGCCCTGGATGGGGCTTTTAGGAACACTGCCACGGAAATGCAAGAAGGAGCTCCTGGCCGTGAAGCTAAGGAACCGGCCAAGCAAACAGGAACTAGAAGACCGGAACATTTTCCCCAGAAGGACTGATGAAGAAAGACAGGAGATCCGGCAGCAGATCGAGATGAAGCTTTCCAAGTAAGTGGCAGCTTGCGGGCACAGCCGGGCCTGTGCTCTGGCCTTGCAGGCGGAGCCCCTCTGAGATCCCACATCCTGGGTGTGCCAGGCCGGGACGCACAACCCACCGTCTGCAGCAGGTCTCTTGACCCCGCCACCGTTGACGTTTGGGGCCGTGTGGAGGCCCTTTCCTGTGGGGGCTGTCCCGTGCATGCTCAGATGTTTAGCGGCATTCTCGGCCTCTACACACTACACCTCCCGTGACAATCAAAACTGTCCCTGGACATCATCAAATGCCTCCTGGAGGGTGAATTGCTCCACTGGCCTGTAGCAGCCAGGCAAGGACTGGGCCAAACTGATGAGGACATGGCTTGTCAGTGTTAGAGACAGGGGCAGTCTCTGTTCACCTCTATCTGATCATTTTCCTGCAAGAAGGTGGATCCAGTGTTGCCAGATCTTCTAAATTTGTCAAGTAAAGCTACCCCCCCACCCACATACACACAGTTATGCAGTCACGTGTCACTTAATGACAGGATACATTCTGAGAAATGCGTCATTAGGAGATTTTGTTGTTGTGGGAACATCACAGAGCGCACTACACAAACCCAGAGGGCGCGGTCTGCAGCACGCCTGGCTCCACGCTGTAGCTGATGGCTCCGAGGCTACAAACCCGTACAGCACATGACTCTACCATATACTGTAGGCAATTCTAGCACGTTATGGTATAGAAACATTTCTCAACATAGAAAAGGTACAGTAAAAATATGACATACAAAATACAAAATGTCACCTCTGTATAGAGCACTTACCATGAATGGAGCTTGCAGGCCTGGAAGTTGCTCTGGGTGAGTCCCGAGTGAGCAGTGAGTGAACGGGAAGGCTAGCACGCGACCGTGCACCTCCGCAGACTTCAGAATCACTGCACACTTAGGCTACGCTAAATTTACATAAACTTTTTTTTTCTTTAATAGTAACTTTTTACTGGATAAACTTTAACTTTCGGACTCTTATAATAACACTTAGCACAAAACACAAATTATACAGCTGTATAAAAGTAATTTCTCTTTACCCTTATTCTACAAGCTTTTTATATTTTTCAATTTTTTAACTTTTTAAATGTTTTATTAAAAATTAAAACACAAATGCCGCATTAGCCTAGGCCTGCACAGGGTCAGAACCATCAATCACTGTCATCTTCCTCCTCCACAGCTTGTCCCACTGGAAGATCTTCAGGGGCAGTAACATGCGTAGAGCTGTCATCTCCTATGAGAACAGTGCCTTCTGGATTCCTTCTGAGGGACCTGCTGGAGGCTGCTTTACAGTTAACTTTTTTTTAATAAGTAGGAGTACACTCTAAAATAATCATTAAAATTATAGTGACTACATACAGCAGTAACATAGTCCTTTCATATCATGATCACGTGTGATGTAC
Source organism: Homo sapiens (assembly GCF_000001405.40). Lineage (NCBI taxonomy): Eukaryota > Metazoa > Chordata > Mammalia > Primates > Hominidae > Homo > Homo sapiens. The sequence goes on from NC_000020.11 coordinate 59,807,606, forward strand.
TGCACGGTTACACGCACTAGACTTTGAGAGGCCTTGGCAGCACAGTAGGTTTTTTCACACCAGCATCGCCACACACGTTAGGAACGCCTTACACCACGATGTCATATGACAGCAACAATGTCACGAGGCATAAGGAATTTTACAGCTCCATTTTCATCTTCTGGGACAACTATCTTATATGTGTCGTATATGTCGTGTATCATTGAAATGTCATGAGGTGCATGTCTGTGCATATATACACATACAGGTATATCCACATACGCATCATTTTCTGGACAATATGTGCACCAAGTCCACCCATCTGCCGTCTGGCTGTGACCCAGAGCCACGGGTGGGCACCTTCTGTGTTGCACCCCCATAAGTTTCCCTGGGTGGTCCCTGCTGTCTGCTGGGCTGGAGTTGGACTGTCTCATGGGGCAGGACAGAGTGGAGCTGCTGCGTCTTGCTGGTTGAGGTCTGAAGGGATCCAGTCATGCCCCTGAGACAGAATGGGGGCCTTCTTTTGGAAGGCAAGGCTACCATGAGCCGGGTGGAGCTGACTTGTGTGGCTTTCCAGGATCGGGCACCTCCCTAGTTGCTTTCCACATTCCAGAGCCACTGGAGTTCAGAACCCCTCGGAGCTTGCTGCGTACCCCAGTTTGCGCCCACGGACACTGCCCAAAGGTGCCAAGAGCCACTGAGCAGGCATCGGTGGGCTTTCAGAGGAAAGTCATGCCATTCTGGCAGGGTGGGCCTCTGTTTCCCCTTTCACCAGGCCAGATGGCAGGCTAACGTGTCTCGTGTGCGGTAGGAGAGGAAATTCTGATAAAGCTCAGGTGCACCGTCCCAGGAGCCACAGTCCACATCTCCTGCCCACCCTGTGAGGTGTGAGTCAGTCTGTGTAGGGCTGGGCTTGGTAGACAGTGCCCTGGACAGCCCCTAGTCCGCTCCTTCCCTCTTTAAACCTCAAAAGCCAACCCTTCCCTGGAGGGAGAGACAGTGCCCCAGGGGTGAGGGGAACCAGCTCCCGGAGCGCCAGTGCCTCTGTTGGTTTGCTCTGCACCCTTGCTGTCCCCAGGCCCCTGAGTCACTGGAGACCCTGGGAAAATGCAGGTTCTGATGCTGCAGGTGCAGGGAGGCCTGAGAATCTGCATTTCTAGCAAGCTTCTAGGGCTGCCGACACTGCTCGCTGCTGGGCTGCAGGCCACACTTTGAGAAGCGAGGGTCTACAGCAGGGTCCCCAGCCAGGGAACCATTGATGTTTGGGCCCAGATCGTTCTCCGTGGAGGGGCCGTCCCGTGTGTGTAGTGTGTTAGCAGCATTCCTCCCGCCTTCCACTAGATACTAGTAGTACACCCTCCGCTTCTGACCACCAAACGTGTCCCAGACACCGCCCAACGTCCCCTGAGGTCAGAGACAACAGAACGCTCCCCGGGTGAGAATCCATGATCTGAATGTTGGACTCCCGCTCTGGGCAGATTTTCCTCTGAGCAGTGGGGCTTTTCATTTCGAGGAAGGGTTGTTTCTGGTCTCCGCTGGGGAGCTTGAGCCCCAGTGTTCCCAACTCCCACCAAAATCCTTACTTGAGTGTTTTCACGGTGGAGGGCCGTGAACGTAAGCAGGTGAGGCCGGCCCGGGGTGGGGCTGTGGATAGAGCACGAGGTCCTACCCTTCCAGGTGTTACAGAGTTGTGCTTGGGGCGCAGGTGCAGGTTGCATTTCTACCAGCGGTTGGGACAGCCCTGCCGCTCGGCCTCTGCATCGTGGTGTCGTCATCCCAGGCTTTCATTTCTGCAAGTCTCAGTGATGGGACGTGTGTTCCTAAGGCTTGGTTTCCTGTTTCTCTGATTTCTGGTGAGGTTGAGCATTATTTTCAGCGTTTATCAGCTTTTTGGTTTCTTCTTTATGTACTTTGCCTGAAGTTTTCTTTATCTTAATGATTTTTAGGAGTTTACTTTTGAAGATGTAGCTTCTAATCCTTCCCCATTTTGAGTTACATGATTCTTCTCTCTGGGGCTTGTATTTTCAGTTTTAAAATACTTTTCTTTGAGGCACAAAAGTTTTGATTTTTAAGGCTGTCAGATTGCTGATCATAAACTTGAGGAGCTCACAGCCTTTTTCTGTGAGGACCAAGTTGTCAGTACTTTGAGGTTTGTGAGCCAGGCTGTCCCCGCCACCCCTACTCAGTTCAGGCGCTGTAGTGATGAAGTAGCTGTAGACAATCTGAGGATGAAGGGGCATGGCTGTGTGTCAATAAAACTTTATTTACAAAAATAGCCAGCGGTCCATTGGGTCCAGCTGGCACTTTGCTGACCCCTGATGTGCTTTATGGTTCGCACTATTTGTACCGTGTTTAAAAATCCTCCCCAGCCTAGAGGTCATCAGAATTTTATTCACTTCTGTTATTTGCGGTTGCCTTTACCTGTACCAGTTAATAATGGTTTTCTATTTGATAGTCAAACCAAGTTCTTTCAAATTAAAATACTAAGTGAATTGATCTAAACAACAAAAAAAAAGGTAAGTAATGGAAGATAGTACATGTGGTTCAAAAAACAACAAAAATTATGGTGGGGCTTGGAATGAGAGATGCCTGGGGTCCCCACCGCCGACTGTGAAGGTTGAGAGGAAGTTGGGAGAAGGTTGGGCTGCCGGGGATACCCCAAACGCCCCCCTATGTAAGAAGTACCAAAAACATGGGCCCTGTGGCTTGTTTTTACTCCATTACTTACTGAATCTGGAACTAATTTTAAACCTTGGACTGGAATGTAGTAGCTCCCTGCTATTTGTCACCATGTTTAAAAACCTGGAATTAGACACAGAGAAAACAGCAGCGGAGTAGCAGCATCCCAGGAGGTCAGACATGGCTTCCTGGAGGCGCCATTTGTTTTCCCTACAGCAGTGGCTTAATTGGTCTCCCTTTGTCTCTGCTCTGCCTCCTTTCAGAGATTCCTCCACCGTCTCTTGCTAAGTAATTCAGCCTCTGGTTGCCATGGCAACGTGCCATCTACTGTATCCCAAAGAACATTTGCGATTTCCTTTTTTTAATTTCCAGAACCTTCATATTTTATCTTCTGAGTGTTCCTGGGCCTTTTCCTGGTGAAGCAGTCACTGCTCCCCACGGCTACCCCAGAACACATCCGTGTGCTTGGTCTGGGACCCCCAGGAAAGTCAGGGTCCCATTTGAAAGAGTGAAGCTCTATGCTGATTTTCACCCCTCTCTGTGTAGGAGCTCAGCTTACCTTTAAAACCTGTGTGGATGCATCAGCAGAGTATGAGAGGCCCGCAGCTCCTGCACGGTAGGTGTGCACTGGAAATTATGCACAGAGGCACGGGCTGTTTTGCCTCCATCCTGTCTACAGCCACCATCTAAGGAGAGCAGTGGGAAGCACCTGCTGCCGGCTTTCAGCATAGGTGCCGGCGATGTGCTTGACGTCTGCCTTACTTTCTTTCATTTATCTAGTCTTCACAGTAACCCAGTAAAGCAGGTGGTACTATCATCTCCATTTTACAGATGAGAAAATTAAGCCTTGGTGAGAAGGTAACTGGCCCAGGGCCACGTAGCTTGCAGAAGCTGCCGTGCAGTGAGATAGGCCATTTGTTAGAGCCCTAGCCCTGGGCCTGGGAGAAGCATTCTAGACACGAAAGCACTGTGGCTCCTTGTTTATCTTAGGCATGGCTTTGAATTTTCTTATATTGGTTTGGCTTTGATCAGGGTATCAGCTGGCAACTGGGCAATGCACCAGGTGTCTCGGGCAAAGGACTTCACACTTGCTCTAAAGCAGTGCAGAATGTTGGCCGGGTCCGGTGGCTCATGCCTGTAATCCCAGCACTTTGGGAGGCTGAGGCAGGCAGATCACTTGAGGTCAGGAGTTCGAGACCAGCCTGGCCAATATGGTGAAACCTCGTCTCTACTGAAAATACAAAAATTAGCCAGGCGTGGTGGCAGGTGCCTGTAGTCCAAGCTACTCAGGAGGCTGAGGCAGGAGAATCGCTTGAACCTGGGAGGCAGAGTTTGCAGTGAGCCAAGATCATGCTATTGTACTCCAGCCTGGGCAACAGGGCAAAGACAGGGGGGTTGGGGGTGGTGGCAGTGCAGACTGTCAACACAGCATGGAGCAGTGGGGGGTTGGACATCCTCAGGGGGAACATATAGAAAGAGACACTGCCCAGCAAGGGCTCTGGAACAGTGCAGCAAGCAGGCTAGAGCCCCAGCCGTCTTTGTCTCAGCTGCGTGAGATAGGCCAGCACCAGTGTCTCAGAATCTCTCTCCTTGTTTGTGAAATGGGGATGGTGGCAATACCTGCCTCAGGGCCCTCTGGAAGATTCCACATTGGTCCCTGAAGAAAGTCATAAAAGCACATTCTCAGCAGGGGGTGCTGGGGCCAGAGCTGCTGCTGTCACAGTCAAGGCTGGATGCACTCCTGGGCGAGCTGTCACCTGCACGGGGCAGAGGCCAGCAGCAGGCCTTGTGGCAGGATGAAATGAATGCTGCTGCATGAACAGCGGTCACGATGCTAGTGGGCCAGGGAGTGCAGGAGCATTGCTGTTGATGGGGCTTGAGTGTCATTCCCATTCGTGACTGTTGTGTAATTTTGCCCGAAGAGAGAGGAATAGGGTAGGCACCTCCTAAGTCATGCACAAACTGTCATTCCCCTTGGGGCGTTCTTTGCTCCCAGGAACGTGTGTGAGAAGCTGATTAATGCTCAGTAGCATCTTTCAGGAGGGGGCACTTAGCATGTTCATACAGCAGTTAGCGGATCTCTGAGTGGCTTCTCTGCACGTTTTGTCCTGTGGCCTCCAGAACACGCTGCACCCTCAGGTGTCCTCCCGGGCTGTGGCCTCCCACTCCTGCTCTGTCTGCAGGAGCAGGACACAGCGTGCAGCGAGTTTAGACGCTCCCTCCTCTAGATGTGCTTTAGGCAAGGCAGGCCTATTTTTGGTCCTGGAGACAGAACGCACAGAAATGTGGAGACAGACAGTGTCCCCGCAGAGGCTGTGGTTTGGGCTGCAAGGCGGAAACCGTGCCTGGCCAGCCAGGGGACCAGCCTGTCTCAATGGGGCCTTCGTTCTGCTGTGAGCTTTTACCTGAAACTGCATGGACGGAAATTTTCACTTCCACAGAAATGGTGTTTGGTAAATTTCAGACACGTGGAAGCGGGGGAGGAATCAGCTTCCAATGCCAGCCTTCATAATGACACCACTAATAGCATCTGAGAGGGTCTGCCGTGACGCTGGGCAGGTGCAGTGCTGATTGCCTGTGATGCCGAGCAGGGACCATCATCCCTGCTCTGCAGATGAGGAGACTGGGCAGAGAGGCTAAGCAGTGTCCCTGGGTCTCACAGTTCATGAATGGCCAGGCTGTGGGCTCCAGGGCCCTCGCTCCCAGCCACTGAGCCTTGCTGCCTGAGGCCAAGCATCCGGCTCACACCTTGTGGACAGGGCCGGGAAGCTGATGATACACTATAGCTAAAGGCCAGTTTCCGGTGAATGTTTGTGTTAATGAGGTGGTTATGGTCCACGTTCACTGGGCTGAGTCCTTTGCCCGCTGATGTCTGCAACCCTGAAGTTCTGTGCTCGGTATGGTGTGGGTGCTGCACACAGGCTCCTTCATGGATCTTACTACCTTCCCCAAGACCCTCACTGAGGAGCGAACACACCTGACATGGGTCACTCCCGGAGCAGGGCTGAGCTGCCGCAAGCGCTGACGGTTTCTCTTGTCACAGTTATCATTGCCGCCCTGAAAAGGCTGCAAAGTTTGCCTTCTGCCTCAGGGTTAATCCATGGCTGCTGGGATGGAAGGTAGCATTTGAAATTACCTACAGGGGGAGGCTGCACCTGCAGAACGGGCCCAGTTGATCCTGTCACATCCAATGTCATTGCCCATCTCTTGGGGTGCTTACCCCCCAATTACAGAGATTTCGAATTCATGTAGCGTGCACGTGCTAGGCGCTGGGGTGCAGAGATGAAAAGATGCACTCACAGGTGATAAATTATTGTGTCTGGTGAAAGATGTACAGAGATAGATGTGTGGACCAGCTTCAGGAGGGAGGGTGAGGGTGTCCCAGGCAGACCAGCCAGTGAGAGCTCGAAGGTGGGAAGCAGCACCGCCTTCCCAGGACTACCCTGGGGGCTGAGAAGGTTCAGGGCTGGGTGAGGGTGGCAGGGCAGAGGGAGAAGACTGGAGGGGCCATGGGTCCAGGTGGTGGAGGCTCCTGTGCTGCCCGCTATGGGTTCCCAATCCACACAGACCTCCTCTTGTCATTCTGGGCTCAGCTCAGATGTCACCTTCCTGACCATCTCCCAGTGGCACAGCCTCGCCATTACCCTGTGTCACATCGTCCCCTGCTGTGTTTTTAGCCACTTCCACAGCTGCTGAAAGTGCCGTTTACTCATCTGTTCTGTTCGCCTCTTCAGGGTGTGCCCACTGGCGTGGCGGGGCCCTGCTCTGCTCTTCTGTGAGGGCCTTGCCCACCAAGGAGGCGCTGGCTAAGCTGGTGGGAAATGGCAGATGAGGAGGCCTGGCTCTCCCGAGAAGCAGCCAGGGCTCCCTGGGGGTCAGGAGCGAGGGCATGTCTGGGAAACGCCCCTCTGCTGCAGTGCAGGGCTGGTTTGGGAGAGCAAGGCTAGAGCTGGGTGGGGAGACAAGGGTTTCTCACATGCTACAGGCCCAGGAGCCAGCACCATCCTGGGGACGCGGGGCTGCAGAGAGGACGGCAGAGCTGGTGAGGATGAACGGCAGGCCTGTGGCTGAGGGAGGAGGGCCTGCCAGCCTAGGGGTGGGTGGATCTGCAATGGTGGAGAGGGAATCCAGGAAGAAGGCAGGCAGACACAGGGGAAAGGTTATATGTCCAAAGGGTCCCTATGCCGTCAGGTGCCTGGGGTTTTTGGCAGTGCTTCCATCCACTTGTGCAGGTGAGACTGCCCAAGGAGCACAGGGACTGGAACGGGAGACTGCCCGGTCCATGCTGGACTTGCTGATCTCAGCTGAGGTCGAGGGTATTCAGAGCCCGTCGTGGTGTTTTATACGGTCCTGTACTTCCTGTTATCCTTGGTCCATTTTCTTCTACACTATCTTCCCTCCAGTTTCACACACTTGGACAGAAGGGAGTGGTTGTTTTTCACTGACCGCCAGGAACCACAACAGGCTTCTGTGTGTTCCAGTGAAATAAGCCCTATCTGTCTCTCGGGAATGGAGCAGTGTTAAGCTTTTTTTAAAAGCACAATCTGAAGACACTGGGGTCTGGAAACCCATTTTTTCTTGTTCTGAAGCCTGTGGGGCCTCCGCGGTTGGGCCTTGCTGAATAATTTGGGGTTTTAGGTTGGGTACATCAAGGGTAAAGGGCTTCTGTTTGGATCAAACAGGAGGTGGGGGGAGGGTGAGATTCCCTCATATTGCTGAGAAGGGAGTTGGGGGCTGAGTTCCCCGACTTCAGAGGTGAGACATCTCACAAGCCAGACCTTGGGACTGTCCCTGTGGACCCAGGCTGGACTGGGAAGTTCAGGGAACCCTCGACTCGAAGAGGGTTCTTGTTAATGAACAGTCTTCAAGGAGCAAAGCCCAGACTGTTCTCCCAGTGTGGTGTACACATGAGGAGGGACCTCATCGGGGGGAATTTGGCTTCCTGATATTCAAAAGCACATTTGTCTGCTCAGTCTCTGAAATTGCCAGTGGGACAATTTCCAAAGGGATCACCAGAAAGAAGGTAAATGCAGAGACGAACAAGGAACTCATCATACCCAGGATCGTTCTTGATCAAAATGCCAACAGCTGGGCATCTTCAGCCAAAAGAAATGCAGTTGTGGCAGGAAAGACTCAGCTGTACTTGGGGTTCTGGTTTTTTTTTTTTTGTTTTTTTTTTTGAGATGGACTCTCACTCTGTCTCCAGGCTGGAGTGCAGTGGCGTGATCTCGGCTCACTGTAACCTCTGCCTTCTGGGTTCAAGCGATTCTCCTGCCTCAGCCTCCCAATTAGCTGGGATTACAGGTGTGCACCACCATGCCCAGCTAACTTTTGTATTTTTAGTAGAAACAGTGTTTCACCATGTTGGCCAGGATGGTCTTGATCTCTTGACCTCATGATCCGCCTGCCTTGGCCTCCCAAAGTGCTGGGATTGCAGGCGTAAGCCACCACGCCTGGCTTGGGTTTCCTGTTTTATAGTGAACCCCAAGGTTGCAAAACAGGCGATGAGGCTTGTGATCATTTATCTTTATGGATCATGGGTCTGCGAACTGGATGAGAGTTTTAAGCATGTCAGGTGTGCAAACATCTCCTATGGTTGTGGGAATTTCTCCTTGCATAGCCACCATTGTCTAGAGCAGCAGTCCCCATCCATTTTTGTACCAGGAACCAGTTTCATGGAAGACAGTTTTTCCATGGACCAGGGAGGAGGATGGTTTTGGGATGATTCAAGCACATTACCTTTATTGTACAGTTTATCTCTATTATTATTACATTGTAATATATAATGAAGTTATTATACAACTCACTGTAATATAGAATCAGTGGGAGCCCTGAGCTTGTTTTCCTGCAACTAGATGGTCCCATCTGGAGGTGATGGGAAACAGGGATGGATCATCAGGCATTAGATTCTCATAAGAAGTGTGCAACCCAGATCCCTCATATGCGTAGTTCACAATCTGCTGAGAATCGAATGCTGCTGCTGATCTGACAGGAGGTGGAGCTAAGGCAGTAATGCTTGCTCGCCACTACTCACCTCCTGCTGTGTGGCCAGGTTCCTAATAGGCTAGGTTGCCCCAGATGGGTACTGGGGTTGGGACCCCTGTTCTAGAGCAGTCTGCACGCTGGGGACTCTGGGTCCATGACAGTATTTCCTTCCTGTGTGATAGGCCTCACAGCCTCCACTTTGCATGTGAGGAAATGGAGGCTCAGAATTGTTAGTAGCCAGTGAGTAGCTGAGTGAGGACATGAACCTGAGTCTTTCCAGCTCAAAGTCCTTTTCCTTAGCCTATTTCACAACTCCCTGGAACTCATCCATGGCCATCCTCTGGTTCAAATTATCCTCCACCTAGGCAGTAGACTTTCCTTTAAGGAAGGAAGAAACTTCTTCAATGTTTTATCCTCAGTGCCTGGTACACAGTAGGCTCCCAGCTAATTACTGTTGAATGGATGGTTGGTTAGATGGATAGATGGATGATTGTATGATTGGATAGGTGGGTGGTTGGGTAGTTAGATGGATGGCCATCTGGATGGTGGGATGATTGAACAGGTTAATGGCTGCTGGGGTAATTGCATTATAAGATGCATGAGTATAGGTAGATGGAGAGACAGCTGGATGAATAGGTAGATGGGTGGATAAGTGGTGGGATGTTGTGTAGTTAGATGGATGAGGAGGTGAATGGAGACATTGTTGAACTAAATGGCATCCTATTCACTGTGCTTGATGTACCCTAATATCTGTCCATCCATCCATGCAACTGTCTCAGCACGCACAGTGGGTTAGATGGAATTTCCTAAGAGTTTATTTCAATAAAATAAGAGTTTAGTTCAGTACAATAAGTGTTTATTGAATGAATATCTCTCTTTGCATAGTGGGCTCTTTGGATACATTTAAGCAATGATTCCATTTACTACATTGATTATAACCAACCTATTCAGAAGTGTATTTGTGAATAGTGTGAGCCCTCAGGACCTCAGTGGCCATTGCCAATTTTGGAGACTGGTTCTGTGCTGTCTCCAGGCCAGGGTCTGCATACGCTTCTGGCGACACCACTGCCGTCTGGCTGCTGACCAGCCTGGGCTATTTCTGAGCTGCAGGTCCTTAGGCCCTCAGGTGAGGATACTCCAGAAGCCTCCACTTCACCCTCACTGGAAGGAAGTCTCTGGTGGAAACAAGCTACTCCTAAAGCTTTCTGAGCACTTGTCAGGAGGAATAGGAGAGAAAGCTTTATCGGAATGAGTAAGACCAATAGTATTAACCCATGACTCGCCACAGGAGGCGGGTGGGGGATGGTGTCTTCACAGCTCATTCAACAGAGTAGAAGTCACAGACCCAAATGCTCCATAAGTGACCTGGGCCAGGCAGGGCTGTGGCATCCTGGGGAGTGTGCACTCTTGCTCAAGAGGGCAGCTGTCACTCAGATCCTGTGGGCCATCACCCCTGGCCACATGTCAGGCCATTGTGGCCAGAATTTCCAAGAGAAACCGAAGATTTGATTTTTTTGGTGAAATAGCCTTCATGTAAATGTTGAGAGCCTCTTCCTATTTTTAAAAGCAATGTGTGCACCCAGAAAACATATTTGTGGACCAGATTTGGCCCGGGACCACCCACTGGCCACCTCTGATGTGAAGTCACTTATGCACTTGTATTGGGAGAAGTACATGTTTCTTTACACTGAGGTTAAGGGGATTTTCAACTCTTGAGTTAGCAGGGAAAATAAATGGGTCATCCTGTAAAGTGACTGTCAGCAGCGGAAGCCTCCAGGGCTACCACTGTCAGTATCCTAGGGAGCCTCAGCGAACCTGTCTCCTTCCTCGCATATGTGAGGGGGCCCTTGTGTGCGGCCCTCTCAGCTCCACCCTTGCTCTAAGGAAGCCGCACAGTGCACCGCTGAGAAGTCAGGATGGACAGAATGCCTCGGTTCCCAGCCAGCTCTGCAGTTTTCCAGCATGTGGGCATGGGGAAGTCACCTCCTGACATGCGCCTTACTTTCCTCCTCTGTAAAAGGGATGTGACTACAACAGAGCCTGTCTTTTGGGGCCACGGGAAGGATGCAATGAGCCGTCACACGTAGAATGCCTGGAATCATGCCTGGCAGAGAGGAAGCTCTCCAGGAAGAAAAGGAAGAAATCTGAGTTCCATGAGGATAGGGAATTTGTCTCTTTCAGTTTTAACAGCTTTGTTGAGACATAATTCACACACCACATGCTTCACGCACTTTAAGTGTCCAATTCAGGGCTTCCAACATACTCATAGAGTTGTATTTCCATCAGCACAATCGATTTTAAGATATTTTCCTCACTCCAAAAAGAAGCCTCTCCCTCTCAGCTGTATCTCCAGTCCCTAGAATGGTACTGAGTCCTGTGGGTACTCGGTGATTTTGCAGCTACTGCTGCAGGGACGAAGGGGAAACTGCATGGGAAGGCATCTCCTAAACATGACCAGTTATTGGTGTCACCATTCCCTTTGCTTCACCAACTTGATCTTCTTCAGATCCTTTTCTTCTGCTTCGGCATCTTTTCATTGTCATCATTTTATCTTCATCACTATCATCACCTTCACTGCTTGTTTATCATCATCTTTGTCATTTTCATCTTTTTCTTCCTCATTATCTTTCCATCATCTTTAGCAACAACTTTGTCAACATTTTTATCCTCATCATCATTTTCATCATTTCCATAATCACGAATTTGCCCCATCTTTGCTCCCTAGGAGACACTCGGGGAACTTGGGCTCTCAATCCCCTTGACGTCTGGGGGCTTGGCCTATGAAGGGAATGAAGCCCACATCTAAAGCAGGTTCCGGAGCCTCTGCTGAGTCTGATCGTGCCTGGAGTGAAGAGGACTCTTGAGAATGGTGGGGGCTGGGCGCAGTGGCTCATTCCCGCAATCCCAGAACTTTGGGAAGCCGAGGCAGGAGAATCGCTTGAGTCCAGGATCACTTGCTGTGTTGCCCAGGCTGGTCACCAGACCTGGGTGCCCACAGGCAGATAAGAGGAAGGTGCCTGAGTCACCAACTGCCCACGGGACTGAGGCACCTCCCTCTTATCTTCCTGCTATTTTCCAGATCAGCCTGGGCAACACAGCCAGACTCCATCTCTACAAAAAATAGAAATTTAAAAACAGCTAGGCATGGTGGTGCACACCTGTGATCTCAGCTACTTGGGAGGCTCAGGAGGGAGAGAGGATGGCTTGAGCCTAGGAGTTAGAGGCTGCAGTGAACTATGATGGTGCCATTGCACTCCAGCCCGGGCAACAGATTGAGACCCTGTCGTTAAAAAAAAAAAAAAAAAGAAAACAAAATGGTGGGAAGGTGAGTCTGAGCCGGGACCCTGCAGATCCCACAGGTCCAGCTCAGGTTGCCACCCCCGTGTGTGGCCTGGTTGGGCCGGTGCTGTCCCAGTACTGGCCACCCGTCAACTGAGGCACCTGGTTGGGCCAGTGCTGTCCCAGTACTGGCCACCCGTCAACTGAGGCACCTGATTGGGCCGGTGCTGTCCCGGTACTGGCCACCCGTCAGCTGAGGCACCTGGCTGGGCCGGTGCTGTCCCGGTACTGGCCACCCATCAACTGAGGCACCTGGTTGGGCCGGTGCTGTACCGGTACTGGCCACACGTCAGCTGAGGCATGCAGGGCTCTGCCATCTATAGCCTTCTTTGGATTCCGAGATCCCAAGAACAGAAGCTGTTGGCATTTAGCAATTTATGATTTTCTTCCTTTTTTTGATGCTGCAGATTTATCCGACTGACTTTCCCAGCCCTCCAGGGGGACCGTTGCTGGGGCTTCCGGTCTCTCTTTGTTTAGAAATCTCAGGGCAAGTGGAGATCAGGTCTGTTCTGCACAGATGCACCTTCCTGAGCTCTTGGCGTGGCACCACCTCCTGCTTCACCACTGTGGTGAGGGGTCTGCCTGTGAACACTGCAGAGCCTCCAAGGTCAAGAAGACCACCAAGATTTATGAGGGCACTTTCAAGGATTTGTTGCAAAAATGCGAAGGAGCTCACGAGGCAGTGCTGTGAGCAGGCTCTGTGTGGTATTGTGGGCAGAAATCAACCTCAGCCCTAAAGGGAGGGGCCTGGTAGTCCTGCAAAGGCCGGGGCAGGCAAGGCCAGCACGGATCAGGCAAAATGGTGGCTATCATGTATGGATCTTGTACGTTCTGCTTTTAGATGGAGGTAGCTAAGCAACAGAACACACAGCTTCCAAATTGGGACAAGTTTAAACTGGCAAATCTCAGCCCCAGAGGATATAAATATGACGCTTCATCGTCTTGGGTGGAAGTCCCCGTGTACAGGGAGGGAAAGCCCATCTGTGTGTGGCATGCAGGGTACAGGGAGTGGGTCCCGAGTCCCATCCTGTGCAGGGGAGAGGCTCAGGCCCCTTCTGTGCAGTGTCAATATGAAGTGGCCCTGTCCCTGCTGAGGGCTCCAGGGAGGGTCAGCTGCTGTTTGTTTTCCTTGGTTGCTTGGGAATCTGTAGAGGATGGTACAGCATGTTTTGTAAGAAAATGCAAAACAACATCAACCCCCATTCAGTGTCAATAAAACATGATTCCCAAACCAGGGAGCAGGTGGTTTGGTGGACTTGGAGGCTGCCTGGCTGAGAGCCATGGGCTGAGTGAGCCCAGGGAAGTCACATGGTGAGTCCAAGCCTTGAAATGGGTGTGTGATGTCTGCCTGCTCAGATGCTTGCAGGGACTAAATACCACACAGTCCTGCTTCACCCAGGATCGGGGCTTAGCGTGTGTGAGTAGTAGTCATGGTAATAAGAGCACAACCATAGCTCACTAACATGTATGAAACCCATGTTATGTATGAGGGGTGGTGTTTGCCTGCATTCATATAAACATAAGACGTAAATGCTATTATTGGATGTTCTTAGCAGCTAAGGAAATGGAGGCCCAGAGAGATTGGGTAAGATGCTCAAAGTCACACAGCTAGTAAGCTAGTGGAGCTGAGATGTGACCCAGGTGGGCCGACTCCAGACCGCACGTTAGAGCCACCCCACTCCCTGGAATAGTTGCACAGGCGGTCAGGACTGGCATGGTTGTTCCAAAATCAACAAGGACGCAGACTCCTCTTACCTTCCTGCTATTTACCCTTATGCCGGTGTTGATCCTCCATGGTCCAGGGTGGCTGCAAAGGCACCAGACATCATATTCAAGTCCCAAAGGGGCATACATCTCAGCTGAGTCAGCTTTTCCAGAGGGCTCCTCCCAGAAGCTCCTCCACACACATCTACCTACTGCTCCTTGGTTGGACCCTCCTCATGTGGCCGTGGTCAGCTGGAAAAGAGACTGCTCTGAATAGGACCAGCATTCAGGCATAAGAAGGGGAGAAGGGAGATGGGGTAGGAAACTCGCGGCTTCTGCTGCTTTAGGTGTTCAAGTTAATTTTGTTACATTAAAGGAAGAAAAGAAGCAACAAATGAAGAGATGGATGAGTGAATGGAAAGCATTCTGTCTGTTAGGTAGCAATGATTTCTAAGTGATTTCTGGAGCAGCCTGGTTTGAGGAGTGCATGTGGATCCCTATGGGCTTGGAGAGCACCGCCGGGGAATTTAAAAATGCCCCATTCCTGACCCTCCCACACTGGGCCAGGGAGGTGAGCAGCTGGCAGGAAGTTGAGGAGGAGGAGGGAAAGAGGAACCCTGAGAGGCGCTGAGAGTGATGTGGACAAACACAGCTACCCCCTCCCCAGCAATCCTACCCTTTCTGCAGCGATCCCACCCCTTCCCCAGCAATCCCACCCCTTCCCCAGCGATCCCACCCCTTCCCCAGCGATCCCACCCCTTCCCCAGCGATCCGCCCCGCAACGATCCCACCCCTTCTCCAGCGATCCCACCCCCTCCGCAGCGATCCCACCCCCTCCGCAGCGATCCCACCCCCTCCGCAGCGATCCCACCCCTTCCGCAGCGATCCCACCCCCTCCGCAGCCATCCCACCCCCTCCGCAGCCATCCCACCCCCTCCCCTGCCATCCCACCCCCTCCCCACAGTGATCCCACCCCCTCCGCAGTGATCCCACCCCCTCCCCAATATTTTAGTTCAGCAACAGATGTTTCCTGAACAGCCTCTGTGTGCCACTCTCCGCACTGGGCCTAGGATGGGGGGAAGAACAAAGCAGATGCGGGGGCTGCCTTCCGAAGCTTCCATTCCACCAGCAGGCGTGGGGGAGGGGAGGTCAGGTGAACATGTGTGTGGCACATGTGGAATATGTGGCTATGGCTAGACACGGGAAGGGCTGCAGTGCAGAGTGACCGTGTTCCACTCAGGTGGCTTCCAGCATCCCCTCCTGGGCTGGTGGGCGCTGGTGCACCTCAGTGCCATTGCTGATGAAGGTCTGGGTCCGGTGGAAATGGTGTGGTCTGCAGATGAGGTGCGCCTGTCTTTTCTTAAATCAAGGACACTTTCAGATGGATTTGGTTTCTCTCTGACTCGGCTCGTTCAGTCAGCCTGACGGGCACCTACCGTGTGGCTCGGGCCCCGTGCTGGGCAAGACCCTGCCTCCAGCTCCCAGCCTCACTAGGAGTGGGGGATGGGAGTCACAGGATGTGCCCAGTGGAACAGCCGCCAGGGCAGGTGAATCCTGGAGAGCGGCGGGCTGTTCAGGTCTGGGACCCTGGGAAGCCACAGGGAGGAGTGCATGGGAGTGACCCTGGAAGCCCAGAGATGGAGATGGGGAGGGGAAGGGCTGGCAGGGGCCCTGCCCGAGCAAAAGATCAGAGGCAGACAATGCTCAGCGTCCAAGGAGGAAAGCGGAAGGAGCTGGAGGGCAAGGCAGGCCCTGGTACCTGGCAGGTGCTCCATTGGTGCCTGTGGAATGGACCCCAAAGGATCTTAGCCCTGGGAGCAGGCAGTGGGGAGCATTACGTATTCTTTCCATTTTCAAAATTTGAAGAAGGGACTTATATACATGGTAAAAAATAAAACGGTACTTCTCACTCCCACCTCATCCATCTGTCCGGAGTCAGCCACTGTCCACGGGGCCATTTGTGATCATTCAGAAGTGGGTCTTTATAGGAGTCCTAACGCCCAGAACAGTAATCTGCAGATATTACCTCCCATGTGCTGTGCCCAGCTCGGGGTGAGCTGGAACCTGCGGTAGATCCTTCGCTCGGCATCAGTCTCTGGAGGGAGGTAAAGACCTGTCCTCAGTGCTCAGCCCCAGGTGACTACTCAAAAAGCCATTTGAAAGAAGAGATCATAAGCATGATTTGTTCATGCTTTAAACACAATTTTAAACCATACAGATGTCACTTGTTTGGCCGTCACTTTGAGGTAGAATCCAAGGACATTTCTTTGAGGAAGGATCTACCAACTTAAGTTATTTTTGCTCTAAACAAAGGCTGGATGTGTCTCCTCCAAGTTCCACTGACAGTTTCTTTGGAGAGGAGTGAGTATTTAAAGGCACTTGGAAGCAATCTCAGTGCAGAATCCTTCCAGAGTTTTAAGGCCCCACCTCCCCAGATCTCACTTCTCTCTCCCACGCAAACTGCACAGTGGTATTTTTAGCAACTTGCCTCTACTGACTCCAAAGCTTAGTTTTCATGGAATTTACATTTTCATTTTACACCCATATGAGATCATTTAATCAATGTGCATTAAAAGCTTAATTACATTTATTACAGAGACAAGTACACCTGGTACAAATAGGTTTGGGAACAGAAGCAACCAGTTCCTGATCCATGCACAGCTCAGCTGGTGTGGCCAGGCAGTTCTGAAATCAACAGGGAGGCCACGAAGTCAGCACGGGATGCCCAGCATGGCTGGAGCCACTGAAGGATTTCTGCTTCAAGAAGCCTCAACCGGTATCTAAGGCCTTCCCACTGATCAGATCAGGCCCACCCATTTCAGCCAGGACACTCTCCTTGACTTAAAGTCAGCTGATCACGGCCCTTGGTCACATCTACCAGACGCCGTCACAGCAGCACCTAGAGGAGTGTTTGGTTGAGTAACTGGGGACTGGGACCCCACCCCCCATACCATTCAGGTTGACACATCAAATTGACCCTCACAGATTCAAGGTTGGCAGAAAGCTCATGAGCAGATGTAAGATTGCACTCAGTCTCTCACTCACAGCCTCTCTCCTCAGGTGATTTGTAGAGAAGCCACTATTCAAGCAAAGGGCAAGTTCAAAGCTTAGACTCTTAATGATGATGTGGTTTTGCAGTTTCTATATTCACGTTTATTCCCTTTTATCTTCCCCAGAGTCTGGCTGGGAGAGCCTTCCACATAAGGGCTAATGGAGCAGCACCCGGTTCCTTTCTGTAATGGCATTGAATTCCACTGCAGGGTTGAACACAGGTCCTTTAGGCCCAATGGGCATTAAGGCTCTGCCCTGTGCTTGGCTATAATGAACATCCTCATACGTGTGTCTGTAAGAGGCCCATGTGGAAGGATGTTCACACACATCAGAAATCTTGGAACTGGAACTGGCAGGTTAGAGAATATATGCATCTGTCATTTTTGACCTGAGCATTGACCACCAGGGAATGCCCCTGATTGACAGCCCCACCAGTGGGGGGGCGGGGGGAGGGGCTCTGTCTACACTCCTGTCAACATTGTGGATTTTCCAACTTTCTGCCCTCTGCTGATCTGGAGGTGGCACAGTGACGTGCTGTTTGGCACAACCACACACTCCATGTGGTTGTTATTTCCATGGAGGTCTGTGAATGACGATGAACTTTGGACTTGCCCCACAACAGCAGCCCAGTTCTACTAGTAAGGCAGAGCTGTGTCCCACAAGCCCAGAACCATGCCCCCTGCAGCGGGGCCCCTGTATTGCCAGTGGCTTCTCTGTTCATTTTGCTGTGCCAGCTTGAGAGGCTGTGCAGGGGCTGGGGATTCAGCAGTGACCAGGTAGACAAAGTCTCTGCCCTTGGAGGGGTCCTGAGTCCCTAACTGGCCAGCTTGGTGCCTTGTCCTGGGTTGGCACACATACTGCCTTTTGTACTCTGGTGGCAGCTGTGCAAGCGTGGGACTGTGGTGTCTCTTTCACAGGCTTGGAGGGTGGCTTGCCCAAGGTTGCCTTGTTGCTGTCAAAACCAGCCTTTGGGCTCAAGTTTCTCAATGTAAACCTGGCGTTGCCTTGATGTCCCATTCATGTATCCACTCATGCATTCAGACACTCATTCATTCATTCAGTCACTTGTTCATTCATTCACTCGTTCATTCACTCATTCACTCATTCATTCATTCAGTCACTCATTCATTGGTCACTTATCACGGACCAGGCTTGGTTCCAGGGCCCTGAGTACACAGCATTGGGTACTACTGATGCAGTTCTTACCATTGAGGTACTCAAAACATAAATAATCAATTCTGGCCATGAAGGCCACAAAATACACAAATGCACTGGGGAGCAACCTGTGCAGAAAGGAGCCAGTTACTTCAGCTGGAGGAGTCGGGGTGGGCTTTCTGGAAGAAGAGGTTTAAGCTGAACCATGGGGAGATCTGGGTAACAACTTTCTCAGCAGAGGGAAGGGCCCAGGCAGAGGCGCTGGGTGGGAATCAGCTTGGCATGTGCTGTGGTCTGAATGTTTGTGTCCTCCCCAAATTCATGTGTCACCCCCAGTATGATGGTGGTTGTACATGGGGCCTTTGGGAGGTGATTAGGTCATGAGGGTGCAGTGCTCTTGAGCGGGATTAGCGCCCTCAAAAAAGGGACCCCTGAGGGCTGCATTGCTCCCTCCACCATGTGAGGACACAGTGAGAAGATGCTGTCTCTGGGAAAGTGGGTCCTCCCCGGATGCCGAATCTGCTGGCACCTCAACCTTGGACTTCCCAGACTCCAGAACAGGGAGAAATGGATTTTTGTTGTTTATAAGACACTGAGCTTAGGGGACTGTGTTGTAGCAGCCGCGCTGGGCAAGGGCAGCTCAGCAGGTCAGCATGACCAAAGGAGGACAAGGTATGGGGAGGAGGGAGATCAGTGGGGTGGGGGAGGGGAGGGGTGCTCAGGGGCTTCGAGGAGGCTGGAGCTCTGCTCCTCAGCAGGTTGTCTCCCTCCAGGAATTCCCTGCCACAGGCTCGGGCCTCTGGGTCCTGGTGGCTGAGCACAGATCTTCGCTGAGTGTCCCTGGTCTGGGCCAATGTGGGGCCAGCATCTTGGTTCTTCCCAGCTGACTCAACCTGGGCTTGGCTCACCCTTGGCTGGGACCCAAGGAGGCCAGGCAGGGTGGTGGGGCCCAGTGGGGTGTGGGGCACATTCCTTCCAGTGCGCTCCCCTGCCCCAGCCTTACACCTGGCATTACAGGGCACATGCTGTCCTCACCCTGCCTCTCACACCTGCTGTCTCTGCACACACCCTCCTGGCCCTGCCTCTCACACCTGCTCTCTCTGTACACACTGTCCTCACTCTGCCTCTCATACCCACTCTCCCACACACTCTGTCCCTGCCCTGTCTCTCATGCCTGCTCTGCACACACAGTCCTGGCCCTGCCTGTTACGCCTGCTGTCTCTGCTTCCCTCTCTCACGTCCTTCCCTGCAGGGTGCGTCTCTCCCTCCTCTTTGCACACATGTTCTTGGCCTTTCTTCCTCACTCCACTTTCCTCCTTTCAAAAGTAGCATTGGCAGGGCTGGGTGTCACTGTGAATGACATTCTCTGCGTTACCTTGACTGTGAGAACAGAAAGTGCCTCTCTACAGGTAGATGCGAGTTTGGTCCTGAAAGTCAAGGGCCTGGTTTTCCTCCGGAGGATTTGAATCCTTCCCTCTCCCTGCTCCCCTCCCTTCTCTCCTTCCCTCCCTCCTTCCCTCCCATAGTTCTCAGGCACCAGGTGATTCCTCAGTACCTCTGAGAGTCCCCAGATGGAAGGTGACCTGGATGTCCCTTGGTGTCCATGTTGCTGTCTTTAGCACCTGGAAGAGGAGGTAGAAGGGGCATGTTCACGGTGGGGTTGGGGAAGCCTCTCAGGGCAGCCCGGGAACCATCCGGAGAGACTGGTGCTGGTGACCAGCTGGCCTTCATGGGCGGGGGTGCACGTGATCTTGGTGCCTCACCTGAGCCCTTGGAACACCCGGCTCCAGGAGGCTGATTGGAGGCGAGACCCCTCCCCACCACCACTGGGGCTGTTCCTGGTGCAGAGGGTGAAGGACTCATCTCATCTGTATCCCAGGGGCACTAACCCAACCCTGGGCAGGGCAGTCTAGAGTCCCTTTTTGGCTTAGGGTGGGCCACAGAGCCAGGCTGACAAAACAGAAATAGCAACAGTGATGGAGACAGTGCGGTGTGCAGCTTGCGGAGCCCAGGGCACAGCGGCCTGGCTAGCCCCCTCACATACGGCTCTCTCCTTTCAGTCTCACCAGGTGAGACCATGGAGGTGCAGAGAGGAGACTGGCTGCACCCAGGAGGTGGAGGACAAGAGACACTGGAGAGTCTGGGAGGCCAACTCCACGTACCTGGAGTTCTTTTCTGTGCTGCCCTGGGAGGGAGCCCAGGCTCCAGGGGACATATTTCTCCTGCAGGGTGGGGTTGGGAGGACAGAGTAGGCAGGAGCCTTTGGCCTGAAGGCTTGTCACTGTGGGCACAAGAGGCATGGGACACCTTCCCGACATCAGAAGCCCCCCACTGCACCAAGCTTGGCGGGGCTTCCTGGTGGAGTTGAAGTTGCCCTGCCTCCTATGCCCTCAGGACACAGGAGGCAGGCCAGCCGTTCTGTTGCCTTTTGGAAACTCAGGGCAGCTCTGTGGATTGTCACAGCAACTGGAGCTCCTGCTGTATTTTCAGGATGGTCCCGGGAGGCAGGTGTTCTGCAGCCATGGGGCACTCCCTTAGCAATGAAGACTGGCCCCCCATTCCACTTGACTTCTGAATGTCCCTGGGACACTCATGAGAGTCCGAAGCCTGTTTATGATGACCTGAGCCTCATCCCAAGTGCATTGTGGACACACACAGGAGGTATTTTGGTGGAGCTGTATTACAGGTGGCGTCTCCTGGAATGCAAAATGCCAGAAACCTCTCCCACAGATTGGGGAGGGAACCTTGCTTTGTCCAGAGCTTCACCAAGAAGCATTCCTCCACTAGTGTCTCTCAGGGCATGGAGTGACCAGTGTGGCAGCTGTGGGTCTGTCTGCATTGGTGGCTGGCACTGTGATGGTGATTTTTCTGTAGCGGCAGCATTGGCATTGTGTGCTGTGTCACCCAATCCAGCCATGCCTGGCACTTACTTACCTATCGGAATATGTGTTATTTGATTAAAACTTAATTTCCTTTTTCCTCCTTTATATTGCAGATAGGGTGTTATGTTGTTTTTTTGGTTATGCGTGTCAGGGATTTGGAGGAAAAGGGACAAGACAGAACAATTGTAATAATGGGGGTGTGTGGGGTACAGTGGGGCTGCGGACCCGTGTGAGGAGAAGGACATCTTTGCCGGACAGGGACAGTGTGAACAGCCACTTATTGGTAAATGCAGCTCGACGTGGGGCCATCACCCGGCATGGAGTTTTGGGAGGGGTGGGAGTAGGAGGGGCTGCTGGAGGGGTCACCGTAAACTGAAAGGCTTTGCTGAGGGCCTTGGAGTTTGTCCTGAGGATGGTGGGAACCCGGGCTTGAGCTCATCGTGGGAGTAGGAGTTAGAGTTATGCTGCTGTGGGCAGGGAGGTGGACAGTGTGGAAGTCTCCATCATCCAGGGCTGAGGCTTGTGGCCTGGATCAGGGAAGTGGCCTTGGGGATGGAGAGAGGCAGATGGATGGATGGACGGATGGATGGATGCAAGCAGAACCCAGCAGACTTGGAGCTTCCTGGGGTGTTGGACGTAGGGAGTAAGAGGAGCCAGTTCTCCCAGGGGTCTGGTGTGTGCCTGGGTGGTGGCTGGAGCCAGCCCCTGAGCCCAGGATGCTGGGCACGGAGCAGGTGTGAGGAGGTGGGGAACAGGGTGTGAAAAGGTCGGCTTTGGACTCAGAGTGCCTGGAGTCACATCCTCCCCGGCATCCCAGAAGTCAGGACTGCTGGCTGCTGAGATGGGGCTTGCCCCAGGCATGTGGACCAGCAGCCAGCACCTCTCAGCTGAGCCCTCAGTCGGCAGAACATCCCTGCTTGCTGTTTCCTAGTGTGGACACACTCCATCCCCTCTGCCTGGATGCCCATCCCAGGTCTTTCCCTGGGCGGTTTCTTTCATCATCCAGGCCTCATCTTATGGCCTGGAGAGTCCTCTTCTCTTCCTGAACTTCTCTCCAGACACACCCACATTGCTCTGACGCTCTGAGACATAGGGTCAATGTGCCTGTCATCCGTGCACCCAGATGGTGTGCGCCTGGGGGCAAGCAGACGAGACATCTGCCCCATTCACCATCAGATGTCTGAGGATGCATCAATGCGTCGTGTGAATGGTGTGTGGAGACGCTGCCTCGCTGGGGAATCCCATCTCCAGGCGGGGGCCGCCAGCTTTTCTCAGTGACTCAAGGCGGCTGTGGGGCAGGATTGGCATTCCCAGAAAGGAGCCTCCCAAAATAGCCCGGGCGTCCCCTGTGGGTGTCGAGCTGTCTGTTCTCTCTAGGAAGGCATTCTGCCTTGTATGGAAGGAATTGCTTCTCAATTTCTGCTCCACACTGAGGTGACTTTAGATGTTGATTCAAACCTTTTCTGTGACATCTGTGCTGGGGTGAGATCAAGATTTGGGGGATGTGCGTTTAGTGGGGCAGCCTGGCTGGGTGGGGCTTCATTGGGGAAGCAAAGCTTGGGGAGCTGGAACTATGCTTCTCCTGACCCCGTGTCCTTCCACTTCCTGAAATTACCTGCAGCCCCTGCTGCTGTGCTCATCATGCAGGAAGGCAGTCAGCTGAGCAGTGTGTGCAGAGGACGATTCAGAAACTGGTACAAACTTGGCACTGAGACGGCGTCTGATGGGAGAAGAGGGGGTGTCTGATGAAAGAGGCTATGACAGACAGGAGCATGTGCGTGTCTGGTGGAAGAGGGTGTGCGTGTCTGATGGAAGAGGGTATGAGTGTCTGATAGAAGAGGGCGTGAGTGTCTGATGGAAGAGGGTATGAGTGTCTGATAGAAGAGGGTATGAGTGTCTGATGGAAGCAAGTGAGTGATGGACAGTGTGAGTAGATGATGAAAGAAGGTGTGAGTATTTGATGGAGGAGGGTGTGTCTGATGGAGACGGTGTGAATGTCTGATGGAGAGAGCATGAGTGATGAAGAGGGTGTGAGTGTCTGATGGAGGAATGTGTGGGCATCTGATGGAGGAAGATGTGAACATCTGATGGAGGTGTGAATGAGCAGATGTTGAAAGAGGGTGTGAGCATCCGTCTGATGGAGGAGGCTGTGAGTGTCTGAAGGAGGAGTGATTCTTGGGGATCCAGGCCTGCAAGGAGGCGCTGGGCAGGATGGAGCCTGCAGCTCTGCTGGCTGAAGGTGGAAGAGACCTGGGCTCAGCACGCCAGGTGAATAATATCAGTGCTATAGTAGTAATGATGCCACCTATTTGTGTGTCAACCTCCTCCTGTATTTAGTGTTCTCGACTCTCCCAGCATCCCTGTGGGTTTTGTTGGCAGGTGTTCACCTGGGGAATCAGAGGCTCAAGTAAGGGAGGGCGTGACGCCATCACCCAGCTGGCAGGGGTCAGAGCTGGAACTGGAATCCTAGCTCTGTGCCAGTGCTGGGGCACCAGTGCTGACTGTGGAATAGACAGTTGACAGCCTCCACAGACCTGGAAATGTGGGTGGCACAGTGGCATCATGACTCCTGGAGCCTCTCCAGGCGTCCTGACTGTCCAGGCTGTCGGCGGTCTCATCAGCTCCACCTCTAGGCCCCTTCCTCCCCATTGTTTGTCCCCTGCTCCCTGTCTCCTCTGTGCTACTCACAGCACAGGGCCAGGTGTGTCGTAGGTGACTGCTACAGATCTGTCGTGTGAGAGGCACTCGGAACCAGGAAGTGCCTGTGGGGTCACCTGTTTGGCTGGTGCCCCCTTGGCCCCCAGAAATGACTCACATCCACACTTGAACATACAGACATCCTTTTCCAGGGTGTGTTGTGCTCGATACCTTTAATTCCTGTCTGCATTCCAGGGCCTGCCCAGCCTCTTCCTGGCTCCCCAGCCCAGCCTGGTCCTTCCGGCCTCCCTGTCATCCCCACCTCTCGTGTGTGCACAAGCAGGGACCAGGTAGGGAGACCGGCAGATGCTGCTCTCTGTCCCTGGGGTTTCTTTTCTTAGTGTTGCTCCCACACCCACGCGATGCTTTAATTAACTGCCACACTCAGGCTTTCTCAGTGGGGAGAGTCAGAAATAGACTGTGGCTTCCCCAGCTCCAGGCGGCACCAGGACGTCACCAGCAGCCCCATTTCTGAATCAGGAGTCTCAAGCAGCTGCAGAGGGTGGGGAGGTTTGGGGAATCCCACAGGGGTTCTACACCCCCACCTACCCCGCCCCACCCCTCTGCAGGGCCTTCTGCAGCTTCCAAAGCCCAGCTATGCTCCGGCCACGTCTCTAGCGGCTCCTCGGAGAGCAACTTGATACTGAAGCTCAAAGCCCAGGAAGCCCTGGCGGCATCCCTGCCCCAGCCAGGTCCAAGCAGGCTATGTAGTGAGGGAGAGGAACCGGCGCCCATTCCTTTGCTCCTCGACACAGGCTGCTCCCCTTGCCTGCGCCGGCTCTGGGGGTCTGCTCTCACAGAGCTTCATGACTCGTTCAACCTGACTGCCCTTTTCCTGGCCATGGTTCTGCCTAGAAAATTTCCTGGGCCACCCTGGCCTGAGTGGCGACTGTGTGTCAGGGCAGGGGTCAGCACACTGTGGGGCAGGGGTGGTGGCCTGTGATGCATGCCTCTGCCTGGGCCTGACTCTCTGTGCTGGGAGAATGCTTCCTGGGCCTCATCCCAGCTGTGTCCCTGCTGGCTAGTTCCTGCCAGCTGGTGTTGCCGGTGTTCCTCCCTGCCTCAGCCCTCCCAGCATCTGGAACTGGCTGTGGGTTCTGATTCCAGCTGTAGTAGCTGCTGATCACATTCCTCTCTCTGAGCCTCAAGGGTCTCGCCTGTAATGTTGGCAAAGTAATTGTCTGTCCTTGGCATCAGGCTCGTCACCATTTTTCCTTTTGGAAGCCCCAACTCTGCATGAAGAGTTAGCATAGCTTCAGGTAGCAGGTGGACAAAAGGGTATCTTTTATGTATACTTAGGGTAACAAGTATTAATTTGGAGTGTGGGGTGTTTTTGCTCTGTGGCCAACTTCTTCCCCAAGTCTTGAACACTTCAGGGGGCCCTCACAGGCCTGCAGCACACTTTGTCCTTGGTATCTGGTGGGGGTCTGGGCAGGTCCGTATCTCTTGGTAGTGGGTTCATCTCCATCTCTGTTGGACAGAAATCTGGAAGAGTCCGGAGAGTGTTTGCAAATGCAAATCTAGTCCTGGCACGCCCACACCCCATCTCACCCAGGTCTGCTTTAAATCCTTCAGTGCCGCTCTGGGGTTCCAGGAGTGAATCCAGACTCTCTCTCCAGCGATGCCAGGCTGTGTGGGTCCTGCCCCTGCTCAGCCTCGGTGCACACACACCTCCATGCGATCTAAACGACCCCACCTCAGGACCTTTGCACATGTCCTCTCCTCACCTAGCGATCCCCAATCATCCTCTGGATCCCAACTAAAGTGTCACCTTCTGGGAAGCCATTCATGTGCAGATTAGAGCCTAGTCTGAACGGTGGCCTGGCCTTGTTGGGTTGGCAGAACCACCCTAAGACCCTGCTTAGCACCCTCACCTGGCAGTCAGGGGTCTTCTTGCTCACCTCAATCCCCTCCACTGGTGAGAACCACAGGGAGGGTCTTGGGGCCCACAGCACTGTCTAGGGTTCTGCATCCACCCTTCCAGGTGTGGGGTCCTGGCACTCTGTAAGTAGAGAGGCAGGTTGGTGACAAGCCAGTGGGGTCCTGGCCTGAGCACCCTTTTGCTCTGTTTACAACCCTGTGCCTCCGGGGCTGTGTCTACCCAGAGGACTGCATATTCTAGACCATTCAGGGGTACCCTGTTGACATTCAGTGAGAAGCTTGGCAGCTAGATGAAGCCCTGCAGTGAGCGATTGGACCACTACCAGACTGCCTCTGTGCCTTGGGACCAATTGCACAGTTTTTGCTGGCTTGATGTCCACGCTTTCCTGAGGTGTACCAGTTGGATGAAATGCTTTTCTGGGAACATGGTCCGCGATCAGCTGGCAAGTCACAGGTTGGGTTTTCTTGAGAAATTACTATATCCCAAGCATGCATTGTCACAAACATTTTTGTGCATTATCTCATTTAATGCTCATTAAGAGGGTCTGGTACTAATTCTCATTTTGGATGAGAAAGACAAGGTTCCAACAAAGGGCGGGGGGAAGCCTTGTTCGGGGGCCATGCCAGTGGACACTAGCCTCCAGGGACATTTGGGGTACTTCTCAGATTTGAGGAAATGCACAGCCTCACTCCTCAGGTGTCCCTATGGGTGTTCCTGGCTGGGCAGCTGGCTCAAGAATTGTCTTGAGCCACACACAAAATACAAATGGCTGGGGCCAGCATCGCGGACAGTGAAAGAGTTTACCAAGGCAGTTATAGGTAAAGAAAGGCAAATTTATTAGAGAAAGTATGAAGATCCGTTGCAAGGGTGCAATGGGCAGCACAGTAGAGAAGGGGCTGCTGGAAAGAGGCAGGCGCTGGAGGGAAGTTTTATAGGGTTGTGCCAGAGGGGCTTATGTGCAGATAAGATAGTACTGCTGGGTCTTCGAGTGGAACAAGGTGTTTGGAAATAGGATGTCATGCCAGTGGGTTGTCTGTGATTAGCTGGCTCTCAGAACAATTCTTCTCCCCCACCTAGGACCCCTTCCTCATTGTTGCTTACTTATTAGGACTCCACGTTTTACTTCCCAAGATCCCATTCCTATACACAGCCTCTCCCTCTTAGCCAGAGGAGCTGTGCAAAGGAAGTACCTTTTCATGGGTAAAAGACTCATGGTGCGCTCACTCTTGCTGGGCTTCAGGGATTTTTCATTTCTATTGCTCTAAAAGTGCCTGTGTGCCTTCCCCCTCCATCCCATCTCCTTCCTGCTTCCGAGCCCTTCTGTGGGCAGCATGGGGGCCAGGAATCTGGCTTGTTCCTGCTTTTCCTATGGTGGTCTGCCCCACCATTATTCACACACAGAGGCTGTTGGGTTCTCTTACCATTCCCTGTTTACAGAGACTCAGATACATTCAGAAGCGAGCTAATGCTGGGTGCCCAGCTCTAAGGGGAGACCCCAGACAACTCCAATTTCCTGATGATTTCTCTTCCTTTACCTAATTCCTTCTCCAAGACCCTTGCAGACACTGCTGTACCAAGTGGATTCTGTGTAACTCTCTCAGAAGTTTCCTCTTCCATGAAGCCTGCCTTGATTACCCACCCCCATCCTCACTCCCTCAGTGTTTAAGCCCAGTGTGTGAACAGTTAAGAGACGCTATGGTCTTCCCACACTGGTTTCTTCTCTTCATTTGGGTCTCAGCGAAATGTATCTCTGCCAGATTCTGAATGTATCTGCCCCTGCCCAACCACTCACCCACCATATCCGCCATTTCCTCCACGGCATTGACCACTCTCTCAGATGATTTTGTTCATTTGTCTGCCTTTACCTCTAGACCAGGGGCATCCAATCTTTCAGCTTCCCTGGGCCACACTGGAAGAATTGTCTTGAGCCGCATACATAAAATACACTAACGATAGGTGATTAGCTAAAAATAATTGCAAAAAAACCCTCATAATTTGTGTTTTCAGAAAGTTTATGAATTTGTGTTGGGCCTCCTTCAAAGCTGTCCTGAGCTGCATGCAGCCTGCAGGCCACGGGTTAGACAAGCTTGCTCTAGACTATGAGCTTCCCAAGGGCAGGGAAGACTTCCCATACTCAGCACTCTGTTCTGGGGGCTTGGAACAGTGCCTGGCACATAGCAAATATGTCATAGTCATCTCCTGAGTGCTTGAATGAGTGGCCTTTGGGGTGTTTTGACTAGACTGCAAAAGCAACACTTAAGTGAGCTAGGCTTTGCATACATTGTTTGGGACTGGGGAGGATTCCAGCCAGGAATTGTCAGGGGGGGAGGTTCAAGTCTCACTGAACATCGAGATATGATGTGGAAGCAACCACCCACAGAGCCAGAAGACAAAGCCCCCAGGGGAGCAGAACCACAAAGGGTTGTGTTCTAGTGGGGAGGGAGGAGTGGCTGAGCCCCGCAATGCCCTAGGCTTTCTGCTGGGACAAGGATTATAAATAGGAGATAAATAATTTTTAAATGGAGGCAACATCCTCACTGGGGCAAAATATTATGGCCCTAAATTCTAGGCATTCAAATACTGGGCCCTGTTGTCTCCCTGCTGTGGTTAGAGGATCTGGAAGTGGGAAGGTTTCTGGCTCTGGCCCAAGGACAATATTATTGTAGTCATAAAAATAATCAGAGCTTGGCATTAATTTTGGATGATGATGCCTCCTTCTCCTGACAAGCCCTTTATGTTTTTTGGTGGTGACTGTTGGCTGCATCCTCCAACTTCCTCAATGAGAGACCACTTGAAAAAGAAATAATAATTTGTCTTCATATCGCACACTCCGTCTGGGCTGATGGTGGGAGGGGAATGCGTGTGGGTGGGCTCAGCTCTGTTAGCTGCGCTGGCTGGAAGAGATTCCCAGTTTTTATTCAGCGCTCGAGCTGGGCTGCATGCTTGCTGACAAGAGGCGGGAGGCCCCTTAGACGTCTTTAGACACTCCCCCTGTGCTGGGCTGGGCACAGGCGGCTCTACTCAGCAGTTCAGCAGGCAGAAAGCCGGAAGGAGAGATCAGTGCTCCCAAGGCTGGTGTCTCCCGTGCTGACAACGGAGGCAGTGCTGGGAAGCATGAATCTCCCAGCATCTCTGGATCCAGAAGCCTGAAAACAGGTGGTGCTACCCACCCCTCCCTAAGCCAATGGGCAGGAAAAAGAATTTCCTGAACAGATCTCCTCGCTGCTTAAACACACTGCTCCGGTGAACAGTCCAGACCAGGCAAGGTTTGGGCGACAGATCAGAAAAATGAAGACCTGCACATGTGGAGCTGGAGCAAGGACTAGTCTAGTATTAGCTCTGTGACGGGAGAGCTTTGACTGTCACCTGGAAGTCTGACTTGATTTTGCCAGCAAGAGGCAACAACCAAAGGTTCACTTTCTCTCCTTCCAATTTTGGGAGGCGATCTATAGGGGTTTGCCAGCCACCTCTCATCCTTGCAGACCCCAGGTGGAATTTGCAGGCAGCCACTATGGTGCAAAATGTAATTTTAGTGTTTTTCCGCAGACGGCTGAGCCAAAGACCTGCCGTGGAAGAGCTGGAGAGAAGAAATATCTTGAAACGTGAGTAGCTGGTGATTCCTCTAGAGGTTTTCCTTCACGTGTGGTGAGGCTGTTGCACAAATCCTGAGTTCCCATAACCCAGCCCTTCTCTGCAAGCGGAATGCTCCATGCTCCCAGTAAACCTGAGCTGCTGCTGAATTCTGAAAGCAAGCCCCAAAGGAAAGCTGATATACCTAGAAACATTTTTTTTAATTTAAAAAAACTCCTTTCCTCTTAGCATAAAGATGTTTTTATTTTCAGGGTTAGTCCCATATGTCTAAGTGCGTTAGGTTTCAAGCAGGTCTTCCTGGCAGTTTGGGTCGGGGTTCTTCATGGCTATAGAAATCACAAAGCATGAACCGCATGAACACACTAGAGAAGGACACGCCCCTTGCCTGTTACACTTGGGAGGAATAAAGCAGTCAGCTCAGGGAAACGGTGAAGCCATGAGAAGCTTTCCTGTGGCTCAGGACTTTGAGGTTCCAGGACCCTCTGTTGCTCCCAGCCTTGCAACCCCTTGCATTTCCCGTTAGGTGGACAATTATAGCATATGCTGAGCATAGGTGTTCATGAGTAACCTCCATGCTCTAGGGCACTATATTCCATTAAATATTCCATAAAGTCAGTGATTTAGGGGTGGCCAAACCTCTTGAAAAAGTGTTTCTCCAATAGTTCTTTATCTAGTCATTTTCAGTTTTTAAAACATTTTCCACAGAAAGTGTCTTCTAATGGCTTGGATTTTTAAAGGACTTTTTTTCTCTTTATGTGATGAATACTGCAGACTTTCTCTGAGTTTGTTTTCTTATTTGTGAACATCTTTTTATGAAGTTATAATGGTACCAAGCTGACTTTCTGTCAGAAAATACCGCAGAGCCCCTTGTTGGTCTGGGTACTGAACTTGAATTGATTCCTCCCTCCTTTCTTTGCCTCAGTGCCTTCATTAACTGCCTAAAACAATCCCCTCCTTTATAGATTGTTGAAAATAACCCTCAGATAAAGACTTCTTCATTTTACTTTTTAAACTTAAGATATAGTGACTACTGTTCTATGTTAACTATACCATCTCTGAGGATTTAAAGAAAAGCTCTTCATTGATAACATGCTTAATTAAGTAGGCAGACAGAAAAGTCAAGCTGTTTCAGTTGCCAAATATTTGAATTTTTAAAAATTAAGTCACTTATTTATAAAGCTTGTAAGTTGCAGATGCTACTAAAAGTAGCAGTCCAGACTTGAACCAGGCAAGTTCAAGACACAGGAAGCACCACATTCCAAGTAGCCTGCTGTCAGCAACAGGAAGAGAGTACTACAGCCCAGACCTTTAACCCAGGAACCATGTCTTCTTTCAGTAGCAGCCTCTTCCTTCCTATCGTGGGCAACCAGGTCTTCCCATCAGCAAGTACTTCTAATTGTGTTAATCTTTGGAAATAAATATCAGAGCCTTAGAAATAGAACTATCTTTGGTGAATAGGGAGCTAGCAAATGCATAACTGAAACTGACTGCCCTTACCTTCAGTGCATGAAAGGGAAAATGGGTTTCCTCTGCGGTGGCCATGGCAATCCCGCCATAAACACTGTGCCTTCATCAGTGAATGTAGGTTTGTCCTTAGCTCGGAAGCCCTCTCTAGTGTCCTGAGTGGAAGGACCTGAGAATTTTACTGCTAGGTTTGTGGTGGGTGTTTGGTTTTACTTTTGTTCTGTGGAGATGAGAATAGGGTAACTATATATAGCCTAGTATGAAACATCATACTCATAGGCTCTAGATACACAGGACTTCAAGCACTCATACTGTATTGTATTTTCTTCTTGTAACCAATTCTTAGAATATCACTTTTGTATTTGCTTCAAGGGGGAACTCATGACTAACTGCAGTCATATCTGAGGAGCACTCAAAACTCCGCCCATATAACACTATAACGTGGATAGAAAAGCAGAAGAGCAGGGGTCCCTTTATATGGTGATGGTAATTCTTTATTAGGCCCAATCTGTGCCAGGGACTATATTCAGTACTTGGTATATATTCCCTCATTTAATCATTGCAACATATTTGTGAGGTTTGCACTTTTTAATAAATGAATATTGGGAAAAGGATAGCACTAGAGTTCAACCCCAGGTCTGCCTAACTCCATTGCCCATCTTCTTAACTACTGCATCAGAAGCAGTAATACATTTCTGGATATTCATGGAAGTCTCAGGTATAACTGTCCAAGCTGCTGGAGCTATTTCCAGAAAATATGAGTATAGCAGTCCTGATTATGGGTCCCTTGCTTTGTATAATGCAGAGGGTGTTCTGGGTCTGGAAATAAGAAATCCATAAACATATCACTAAGGGGAGCTCAGAAGGGGAGGTCTGTGGGCTTAGGCTAACAGGGAGGACTTCTTGGAGGAGGTCTCCAACAGAGCGCCTGGCACAAAGCAGCACTCTGACAGGAACTTTCAAAGATCAGTTCTCCAAAGACCCTGCTGGTGACCTTCGTAGTAATTATGGCATTTTTCAGGATTAAAAAAAAAAAAAAGATCTGACTTTGTTTCAATCTTTTCACATGGAAGCTGCACTTGGGAGCTGCCCATGGCCTATTTTAAAGAAATCTGAAACATTTTACGTCACGTAAATCCCTCATGGCTTGCCTTGTCTGGACACTTTCACAATGTCTCTCTAATTGTATCAGCTTTCTGATGATACCTTAAAAGTATGGTTTCTTCTGGTTTCTCACTTGTATAAAGAATTAAGCAGAAAGAGGATTTCATTACCTTTTCTAAAACACCCTAATCCAAGATGACTCACTTAAAAAAAATTACTGGAAAGCACAATATATTAAACTCTCATATAACCAATCCCACAAATGTATAAATATTTGAAACGCATCTTTTACATAAAGGCAGATAATGTGAAATTGTGTTAATTGCAAGTGGCAGGATTTCCCTTACCAAAACCTACCAGTGTTTCTAGGAGTGCTGATTGTTGAAATCTCTTTCCTAGGAATGGAGCTATGTTCAGGTCAGGGACATAAGGCTTTATTTAGCAACAGAGAACACCAGAAATAGGACAGCCATTATCTTGTATCCCAGGGGGAAGCTTACGTTTTATACTATATCTCAGCACTTTCGTCTATTTTTGGCTTCCAAGGGTAGGTGCGAGCACAGCTTGAATGTTAATAGTCACAACTTACCAAGCAAAGCTAATTTTGCTGAGGGACTTGGGCTCCTTTAAAAGGCACTGTCATATAACAGTGTTCACGCTTCAGCAATGGAGAGTCAGCGAGGTTCATAGATGTGTTAAGATTTGAAATATAGTCTGAACATATAAATTCCAGGCAAGCATATGCTGCCCAGGAGCTGAAGAAGGTGTTCCATGTTTTATGTTGGTTAAAAAGTCTGTACGCTTATTAAGGAAAAAAATTAGTGGCAGTGCTATTTATATTGAAATGTACATATACATTTATTTACTTAGTCTACTACAGCTTTTTTTATGTGGCATCTAAGTGCTAGATGTAAATATAAAGATATTTGGGGAGAAAGACAGACACAGAGGTGTCTACTTCCTTAAACAAACAGCAGCCATATCTGTGGTTGTTTCTAATGCACAGAAGGGCTGAGGAGACCAGGTTGGGATGACAGCAAAGCTTTGCTTAGTACAAGTATTTCTGTGTAATGAGACCATGATCTCCTGAGCAGTGACTGACAAAGTGGGAAGAAAACACCATGAGTGATGTGGAATTAACTTCAGCTCCCAGAAATATGGATATCTTGGGAACACTTCCCTGCTGAAGAGAAGAACGTTTCAACCTGTTTCTCTTTGTTATTTTTTTTTTCCTATTTTAATCTTTCACAGAAAGGAATGATCAGACAGAGCAGGAAGAAAGAAGAGAAATCAAGCAAAGATTGACAAGAAAGGTAGTATAAGCATTTTATTGCCTGAATAATAAAAGGTGGTCTAGAGAACAGCTGCTTCGGTAGCAGGTGGGATGGGTAATGCTAGGTATCACTCTGTGATCATGAATAATGTTCTCCTGGACATCATGGCATCAGTTAAATCAGGATATTTGCTCAGCAACAATGAATTAACTCCCTCTGACGTTCCCTATGGACGAAGTCCTTCCCTAGCACGGTAGCACTTGGAGAGGTGCACAATGCACATGACATTTTTTACTTATGTTCAGGTGGAAGCCAGAAGTTGATTGGCATTTTCTTAATTTACAGTGTCTAGGAAAAGCATACCTGGGTATCAGTGTTTTAGTCACATTTTACACTCATCGCTTTTGTTCACCTCCAATATGTCTAGAAGTTCCTCAGTTGCAGAAAGCTTTATTAGACTCAAAGGTTTGTTCTCTGTGACTCAAACAGTTAACATTTACTATGGCCAATACAGGTAGCAACTCTATAAATCTTAATCTACTTTTAAAGCCTTGACCATTTCTAAATTCAAGTGTTCTGGATTCCCCTTCTTCGTTGTGCTGCTCCATAATAATTCTCTTGAAATTAACAGAATATCCTTCCTAAGCTGGACATATAATAACTTTATTAGTACTTTTAAAAAGCTTATCTAATTGTATCTGAAGCCAGTGATGCCATAAAATCTAAGTTAATTCACTAACCATTCCTTGAGCTGGTGCTATGTACTACTGGGGGTGTGACTCCTTCTGATAAAATATGTTGGAGGAAGGGGGATTGTGATTTAAGAGTACAGTATATAATTTCAGCCCTTCACATTAGAGATTGCTTGTATTTGGGTTATATTTTCCAGTTTCAGGTTTTTTTTGTTTTGTTTTGTTTTTTAAGAGAAGTGCTGTTTGTTCAGAGTACTTCAAAAAAGCTAGTTTGGCATGTGATACTTAACTATGATGATCTTTAATTTTAGCTTAATCAGAGACCCACTGTTGATGAATTAAGAGACAGAAAAATTCTGATACGATTCAGTGATTACGTGGAAGTAGCAAAAGCGCAGGACTATGACAGGAGGGCAGACAAACCCTGGACGAGACTGTCAGCAGCAGATAAGGTACCTAACTGCCTGTGCTGGTGGGGGGTGTTGGATGATATAATAAAGGCAAAATATGTCATGCCAGGGAGTTTATTCATAGACAATGGGAGCCCTCAACTATTTAAGGGTATACTGCAGTAAATATTGGTTTCTCAAAGATAATTCAGGGTCAGATTGAGAAGTGGTTCTCAGCTAGGTGACAGTTTTGCCCCGAGGGACATTTGGCAATGTCTAGAGACATTTTTGATTGTCACAACTCGGGATGCTACTGGCATCTCCTGGTAGAGGCCAGGGACACTGCTCAGCATCTCACAATGCACATAACAGCCCCCACAACAAAGGATTATCTAGTACCAAATGTCAAGACTGTGGAAATTGAGAAACCTTGGTATAAGGGATAAATCAAAGGTGGGCAAGGCTGCCATAAGAGATCAACTGACAAGTTTAAACAAAAAGAGCTACAGTGGGGACAAAGAGGCATTCAAGAAAGCCTCTACAGTATAGAAAAGGTTCTAGATTCTCCCCCTGGACTTGTGCAGTTTGAGGTATCTCTGAGAACCTCCTAAGAAGTCTGAACTGAACAGCTAGAGAGGCAGGAAGAACACAAGGAGGTAGTAGGTCATAGAGTCTCTGCATGACATTTGGTGAGCACAGAGAGGGTCAGTTCTTGTCTGTGATCAAACACTTGACTGGCAAGATTTAAGCCCAAGAGTGTCCATAGAGTTTTGTCACCTTCTTGCTTCTATTAATTTTCAGAAGACTTAAAGCCTTTAGGAAGAGAAAAATTATACATTCAGGCAAGGAATTTGCTAATTGTTCTTCATTCTTCATATGCTGAGTATGAGTATGTACACAGATATTGCATCAACTTGGAGAAATGTGAACGTGTTGGACTAACTTGCCTGGTTCTTTGTGACTGATGTGCCCAGAGGATCACAGTGATGCGAGGAGAAGTATCTTTGGTGGTCTGCAGATGTGTTTGAGTATGAGAATAATATACCCCTAAAGTTCTTAAAGACTTTCCTTGTCCCAGAGGCTGTGTTTGATGTTTTCAGTCTCATCAGGTCCCTCGAGTGTTTATCTGAGAAAGAAGTACATGATGCAAGTGGGCCTGGGGAAGCCAAAATATTAATGTATGCTGAAGTTAGAAAGGCTTATTTCTAGATTATCTCTGATTATAAAATTCCAAGTTCACCAAAAGCTGAAGTTTACTCATTATCTTGGTGTTCCTGTTTCATTAGTGCCCTAAGCATGTGCTTGGTCCGTTTAGGTATGGAGTGAACGGAGTTTGGGGAAGGGTTGTCTTCCCACTACAGTTCAGCAAATTAATGAATGGAACACTTACATAATACTAGTCCTAGCCAGAGCAATCGAGCAACAGAAAGAAAGGGCATCCAAACTGGAAAAGAGAAAGTCAAGTTATCCCTCTTTACAGACAATATGATCTTATACCTAGAGAAACCTAAAGACTCCACCAAAAACTTAGATCTGATAAATTCACTAAAGCCATAGGATACACAAAATCACACAAAAATTAGTAGCATTTCTATAAACTAATAATGGACTAGCTAAGAAAGAAATCAAGAAGGCAATCTTATTTAAAATAGGTACCAAAAATACCTGAAAATGAATTGAACCAAGGAGGTGAAAGACCTCTACAAGGAAAACTACAAAACAATGATGAAAGAAATTGAAGAGGCCACACACAAATGGAAAGATATCTCATGCTCATGGATAGAAAGGACTAATACTGCTAAAATGACCATAAAATGACCAATGCAATCCCTATCAAAATACCAATGTCATTTTTCACAAAAATAGTAAAAGCCATCCTAAAATTCATGTGAAACCCAAAAAGAACCTGAATAGCCAAAGTAATCCTTAGCAAAAAGAACAAAGCTGGAGGCATCACACTAACTTCAAAATGTATTATAAGGTTATACTACCAGCATAATATTGGTATAAAAGACACATAGACCAATGGAAAAGAATAGAAAACCCAGAAAAAATTCACTTATTTACAGCCAACTGATTTTTGACAAAGGTGCCAAGAACATAAACTGGGGAAAGGACACTCTTCAATAAATGGTGCTGGGAAAATTGGATATCCATATGGCAAAAGAATGAAACTGTACCCCTATTTCTTACTATATACAAAAATCAACTTGAAGAATAAAGACTTAAATGTAAGACCCCAAACTATAAAACCACTAAAAGAAAACACAGAAGAAACAGTCCAGGACATTGGTCTAGGCAAACATTTTATGGCTAAGACCTCAAAAGCACAGATAGCAACCAAAATAAACAAATGAGACTATATTAAACTACAAAGCTTCTACACAACAAATCAACAGAGTAAAGAGACAACAGGGAATATGAGAAAATATTAATATCTGCAAACTATTCATCCAAAAAGGGACTAATATCCAGAATATACAAGGAACTCAACAGTCAAAAAACAAAACAAATAATCCCATTAGAAAGTAGACAAAAGACATGAGTAGACATTTCTCAAAAGATGACATACAAATCGCCAACAGGTATATGGAAAAAATGCTCAACATCATTAATCAACAGGGAAATGCAAATCAAAACCACGATGAGATATCATCTTATTCCAGTTAGAATAGTTATTAAAAAAATAAAAACATGCTGGAAAGGATTAGGAGAAAAGTGAACTTTTATATACTGTTGATGGGAATGTAAATTAATGCAGCCATTATGGAAAACAGTATGGAGACTCCTCAAAATATTGTTTAAAAACTATATGATCCAGAAATGCCACTTCTAGGTATACACGCAAAGGAAATCAAATCAGTACATTGAAGAGATATCTGTACTCCCCTGTTCACTGCAGCATTATTAACAATAGCCAAGATACAAAATCATCCAAGTGTCCATCAATAGATTAATGGATAAAGAAAATGTAGTGCGTGTATATATGTATATGTGAATACAGTGTGTATACACAGCCACACAAAATGGAATATTCCACCTTAAGAAAATCCAGTCATTTTTGACAACATGTATGGAACTGGATGTTATTATGTTAAATAAGCCAGGCACAGAAAAACAAATATCGCATGTTCTCACTCATGTGGGATCAAAAAAGTTGATGTCATGGAGGTAGACAGTAGAATGATAGATACCAAAGGCTGGGAAGGGTGGCAGGGTTTGGGGAGAGAAAGAGAGGTTGGTTAACCAGTAGTAACATACAATTAGAAGGAATAAGTTCTAATGTTCTATAGCAGAGTAGGGTCACTACAGTTAACAACTATGTTGTGTATATTTCAAAACAGCTAGAAGAGAGGACTTAAAATGTTCCCAACACATAGAAATGATAAATACTGGAGGTAGACATCCTAAATACTTGATCATCACACAGTCTATGCATATAACAAAATATCACATGTACCCTGTATATATGTACAAATATTATGTATCAATAAAATTTTTACAAAGACTTCCAGAATATTAGCTACATACTAGCTTGGTAGGACTATAATAATGAGTATGGCAGTTTTAATGATGAACCAAAAAATTGTTTGTTTTTTTCTGTATATTACATAATAGAGTCAACAAGGATTAGGAATGGTTAATTTATAAACACGATGCTAATTTCCTGATTTTTTTAATATCCTGTAAAACAATGTCTTGTTTTTAAATTTCAGGCAGCAATTCGTAAAGAATTAAATGAGTACAAAAGTAATGAAATGGAGGTACATGCATCAAGCAAGCACTTGACAAGGTCAGATTTGTTTCTGTGAATTTCATGGTACTTATTTTTGAAACACACACCGCCTTCCCCCGTCCCCCGCCACAAACCATGTATCCAGCTATACAAATTCAGCATTTTTCCAGAGAACTCTATTGAACAAATAGAATGTACCTCAAGTAAGAATGCTGCCTGCTCCCATTATTTCCTTTAGGACTTGGTGAAAGGTGATATGTATGGTAACAATATCGGTTTATTTAAGTAGTTAATGCATATTTAACAAAAATAAGCCTCAAGGCAATGAAAGTAATTTTTCTGTGTATTTAATTCCCCTCTAATATTCAGAATTCCTCCAATTTATAGAACTCACCTGTTTATACTTACAGATTTTTGTGAAATTAGTCACTCCCCACCTTCACATTTACTTTTTCCTATCGTAAATTATTAGTCACATCTTTAACACAGCCAGCGTTCTCCTAAAGCTGAGTATTTGTTTCCTCAGTAAATATTTGAGTAAGTGCTGAGAATGCAATAGTGAATATGATAAAGGAGGCTCCCATCTTCATGGAGTTTATGTCCCATTGGGAATATATTGGCTGATTCTCCCATAATCAAGACTTTTCCCATTAAGATGAATATATTCTCTGTCTATGCTATGATATGCAAGGGATGACACTGGGCTTCTTAGTGATGACGAAGTTGGGAAAAGATTTAACTCTCTTTACTTATTGAACTGCATATTTTTTCAGTATTTCCCCCCACTTCTTTTCCATGGCCATGACCGGTAGTAATTATGTGAAGTTCTCAAACATCTCTGATTCTAAAGCAGATGACTGTGATGCAACAAGCCTTCAACTGTATCAGTTGCTTTGTCTTCTCCTTTATCTGAAGATGCTCAAGGCCCACATACAAAGAGAAAGGAAATCCTGCATATAGATACTGCCTTAAACTAAAATAATAGCTTTAGTTTTCTGTTTGTTCCAAAGTGGCCACTGCAATTGTTATCTGAAAGATTTACTCTGTAAGATTAATGTGGCTATAGAACAGAAACTAAGTACAATGGAATTCCACCTTAACCAATGGTTTTAGGGTGAATATATCAAGGGGAAGGGAAAGTTGGATGAATAGGAAAAAATTATGCAAAGAGTTTGTTTTTTAAGGTTCCCTCCCATGACTAACATACTTTTGGGGAGGAATAGGTCATATGGAGGAATAGGTCATATGAATGTTTAGGAAAAACAGTTTCAGTAAATCATGCACAATTACATTTAATGTTCATTCTGTCTTAAATAGAATGAATACATATTCTATATATTGCAATCTCAATTTTGTACATTTTCCGATTATACATTATTAAATGTTTAGTAAAGATGTTTATTGTCCTAAGTTGATAGCTTTCTAAAATAATGACTCTAATACTTAAAATGTGGTATAAAGACCCTAAAATTATTTCAACAATTCAAGAGTCAGAACGGTATTTTTGGTTATGAGATTTTAAGAGTTTTAAAATTACTATGAACATATTACTCTACAAAAAGTCATAACTCTACTATAATTTTCAATAATTTATTAACAAATTCATCATTTCTACTGATTTAGCAAAGCCCTGGCCTTTCTGTGTACTTCAAGGGCTTTTAACTCACAGGTTTAAAACTAAGTTCTAGATAGTCCTAAGAATTCAGCATATAACAGGGGCCTGAGAGTGGGGAGCCCTCTGAGACTCTACCCTATTTTAACCAGAGTAGCTCCATCCTCATGTTTTACATATGGGACTTCTGAGAATCTTTTTAATAGCAGCAAATTTATTTGTATAAGGTTTTTGGCTATTTTAACTGCTAGAAATGAATAACCTTAAATTCTTTGTCTTTTTTATAATCTCTAGATTCCACAGGCCATAGAGATTTTCTTCTGAGAAGAATTTGTGTTTAATTTTTTGATACCAACACTGAACATTCATCAGGGAACTTTCCTGAAGTTCAGCTCAAGACTACCCTACCTGCTGTGTTTGTGAGAAGAGTAGGATCACACACACAGGTGCAATCTTGACCACACTTACCTGCAAGAGGAGTAACCAGAGGACACACTTCCTTCCTTCTTTGGTGTCTGAGGAGTGTGAACTGTTGGGGTCAGTTAAGACCCAACATAACTCTATCAGAAGAAAACTGTTGTTTGCCTTTCAACCTTGTTTTACAGTTCTGCAGTGTAATGGAGGACGGGCAACGTGCATGTGCAGGCTCACCACTCCCAGGCCTCTGACATGAGGGACATGTGACAGTGTCATTCAGTATTATGTTCAAAAGACATTTTTATCCTGATCATAATTAATTTGAAAACTCTTTAAGTTCATGTTATACAAGATGATTTACTGTATTATACTTTTCCTTTTTTATATAATGTCTAACAAAAAATACAGCTGCAACATTTTGATTCCTGTTAATTTTGTTCTTTAATTAAATGACTACTTATTGCAGGAAATTAACCCAGGCTTTACATTTTCTTGTGGTTGGGATGAGTGGTACTTTAGAACAGGGATCTGTGAAACAAGTCAATTTTTACTTGTGAACGATCAGAATCCAAACACATGAATGAGAATTCCAACTTTTTATGTGTTTGGTTTGTGCCTTAGAAAATCAAATTGAGTGCCTTTAACCAAGAAATAAGCAATAATTTGTTGAAAAATTCTATCAAAATGAAAAGTATGCCTCTTTAGAGTATTTTTAAGCTCACCTCTGCAAACACTGTTAAAGAAAGGAAATTTACCCCAGCACAAAGGTGAAAATCTTGGCACAAAGGGGGAAACTAACAATACATGTTCCCTGAAAAATATTTTTAATTGGCTTTCAAATAAGTGTCCTTACAGAGATGAGCCTTCCCTCCTCCTTCCCTCCTGGTATACTGGTGAGGCAGGAAGCACAGTAACTTGGAGCATGACTTTCAGAGCTTGCAGAACTTGTGCACAAATCCAAGCTCTGTGCTATTCAACAAGTTACTTGTTTTTTCTATAGTATGGTCATATCTCTCTCACACAACATTGCTGTAGTATCTAAATAAGACAAAGTAGCTAAAGTGCTGGCACATTGCTGAGGACGTTCTGGGAATCCAATAAATGTTAGCTACTGATATGGTTGCCAGGTAGCACCTGGAGCAACTGAGTGTCCTCTATGACTTCTTGCCACATATGCTACCTCATTGCTTTCCACTATTTTTCCTTTTCTACTTAAGACTGCTACTGGGTCAGACGCCCACAGAAACTGCCAAGTCTTTATGTTAGCACTTTGTCCAAAGTGACTTATGATCAGTCCTAGAGACTAGCAAAACACACTATTCATTGAATTATAGTTTTTTTTAATAAGAAATTGTTATGGTAGAAAAATTCCAGCTCTACCTCTTAGCTGCTCTGTAACCTTCTGTGAATCAGTTGACTTCTCTGAGCCTCAATTTGTTTGTGAAATGTATCTAAATCCTTTCTAATTAGAAGTCAGTTAAATTTAAAGGATTTGATATATATATATATATATACATTATATATTTTCTGTTATTCATAACCCATTATTTGTAGCCAAAACTTTACCTCTTTTCTATCTTAAGCAACATATTAGAAGCTCTCTGTATTTAATATTCAATTTAAAATATTAATGGGAGCCCAAATTATGTAAAACTAAGATTTCAATTTCCCTCACATAGAAATATTAATATATTTACTATGAAACAGAAAAGGAAAAGGTGCTACTGTTTAGAAACCACCTTGGCCCCCAAAGTACAAAAGATCAGTACTGCTTAACAAAAGAACCAGGCAGATCCTATAGTTAGAAATGACCTGGTTAGATGGGACATATATTTAGTTTTTTCCCCAAGTCCCATAACTAGTGGATAATAAAACTAAAAAGGTAAAGTGCAGGATAACCAAAGGAGGGTTTGGACTGGTTCAGACTCAAAGGTTCTAAGATATCCTAAAACCAGCAGACATATTCACTTAAATCAAAATTTGTGGCAATAGTATCTAACTTCTACCATTGTGTTTTTATTATGCACAAACTATTACTCTATACTTACATATTTCATGTTCTTATCAGGTATTATAAGGGTTAAGAGATAAACTAAAATTGAATCAAGTATATTTACTCTCCACCTGCACATCACAACTATCAAGTTAGAGGAATAAAATTAAAAAGCAATTCACAAGTCATATTACACTGATGACATACATGTATATGTACACGCATTTGCATATATTTATAATTTGAAGAGAAAGTTTATATACTTAACAGCCAACAGATTTAGAAAAAACTATTTGTCCTACTGAATAACAGTATATATGAATTATCAGAATTCTTCATTACTAGTATTCAATAATGAGCTTTTTATGCAATAAATTTACAAATCATTTGCCCCTATTTTCAGAAAAAATTATTAAAGCAACCATGAATATTTAAATCATAAGTTCTGTTTTTAAGGAGTTCAAAACATTTTTACAAGCATGTTAGTAATTTAGTGAGAGGAAATTAAATATCTTCTAGAAACATCTAGTAACTTTTAAGCTAATGTAATAGAGGAAATACTACATTATATGACTTTGTAAAAAGTATTTCTAAAAAAATTTAAAGGGGGCTGGGCATGGTGGCTCATGCCTGTAATCCCAGCACTTTGGGAGGCCGAGATGAGTGGATTGCTTTAGTCCAGGAGTTCGACACCAGCCTGGGCAACATAGCGAAACTCCATCTCTACAAAACAAAAAATTAGCTGGGCATGGTGGTATGCGCCTGTAGTCCCAGCTACTAGGGAGGCTGAGGTGGCAGGATCACTTGAGCCCGGGAGGTTAAGGCCATAGTGAGCCGTGATTGCACCACTGCACTCCAACCAGGGCAACAGAGCAAGACCCTGTCTCAAAAAATATAAAAATAAAATAAAGAGACTTTGAAATCATATCACCTAAGTAATTTTTTGACAATTGAAATGGTGGTGGGAGCGGGGAGGAAGAACCTAACATCAAGACATCCACCTTGTGGAAAGATATGGTAATTACAGGCCTACATTTATTATACATTGGAAGTAAAGTCAAAGTTTTTAGCTATGTACCTACAGTCCTTCAACAACAAATTCAAGCTCAGAAATGCAAAATCCTAATCGTACTATTAAAACTGCTATTACTATATGCTTCCGATACCCATTTGTCTAGTTTTTTTCCAGAGACCTTTTTCTCCATTTTTCATATGAAAACATCTCAGAAGATATTCGTAAGCAAGTGAACATATGAAACTGAATATATGAAAAATATTTTCAAAAAGTAGATTTCTATAAATCCCATTTGCTTATTTAGCTGCAAATTTATTTACAGTGATGATACTAGGAACATACTACTAGTTCAAACAAAAAATGTTTGTTCGAATGAACAACAGAAAGTACTGGTTAGCAGTTCCATAGTTCTATGAAAATAGAGCAGTATTTTTAAAGTAATAAAAATTTTCTTAAAAAACCTTTTCAAAGTTTTTAATCTCAACTGTAAATCTTAAAGATATAAATGGGGAAATTCTAAAAATTCAGTTTTCTTACTAAGCAATGGGAGGAAAGAAATCTGGATATATGGTACATATGACAATAATTTAATGTTTCAAGTTGCAGACATGTTACATATGTGTATTATTCCTTTCTAAATGCAGTTTATTATCCCTTCTCAAAAATACATACACTGAATGTATTACTACAATTCAGGTGTGTTCCCTAAAAGACTGGTCTATACCACCAGTCCATTCTCTGCTTTCCAGATAGCCTACTTCTTAATTATAATGGTGACACCTGATGTGGCAGAAAGCACAATCTCCAGAACCACCTATCATCTTGCTTCAATTTTTACATTCCAAGTTAGATTTGTTTGTTGATATTATTTGCTGGTATTTTATTTTGCTCAAAATTCTACTTGTTTATTCATAGCATATATGATTCTTCCATACTTTAAGTTTTAATTAGATAAGAAACTTATACACTAACTGTATGTGGTTTAACTGTTAATAGGTGGTAACAGAATGGTTAAAGAACTAACTCCAGCAACTGTGAAGCTCAACACTAGGCACTGAACTCAGAGTTGGCAGAATTTGTCACTGTAGACTACAAATTTCATGTTGAATTAAATGCTGTATGAAAACCACTCCATCTATTATTCATTTAAAGGATCTGCTGGCCTTTTAAGTTGGTGTTGGCCATCCATAATACTACGATTTGGTGGCAATGAGATCACTACAGTAATGGCTGTAGAATTTAGTATTTAGGTTTCTGCCTAGCTATACTAACGTAAAATTTCTTCTCTTCCATGTCCTTTTCCATGTGTACTTCTGGGACAGTTACCACCTTACAGCTCTATTTGGTTGAGGACATGCGGTAAACCTACACCAGGGTGTTAGATTACAATCCAGGTAAGAAATTTAAGTCATTAGCTACAATGATCATTTATTTTTAATATGTTTAAAATAGAACAATCAAGAATTTTAGCTATATTAATTAATATACTCATTAGCCTCTGCTATGCAAAATTGATTTAAATCACTATTTCTGTGAAACAGTAAGATAAACTAAGGAAAAATTTTATAATAAAGAACAGAGAGTTCTGATCTATAAG
The DNA here is from genome assembly GCF_000001405.40 of Homo sapiens. Taxonomy (NCBI): domain Eukaryota; kingdom Metazoa; phylum Chordata; class Mammalia; order Primates; family Hominidae; genus Homo; species Homo sapiens. The sequence continues at coordinate 59,851,843 of NC_000020.11, forward strand.
ATTTCCCTTCCGAACTTGAAGTCTGCAAACTACAGCCCACAGACCAAATCTGGCCAGCCCCTGCCCTTTTAGTGGCCAGTAAGCTAAGAATGGTTTTTATATATTTAAATGGTTACAATTGAAATGATTATAATAAGCACCGACGTGATACTCTGAAATTTGCCTTCTGGGCCACAAAGCCTACGACATTTTCTGTATAGCCCCTCAGGACAAACTTTGCTAGATCTTGCTCTGAACTTAAAAAATTTAAATAAACATATAATAGAACATTTTAGAAATGAATTACACAGAAGTCAAATAGCTAAATTGTTTTTAAATAAGCTTAAAACCTTTTAACTTCAAATCTATTCCAAATTTCAATACTCATTTATAAACCCAATTGTCTTTGTATTTGACTTGTACAAAATGTACATCAAATTAGGTAAATAAAGCCTCATCATTATTAAAGGCAAGTGTTTCATTAGTGTGACTTCCACTCCTCCAAGTTCCTTTTATTTAAAATTGTTGCTATCACAGCATAAGCTAAAAGTATATTATCTAAAGCTCAAGATGGTACAACATATTGATGTCACTCAACACACCTGTATTCCTAAAATGTTGTTCTCCTGTAGACGTCAATTCAGAATATTTTCATGCGCCTTTAAATAGAAAAACTAAAGCTAACCATTACAAATACATTGTCTTAACAATGAAGTCTATGTACATTTGATTTGCCTATATGATTCCTCTAAGGGTCCAATGAAATGGAAATCTGTATGATTCTGCATGACATTAAAAGCACACATATCCTCATTTTTAAGTAGGGAGTTCATCTCTGTTTTGAGGTGGGCATTCTGGTGAAAACTGAAAAACCTGCTAGACATATTCTAAAAGAGCTGTAACACCATGGAAGGGTTCATTTATTACTCATTTGTGTATCTAGACTTGAGCTCAGTGCATATCATATAATAGATGTTCAAATGGCTGGTTAATACTTTATCAATTACAATGAAAATGCTGACACCATATAGGACTTGAATTTTAGGAGACACATTAGTTCGCTTTGAACTTAGTAAATTCCTACTTAAAACTGCCGTATTGGCCGGGCGCGGTGGCTCACGCCTGTAATCCCAGCACTTTGGGAGGCCGAGGCGGGTGGATCATGAGGTCAGGAGATCGAGACCATCCTGGCTAACAAGGTGAAACCCCGTCTCTACTAAAAATACAAAAAATTAGCCGGGCGCGGTGGCGGGCGCCTGTAGTCCCAGCTACTCGGGAGGCTGAGGCAGGAGAATGGCGTGAACCCGGGAAGCGGAGCTTGCAGTGAGCCGAGATTGCGCCACTGCAGTCCGCAGTCCGGCCTGGGCGACAGAGCGAGACTCCGTCTCAAAAAAAAAAAAAAAAAAAAACAACAAAAAAAAAACTGCCGTATTCATTACTTTGTTCATTCACATTGTTGTAAGCCTACTTTTCCAGACACTCTTTTAGCTTCTGAAAATTGTGATGAATAAGACATACAAGTTTCCTACCACACAGAATTTACAGAAGTGGAGTTTGTGGAGGCAAGGCAGAAATAAAGAAATTTCAGATACCAAAAACTGCTATATGATAGACAGAAATAGTAACATTAATTGGATGGTGAGGGAAGTGCTCTCTAAAGAATTACCACTTAAATGGACACGTGAAAAACAGCAAGAGTTTCCAGGAAAATGGAATCTCAAAACCAAAGAGTTAGAAAAAAGTGAGATTGTTCAAGTAATGCTTGAGGCATACTCAACAAGGCGGAAAGGAGTACAAAATAAGGGTAAAGGGAGGCAGAGGTCAGCTCATGTGGGGCCTTCTAGCCCGTGATATAAAGGCTTGGTTTTAATAAGTTTTAATAATTCAGATGAAAGGCAGATTAATAAAATAAGGCATTTAAAGTAGTATAATTCTGTGGCATTTAGTACATTCACAATGTTATGTAACTACCACCTCACCTCTATCTAGCTCCAAAACATTTCATCACAACATAACTTTTAAGCAGTCACTCCCCATTCTTCCTTTCCCTCATCCCCTGGCAACCACTAATCTGCTTTCTGTCCCTGTGGATTTACCTATTCTGGGCATTTCATATAAATGAAATCCTAAAATATATGACCTGTGTGTCTCATTCTTTCACTTAGAATGTTTTTGAGGTTCATCCACATTGTAGCATGACTATATACTCCTTTCCTTTTATAGCTGAATAATATTACACTGTATGGATATATACCACATTATGTTTATTTATCATCAGTTGACAGCTATTTGGGTTGTTTCCACCTTTTGACTATTGTGAATAGTATTGCTGTGAACATTCTCATCCAAGTGTTTGTTCAATCTGTTTTCAATTCTGCTATATTTTAGATATCTGTCCCTACCCCAATCTCATGTTGAATTGTAATACCCAGTGCTGGAGGTGGAGCCTGGTGGGATTTGTCTGGGTCACGGGAGTGGATCCCTCATGGCTTGGTGCTGTCTTCACAATAGTGAGTTCTCACAAGATCTGGTCATTTAAAAATCAGTGGCATCTGCCCCTGCAACTCACTCTCTTGCTTGCTCCTGCTTTTGCCATGTGACTTGCCTGCTTTCTCTTTACCTTCCACCATGATTGTAAGCTTCCTGAGGCCTCCCTAGAAGCCAAACAAGTGCCAGCACCATGCTTCCTGTAAAGCCTGCAGAACTGTGAGCCAATTAAATCTCTTTTATTTGTAAATTACCCAGTCTCAGATATTTCTTTGTATCAATGTAAGAATGGACTAATACAGAAAGTTGGTACTGAGGAGTGGGACATTGCTATAAAGGTACCTGAAAATGTGGAAGCAGGTTTGGAACTGGTTAAGAGATTAGAAGAGTGAGGAGGGCTCAGAAGAAGAAAGAAAGATAAGGGATCCATATGAACTTTAAAGTAGTTTTTTCCAATTCTGTGAAGAAAGTCATTGGTAGCTTGATGGGGATGGCACTGAATCTATAAATTACCTTGGGCAGTATGGCCATTTTCATGATATTGATTCTTCCTACCCATGAGCATGGAATGTTCTTCCATTTGTTTGTATCCTCTTTTATTTCATTGAGCAGTGATTTGTAGTTCTCCTTGAAGAGGTAGTTCATGTCCCTTGTAAGTTGGATTCCTAGGTATTTTATTCTTTGAAGCAATTGTGAATGGGAGTTCACTCATGATTTGGCTCTCTGTCTGTTATTGGTGTATAAGAATGCTTGTGATTTTTGCACATTGATTTTGTATCCTGAGACTTTGCTGAAGTTGCCTATCAGCTTAAGGGGATTTTGGGCTGAGACAATGGGGTTTTCTAGATATACAATCATGTCATCTGCAAACAGGGACAATTTGACTTCCTCTTTTCCTAACTGAATACCCTTTATTTCCTTCTCCTGCCTGATTACCCTGGCCAGAACTTCCAACACTATGTTGAATAGGAGTGGTGAGAGAGGGCATCCCTGTCTCGTGCCAGTTTTCAAAGGGAATGCTTCCAGTTTTTGCCCATTCAGTATGATATTGGCTGTGGGTTTGTCATAGATAGCTCTTATTATTTTGAGATACGTCCCATCAATACCTAATTTATTGAGAGTTTTTAGCATGAAGCGTTGCTGAATCTTATCAAAGGCCTTTTCTGCATCTATTGAGATAATCATATGGTTTTTGTCATTCGTTCTGTTTATATGCTGGATTACGTTTATTGATTTGCATATGTTGAACCAGCCTTGCATCCCAGGGATGACGCCCACTTGAAAAAGAGCCCGCATTGCCAAGTCAATCCTAAGCCAAAAAAACAAAGCTGGAAGCATCACGCCTACCTGACTTCAAACTATACTACAAGGCTACAGTAACCAAAACAGCATGGTACTGGTACCAAAACAGAGATATAGACCAATGGAACAGAACAGAGCCCTCAGAAATAATGCCACATATCTACAACCATCTGATCTTTGACAAACCTGACAAAAACAAGAAATGGGGAAACGATTCCCTATTTAATAAATGGTGCTGGGAAAACTGGCTAGCCATATGTAGAAAGCTGAAACTGGATCCCTTCCTTATACCTTATACAAAAATTAATTCAAGATGGATTAAAGACTTAAATGTTAGACCTAAAACCATAAAAACCCTAGAAGAAAACCTAGGTAATACCATTCAGGACATAGGCATGGGCAAGGACTGCATGTCTAAAACACCAAAAGCAATGGCAACAGAAGCCAAAATTGACAAATGGGATCTAATTAAACTAAAGAGCTTCTGCACAGCAAAAGAAACTACCATCAGAGTGAACAGGCAACCTACAGAATGGGAGAAGATTTTTGCAATCTACTTATCTGACAAAGGGCTAATATCCAGAATCTACAATGAACTCAAACAAATTTACAAGAAAAAACAACCCCATCAAAAAGTGGGCGAAGGATATGAACAGACCCTTCTCAAAAGAAGACATTTATGCAGCCAAAAGACACATGAAAAAATGCTCATCATCACTGGCCATCAGAGAAATGCAAATCAAAACCACAATGAGATACCATCTCACATCAGTTAGAACGGCGATCATTAAAAAGTCAGGAAACAATAGGTGCTGGAGAGGATGTGGAGAAATAGGAACACTTTTACACTGCTGGTGGGACTGTAAACTAGTTCAACCATTATGGAAGTCAGTGTGGTGATTCCTCAGGGATCTAGAACTAGAAATACCATTTGACCCAGTAATCCCATTATTGGGTATATACCCAAAGGATTATAAATCATGCTGCTATAAAGACACATGCACACATATGTTTATTGTGGCACTATTCACAATAGCAAAGACTTGGAACCAAGCCAAATGTCCAACAATGACAGACTGGATTAAGAAAATGTGGCACATATACACCATGGAATACTATGCAGCCATAAAAAATGATGAGTTCATGTCCTTTGTAGGGACATGGATGAAGCTGGAAACCATCATTCTGAGCAAACTATCACAAGGACAAAAAACCAAACACCGCATGTTCTCACTCATAGGTGGGAATTGAACAATGAGAACACATGGGCACAGGAAGGGGAACATCACACACCAGGGCCTGTTGTAGGGTAGGGGAAGGGGGAGGGATAGCATTAGGAGATATACCTAATGTTAAATGACGAGTTAATGGGTGCAGCACACCAACATAGCACATGTATACATATGTAACTAACCTGCACAATGTGCACATGTACCCTAAAACAAAGTATAATAATAAAAAAAAAAGATAAGGGAAAGCTTGCAGCTTCTTAGAGATTGGTTAAGCGGTTGTGACCACAATGCTGATAGTGATATGGACAGTGAAGTCTCGGTTGAAGAGGTCTCAGATGGAAATGAGGAACTTACAAGGAGCTGGAGCAAAGGTCACACATTTTACGCTGGATGCATTCTGTTCATGCCTTAGGGATCTGTGGAAGTTTGGGCTTGAGAATGATGACCTAAGGTACCTGGTCGAAGAAATTTCTAAGCAGCAAAGTGTTCAAGAAGTGACGTGGCTGCTTCTAACAGCCTATGCTCCCACGTGGGAACAAAGAAATGACTCAACATTGGAAATTATATTTAAACAGAAAATGGAGAGTAAAAGTTTTGAAAATTCACAGCCTGGCTGTGTGGCAGAGAAAGAAAAAGCTATTTTGGGAGAGGAATTCAAGCAGGCTGTGGAGCAACCACTTACTAGAGATAGTGGCATAACTAAAAGGGAACCAAGTGCTACTATCAAGACAATGGGGAAAAGGCCTTGAAGGCATTTCAGAGAACTTTCATTGCAGCCCCTACCACAAGGGGCCCAGAGGCCTAGGGTGGAAGAATGGTTTGTAGGCCAGGCCCAGGGCCCATATCCTGTGCAGCCTCAGGACACTGCTCCTTACATCCCTGACTCCAGCTCCAGCCTCAGCTCAAAGGGCCCCAGATACTGCTTATGCCACCACTCTGGAGAGCACAAGTCACCGTAAGCCTTGGTGGTTTCCACGTGGTGTTAAGCCTACAGGTGCATAGAGTGCAAGAGTGAATGAGGCTTGGCACCCTCTACCTAGATTTCAGATGTATGAGAAGTGGGACATGGAGTTAAGGATTATTTTAGAGCTTTAAGATTTAATGACTACCCTCCTGGGTTTGGGACTTGCATGGTGCCTGTTGCCCCTTTCTTTTGGCTGATTTCTCCCTTTTGGAATGGGAATATTTACCCAATGCCTATACCCTCATTGTATCTTGGAAGTAAGTAACCTGCCTTTGATGTTACAGGCTCATGGGTGGAAGGGATTTATTTGCCTTATCTCAGATGAGACTTTAGACTTGGGACTTTTGAGTTAACGCTGGAATGAGTTAAGACTTTGGGCAACTCTTGGGAAGGCATGGTTGTATACTGCAATGTGAGACGCATATAAGATTTGGGAGGGGCCAGGGGTAGAATGATGTAGTTTGAATATTTGTCCCCACCAAATCTCATGCTGAATTATCATCCCCAATGTGGGAGGTAGGGCCTGGTGGGAGGTGTTTGGGTCCTAGGGGCTGATCCCTCATGACTTGATGCTGTCTTCACAATAGTGAGTGAGCTCTCATGAGATCTGGTCATTTAAAAGCGTGTGGCACCTCCTCCTCTCTCTCTCCCTCCCTCTCTTCTCTTGCTTTCACCATATAACATGCCTGCTTCCTCTTCACCTTCCCTCATGATAAGCTTTGTGAGGCCTCCCTTGAAGGTAAACAGATGTCAGCACCATGCTTCCCATAAAGCCTGTAGAACCACAAGCCAATTAAGCGTCTATTATGTATAAATTATGCTGTATCAGGTATTTCTTTACAGCAATGCCAAAGCAGACTAATAGAAATTCTTTTCGGCATATACCTAATAGAATTGCTGGGTCATATGGTAACTCTTACGTTTAACTTTTTGAGGAACCACCAAACTGTTTTCCACTGTGGCTGCATTCTTTTATACTGCCCCAGAAATGTCCAAGAGTTCCAATTTCTCCACGCCCTCACCAAAATTTATTGTTTTTTTGATTCTAGGTATCAAGTGGGGATAAAGTGGCATTTCATTATGGTATTGATTTACATTTCCCTAATGACTAATCATGCTGAATATCTTTCTGTGTGCTTACTGGCCATCTGTAGGTCTTCTCTGAAGAAATGCTTATTCAAGTCCTTTGGCCATTTGTATTTGGGTTGTGTTTTGTTGTTTGGTTGTAACACTTCTTTATATATTTTGAATACTAGACTCTCAGAGATACAATTTGCAAATATTTTCTCCCATTCTGTAGGGTGTCTTTCCACTTTTTGGGAGTGTCCTTTGATGCACAAAAGTTTTGAATTGTGCTACAGTCCGATTTATCTAATGTTTCTTCCATTGCTTGTATCTGTATCATATTTAAGAATCCACTGCCAGATCCAAGGTCATAAAGATTGACTCCTGCATTTTTTTCCTGCGTTTCAGAGTTTTGGCTCTTACATTTAGGTCTCTAATCCATTAATTTCTGTACATGATCTGAAGTAAGGTTCCATCCTCATTATATTGCATGTGTTTGTCCAATTGTCCCAGAACAATTTAAGAAACTATACTTTCCCCCATGGAATGGTCTTATACCCTTGATGAAACTCAGGTGACCATAGATGGGTGGATTTATTTCTAGACACACAATTACATTCTATTGGTCTAGAGGTCTATCATTATGCTAGTACCACATAATTTCAATAATGTAGGTTTGTCGTAAATTTTGAATTTGGGAAGTATGAGTTCTCCAACTTTATTCATTAGAGTTTTTTGGTTATGCTGGGTCTCTTCCATTTTCATATGATTTTTAGGGTTAGCTTTTCCATTTCTGCAAGAAGACCATTAGGATTTTGATATGGATTGTATTGTATCTGTAGTCTATTTCAGGGAGTATTGCCATTTTAACATATCAAATCTTCCAATCCATGACCATGGGATTACCTTTCCACTTATTTAGGCCATCTTTAATTTCTTGCAACAATGTTTTGTAGTTTTCAGTCTTATACCTCCCTTGGTTAAATTTATTCCTAAGAATTTTAATCTTTTTGATGCTATTGTAAAGGACATTGTTTTCTTAATTTCATTTTTGTATTGTTAATTTCTATTATATAGAAATACAACTGATTTTTCTGTTGATCTTGTATCTTGCAACTTTGCTGAATTTGTATTAGCTTCTAATGATTTTCTTGACTCTGTAGGATTGCTTAGACATAAGATCAAATCACCTGTAAGGAGAAATAGTTTCGTTTCTCCCATTCCCACTTGGAAATCTTTTTCTTTTTCTTGCATCATTTCTAGATCTAGCTACAACTTCTAGTACAATATTGAATACAAGCAGTGAAAGCAGGCATCCCTGTCTTATTCCTGGTCTTGGCAGGGCAGGGGGGCTTTTAGTATTTCCCCATTGAGTATTATGTAAGCTATAGGGCTTCATACGTACTCTTTATCATGTTTTGGAATTTTCCTTCTACTTCCAGTTTTTTGAGTGTTATTATAAAAGGGTATTGGATTTTGTCAAATGCTTTTTGTGCATCAACTAAGAATATTTCTTTTTCTTCCCTCATTCTATTGATATGGTATATTACATTCATTTTCCTATGTTAAGCCACCCATGCTTGGCTGGGATAAATCCATTTGGTCATGGTATGGAATGCTTTTAATGTGAAGCTGGATTTGGTTTGCTATTTTGTTGAGGGTTTGTGCATCTATACTCACAGAGAATATTAGTGTGTAATGACGCCATTGTGTGGTTTGGAATGTTCTCTCCTCTTCTGTTTTCTGGAAGAGTTTAAGAAGGACTGGGCTGGGCATGGTGACTCATGCCTGTAATTCCAGTGATTTGGGAAGCCAAGGCAGGAGGACTACTTGAGGCCAGGAGTTCAAGGCCAGCATGGGATACACAGCAAGACCCCATTCTCTAGAAAATATTAAATAGCTGAGCATAGTGGCACGTGCCTAGAGTCCTAAGCTTACTTAGGAGGCTGAGGCAGGAAGATCACTTGAGCCCAGGAGTTTGAGGTTACAGTGAGCTAAGATCAGACCAACATACTCCAGCCTGGGTGACAGAGTGAGACTCTGTCTCTAAAAAATAAATAAATAAATTTGAAAAAATTAAAAAAACTGGCATTATTTAAATGATAGAATTCTTTGTTGGGAGGTTTTCGATTACTAATTCAACCTCTTTACATGTTATAAGTCTGTTGATATTTTTTATTTCTTCTTGAGTCGGTGTTGGTAATTTGTGTTTTTAGGAATTTATCGATGTCATCTAGGTTAACTAATTTATTGATATATAATTATTCATAGTATTCTCCTAGAATCCTTTTTATTTCCGAAATTTCAGTAGTCATGTCCCTAACTTTCATTTCTCACATTAGTAATTTGAGTCTTCTGTTTATCTTAGTCAGTCTGCTAAAGGTTTATTTTCTTGATCTTTTCAGAGGACCAAATTTTGTTTTTATTGATTTTCTGTGTTGTTTTTCTGTTCTGTTTATCTCTGATCTAGTTCTTCATTATTTCATCGATTCTGACAGCTTTAAATTTTTCTAGTTCTTTAAGGTATAAAGTAAGGTTATTGATTTGATACCTTTCTTACTGTTTATTGTAGGTGCTTACAGCTATAAATATCCCTCCGAGCACTGCTTTCAACGGATCACGTTTTGGTATGTTGCATTTTCATTTGTCAAAGTATTTTCTGATTTCCCTTATGAGTTGTCCCTTGACCCACTGGTTAAGAGTGTGTGTCACTGGAGAGTTTTATGTAAGGGAGTGACATGGTATGATTTATGCTTTAGCAAGACAGTGTTGGCTGCTAAGTGAAAAAAGTGTGGAAGGGAAAGTATAAATGCTGAAAAGCCATTGTAAGAGGCCGTTGAAATTGTCTGTGTGAGAAATTATACTGACATTGTCACAGAGACAGTGCAAGTGGCAGAAAGTATTCAGATGTGGGTCATATTTTGGCAGTAGAATCTATAGGAATTGTTGATGAATTTACTGTTTGGCTAAAAGGAAAATAATTCAGGAATTACTGTTAGGTTTTGGTTTGAATAGTTGGGTAGTTAAAAGTAACTTCATTGAGATAGGAAGACAAAGTTTACTTTTTCTTTGATGAAGAGAAAGAATGGTAAGGGAGACAAATCAAGTTATTTTGAGAGTTGAGATTCTTATTAGAAACGTCAATACAGCAGTATTTATAATGTTCTGATGTCCAAAGTGAAGGTCAGAACGTTTATAAATTTGAGATCATCAACACAGAAATAGTTATTATATGGGACTAGATGAAATTACTTAAGGTGAAAGTACTGACTGAGGAAAAGAAAGAGACTAGGAATGAACCCAAGGAAAAGACACAGAAGAGTAGCAAATACATGCCAGCAGAGGATTTTAAGCATGAAATGCCACTGAGAGGCTATGTTGCCAAATCTAATCTGTTTTTACTTAAATGACTGTTGATTTTGATAAAAGTAGTTTTGATGAAATAGTAGGGGCAGAGCTGCATTGAGGGAAGGAAGCAAAGAAGTTGAGATAGTAACCTGAGAAGATTATTCTGATATATTCTCTGTAAAAGTGAATGGATAATTATATGGGTAGGGCAGTGGTTTCAGGAGAACTTGATGTCAATGGAAGCCTATTTATTTACTTATTTACTTATTTAATTAACATGGACTATAAAAATCAGGAGAGGAAAATCAAAGATAATGGGATTAAAACCCATTAATCACTAGTAGGGTGATTGTTCTTAAATAAACAAATCTGCTATTGGACTGAAAGAGAAATCAGAAAATGCTGGTCTTGATGCAGGAAACATGTTAGATTTTAGGGTGAAGATGAGAAAATTATGAGGTTAGACAATCAGCTCAAAGGTAAAGAATCAAGGAAAGAGGTATTTATATGCAATAATACTCTGGAAATGTGGTAAAGCCAATTAAAGAGAGCAGAGTAAGGACTGTTGAGCAATGTTGAGTGCCCATTTGAAGTACGTGGCCATACATTTAAAGCCTGATTGTATTATTTTCTCCTGTGCTGTTCAATTGGTAGAATGACAGCTAAGAATTAGTGGATAAGGTTGACAGGAAGAGAAAGGGCAAGAGAGTATTATTTTGAACTCTGGCATCTAGAATGGGTAAGGAAGGAAGGACAGACAAGAAGGTAACAGGAATAGAGAAAAAGTATAAATAGCCTGAGACTACTATACAAAGCAAGTTGGAAAGATAGGCTGGAGTGATAATGTTGGAAATTGAGGTTTAGAGGGGCACAACTGCTGGTAATGATAGGATTTTAGAAGAGTTGGAAAGAATAAAGAACCTGGGATGGATTACACATATAGTACAGTATTGAAATCAAGTATGAGGTATGATTTAGGAGTCTTGGAAATTTGGCTGACGATGAGGTAAACAGGGTGATAAGACATGATGCAATTAGTCTCACAGGGCAAGATGGATTTGCAAGTCCTGAGTGGTATTTAATATTGTAACGCTGTCACTCTCTTAAAATAGCAACCCCGCTACTCTATCAATAAATCTTAGCTGATGCTAATAATTGCATAAAGCTGACCAAAATGAGAAGGGTTTTAAGAAGCCAGTTTTCCCACTGTTTAATTACTGGTATTATTTTTGAATAATACTCTGCTACCATTAAATAGACAAGGGATAGTAAAGCTACTTAGCATTATACTTTGGATCAAATAAATATCCTTCTTCAGATACCCAATGTTCACAAAATAGGAATATAATGATTTATATTTATTCAAGTGACATAAGCATTTATTTCAACTTCATTAAAAGCAAATCAAATGTATACTCATTTTTATAAATTAATCTAGCAAGATATTACAATGACTACTAGATTAAAAGTATTTGTCAAACAGCCTGGTTATGAAATAGGACTTCTATATTGAATTAACATATTTAGGCAATGTAGTAGCTTTTTTAGGCCATTTAGTGCTTCCTAATACATTAGAGCCATATCTGAATAAATGTTTCCAACAGTGTGCTGAAAGTACTGATCTACCACTCAGTTATACATTTTAAACTAGGGACTTCCTCCCCCTTGTAAGTGTGGCTAAATTTTTATTAGTTGAATTCTAAGTTATTAAACATATTTTAATTATATTCATCCCCAAACTGCATTGATTCAAAAACACATTTTATGTAATAATACATTTTACACAATAAAATTTAATTTATTAAAGAAACTCATTTTATGAGTATAATTAACTCAAAAAGTTTCTTAAAGCTTTTATCTCCAAAATTAAAAAAAAATATTGTATAGACAGAAGTCTTCTGGGCTTGGACTCATGTTATAGTGGTTCCCTCTCATCCATTAAAAGACATTTTTTTTTAATTTGAGGGTTCCTATAAAGGGTACACTTGCTTCGGTGACATGTATATTTTTCTCTTTGTAGGACTATTCTTATTTCCTCAGTTATATACAGAGAATAATAATTAGATAAAGTATGGTGATAAAAACTAGATTTCACACATTAGCATTTCTTTCATGAGACATGAATACTGACATCAGTTCTCTGCGTACATTAAGAAGCTCCTCTTCTAGCTATAGCCAAGAAAAAAAAAATCACACTTAGATTTCACATTTTCGCTGTAAAACCACCAAATAAAATAGAAAAAAAAAAATCAAGCTGTTATTAGTGATTCATTTTAAAACAACTTCTTTCATGAAGATATTGCATTCTAACAGGTCTACAGATATCCACAGAATTCTGTGATCATTACTGATATTCAAGACAATCAGTTGAGAGAAGGCTCTAATCTTTTAAAGCCCCAAATCAGTGAAATTTAGATTCAATTTTTAAAGGAAGAGAGTAAAATTAAAAGTCTAGAAAACAATTTCAACAAGGATCAACCTAGTTAAGTAGCTTGTTTGCTTGAAGCTAAACTAGCTTAGCCACAACATCTTGATCCTGTACTATGTCAGCATATTGAGGTTCTATCTTTGTAAGTACATTAATATACTGTGTATACAAAGATCAGTGTACTTAAAAATGCCTTTCATCTTTGAGAAAACTCCAAAGACATTATCACTTAAAACAGTACCTTTAGTCCCTTCCCAGGTCCATCCACATTTCCCCCCAGAATGCAGCTGCTGGTCTACTAGGCCACTGGAAAGTAAACTAATTTAATCCTCAAATCTAAGTAAATGACATCTTGTCCAAACAGACAGTAATTCTTCCACTAAACTACAGACTTTCTGGGAGTTTTGTCCTGCCATATTTTCTCCTTCAGAAGACACAGCAGGACAGACGCCTGCTGCAGTACCCAGTGTTTAGAAACTGCAAACAAATCATTCTTTCAGATAATTTTTCAATTTGCAAATTTATATTCTCTTTTACTCCTTAGGAGGGCCTGTTTAAATTACCCCTATTCTTTCACTATAAATATGCTCCCATTATTTAAAGAACTAAAAGTAATTGGGCTAAAACTATTTTCTCTCAACCCAAAAGAAAAAGAAAGACATAAAAGCACACACACAAAAAAATCAAAAACAAAAGACATTAAAGTATGATTATCCCATTTTCAAACTTAGTTGACTTACCATGTCCTTAAGAAGCCTGTCTTGCAGCACTTTCATATCTTCTTTCATCAAACACATCTGTAAAAAAGTAAATATATTTCACCCATGAAATTTACCATAAAGTTTTCACAGCAAAGACAAAGTTACATTAACAAATTCTTTTTGTAATCAAGAGAGGTAACCTATAAAAAGCATAAAATTTATACCTCGGATGTAAAAACAGTTTCTTCACTATCAGTATTACAGAAGACACTTTTAGCCAATGAAGTTTTCAAAAGATGAAGCCTAAGAAGTAAAATAATGAGTTAACCTTGTATTTATCAATAATTCAAATTAGAGTGCTATAATATAGTATATATAATTTTAATTTTTCAAATAGAAATTTATTAATTTAAAAATCTAATTTTATAGATTATAGCCATTAAGAATGTCATACTAACCTCTGTTGTTCGCTTTTTTGATATGCACTGAACTTCTGAAATATCTTTTCCCAAAAGTCCTAAATTAATTAATAAAATTTTATTTAGTCCTAAATATTTTAGTCCTAAAATAAAATCCAGTTAAACTTTAATATGATTAAAAATTAAAATCCAACAGTAGAATTACTCTATTTCTATTATTACAAATTTAAATAAACAGTATGGCTATATGTTAAAAATATTCCAGATGTCATATGCTCTTTCAAATTAAAATAAAATTGAAAGTAAAATCTCTCAGGATTTCTCATTATCAAAGATATTCATCATAAATTTAAGTTCGTACTTCAAAAGTGTTTCTATGAAGCTGATTAGAAATCTAAGATAAAACTAAATTATTTTCTGAACAAAAAGCTTTAGGATGTGCTCCCAAAAAAGAAAGTTTTTCCAAGTATAGCTCTTTAAAAATAAGGTTTTAAACTTATTTAAAAAATTTTTAAAGTAACAAACCACAAATTCCTTTTCCAAATCTTTTAAAGACTGTGAATCTTTTTCAAAATTCTCCAGCTCCTCTATGATAATGAATTGGAATTTATCAAGTTTTTTAATCCTATTACAGAAACAAAATGAGATTAATTTTAAAAACTGTAGCATTCAGAATATAGGAATATGTAGCATTCAAAAGTTTTCAGAACAGATTTTTATTACAGACCTAGAGTCCTGACTTTGATGATTCATTGTTCTCAGATGTTGCTGAGCTGTTTTCCAAGACTGCGTAGTAAAATAACTCAACATTTTATGTCGGATCTGAAAAATACTCATTTTTAAGTTAAAATATCTTTACAAAATAACACTCTAACCAAGACTACAGTAACAGCAAATAATTTTCCACGAAATGTAAATTACTAAGAAGAACTTGGAAAAGTGAAAAATTAAAAACTCAGTTATTTAAACTGAAGTGTTAATAGACACTGCTCTGAGTGAACTTATTTAACTCCATCAGTAGGTCTTTGACTAAGGGTTGAGTCCACAATTGTTTTCATAAGAACCCCACACTCTACAGTATTTACAAAAATGCTGATGGTTATAATTCTCTTCAAAGACACAGCCTAAAAGTCACACTCAGAATTTTTTAAAACCATTTTTTTCACAAAAACATAAATCTAGCTACAGACACATAGGAGAATATATAAGTCAAAGCTTCTCTATTCAGATTAGGTTGGCCTTGGGCCAAAAAAAAAAAAAAAAAAAAAGAAACAGAAAAAACAAGCAATTTCTAATTTTAACCCTGAATATAGGAGAAAGGAAAGCAAGACTGGGGGCGGGGGGGGGGGGGGAGGGTGTTGATAACCTGTGCCCAAAATATCTTTTATTCAAAGGAGGGCATAAAAAACTAAAAAACTATCGATTCCAAATAGAGGCATGTGAAAGAGATAGGCAGAAATATATTACTAATAATTAAAAACTGTTTTAAAAAGCATTTTTGCATTATCTCACTGGAACCTCAAAAACTAAGACTACATAACTATAATACAAAACTAGTAAAACAAAATGAAATGGTATTGCTCTGACTGCAGCTGCTCATTCTTTATACTACACTATACTATCTTCATTAATGCTCACCTAAATGACATAAAAAATGTCTTGAAAAGTGGCATGAAAACTGTCCAGTAAAAAAAAAAAAAAAATCACAGAAAAGCCAAAACATTAAACTGAAAAGGAAAATAGGACAAAAGAGAAAAAAGTAGTAGCAAAAGAAAGAATACGGGTAATATACAGATTTTATTCCAATTATTCACATATAAGGAAAGTTGGTTTCATGAATGGATATTTTGTTGCCAAAGGATCAAACAAGCCAATGGTCTAGTAGAAAGTGTGGCATATTATTATATTATTGGGTATAAATCATAATTTAAAGAATAACTCACATTATTCCTTCTCTTAAATTCTGAATTGAGCCTCTCGTAAGTCTCATAAGTCATCTCTATCCCTGCAAATTCATTTTGCCAGGTCTCCCAAGGAATAGAAAAGTCATTTGTTGATAATGAAGATACACTTTCAGACACTAAAAAATGAAAACAATCTGCTGAAGTTAAAATATGCATTACTCTAAATTTAGCCTTGTAATTAGGCTAAGAACAAAATCTATCTTATTTTCCGAATCTATGTGTAACCTAAGGATTATGAAATCAAAGGCAGAAGAGTTCCTTATGTTTTTTTTAATTTAAAAATCAGATTATTCTGATTTATAAAACAAACTTTTTGGTATGGCTATTACAGCAGAAATGACTACTTTAAGCTGGAACATTTATGGATTATTTTTAACTGCTTTTTAACTAGTTCCACATTATTATTAGGTATTTAGTGAGGTACTAGCACATCAGTAAATTCATACTCTAGTTAACCTAAATGTGATAGTAAGTGACAGAATGATGAGGGAGATCTATGGGCATCTAAGACCCTTACTACAACAATTATTCATATAAATGTGAACTTTGCAATAAAGCATCATCCATCTTGGACATATCCAAAGTTGTCTTTACAAATTTGTTTTGTAAATAGACTCATTCAAAATATAAGAACCACCCTCCAAATAACTGCATTTTGATACAGGCTACTGATCTACCTACTTTTGTGGATATGATGATCTGCATCTTCAATTTTACACAGTTTTTTGGGAAGCAAGTTTGCTCTCCTTTCTCCTTTCTCTTCCATTTCTACTTCATTGGAATTACTTAGATTATCTTCTATATATATTCTTTTGCGACTAAGATGTTGGGTGGGGCCTTAGGAACAGTTAAAGAAAGTTAAAAGCGCTGCAATTTTCATTAAAAATACCTCATATTTTCTTGCTTTTATTTTAAAAAGGCTTTGTTTCCACTAAGTATTTTTATTATGTTTTAGGTAATTATGCATTCAATTCTACCTAGTTTATTTTCTTTTTACATTAAGTTGAATAACGGTATGACTTAAAATACATAATTCCTTTAGTTGAAATGTCACGTAGCATTTCAGTAATCATTTTTTAAAAAGCAAGACTATGACTACAAACCTGATACATGAGTAGCATCACAGGGCATGTCAAACCACGTTTTCTCTCTTCCTTCACTAGACTTGGATAATGAAGATGCTAAATGACTTTCCTAAAATACGTATTAGAAATTAGAAAAAAATTCCGTAAATATATTTCAATTCACATTTTATCACCTTTCTCAAACCCAAAAACCAATAATTTTAAATGCTGTCAATTCTTTCTCAGATTGTTTCTATCCCTTCCTTTTCATCTCTAATATTTACCATGTGTTAACCTTGATTCTAAGTTGACCTCAATCTTCTTGTAATAGCTGTGATGTGAGCTACTTTTTTTTCTATTCCTGCTTTTCATTTCTTTATTAGGATTTCCATTTCTTTGAGTCAGGAAATGAGGAGCCACAGAAAACTAAAGTTTAAACTACTCGTCTTTCAAACCACATCTTTCACATCTAACCTTATGTTATACTATTTGAATATACAGGTTTTACTTAGTAACCTTTACATAGGTTACTGATTTTTCTCCACTTAATCTACATATACCTACCCATCCACTTAGGTCTAGCTCAAATCGCAGCCCTCTCCAAGTTGTAAAATTCTGTCTTGATTTTCTATATTTTACAGGTTACTAAAATATTTTTATTGATGGATGGATGGGCTTTTATGCTGGCAGGAAGTTCAACCAAATACCTATATATTCACGAAACCAGAAAGTGCCTATTGTAAATATGCAATCCGGGGTTCAGCAGTGGTATCCTCACTATTTAAGACCTTACTACTCTCATTTTAAAAGTTTCAACTTTCTTCTATCAAAAAATATTTTTCTATGATCAAGCCATTCTATATACTTTAAACATCAGATTTTCAGGTAATAACAGTTGAAAAGCATTAAAATATTATAATTACCACTAAAGGTCAGTAATCTGAGTCTTATAAGAACCATCTTAGTGTAAGGAAAATTTATAAGTTATAGTCCCACACTTACCTCTCTTTTGCTTTGTATATAATTTTCATTGATATGTGGAGATTCAATTTCCATAAACCGTTCTTCTGAACTATAACTGCTTACATCTGAATAGCTGTTACTGTTTTGTGTTTCTTGTGTAAGTACCAGAGAACTTATTTTTTTTCTATTTACAATAGTATTACTCTTAGTTGGAGTATGTCTGGGCTATGAATGAAGACATACAAAAACCCAATAAGAAGTTACAAAATTGTTCAAAGCCCCCCACTTCAAAAAGAGTTGAACATAAGAAACATTAAAGCAAAACTGCAAAACTACTAATTCACTGCAAAAATTCAATTCCAATTCATAACTAAAAATAAAAAATCCTTAGGCAAGTGGATTATTACTTTGATGACCAAAACCTGTAGATAAGGATCCCTGCTAGTACAGTTTCTATGCTCCAGAGGTCAAAGTCACCTTAACAAGAACACGAATAAGAATTTTTTGCATTTTCTGTTCTAATCTTCATGTGTAACAGTTTATATGGCTGTCTATACAGAAAAGCCAAGAGAATCTAGGCAGACAATCATGATAAAATTCAGCAAGGTTGTTGGAGATAAAACAATCAATAGTTTTTCTATATAAAAATTTTAAAACTCAGAAAATGTAATTTTTAAAAAAAGTCTTTTTTTTAATACAGCAAAAAGAAGACCCATAAAATACTTAAGAATTAATCTAACAAGATGCATAATTTCCTTTGTAGGAGACTTCACCCAACTTTGCAGGAAATAAGACAAAAAAGTGGAGAGAGAAATCATGTGTAGATAAGAAAGATCAACATCAATATTGAAAAATGGCAATTCTTCCCTTAGACAAACTAATTCTAAAATGTATATGAATCAGTAAAGGGCAAAGGAATTCTGAGGAATGGTGGGGCAGGGGGTATGTAACACCCTATAAATGTAAAATGACCCCAATTAAAGCAATGCTGGTATTAGCACAGAGATAGATAAACAGGCCAGTAAACAGTAAAATCTAATGGTGCCTAATCCAGGCCCATGTGATCACCCAGCCTATGACTAAATTAAGACTATTCCACTCCTGATGTCGCACTAATTTGATATCCATATGAAAAAGAAAGCCTGGAGAGACTCAAATCTAAAATTTGAGTCAAATTTAGACTCAAATCTAAAATAAGAAAATATTTTTATGACAATAGCTTAGGGGAAGATTTCTTAAACAACCCAGAAGATTGGTAAATTTGATTATGTCCTATCTTTTGTCATAGGGAAGTTGTGTAATTAACTGAAAATATACATACTAGGAAAAGAATGTTTACATTATATACAACGAATAAAGAATATCCAGAATATATTAAGAACTCATACAAATTTGTAAGAAAAATCAAGCAATGCAATTTAAAAATAAGAAAACAAACAGGAAATTCACAAAATGGCCAAAATCATGTGAAAATACTCATTGATGCAATGAGTCAGGAAAATGCAAATTAAAGACACAACTTTATGCTTACCAGACTGGCAAAAACAGAAACAACTGATAACATCTACTTAGTTAAAACTGTAGAGAAATGAGCACTATCTCATAGCAGTGTTGAGAGTGTAAGTAGGTTCAACTACCATATAAAGCAAATTTCCAACACCTTATTAAGAGTTGACAGTAAAGGGGCAGCATGGGGGAATGTCTCATGAGTGTCCAGCCAATGAATATGTAACTGTTAAAATTCCATCTAACACAGAGTAGCATCAAAGATGGTGGGTGGGGATTACCTAGGCTTGGAGATTTTGCAAGGTGGCATACTGAAGGGATTAAAGGATGCGGGGGAAAATAAGAATGACAGAAACAAAGGGATTGGTTCTAGGACCTCTTGTGGATATCAAAATCAGAAGATGCTCAAATCTGTGATATAAAATGGTTCAGTATTTGCATATAACCTATACACATCCTCCCATATACATAAGTAATCTCTAGATTACTTATGATACCTAATACAATGTAAATACTCTTAAATAGTTGTTATATGTGTTGTTTAGGAAATGGTGACAAGAAAAAAAAGTCTGTACATGTTCAATACA
Source organism: Homo sapiens (assembly GCF_000001405.40). Taxonomy (NCBI): domain Eukaryota; kingdom Metazoa; phylum Chordata; class Mammalia; order Primates; family Hominidae; genus Homo; species Homo sapiens. The sequence continues at coordinate 59,871,852 of NC_000020.11, forward strand.
GACACAATTAAAAATATATATTGTTGTCTGTGGTTGAATCCACAGATGTGGAACCCACAGATATGGAGGGCCAACTATATTGATAAAGGATCACAGGAGAATTTGTGTGAATTTCACTAGTGTGAAACTGGGTTTCAAATTGTGGTCTGTAGAAACTCAGAGTTTTGAAAATATGCCTTGGGGATTATTTGGGAGAAGGAGGTGAAGGAGGCTAGGTAGATCTAGGGTTTAGATCTCCTACCTCTACTTTAAACAGCATAGTTCTACTTTTATCTTTCTGACACACAATGGTCCCTCTTAGCTGCAGTTTTGCTTTCCAGGGTTTCAATAACTCATGCTCAACCATGGCCCAAAAATATTAAATGGAACATTCCAGAAATCATTTATAAGTTTCAAATTGTGCACAATTCTGTGTGGTGCCATGAAATCTCTGGCCATCGGGTTGTCCTGCCTGGGATATGAATCATCACTTTGTCCAGCATATCCATGCTGTATATGCTACCTGCCTGTTAGTCAAGTAATAGCCATCTCAGTTATCAGATTGACTGTGGAGATATCGTAGTGCTCAAGCAACCCTTATTTTACTAAATAATGCCCCTCAAAAGCAAGAGTAGTGATGCTGTAGTGTATTGTTATAGTTGTTGTTTTGTCATTGTAATAATTTATAAATTGCATATTTATAAGTTAATGTTTAAATTAAACAATCATAGGTATGTATGTATAGGAAAAAAAGATAGTATATATAGCATTCAGTGCTATCCTCCATTTCAGGCATCTATTGGGGGGGTCTTGGAACGTATTCCCTGAGAATAAGGGGTGATTACTGTACAGAGTACAGGTAAGAGTTTTGTAACAGGAATGATCACTTCCTAAGAGATACTACTAATTGTTCTACACATTAGAACTACACACATTTTCTAGATCTGAATAGGCTTATTCCTGCAATGCAGGTACTTCTTTCAGATTTCACCATAATTTAAAGTCTATGGCCTTTAATAAACTTTAGTTACAAAAATTACAAGTTGACAAAGTAAATTGATAATTTAGTTGAAAACAGTGTAATTACAATATTTGGTTTAGGTGTTTATAAGGAAGTTTAACAGGTAAATGGTAGGAATATAAAAAGTAAATATATATTGAAAAGAAATTCTTCATTCTTCCTCATCTATGTATCACATTATATGTATCATTTCTTCTTAAAATATAGTAGACCCTCCTGAAATCACAGATAGTACCTCACCCTATTATACTATGCACAGATTTCTTTTTCCTAATTTCATGGAAAGATGATTCATTCTTACCATAGATCTTAGCAACTTCCACATACCTTATTTTTGGTTCCTTATTAAGCACAGAATATTCACCATTTCACTTAAAGGAAAACTTTATGGCTTCTCTTTGGCCTATCTGAATTGTCAGCATCAATACTCTTGCCCTTTGGCGGTATTGTTAAGTAAAATAAGGGTTACTTTAACACAAGCACTGCAATACCTCTACAGTTGATCTGATAACCAAGATGGCTACTATGTGACTAACAGGCAGGTAGGGTATACAGCAGCATGGATACTCTGGACAAAGGGTTGATTCACGTCCCAGGAGGGACAGAGTGGATGGCTCAATATTTCATCACACTATTCAGAATTACACACAATGTAAAACATATGAATTGTTTATTTCTGCAATTTCTTATTTAATATTATCAGACCACAGTTGACTGTAGGTAACTGAAACCTCAAAAAGTGAAACCACAAATAATGAGAAACTACTGTACTCTCCTGCTACCACATTCTTCCTCCTGTATAGCTATACATTTATTTGTCTGTTAGGTTCATCAAGACTGGCAAGTATCTCTCTCTTGTCATTATGTCCCTCTCCCCCAAGACCCTAGACCAAACCCAAAACCTTAAATAGACAAGCAATGTGTATCTGATTAAGATGATAGGGAAAATAACTTACTACCTTCAGATATATCTGATAAAGAGAAAAATATATATACATTCTCACCAAAAACAGTGGTCGTGGAATTGGTGAACAACTTTCACTTGCACACAGGAAGTTTTTCTCATTGTTTTTGGGTGACTTTATTGTACCTCCAACTCCACTGTTACTATTTAAGGATTCAAGTGATGAAGTTTTTGGATAAGGTGATATAGATTTTGTTATGCAGTCATAATCCTGAGTAAAATCCTTTTCTGTTATTTTCTCTATACCTATATTGCATCAAAATAAAAAAGAAAATAGATGGCAAGCGTTATCATTGATGTCTGCTTTAGAAATAGCACGATTAATTTAAATTCTAAGAATTTGTCAGATCTTCAAATCTTAGCTATAAAAAAGGATAGCTTTAAAAATATTAAGACCAAGTTATATTTAAAATATTTGTAAGACTGAAAAACAAAATGGCTGAATTTAAAATGTACTTGTAACCACAAGAACTTTCAAAACATTTTCCAACAAAAATATCTACAGTATGACCTGAAATATAAGGATCAACCTAAGTATTATCTTGAGTATTCTGACATCATAGCTGATTGTGTTATATATACACATCACAAAATTTTATGATTGAAAAAGGCTTGAGAAATCATCTGCTCTACATCTTTCACATAAAAATTAGAAAATTTACTGCTGGAATAAATCTTAATATAAATAAATCCTCAGACAATTTTCAGATCGAATCAGGGCATGTACATCTATCTCCTGAGTATGCGCTTATGTGAAATTTCATAGTGGTCCTTAGTACTGAGAACACAATAGCTACTTTAGAGGAAGCAGAAGTATACTAACTGATTTAAGTCTTGTATTTTAACTGAAATGATTAGCATTTAGAAATGCTTTAAAATGTCCTTACAAGGAAACAAAAATGGTATAAAAAGGGCAAACTTATACTTTCTATACTAGAAAGGCATACACATATACCAGAGCTCCAAAGAATATGAATTTTTCTTTAGCAATCATTTAAAAATAAAAGCATAACCTCAACTGTATACGGTATTAATCCACTGTGGGTCCACAGAATGAGCAAGATATTCTTTGGACTTTTGTTAATGAAATGTAAATAGAAAAAACAGAATTCTCCAAAAATTCTCATGTTATTAAATATATATTGAGCTAAAAAAAAGCACATTAAAATTAAGTACTTTTTTAAGATTAAGTTATAATTTGTGAATATATATTATTTTCCATATTAAAGCATTTGATCTTTAACTTCCTAACATGAAAAACATCAGTATCCTAGTAGCATTGTTCCCATGTTATCAAAAGTCAAGTTACTAGCATTAATTAGCTTAACAATGAAGTTTTAACTACTATAATTATAAATACCCCTCAAAATTAGTCTTAAAATTGTATTTTCCCATAATTAGAGTTATAGAAAACTATTGAATATTCAAGTAAAGAAAAAACAAAGTTATACTGACATCTCGTTACTTCTATAGATGATGGACTGCCAGATAAAGATCTGGGAGATAAGTCAAGGCAATTATCTCGTATAGCATCTTTTAGTAGAGATGAGTTTTTCCATTGTTTTGATAGTTCCTTTTCTGTTTCAGCACAGAAGACTTTCTGTTGTTTCTTTGGTAGCTTTACCGTTTTCATTCTGGAATGGATATTCTCCTCCTAAATGTATCAATAACTTTCAAATTATACTCAAGTACAAATATTTACACTTGGACACATAAAACAAATTATATTCAAATATTTATTAAATGTTGTATATTACCACATACAGGCATAACAAGGACCTAGACATGAGTAGTGAAAGACTTTCTAATATACTAGAAGCCATAAGACAAATTCACAGGAGAATATAATACATTTACTATAATAAATATCTTAAGAGATACAAATAGCCTTCTTTGAGGGTTCAAAGATTATATCCAGTTTAGGAAAATTAGAAAGCATTCCTAAATTTCATAGTATTTGAGATACTAAGGAGTTTGTGAAAGAAGGTAGAAAGGGGAAGACATACTGCGAATAGAGAAGACTTCGCAAGAACAGAGGGAGTTGAGAGGCACAGGTCTTTTTTGGGAGTCACAGGTTATACTATCTGACCATTTCACAGTTCTGGGCATACACTGGAGAAGGGTAGAAAAAAGCTTGGAATGGCATTTTGATGCTCTGAATATCTGACAATAGAGATATTTTTAGGGTCTTCCTTTGAAGAGGGATAAGATGAGAGGTGGCTTGAGAAGGCATGTGACTATTTGTATGGTAAACTTCCTTTAAGAAGTGACAGAAGGCTGGGCACGGTGGCTCATGCCTGTAATCCCAGCACTTTGGGAGGCCGAGGCGGGCAGATCATGAGGTCAAGAGATCGAGACCATCCTGACCAACATGGTGAAACCCAGTCTCTACTAAAAATACAAAAATTAGCTGGGCGTGGTGGCGTGCGCCTGTAGTCCCAGCTACTAGGCAGGCTGAGGCAGGACAATCGTTTGAACACTGGAGGCGGAGGTTGCAGTGAACCAAGATGACACCACTGCACTCCAGCCTGGTGACAAAGCGAGGCTGTGTCTCAAAAAAAAAAAAAAAAAAAAAAAAAAAAAAAAAAAAAAAAAAGAAGAAGTGATAGAAAATGTAGACCTAAGTTAGGAAGTCTTTAAAGCATTTTGGGTAAGAGATAAGATTGCAAACAAGAAGAGATGGAAGTTTATGATGTCAAATCAGCACACTGTACTGTTCAGAAACCTATCTTCAGTGCCAGACTCTCTGGTTTCAAATCCTAGACCTACCACTTCCTAGTTGTGTGACCTTGAGCAAATTCCTTCTCTCTGAGCCTCAATTTTCTCAGTTGTAAAATGGGATGACACTAATAGTACTAATTACCTATAGTACTTATGAGATTTTTAGACATTAAATCTGTAAAGTGCTTAATATAGCAGTTGACACATTGTAAGCACTACATATATTTATATACTATACACATACACTATACTAAAATAGTAATATAAGTATATATATTTTTCCCATAATTGGAGTTATAGAAAACTATTGAATATTCAAGTAAACAAAAAATGAAATTATACTGACATCTCATTACTTCTATAGATGGTAGACTGCCAGACAAATAAATAAATATTTAACTTTGCTTTCAAAAACAGGTGACTGGGAATGTTTCTGGACATTATGAGACATAAGGAAGAAGTCAGGGATGGTGACAGGTGGGCCAGTGTGTGGGAAGAACCTCAGACACCAATATTTTGCTTTCACTCAACAGACACACAGCTTCTCCATGCTATACTTTATTAAAGCCTAATTTTAGAAGATTAAGTACTTCTCCCTTTCAAAGATACTATCATCAAGTTATAATTTCACTAGATTCAGACATCTGTTTTGTAAAAAAAATGCCAACTTATTACAAAATTTAGCATTATATTGCCTAAGGGCAAATTTCTAGAATTATTATTTAAGTTTTGTCATAAAAGAAGTTAACTCTTAAGAAGTAACAGGATAAATTTGACATTTTTTACAAAAATATATATTTAGTATTTTAAGAGGCTTTTAGAAATTAATCTGAACTGTATCTATTTACCTTTACTGGTATGTTCTCTTTAAATGAATGTGAAAATTCTTGTTCACACTCTGATTCTGAATTTGAGAGATCTTTATAGTTTTTTTTTGTTTTGGTTGCTTTTCGTGGAAGTCTGATTCTTCCTTCCGGAATTGTCTTGTCCATCTTTTTTGTGATATTTTTACTGGGTGTCTTTAGGAGAAAAATTCCTGAATATTAGATCAATATTTGAGGTACAAGAAATACAAGCAATTTGCTATAAAATTGGCACTGTGACAAGTTTTACATAAAATATTTGTAAGAATGATTCTTGATTAACATACTTTAAATTAATGGATTTTATCTTCCCATTCCAGTTATCATCTTTACCATCTCTGTATCCCTACCATTAAGTCCCTGAGAAGCCTGATATATACTATCTAACTGAAGTAAAAGATTTTAAAAATACCTAAAAGCACAGAATAAAATGGAGTCAAAGGCCAGTATGATTTAAAAAGAAACAGGAGAAAGTGTGCAAAAGAAGGAAGAGGTACATAAAACACATAACTGATAACAAGGATAAAATTATGAGATGATGAATTATTTTTATATGGCAAGAAAAAATAATTTTAAAGGGATGTTTGAACACAAACTTCTTGGCTTACCATTTTAGAGCTTGGCTGTCCCTTTTCCAAGGATGATCCTGTAATTCAGAAAAATAAGGTTAAATTTTCACAGTAAATAAGAATAGGCATTAAATTTATTAGAACATCATTTCAGCATATTTAAATTAAAATAATAAAAAGTAGTAAGTTTTTAAAGCATGTGTTAGCATTTAATAAGTGAACCTCCATGTGGCCTCAGGCCACCAGGATACCAGCCCTCCTGACACCGTAATCTTCTCACCTCTTCTGCTGAAGAATCTGGCCTCACAATACACTATTTTGGAAGCTTTTCCTTTCCCAGAACTTTTTAGTAGCCCAATTGTACCACATCTCTGATTGGCACCATTTTTAAACTCATTCAAAAATGTAATTTTCAAGAATTGATAACTTTTACTGTAAAGTGTTTCTTATGATATGAATTGCCAGTTTTCCTCCCTCTCCTTTATTTTATAGAACTTTTTAAACATATAAGAGAATATGTCAGCATAAGTTAAAAAGTTAACACCTATAAATCTACCACTCAATTTAAGAACCAGATTGTGTATAATGCTGAATCTACTTACGTATGCTCTCTTATACCATCCTCCGTGTCCCTTCTGCTAAAAGGTAATTACTGTCCTGAAATCTGCAGGTCTTAGTTACTTGCTTTAAAAACAAGTTTTATTACATAGATATAAATCTCTAAACAATATAATGAGATTTATAAAATATCATGTCCTGTATAATATCCTACGATTTATTTTCCATACATCACAATGTTAATAAGATTTACCCATATTATTGATAGCAGATTTAGTCTCACTTCTTTTTGCCTTTCAAGCATAATGTTATCTTTCCAAATAGTCTCTGAAACCTAAGAAATAAGATTATCCAAGCAAAGGAAGCAAAGCTGTTTTGGAAGAGAGGTCCTCTAATCTTGGCAATAAGTCAACTCAAACACATTAACTTGTAGTTATTCAATAATTTAAACAAAAGAATTCATACAGAATTTCAATTTCGTAAGTTAAATTTTATAAATATTTAGTGATGACACTAACCTCTAACATCTTCGTGAGATCTCTAATCTTCTACTTTATGTTATAAATGTTTTTATTTGTACATCTTCCCACTAGACTGTAAGCTCCCTGAGGGCATGTGAATCTTACTATATTTATCTTTGGCTGCTTCAAGGTTCAGACTATGATGCAATCTAGCCTCACCTTTCACCATTTTCCCATAAATATGATCTATGTACCAAATACTTCAATACTGCATTCCCTGAATATACTATGCTATTCCATACTTCTCTCCCTTTTATATATGATAATCCTGCTGCTTTACTTCCTCATGTATCTGGTGACCTCTCACCTAAATTTCAAGATTCAGCTTCATTTCTAAACACATGCCAAAATTCACTTCTATTTTTAGGTAACTACTGGTTATTTTTAATCCTGAAATAAAATGAAAGCTGATGCCCTTAAAATAAATATACATTTAGTTGAAAAGCACAGAGTTAAGTCTTCTTTTAAAAATGCAACATATAAAATCTTTGTTTTAGCAAACATTGAAATTGATGTTCAGCTATGAAAATGGTAATTCTCTCTAGCCAAAACTTATACCTGAAACTCTTACCAACTGCTTCAGGAGATTCACTATCACAGAGAAAGCAGAAGCCACTTTCTAGGAAAATACTTTGTGGAAAACTTAGACCCAAAAAAAAAAATCTGGAAGAAAATTGTTTTCCTTTTGATATATTTTTTGTGTCTATATAAATTCCTAAAAAAGGATGCGTGTTGGGTGCAGCAAGAAGATGGGATATTTAGTAAATATAAATAAATATATATATATATATATATATATATATATATATATATATACACACACACACACACAAACATATAAATATATTTATTTTATACACACACACACAAATGTAAATACATGTAAATATATATAGATTAGTGTCAAAGTTCAAGCCTTGGTCTTAAAGGTGTTGGGTTCATGAGTACTTGGTATATTATTCACAATAATTAGCTAAATAACTGGATAATACTGGGCCATGAGTAGACAAGTGACGAAAATCATGAGCCAAGGATAATGATAAGTCATAATTTGTGTCCCTAAGGTCCTATTAAAAATAAATATAACCGTATTACTAAAATAAAACAAAAAACATAAAAACTAGTGTTTTGTCCTATCCATGAAAGTATGTAGTAATGAACAGTCTAAATACAATAAGCTTATATAAAGCATTTTCAATAATTGAAATAAACTGCAAAATCATTTGCAACATTTATCCAAAAGATAATTTCTTACTTGATTTTCCACTTTTATGATTCTTCACATTTTTATTTCTGCTATAGTCTATTAGCTGTGGTTTTGATTTCGGTTCTCTTAGCCAGCTAATATCAGTCTTGCTGTCATCACATCTGTACTCTGTTTCAGTATCACTAAACAGATTTTTCTTTTGATGATTTGTTATAATCTATAAAAAAAAGTTTGAAATGCATGAAGAAATACTACATCTCATTATGTCATGCAAGGTAAGTTAAACCAAAACAACAACAACAACAAAAAAAAACAAAACCCAAAACAGGAAAACTAACTTGTCATTTCTTAACATCCTAATTTAGGATGGCATTAATAACCTATCCAAGAAAGTCACTTGGAAAACCAGATCAGATAATGATATTTGTATTTTGGTGTTGATGTTGTTAATTCAAAGTTAAATCAAAACAACTTATTTCCAGAGAGGTATAACCTAATAGTATACATATTAAAAAAACTAAACGTGGCATTTCTTTTATTAGATGATTACAAATAGCTGAAAGACCATAAGAAAATTCATAATAGGAAGGTGGATAGTTGCATAAATAAAACAATCAAAATGTTTTTGTTTTCTTGTTTTTGATAATCTTTAACATTAAAAATTAAGAGAAATACTACTTCTAATAGACATATTGAGATATTATAACTTACTTTTTTATCTTTTGTTTTGACAGAAGATTTAAGTTCATCATGATTCCTTGGACCTACCCTTAAACAAAAATATGTATTAATTAAAAAATACCCTTCATACTTGTTTTCTTAAGGTAATACACAATGGACAATTAGACCTGAGTTTTCAGTCTTAACTTTTTCACTAATTAGCTATATTATTCTGGCCAAGCCACTTATCCTCTCTGACCTCAGTTATAAAATAACTATATTGGATTAAAGAACTACTAAGTCTTTTTAGCTTTATGATCTAGGATATACAACTAATATTCAAAGTGATAATTTGCATATTAATTTAAAGAGTAAATGTTGAAGTAACAGAATCATAATGAGAGTAATAATGACTAGCATTTTTATTCACTCTTCTCATTTGTTAAAAAACTCTAAGACTGGGAGGAGATATTTAAGAGAAAAAAAAAGATCAGAATATTTTAATCTAATAAAAATACCTACAATCTAATTGACCTATCCGCACAAGCTTCTTTAGCTGTAGCTTGAAACTCTTGGATCTATATTGTAAATAAACAAAAAAAAAGAGGTGTCAGTGTCAAAATAAAAAAGATTAAAAGGAATAAACATAAAATCTAGTTTTGCTTCACAAAATCATAAGATTTGACATAAAATTAACTTTACTACAATATTTGTATTTGAAAAGAAAATACAATACACTAAAAATAGAATAGTTTTTTTTTTCATCAATAAGAAAGGTGATTTTCTTGGTAGTGAAGGCTTTCTACCCCACAATTGCTTGTTTTTCTCTACCTTATTCCTAAACAAAAATTTAAAAAAAAAAAAAGCCACCTAAATATACGTAGGCTGGTTATCCAAAATATTATTATATATTTCTTAAAAATTTTAAAGCATATGAGGATGCACATTAAAAACATTCTATGTAATAACTGCATGGTAAATGCAATGTAACTTCTGAGTAAATACAAAGTATCTTGGTATTTTAGCTTACTCCAAGTTTTATGATAGGGTCATCAGCTCCATTCAAATTAAAATTGTAAACATCATTCCTGTGAAAATGAAGAGCAATATTAGCTCCACTTAAATATGTGTAGTCTCTTCAAATATGAAGAAAATGAAAAATATTACAAAAAATACTTACACTGGGCATTCAGAAGTAACATTAACAAAGGTAGTCTTCAGTTTTCTGTAGCTTTTTTTCTGAACTTTTTCCTGAAAAGAGGGTTATAAAAAAATCATTAAATGGCTAACAGGTATATGAAAAAATGCTCAACAGCACTAATCAGAAATGCAAATCAAAAAATGAGATGTCATCTCACCTCAGTTAAAATGGCTTGTACCAAAAAGACAGGCAATAACAGATGCTAGTGAGGATGTGGGCCTCATACACTGTTGGTGGAACGCAAATGGTGGTACAACCACTGTGAATAACAGTGTGAAGTTTCCTCAAAAAACTAAAAATAGAACTACAGTATGATCCAGCAAGTTACTGAGTATATATCCAAAAGAAAGGAAATCAATATACCAAAGAGGTATCTGCACACCCATGGTTACTGCAGCATTATTGAAACCTAAGTGTCCACCAGTGGATAAATGCATAAAGAAAATGTAGTATGTGTATATACAACGAAATATTATTCAGCAATAAAAAAAGAATGAAATCCTGTCACTTGTAGCAACATGGATGTAACTGGAGGCCAAAGTAAAGTGAAATAAGCCAAACACAGAAAGACAAATACCGCATGTTTTCACTCATAAGTGGGAGCTAAAAAAGTGAATCTTATGGAGATAGAGCGTAGAACGGTGATTATCAGAGGCCAGGAAGAGTAGGAAGGAGTAGGGGGGGAACTAAGGGATTAAAAAATATATATATTACCAGTGAAATGTACACTTAAAAATGATAAAGATGGTAAATTTTATATGTATATTTTACCTCAACAAAAAAACTTGTACATTACTCTGTGTGGCAAACAAATAATGTGCATTTTTAAATATTTTTCTAGATGTGCTTCCACTAACATAAATCTTACATTTGTAACATTCTCCTTAAACTGAATAAAAATATATGCAAAATAAATTAAATCACCACCCATATATATAATTGCATTCCTAGGGCTGGGCACAGTGGCTTACACCTGTAACCCCAGCACTTTGGGAGGCCAAGGTGGGTGGGTCACCTGAGGTCAGGAGTTCAAGACCAGCCTGACCAATATGGTGAAACCCTGTCTCTACTGAAAATACAAAAATTAGCTGAGCATGGTGGCATGCACCTGTAGTCCCAGCTACTCAGGAGGCTGAGACAGGAGAATTGCTTGAACCAGGGAGGCGGAGGTTGCAGTGAGCCAAGATCACGCCACTGCACTCCAGCCTGGGGGACAGAGCAAGACTCTGTCTCCAAACAAACAAACAAACAAACAAACAAAGGTATCTACATTCCTATGTTCATTGCAGTAGTATTTATAATAATCAAAACATGGAAACAAAGTAAGTATTCACTGACATATGAATGGATAAAGAAATTGTGGTGCGTGTATATATATGAAGAAATACTATTCAGCCTTAAAAATAGTATATCCTGAAATTTGCTATAACATGGATGAACCAAGACAAGAGGACATTATGCTAAGTGAAAGAACCAGACAGAAAGAAAAATACTGCATGATCTCCCTTATATGTGGAATCTTAAAAAAAAAAAAATGTCAAATCTATAGACATAAGATAATAAAACAGTGGTCACCAGAGGATGGCAGGAGGGAAGGAAAAAGGGAGATCAAAGGATACAAAGTTGCAGATATGTAGGATGAATAAGTCTAGAGATATAATGCAGAACATGAGGACTATTAATAGTATTGTATAGTACACCAACTATATATAATACAGTATTGTATTATATAATAGTTTGTTGCACCAACCTATTATATTTGGGATATTTGCTAAGAGTAGATTTTATGCGTTCTTGCCACACACACACAAAGCTGAATACATTAATTTGATTATAGTAACCATTTCACTATGTATATCATGTTATACACCTTAAATACATACAATAAAAAAACACTTCTTTAAATATCGAAGACTTAAATAGTAAAAATACAATAGAAAATATTGTAAATCTAATAAAATCCTTTAACCTTAATACTTACTGACATTGTTGTACGTAAATAAATGACCTCCTTACTGGAATTCTATAAGCTAAATTTTGGTGATGCCATCACCACAAACCAAGCATGCTTTTCCTTTGTTTTGGACTCTCATTTGCTTTAAACTCTTAAATAGAAAACTTTGAGAGAGGCTAAGGTTTATGTAAAATCTCATGTAAAAGAGTCAAAAAGCTATCAATTAACTAGTATTGTTAGGAAAAAAATATGTGTTAAATTATTTATACAGCCCACAACTAAAAATATATTCAACCAGATCTCAAAGTAGTGAGGGCAAAAAAAGAAGTTAAATAACATTTAATAAATTAATTGTAATATACTGTATTAAAGAAATGTACTATGATTAAATATCACTAAATAATTGATTACTGATCAGAAATAATTAGTAAGTTAGAAATATTAAAACCTAAAATATTAATTTTATGTTGTGATTCATCTTCAATTTCTTTCCGTTATTTTATATAGACGTATTTGCATTATTTTAAAAAGGTTATCTCTCAATATATTACTCCTCTGATCATTTATCTGACTTATCCTTCCCAGTATGATTTTTACCAGTGCTTGCATACATATGTTCATTCACCTGTTGCATCGTTTGTGTGCTGTTACAGAATATGTAAAAATGAGCAAAGATGTTAAAGAAGGTAAGCAAAAGGCAGCAATGGTATTATAGAGAATACAAAGATGAGCACAAAAATATTACAGAAAATACAAAGATGATTCAAAATATAGTGAAAAAACAGAAGAAAAAACCCATGAGTAAAATAGCAAAAATAAATAAAAATTTAAAAGGTACCAAAACACTCTATTGTACAGATTCAGAATTCTTGCCAAATGGGTTTTTGAGTCAGGGCATCTTGGAAAGTTTTCATAAGGAAGGTACAAAGAGAAATATTTTAATAATCAGATAAGAGGGTGAGAGAGCCTACTGACTCAGTTTAAAGTTCATTGCAAAGGGAGAAGAAAAAGAGAATACTTAGGAAAGACTTACTTCAGGAAACCTCAAGTTATGTTTCAGTTAAACATGACATGCCTAGAAAATTAAGAAACAAGACAATCTTTTAAAGGGAAAAGTGAGCCAGTCTATGTTTCCATTTAATTCAATAAGCAACAGGGACCAAAAAAAGGTTTCTGAACAAGTAAGTGGCATGATTGGAGCTGTGTGCCTTAGAAAGAAAAAAAGCTGGTAGTGAATGTGATGTAAGGATTGCCACAGAGAAATGCTAGAGGCAAAGAAAATTGTTAACACATAAAACCTATTGTAACAATCCAGAGATTAGAAATCAGAACCGAAACTGGGCTAATAGGAGTTGGCCTCGACAGGGGAGAAAACATTCAAGAAGAACTTACAGAGGGTGAACTTCAAAACTTGAAATATTAAGTGGACACAGAGAGCAACTGTGAGGAATTAGAAAAAAGATAATTTATATTATAAGCCTGGATAAAGAGTAAAGGTTTTTTTTAAACAAAATTGGAACTTCAGTAGGATCTAATTGTTAGGAGAAATGGGATTGGCTATTAAAAAAATACACACACACACACACGCGCGCACGCGCGATAAGGATATACTGAATCATATACCAAAAAGTAAAAATATTATGCTCATATGTGTAAAAGAAGCTTTTTATTTGAAAAACAGAAGGTTGGAGGGCTATTTTGAGTACTTGCTATTAAACCTGTCAGTGGTTATCATTCATTTAGCAATATTCTGAAAACATCGTATCAAATTCCATTTTACCACTATGCTATTTTAGTGTTTATGGTCAAATATTGAGTTTGACTATAGATTTGGTGAAGTTAAGTAAATAACACCTACCTTACTGAGTTGTACAACAGGTTTGTTTGAAAAACCACTGTAAAAAAAGATTTTGTCAAAATTGAAAAAGCAAATCAGTATCAATATCATAAAAGTCATTTTAAGATAAACCATGTTTGTCACTAAATTTATATTCAATGTTAAAAATAACCAAAATGTAACAGTAATAGTCTGATAGTTTTGCTACTTCACTCACAGTAAACAGCACTTATAATAGAGCATTCGAAGCTGAATCATTAATGCAGCAGAAAGTGTGAATTTAAAATGAATGATTCCACCATAAGAATCATTTATTCATGACCTATAGTAAGGCCAGAATTAACGTAAACTTGAATTAACCACCTAATAGACTATAAATAGACATTTTGTAATAAACAATCTTTGGAAAGACTGCAAAGAATGTACTATTTACTACAAAAAAACTCATATCTGGTTAAATTCTGTATTTCATTAAGCAATGTATTTAAATATATTTATTCATTATTAGATTCAGTAAGTACAATGTCTACATCCTAAAGATTTTTAAAATGGTATGTTGTATTGATGTGTTTTTTGATCCTATATAAAATGTAACTAGACAATAGAATGACAAATTTCAAATTTAGTTCCCTTCTTGTGTAATTTAAACACCTACTATTTATAAAAGTATTAAGTAACCATGTGTTTTCTACTGAAAAGTTACATTATCTGAACCTATGTTTAAAATTAACCTTTTTAAAATTGTGTAATATAGTTGTATCTGTCAGAAAAATATTCATGTCTGAAATTTAAGAACATACCTGTTAATCAAAGACTCCTTTAATTTTCTTGTAGACTTGATGTCATCTTTTGTTTTGTATCTTTTATTGATTTGGCTTATCAAGGATTCTGCTACATTGGTAAATTCTTTCCCTTTTGACTTTTCTCTCTGAAAAAAATTGTAAGTTACTTTTAAACTCTACCAGTTAATCTTTAAAGGAAAAATAAAGGCTGAAAAAAACTTTTAAGATAAATCTGGTTCTATTTATACCTGCGGAGAGAAATAAAGAGAGTCAACTGTTTAGTAAGTTTGAGCTTTGTTAGGCATTAAAATAAGATAATTTTTTTTATTATACTTTAAGTTCTAGGGTACATGTGTACAACATGCAGATTTGTTACACATGTATACATGTGCCATGCCAGTGTGCTGCACCCATTAACTCGTCATTTACATTAGGTATATCTCCTAATGCTATCCCTCCCCCCTTCCCCTACCCCACGACAGGCCCCAGTGTGTGATGTTCCCCTTCCTGTGTCCAAGTGTTCTCATCGTTCAATTCCCACCTACAAGTGAGAACATGCGGTGTTTTTTTGTCCTTGCAATAGTTTGCTGAGAATGATGGTTTCCAGCTTCATCCATGTCCCTACAAAGGACATGAACTCATCCTTTTTTATGACTGCATAGTATTCCATGGTGTATTTGTGCCACATTTTCTTAATCCAGTCTATCATTGAGGGACATTTGGGTGGGTTCCAAGTCTTTGCTATCGTGAATAGTGCCACAATGAACATACGTGTGCATGTGTCTTTATAGCAGCATTATTTATAATCCTTTGGGTATATACCCAGTAATGGGATGGCTGGGTCAAATGGTATTTCTAGTTCTAGATCCTTGAGGAATTGCCACACTGTCTTCCACAATGGTTGAACGAGTTTACAGTCCCACCAACAGTGTAAAAGTGTTCCTATTTCTCCACATCCTCTCCAGCACCTGTTAACAGAACTGTACAGAGTGCTTTGCAGACATTTTAAAAAATGTTTCTGCCCATAAGAATAAAAAACTGAAAAAAGGAGAAACCATTTCTTTGAAAAGATCAATAAAATTGATAAACCTTTAGTCAGGTTAACTAAGAAGAAAGAGAAAAAAAAAACAGAAATTACTATCAGAAATGAAAGAAGGGCCATCACTGCTGATCACATAGACATAAAAATAAGTCAATATTATGAATTCCATGCCCGCAAATGTGATAGGCTAGATGAAATGGACCAATTCCTTGAAAGACACAATCTACCAAAACCTATGTAAACAGAAACAGATCATCTGACTAGGCCTATATCTATTAAAGAAATGGAATGAATACTTGATATCCTACCAAAACACCAGAAAGAGTTCACTTGTGAACTCTATCAAACATTTAAGGAAGAAATTATGCCAATTCTCCACAATCTTCTACAAGATAGAAGAGTAGGAACTACTTCCTAACTTAGTCTATGAGGCCAATGTCCCCTTAATACCAAAACCAAAGACACTACAAACAAGTACAAACCAGTATCTCCCATAAACACATACACAAAAATCCGCAACATCAGCAATATCAGCAAATCAAATCCTACAATGTATAAAAAGAATTATGCAACTATTACCAAGTGGATTTTATTCTAGGTATGCAAGAATGATTCAACATTTGAAAATTAATGTACTCCATCATAACAGGCTAATTTAAAATAATCAATCAATCAATATAAATTGATACACAAAAAACATCTAACAAAATCCAACACAGATTCACGATAAAAAACCCTTAGCAAACTAGGAATAAATGGAAACTTTCTCAGCTTGATAAAGAGCATCTACAAAAACAGTTACAGCTAACATCACACTTAATGGTGAGAAACGAGATGCTTTTCCTACTAAAATCAGAAACAAAGCAAAAATGTCCCCTCTCATTGCTTCTTTTTAACATTGTTCTGGAATTCTTAGCTAATGCAATAAGACAGAAAAAGGAAATAACAGGTATATTGATTGGGAAAGAAGAAATAAAACTCTTTGTTCACAAATGACCTGTCTGTAGAAAATCTCAAAGAATTAGCAACAAAACTACTGGAAGTAATAAGCAATTGTAGCAAGATTGCAAATTACAAGGTTAATATACAAAAGTCAACCACTTTCTTATAAACCAACAATGAACAAGTGTAATCAAAAACACAATATAATTTACATTAGCACTGCCGAAAGAAATACTTAGATGTATATCTAACAAAACATGTACGAGAGAAAAACTACAAAAGTCTGATGAAAGAAATCAAAGGAGATCTAAATAAATGAAGAGATATTCCACATATATGGATAGAAAGCTCAATATTGTCAAGATGTCAGTTCTTCCTAACGATCTATAAATTTAATACATTCCTAGTTGAAAGAACAAACAAGTGGAGCACAGGGGAATGGTATGGCACTGAAGCTATTCTGTGCAATACTGTAATGGTAGATATGTCACTTCACTACATATTTGTCAAAACACACAGAATGTACAACAAAGCATGAAGCCTAATGTAAACTAAGCACTTGAGTTAATAATCATTATGTATCAATAATGACTCATCAATTCTACCAAATGTACCACAGTGATGCAAGATGTTAATAATAGGGGAATGGGTAAATGGGTATACGAGGAGTCTGTATACTTTCTACTCATTTTTGGGACTAAAATTGCTCCAAAAATGATTTTTTTTAAAAGTAAAAGGACTACAAAATAAGAATTATTCTCAGCATAATTTAGATAACTTAGTTTTAATAAAGTCCAATAGTATTCTTAAAGATATGAGGTCTCCTGATTTTATATTTACTTTTCTCTGGTTATCAGGCATATATAGGTTTTTTAGTTGTAGTAATATACACAAAAATCTAGTAAACACAAAATTTACTATTTTAACCATTTTTAAGTCCATATGTTCTTATATATAATAGGTACTAAGTTATTAATGTCCCCTTAAGATTATCGGAGTGGTTTACTTGTCTTGATAGAAATGTACCAAAAATGAACCTTCTCCAAAATACTGTATGATTTCAGAAATTCCAGTATAATTGGAGCCAGCCTGGGAAATCTGTGCCACTGAACTACCAAGGTTGCTCTGGGGTGATCCAATAAGTAGAAAGACAGTATCAGACAGATGGCTACCTTAGAAGACAGTTATCATCTAGCACCAGTTAGAATGATGATCATTAAAAAGTAAGGAAACAACAAATGCTGGAGAGGATGTGGAGAAATAGGAATGCTTTTACACTGTTGGGAGTGTAAATTTGTTCAACCGTTGTGGAAGACAGTGATTCCTCAAGGATCTAGAACCAGAAATACCATTTGGCCCAGCAATCCCATTACTGGGTATATACCCAAAGGATTATAAATCATTCTACTATAAAGACACATGCACATGTATGTTTACTGCGGCACTATTCACAATAGCAAAGACTTAGAACCAACCCAAATGCCCATCAATGATAGACTGGATAAAGAAAACGTGGCATTATACACCATGGAATACTATGCAGCCATAAAAAAGGATGAGTTCATGTCCTTTGCTGGCACATAGATGAAGCTGGAAACCATCATTCTCAGCAAACTAACACAAGAACAGAAAATCAAACACCACATGTTCTCACTCATAAGTGGGAGTTGAATAATAAGAACACATGGACACAGGGAGGTGAACATCACACACTGGGGCCTGTTGGGGGGTGGAGGCCTAGGGGAGGGATAGCATTAGGAGAAATACCTAATGTAGATGATGGGTTGATGGGTGCTGCAAACCACCATGGCACATGTATACCTATGTAACAAAACTGCACGTTCTGCACATGTACCCCAGAACTTAAAGTATAATAAATAAATAAATAGGTAGATAGGTAGGTAGGTAAGTAGGTAGGTAGGTAGGTAGGTAGGTAGAGACAGTGATTCATGAACTGGTGGGAAATTCTAAATAGGATACAGGTAGTGACTCTATGAAGGACTGAAGACAATTTCTGAAAACAGGAAGTTGATTTTTTTAAAAATCAGAGCACAGCTTAGAAAAGATTATTAGGTTTTGTGCTCCCAGAAAAAAAAAATGACTAGCTCAGGGAAATTATGTGAAATTATTCTAAATACCAAAGAAAGCAATTTAAAATTTAAATTTAAAGACAGATCTTTGTTCGGACAAAAAGAACCTTATTTCCCCTGGGACTGAGGGAAGTAAATAGCAGCTAAGATGAGAAAGAGAAAATAACATATTAGGACCCAAGAAAAAAAGGGACCCAAAAGAATATGATTAAAGAAGAAAACAGCCAAATTAGGCACAAAAAGTGAGCTGCAGGTGTAAAAAATATTTTAAAGGAGGCTGGTCAAGACAAATTAAATAATGCCTAATTATATACAATTGCAAATTATCTTTTAAATATAATTTGCACATTGAGAGGTTACATTGTGTGAACATTTTACATTGACTCTAGAAATTTGGCTTCCCAGGTATCAGCATTACTACAGAAGATAAATGAAAATAAAAGCCTATAAAACCTGGATTATTTCAGAAATATCAAAAAGCAGATTGCATTACCTGCAGTGGAAATGTATTCTAATTAAAAAATTTTTCTTAATCTGCATTTTGATAGTTAAGAAAAAATGATTTACCCGTAACTGTTACAAAAAAGTAATATTTTCTTCCCTGGAAGTCTGGTGGCAAAGTAGCTAAAAATGTCTTAGAGATGTTCTCCAGAGATGATTAATCTGAAAAAGAAAGTGGGAGCTCTAATAATGATGAGTAACAGTTACAATAGAAGACAGTCTCTTCTAACCCATTCACATACTTTCTTGCAAAACCTTGTCAAGGTTAAATGCATTCATCCAAAAAATGTTTGAGATGCTACTGTGTATAAAGGCTGTGCTAGGACATGCAGGAAAACAAATGTTGAATAAAACAGTCTATGGTTACAGTCAAAGAGAGAAAAAAAAACCATTTATTAAAAAGAAAGGTAGGAATTATAAGAAATGTACAAACAGTTCTATATCCAAGTCAAAAGGAAAGAGTGGGAGGAACCTAAAAAGAAGAGACAGGAACTGCATGGTTCATTAATTCTACACATATTTACATGTCTGATATGCACCTAGTACTGTTCTATCAGAGCTACGACAAGGGAGAGGTGAGTGAGGAATTCTGAGAGTCTGGGCACTGAATTAAACAAGGTATTACACATGTTAAATGTGTAGCAATTAATCAAGTTTCTTTCTTTCTTATGTTATCAAGTAGGCATCTTATGGATATGCAGAAATCAAAACACATTGAAAGCTCACCATTTTTTTTTGTTTCGAATCCCAGGAATTAAGCTCAGAAGTCAATTCTTTCTCTGCTTTTCTATGACTTTGCACATTTTTGCTAGCAGATGGATTTTTATCGCAAGTAGCAGTATTCACATCTTTTGACAATATGTATTTCTTCCTATATATCAGCGATTCTTCAATTGTCTTATTTAGGAGAACCGATTTAAAAGTAGTTTCAGATTCAACAGGCCAATCACTCTGCTTGGCATTTTCAGTATTTTTCTGCCCTGAATATTTAGGATGATTTTGTTGCTGATTGTGTTTCTTGCAAACTTCTACTTCTGCTTTATCTATTTTGATATGGTCGGTTTGTTCTTTCTTATATTTCACTTTTCCTGTTCCTTCAGAATTATGATCAGATATTGAAGAGGATGATTTTTGTTTAGTAAGTTTTTTATTTATAACAATATCTATTGGGGAAAATGAGAAATTAATTCTTTTTAAATTAATAAGTTGACATATGTAAAATTTGTTAAATTTGTTTTAATACTTGTTAGACATTTGAGGAAATTAACACTGAACTATTACATATAGATAAAACTAAGTTTCACCTTGATTCAATGTGTCTCCTGACGAAGTACTTGCTCTTTGGTTATTACATAGTTCAATGTTTGTTACAGGTGTCCAACATGCCCATTTGCTGTGTATTTTATTTCCACAGATGTTGTCTAAAACACCAGGTAATCTAGAAAATAAATTAATTTGCTTAATGTTACAAAACATTAGCCTGTGACTTTAAGACCTTGATTTTTAATGTAGTCAACGTTTACTGAAAGCGATTACTTATGTGAAAATTATGTGGAAATTTATCTTATCTTACAGTTCTACTGTATATTTATATTTCTACACATTAATTAATTTCTACATATTGTTATATTTCTACACATTCATTGTTTATACATTTTAAAAATCTCATTCATTTTAAGTCTCTCCACTTGAAAAGAGTTATATTGGACCACATGGGGAAAAAACCATATACATAATTCCCCATTGTGCTGTCATAACACTTGAGAGATGATTAATACTAATTCTAATCATATACAGTCCTTTTCCTCCAAATCTGTTACATTCACTGAAAACAGCATTAGTATAGACTAAATGATTTGATGGTTTTCTCATACTTACATAGTATGATCTCTTTTTTCCGCTGCCTGTGAATCTGGTATAACATCCTGGAGTTCACCTAAATAAAACAAATATTATAATATTTTCATTTTTTTCATGCAGTTGGCAGGGGGATAGGGAGGTTAGTATAGAAATCTATAAAGGTTCACATATTGGGATGAACGGATTGATCGATTTTGCATCCTCTCTCTTAAACCCAAACTTCTGGGGAACAAAGGTGGTATATTTCCTTGTAACCTCAAAAATTCCTTGCACAAAGTCAAACAAATTCTTTGTAAATCTTTTTCAAATCAATGAAAGCCAGTGGGGTTAAATGGTAATACAGGGAGAAGTATATACATTTTCTTAAAAAAATGACTAAATTAAACCACAAGGTACTTACTAAAATTTTGGTTTGGGAATTCAACATTCTTATTTTCTGTGTTTTCTACACACTTAGCAGTTTTGATATGCTGTAAACACAGGAAACAGGTTAACGTAAACTTAAGATGTTATATGAAAACCTAAATGTTACAGTATTAAGGTTTGAGTCTTTTAAAACAAATCTGCCTTGATATGAAAAGTTGGATACTATTTTTATATATTTCATAAACGTTATGCCCGTTTTTGAATATTCCCTATCCTGAAACACAAGAAGAAAACTGTCACTGCAGACGAGGCAGAATATTGCATAAATTTTCTGATCACATCCATAGCTAGCATAATAATTCAGTTTTCATCTGTAACTGACAATTTCTAGACTCTCCATGAGGAATCTCTCCTGCTGCTGTTGATTACATAGCCTGCTTTATCTATTTTGATATGGTCCATTCTTTCTTTCTTATATTTCACTTTTCCTGTTTCTTCAGAATTATCATCAGATATCGAAGAGGACGATTTTTGTTTAGCTAAGTTTTTTATTTATAACAATATCTATTGCATTACCCAGGTAACTTCTTTCCTACAGCAAGCTTCCCTATTTCCATAGCCAAAGATAACACTTAATCCAGATCAAATACAAATCTGCCACTATTATCAGAAAAATATTCCCTTTAGTCTAAGCTATTTTGCCTCATCCTGGCTGCCTTTCCTTCTTACTCTAGCCAGTGATTCTCCACACTAGGAGGGGAACATTATGGAAATATGCAGGTGTGGTTTGGGTTGTCACAATGACAGAGGGGTTCTCCTGACAATAGGTAAGCACAATCCTAGCTAGGATGCTTATCATCCTACAACATTTAGGACCATGTCGCACAACTGAAAAATAATCCCCTTATTAAGAAACACTTAGACAACTTGAACCATTACTTTGACTATTTTCTTTTAATATCTTCAACTCTCATACCCTTTATCTTTCTACCACATACCCATTTAAATTAAAAAAATAGAATCCATCATCTGTTCTCATCTTACTATTAACACCAAGACTACTAAGCTTTGAGAAAATTGTACATATTTATGAACATATTTATGCTATAAAATTCATAGTCATATTTAAACTGGGTCAACATTGTCTAACACTTATTCTTAGGCCTCTCCATTACCTTGCACATAGCTTTACATGTCCCTGAACCCTGTACTTCAACAGATCTCCAGGAGAAACTCACCATCTTCACACTTCAGAAAAAACAAAAGCTATTAGATGTTCCTCCTTTACAAGCTTATCTGCATCGCTGATCACCTCCTGTTTCTCCAAGAAACTATTCTCTCTTATCCATTCCTGCTTTGTCTTTTCAACTACCTGGAACAAATGCCCTTCTCCTCAATATCCATTTGACTCTTTATTGACCTTTCAAAAGTCAATTCATTCTCCATATTTTCTTAAAAAGCATCTCCTGATCTTCACCCTCACCTCTAGCTATGGGGTTAGGCACTTGACCCTCTAACTTGGTTCCTACTGCATCCTATATGTGTAAATCTGAGAATGCTTATGTAACTTAGTATCTAATTTTCATGCTAAATTTTGAGAAACTTAAGGACACAGTCCACTTGTACTTCGCATTCCTATACCAGAGTCTTCCCCATAGTAGTCACCAATTTGTATAATCAACTAAATAATTATGGCAGGTTCATTTATGCTCCCAAATGTGTAAATCAAGTTATAGTGAATTAATATTCATAACTTTTATTGTAAGCACAGTAAATGAGTCATATGCCAGAAGGACCCTACTTTCAAGGGCAATAAATATTTAGGGGAAAAAAGGTAATGCTTTAAACAAAATGAGACACTTGCAGCTTGCAAAAGGAGTTAGCTCAATACATATTTCCACAATTACTTGAAAAAATATTTTTAAAATACTTTCAAGGTAAAGTTACTTTGTCTATATTATCTCTTCTATGTCTTCCTTCTGATGATCTAGATTTCAGTGATGCAGCATTATCCACTCTATTTTCTGATGTTTGAGAAACACTAGGTTTCTCTGCAGAGCTCGTCATTTGCAGTGGTGGTTTAATTCTTCTTCTTCGTGGTGGTATTGCTAAAAAGGAGGACAAGGATTGCAGATTTTTCTTTTTTTACCTATTGCTATTATTGAGGTACTTTTCCAATGAGAAAGGTAAGAAACGAACATTCTTAGATGGTTCCCAGGTTTCTGGCTTAGATAATTAAGTGAATATAGATGCCATCTACCAAGATAATAAGTGAAGGAAAAATTTGCAGGAAGGGTGGAAAGATTAATTTAATTTTGGACCTATTACATTTGGGGAGCCTGTCAGATACTAAGCAATTGGCCAGTAGGCAACAAGATTTTTAGAACAGAAGGTCAATGTTAAGTTGTCATATAGACTAAGACTTTAACTAGTACACAGTATCAGGTTTTTTAAAACTTTTATTTAGCTCTTAGTATGTATCAGGCACTGTTTAAAGTTTCACTAGGTAACTTATTAAATGAGTGATTTTTATTTAATCCTCTAAACAACTTGATAAGATAGATACTTAAGTGCCACTTATAGAAAAAAAAACTGGTTCTAAATTTAGCTAGAGGATATCTGTACAAAGTACACAGCTGGAAGTGGGGAGCTAAGTCCACCTGGCCTGGTTAATTCAGTGTTTTAACCAGTAAGATATGCTGTGTCCTGCTTAAATTATAATAAATTATTAATGTCGAATATTAGTATTTTCAACACTGTTCTGTTCATATGTTAGCATTATACTTTTCTTCCCATTAGAAGACATTTGTGGTTCATATTTTATCAATTTTTATACACCAAACTTATCCTTTATGTAAATTATGTTCAGAATTGCCTTAAATTAAAAAATGCCTCCTTTAAAATAATTGTTAGAAATCTTTTAAAACTATAAAACTTACATGTGTTGCTGAAAAGCACTGGACTTCTCATAGTGTATCTATCTGCACCAGAAACAATCATTGATGCTTCAGACATTTTTCTTTTGCTAGGAGTAGTTTTCTGAAACCACGATGAAAAACAACCACTGTAAACACAGTCTTTTTGAAATTAAATATCCTACAATTTTACTTATAACATTTTGCCTTGATACATGCCAAAGATATATGTTTTTTAAATAAACAACACAATATTCATAAATTTCCATGTTTTAGGCTGATATGAAAGGTTCATCTTCATGTTTGGTATTAAATAAGTAGCTAAAACAAGTAAGGAACATTGTTTTAAAGAATATTTATAGAATATCCATGCCTATGAAGTACAGTACCTTTATATGCTAGCTGAAAATATTTTATCAATATTGAGTTTATCTAGTTAACCATAGCTTGCAATTTCCTATTCTATATCATGAGGATAATGTTTGGATTACATATTTATATGAAATTATTTTGAGTGCTTTCATGTTAAGCTTTCTTCAAAACATTCACACATTTTTGAAAATTGTACTAATAATCTGTGAAGACTAAACTGGAGTGAAGTAGCTGCAGGAATTCATAGATTCAGTGGCACATAATCTAGTGGTTCCAATAAAGATTTGTTTTCTCCCATATCATCTCACACTAATTTATAAGAGGGACAGAAGTAGATAAGCAGAGGCAGGGACTACAAGAGACAGGAGTTTCAGAGGATGCCATATTAAGAAGTAGATGGTGACATACTGCATAGAGGCATAAAAGAGCTGGTTTTAAGGCACCTGTCCCTAGAACAGGGGAAAAAATGATACAGTTGTGAGTGGGTATGTATATGAAACGTGAGGGAAGGATGGAAAGGATAAGATAAAAGAAAATTCTAAGATTAACTAGAAAACAAGCTTCTGAGCCAACAGATTTTTCTTAGAGAAATTAAGTTTTTAGTGGCATAGTGAATGGAACCTGAACAGTTACTTATTCATATAAATGCCTCAAACAGTTCATCCTTATTGAAAACAGAGCACAGGTATTTAACAGTAGTATGGTGTTTTTCGAACTTTGGTGTGCTTAAGACCTTTCCAAGAGTTTAAGATTCAACAGATTTAAGGTGGGGCTAAGAATCAGCATTGTTAATAAGCACCCAACATGATTCTGATATAAAGACACCAAAAATAGCTTTCATGTGCTAATTATCTCGGGGAAATAAATGACACTTTTAATTGAGAACAAAAGACTAAAAAACAAAATAGTAACATAAACATGCCAAAATATATGGAAGTGCCTGTGAGAGTTATAGTTACGTAAAGGTGAGAGATTAGTAAAAACTGAAATAATCAGGCAAAGCTCCACGAAGAAATCAAAAAATGGGCCGGGTGCAGTGGCTCATGCCTGTAATCCCAGCACTTTGGGAGGCCGAGAAGGGCAGATCACCTGAGGTCAGGAGTTCGAGACCAGCCTGGCTAACAAGGAAACCCTGTCTCTACTAAAACAACAACAACAAACAAAAACAAAAACAAAAATTAGCCAGGTGTGGTGGCAGGTGCCTATAATCCCAGCTCCTTGGGAATCTGAGGCAGGAGAATCACTTGAACCCAAGAAGCAGAGGTTCTGGGAGGCGGAGGTTGCAGTGAGCCGAGATTGCACCACTGCACTCCAGCCTGTGTGACAGAACGAGACTCCATCTCAAAAATTAAATAAAAAGAAAGAAAGTGGAAGACAGTGTGGTGATTCCTCAAGGATCTAGAACCAGAAATACCATTTGACTCAGCAAATCCCATTACTGGGTATATACCGAAAGGATTATAAATCATTCTAACATAAAGACACATGCACAGGTATGTTTATTGCAGCATTATTCACAATAGCAAAGACTTAGAACCAACCCAAATGCCCATCAATGATAGACTGGATAAAGAAAATGTGGCACATATACATCATGGAATACTATGCAGCCATAAAAAGGATGAGTTCATGTCTTTTGCTGGCACATGGATGAAGCTGGAAACCATCATTCTCAGCAAACTAACACAAGAACAGAAAACCAAACACCCCATGTTCTCACTCATAAGTGGGAGTTAAGAACACATGAACACAGGGAGAAGAACATCACACACTGGGACCTGTTGCGGGGTGGGGGCCTAGGGGAGGGATAACATTAGGAGAAATACCTAATGTAGATGACAGGTTGATGGGTGCAGCAAACCACCCTGGCACGTGTATACCTATGTAACAAACTTGCATGTTCTGCACATGTATCCCAGAACTTAAATAAAAGACTTCCTACAAAAAAAAGATATGTAAAATGTTTTAAAAAGGAAAGCAAAAAAAGAGAAAGTGAAAATGAACAAGACTTGCAAATCTAAGTATGCTTTAGATGGGTAAAGGTAAAAAAATAAATAATGTTAATGAAGATCTAGAGGCATGAATGAACATGGCATGCAAAGAGACAGTAAAGCAAACTACCTTACAAAAGGGGAGAATACATACTACAGTTTTAATAGAAAAGGTAAAATTAAATTATAGAAAGTCTCAGAACTGAGCCAAAATTTATTCAGTCAGTGGGATGAACACAGAAATCACAAAACTTTTGGAGTAGAAGAATGCTATCAAGATACTGATATTTAAGGAAAATCGCTGATTTTTCAGGTATCTCATAGGATAAAACAGTGGTGACAAAGTCCTACGAGGAGGCTACTGTATTAACCTAAGTGTGCTGAGATGAGTAATGGCAGATGAAACAAGAAAGAATGGATGTGAGACACAGATACTATGAAAGAATAATCACAAGCACCTTGGTTCCAGATATAAGGGGAGAAGAGGCTGAAATAAAGCATATTGCCAAAAAAAATGAACAGTAGTATTACTGAAATACAGACAGATGCAGATTTTAGTCAAAAGATAAAATGTTTGAGCTTAGACTTCAGGAAAGGTCTTGGAGAGACATACAAATGGAAATACAGAAAAACAAGTAGAGATGCAGCTATAGAATTTTGAAGAAAAGTCTGCTACATTTTAAGAGCTCACATTATGAACATGAAGGAAGCTCTCTAAGAAAGAAGGCAACAAGATGTTCCAAAAGCTGGATATCAAGGTTTTGGGTTTAGAGCAAACCTACCAAGAGGTATGGAGAGAAAGTTTTTCTAATGTAGTAATAGAAGCAGAAAGGGAACCGTGGTATACAATGGAAGCTGAAGGAGCGGACCTTAAGAAACAGGGGGCTATCGACAATGTCAAGTGTCACAGCAAGGTATGGTGGTAGGGGTTCCATTTATGAGAAATTATTCTCTTGGATGTGACCTAGAGGAGGTCCTTCAATGGAAAAGAAAAGGAGTAAAAGAAAGAACCTCATACTTTTTTTTTTCCTCATGCAAATAAACAGAACATTATACATTTCTATTCTACATTATAGCCAAATGCAATTATAGAACAAAAAGGATACATTCAAGAAGGTTATCTTATCTATCTCTAATCTGCAATTTACAACTGTAAAGTATGTCTTGTTCTAACCCCTATACATGTACACAATTTGCTAAGACACACACTATCTTTTGTTTGCATTTGTCAAAGGTAGGAGAAACACTCTGAAATGTGATTGATCAAGGCCAATAATATATAAATTCTAGATGCTTCTTTCAGTACTCATATATAACAGTGATTTGATCAATGGTAGTTTTATAAGCCAGTATTTTGACACCATCTTTACCTCAAGCTGACTATTATTTCTATTCCCTTTGTCACTGTTTTTGATATATTTTGAAGGTTTAGCAAATTCCTTTGGGGACTTTGATTTTTCCTTTAAACTAACGAGCTCTTCTCCGACTGGTGAGATTTGACTTTCTGGCACTAGAATCTGTTGGAGAATATGAAAAAAAAAGTATTTAAAACTGCAAACCACAGAAAGTAATCAACAATCACTGGATGTCTTAAGCTCCTACTCATCTCACATATTCAATTATTTCCCTTTTCTATCCATGTGCTGTTATAATTTTTACAAAGTGATCCAATAAAAAGTATCCATTTTTTCAAACTCTAATAGACATAAAAGAAGCTTGACATTAATGGAAGGACATTTACTGCTTTTTTAAAGTTTTAAAGTTACTAAACTGATATTTATTAATAACCCTACTCTTTACACTAAAATTATCATTAATAACATGTTTAAACATCATATACATTTTATTGGGGTACTGTTTATATTGAGACCATTTGTTTTCTATATATTCACCCTCCAACAACACCTTTATTACTGTTCCATTAGTTATGGTTAAACTTAGCCCAGTGATAAAAATCAAGTAAGTCTGAGACATACCTGTGATCCACTTGCGTCAAAAAGTATATGCAGCGACGTTTTGGCAACTGAAATACCTTGTTTTCTGATAGATTCCTAAAATTAAATCAATTCACAGTGATGACATTTTCTTCATTTTCTTTCCACTTTTTCATATGTCATTTTATTTCCATTTAATGTAATTATTTCCTGTTTTCTTCCAAAATTGCCAAATATCCCAAATTATTACTTTGCATATATGAATACCTTCTCAGAACACTTCAATTACTCCCCTTTAACCAGTCACCTTAGCTTGTCATTTGTGAGGAACAAGGGTTCCTCACAAATACATCTAATATTATGCAACATAAATCTTTTGCACTATTCAAATTTGTCAATTGAATATCTCCCCAAAACATCACATGAATTGTCACCTTAGATTCTCAGTTAAACAATATTTGGCTCATAATGTCTTCCACATGCCTGGAAAGTATTTTATCTAAATGCTTTCCTTCAACTTCAAAGGCCATTTCAAGTCCCATATCCATAACAATGCTAACCTCCAAACCTGACTCTTTATGAGCATTCTCTTTCTTCAATGTCTACAACTCATGTTCCCTATGCCATTATTTACTTCTTCTGATGTATCATGTGTGTAATTCTCACGATGTTTAAGATCTTGAAAACAGTGTTTTCTCTCATTTTACTTTTTAAACACCTGGCAGAAATTCATTAAATGTTTTGAGCAGCTGCTGCTAATTTTGTCATCTGAGATACTTTGTAATGGGTATCTCAATAGATATGACTAACAAGCTGATGACTCTTCAACAGTACAAATTTAAAGAACTAAAATCTACATTTTAAGAATTCTAGAAAGGAAAAAACGCAATAAAACTTATAACGCCAAACTGTTTCCAGAATTATGAAAATAGTAAATATTTATTAAGTTTAAAGACTTACCCTATGTTTAGTTGCACCAAAAATTTTTTGAGTTACATTAGTGATTTCTAGTGATGCGTCAAAATACAAAAGCAATTCTTTCCCTTCTCTTTTGCTAATTTTTACTGTATTTTTCAGAATTATTGTCAGTAGCTTCTTTGATTCTCTCACTGTATAGAAACAACACTGATTAGTTTACGTTTCTATGATACTACTCTGCAAGTATACTATAAATAAGACATGGATGTAGCAGATTAATTGAATCAAAATTCAAATTCTCAATATTGAACAGTGTTTAAATTAATCAATTCTGGCACTACTTACCTATGTAAATCAATCAAGTCAATTTAGCTTTCCTAGTCTCAGTGTTCTTATCTATAAAATACAGGATATGGCTATAACTAATAAGATAGAATCCTAAATACATTCTGGACTCTAACAAATTCTTAATAAAATATTCCTTGAACACATCTGAGAATACTATTTTCTTAATTTAAAAAAAGGCAAACAAAAACAATAACTTTAATTCCATATAATTACCATATTTCTAGACATACACATATAAACATTTCTATTAAATCCACAGTTGTTATAACATGCTGACAATAAACAACATTTGACAAAAATTAAGTGTCAGGAGATTGTGAGGTGAGAAGGATCTAGCACTTGGCCTCAATGAACTTACCAATCCAGTAAACAGAGAATACAGCAAGTACCAGCTTATAAGAAATAGTCACACTCTCCCTCCCTACAAAAGTTACCAAAAAATTACCTGGCCCCTAATAAATGCACCTGTATTATAGACCAGAGGCCACCATGCTCGTGTCCTACTTGTGGCAGGAATTCTATTGCTGAATGAAAAGTCTCCAACCCTGCCCACAATGTACTTTCGGGCAAGAGAAAAACACTCTGAAGGAGCAGGATCACACAAAGTAGGGAAATTTATCTCTACATCTGAAAAAGCTCTGCAGGCCACGCCATGATGTGGCCTAAGGGACAAATGTCCTATAGGCTATGAAATGTCCTGATTCTTATGAGGCCTGCCCAAGCAGAAAATGTTTTATTTGCTTTTGCAAATATATGCTCATAAAACTTTCACAGTAATGACCTTTGAAGGTACTAAGAATTAACAATTGCTTGAAAGTGGTAACCATAGTTTCAAACTCAAAGAGCGCTAGTAGTTTTTTAAAAGTTAAACAGTGACAAGTTTTCAGGTTTCAGAGATGCAAATTTAGGTGGCTTTAAAAATGATGTTTCATGTTTTGATGAAAATTAAAACATTTGTAATTCTTAGGTCTATTGCTGCTGATTGTTTTATTCCTCTGATATGCTTTTGACTTTTTTTCTATAGCTTACTGTAAATTATATTAAATGTAATATTTGCTTTAACTCCTTGCTTGCACATGGTATTAGAACTACTTCAAATTTATTATTTTGCTGAATGCTTTGTGCCTATTTGTACAAAAATTTGTCTACCTATGTTATGGCTACTTACATAGAAATTTATGAATATTTGTTATATTTTAATGATTGCTTTGTTGAAATTCCTGATATTTGCTCTGTCTGGACTATATAATGGCTTGGTTTCCTTTTTAATTAGTTAGTGTTACTGAGATACAAGAAAACTTTGTTTTGTTGCTTGCTATAAAATCCAAGTATTTATGGATATCAATATGTCAAGATTTTATAACATAAGAATGAATAGGAAGAGAAGGAAAGAGTAAAAACTATTCTCTCAAAATTAGCTATGAATGGGGAGAAAAAGATAGCTTCAGGAAGACATAGGATAAAAGTAGGCTTTTTGTTTTATGATGTAGACATTTGAGCCCATTGATATACTGAGAGAAAAGAGGTACTGAGAGAGAGGAGGAAGATACAAAAAATATGAACTGATGGAGCAAAGACTTGGAGAATGTGTGTGGAGAACTTGGAGAAATTACCCTTCAACAAGAGTAGACAAATATCTTCTGTTTACAGGAGAGATAAAGGAGGATACAGATACAAAGATGTTTGGAGACGGAGGGTCAAAATGTGTAAGTATTCTTACCTGAAAAATTCATGTTCTTCTGAATTACCACATCATAGTGAAAGCAAAAAAGGCAAGGTTAAGGATAACTTAAAAATTTAAATAGCAGCTGTTAGACAACTGGAGAGGGATGGCAACTATGGACATGGAAGACTGCCAAGTAGCAGTGAGAGTCCAAAGTTGGAAGCTGGAGACTTCCACTTCTGGGGAAAATGTAGGATATTGTGGCAGGCTAATATCCTGTTTTAAAAAATCAGAAGGATTAAAATATCATATGTTTAAAGGTGTCAGAGAGCTGTACATGTAACAAGATCTCTGGCCTTTTTTTCTCTAAGGAAATTTGCTAATTCTGTTTGTAGGCTTAAGAAGAGAACCTCTGCTGGAGAAAAGAAGACAAGCAAGTATTTAGTGAGCAGTAATGCCTGGAGTAACAAATAGGACACTTAAAAGCTTTAAAGGCATAACTAATTTTCCCTTCATTCTGGGGCAGCACAAGGAGCTGGACCAAACCTGATAAAAGGCAGTTAACTCTCTTATAGTCTCATGGGCTTGGAATCAATGTACTGCCTGATACAGGTATCATCCTCAGGCATATACTCAGTGTTCCGTTCAAAATATCTGCCAGATTTTGGACTGAGTAGAGTGAACGGCTCGAGAGCTGAGCTGGAAACCTCTAAGAGGCAGAACTGTATCTTCCACAGTCTCTCAGGTTCAGAAGACACAAATCTAATAGGCTCATCATCAACAGACTGGGATGGCCACACCTGAGTAATAGAGGCAAACAAGACAAAGAGTAAATTTAAAACTAGAACTAAACACAGACCAACATCCATGACTGGATCAGTCCTTCAGCCCCTCTGCCTAAGAAGAAAAAAGAAACTCTTCTGGTGGAAGGATTATCTGGAGCATCTATTGTTCCTGTATATGCATTATCTATCATAAAATTACTTGACATCCATAGAGGCAACAACATATGACTGATCGAGAGAGGAAACAACAGATCTTTTTAGAAGAAGACTATATTAGTCTGTATTAGTCTGCTATAATGGAACACCTGAGGGTGGGAAACTTATAAAAAAAGATTTATTTGGCTCATAGTTCTGCAGGCTGTACAGGAAGCATGGTGCCAGTATTTGCCTCTGATGAGGGACTCAGGAAGCTTTTAATCATTGCAGAAGGCAAAAGGGGAGTAGGCATATCACATGGCAAGAGAGGGAGCAAGAGAGAGATGGGAAAGTGCCATATAAATAACTAGCTTACCTGAATTAACAAGAGAAATTGTCACCATGAAATAATTATAGAAGAAAAAATAATCCCCTTCACCCTCAACACCAACATCATAAACTAAGCAAATATGTCTGCTCTTTTAATTTCTACTAACATTGTACTGAAAATTATATAGCCAGTGCAACAAGGCAAGATGGTAGGAGGGACTGACCATAAGAAGTGTTAGAAAGGATGTAGAACAAATGGAAGTCTTATAAACTGATAGTGAAAATATAAAACGGTAAAATCACTTTGGACAACACTTTAGAAGTTTCTTCAAAAGCTAATCATATGCCTATGGGTCTGAACTAACCACTGAACTTCTTAGTATTTACCTGAGAAATAAAAACATATTTTCAGAAGTAATTAATTATAAATGAATATTTACAGCAGCATTTCATAATAGCTAAAAACTGGGAACATTACAAATGCTCACTAACAGGTGACTACAGAAACCAGTTGAAGTATATCTATACAATGGACTAACACTCAGCAATAAAAAGAATAAACTACTGATACATGCAACATGCTTGAATCTTTTTTTAAAAAAGTGTTCTAAAAGAAAGAAGCTGGACAAAAATTGCTACGTACTGTATGATTCCATTTATATAAACTCTAGAAAATGTAAATGTATCAAAGAAAACATCAGTAATTGCCTGGGGGTAGAGTACAAGGATGGATAGATTAAAAGAAGTACAAAGAAATTTTGGGGGTGATATGTTTATTAACTTAATTGCCATGATGGTTTCATGTGCATAGACAAATATGAAGAGTTATCAACGTCCTTAATCTGATGAAGGTTATCTCTACAAAAGACTTTTGGCTAACATTATACTTAATGGTAAAATACTGAATGTTCTTTCCTAAGCAAAGATTGGGAAGTAGGCAAAGATGTCCACTTTTATCGCTTCTATTCAACATTGCACTGGAGGTTCTATACATTGCAATAAAGCAACAAAAGGAAAGGAGGGAGGGAGTGCATAAGGATCAGAAAGAAAGTAGTAAAACTACCTCTTTTGCAGATCCCATGACTGGTAAAATTAAAGATCAATTCTATTTATAAACATATAGACTGAATACTTGGGAACAAATTCATCAAAAGACTTATACAATGAAAACTATGAAACGCTGTTGAGAGAAATCAAAGACCTAAACAAATGGAGAGATACACCATGTTTATAAACTAGTTATGACTGTTAACATGTTATTTCTCCCCATATTGATCTAAAACCTGAGTCATAATTCCAGCAAGCAATTGATAAACCAATTCTAAAATTTATATAGAAGCTCAAAAGGCCTATAATTTCCAAAACAATATTTTAAAAAACCACAATGTTGGAAGACTTATACTGACTGACTTCAAGACTAACCACAAATCTACCATAATCAAAACAGTGTGGTACTGACATAAAGAAAAGTAGACCTATGATAAATAGAACAGATTGGAGGACCAAGAAATAGACACACTATTACAGAGTCATGATTTTCAACAAAGAAACCAAAGAAATCCAATGGAAAAGAAAAGCCTTTACAGCAAATAATCCCGTAATAACTGCATATCTATATGAAAAAATGAACCTCCAATCTCTGCATCATACCTTAATCAAATATTAATTTGAGATTATAATACTCCTAAACATAAAAGCTAAAACTATAAAATTTTTGTGGAAAAATAATAGAACATCTTAGTGATTTAAGAGTCGACAAAAATTTTTTGGGTCACGGAAAGCAATAACCATAAAAATAGATCAAGTAGATTTCAAAATTTAAAACTGCTCACCAGATATCATTAAGAAAATGAATAAGCAAGATACAATTTTGGAGAAAACATAGAACATATATATGTCAAAGGAGTGGAATCTAGGATACCTAAGAACTAGATAGTCCAATAAAAAATGAACAAAATATTTAAAATATATACTTTACAAAGGAAAATATATGAATGGCCAGAAAGCACATGAAAAAGTGCTCAGCATCACTAGTCATTGGAAAAATGCAAATAAAAAACATGAGATATTATTACATGTCTATTGAAATGATAAAATATGTCTTAATATCTAAATTTGTAATAGTACTAGTCTGATTTTGTCCACTAGCATTATGCAGTTCCAGTTATAGGATTGGAGAAACCAGATATTCAGATTTAATCAAGCAAATGGGATGGAAGGTCAGGAGCCTTAAACATAGAGACCAGAATGACAAACTGGATCACTGGTTTTAGACTAGACAGGGAAGGAGGTAAGTACAGGGGTAGAGCTGGGAGATTAGTAGGGAAACATGGGATCAAGGTGTTTGATGAATTTCTGAATGTGAACCTCTGAAAATATTGATTTTGCTTTCATTAGTCTGTTTTGTTAACCCAGAAAGGATGTAACATTTGTTCCATATGGTAAGAATTAAGAAAATTATTAGAAAAAAACAAGTTTAATACCTTCAATGCTGTATATTTGTACTTTTTCCTCTGGCACAGTAACTGCTTCCCATTGATGATCCTTAAATTTAAAAGCAGGTTTTGGCCATAAATAATTTATTTCTGATTTACAGTTTCTTTAAACATCAAATTTCAAGTTACAGGAACTATGAATTCTTTTTGCTAGTCACTAAGTAACTAGTTTATATAACACCTTTCTTGCTCCACCAATTAACTACATATTACACATGTTATATTTAATGTATTTGTTCATTATTAAAACGAAATGATGATTTTGACAATTTTCTATTCTTAACCAAAAAAAAGAATGACTGTTAATATTATATTTATTAGAGGATACCCTTTTTAAAAATGTTACCAAGTCTTTTTATGTTTTCTTTGAAATATTTTATGAAGTCATACTCATTCCTCAATTCCCACTCCTACTACCTATCCCAGGTCCTGTAACCACAATACTCATTAACTGATTGTCCTTTGATTTAAATATGAATGCGCATGAATAATAACCTAAAATGTTTGCCCCAAGTATTTTCACTGAAAATGTGTATAACTGAATGATACTGAATTCACAAAGTTATAGTAAAAATTAAATACCATTCCTGGCCAGGCACGGTGGCTCACGCCTGTAATCCCGGGACTTTGGGAGGCCAAGGCAGGCGGATCACGAGGTCAGGAGATGGAGAACATCCTGGCTAACACGGTGAAACCCCGTCTCTACTAAAAATACAAAAAAAAATTAGCCGGGCGTGGTGGTGGGCGCCTGTAGTTCCAGCTACTCAGGAGGCTGAGGCAGGAGAATGGCGTGAACCCGGGAGGCGGAGCTTGCAGTGAGCCAAGATCGCACCACTGCTCTCCAGCCTGGGCAACAGAGGGAGACTCCATCTCAAACAAAACAGAACAAAACACAAAACAAAACGAAAAAAAACTAAATACTTTTGTTATTTAAGGACAACTCATTCCCGAGAACTTCCTCTAAATCCTTACTATTTTCACCAATTCCCTTCTCTCCTATACCTTAATTGAAACCAGTCACACCCTGATGACATCACCACCTTTTTCCCTTACCTCAAAACCTCAGGATCAGGAGGAAAGGGACAGTATTCTAAGTTTTCCCCAAGGCTTTGAGCAGCCTCCTATTTCTGTGTGTAAAAAACTTGCTCCTTTGAGGAATATCTCAGTTGGCATACTCTATTCCCAATAATTGTTATCATCTACCAACTTAAAACTGATTCTTCCTTATATATCAAGGCACTTAGTTCACTTTTTAAAAAAACACACATAATGGCAATTTTCAAACAGATTTTTAATCAGAAATCATAGTATTATAAACCCAAAATATGCCCTTACCCAGATTCAACAGTTATCAGTATGTTGTAGCAATTTTGTTCCATTTTCACCTCCCACTCTCCATTATACTCCTTCCTCCTGACCTCAATTTTTTCCTTCAACCTCTCCCTATCTGCCCTTCACCATCAATTTATGAAAGCTCTTATCCTTAATATACCCAAAAAAACCCCTACATTGAATCCACATGTCACGCTCTTTCCTTAACTTGATGTCTTTACTTCCTTAACCGATATTTTAACTTTCTAGGAATGCCTAAACTCTTCACCATGTAAGTGAAACTGCTCTTTCATGGGTTACCAGTTTTTATTTAACCTCCCCTCTCAGGAATATTTCACTGTGTTGATCATTTCCTCTCATAAAACCTCCTTTCCTTTGTCGTCCGTAACACTATACCCTTTTAATTTGTTCCCTTTTGGCCGATTCTTCAAGTATCCTTCTGGCTAAAATCTCTTCTACTTATCCTGTAGAAATTTGTTTTTCATAGTTCTTTCATATAGGCACTCATTAAAACCCATGGTTCTGTCATTTATATACAGATAGCTTCTATATCTCTACTTACAGCTCAACTTCCATCCAGCTACCCAAATTTTAGTAATCCTTCTTTTTAAAAAATTACAAACAAATCACCAAGTTTGCTCAGTTCTGTCTCCTCTCAAGTCTTTCTGGATTCTATCAATTTCCATCCATGCCCATCGTTATATCTCAAAACCATCCCACAATTATTTCTCACCTGGATTATTGCAAAAGCCTCCTAACTGCCTCTAGTGTTTTTTCTTTTTATCCATTCTCCCCAGTCTATTTTTATCCATTTCCCCTACCAGGGGGGATCTTTTACACAAATGTGTTCTCCAGTGCCTAGTACATACGTGACACATAGTTCTCAATAGATATTCATTGAACTGATGTTACCTCCTACTTAAAATCCTCCTTTGGCTCCACACTTCCTATATTTTTGCAATCCCCTATGCCCTCTGTACATCTTTCAATTCTTTCAATGTTCCGTTTACTCATTCTTCCAACAAACATGAGCCACTGAATAGCTATAAACTAATCTTATACTCTATGCGGGAAAGCAGACAACAAACAACAAATAAACAAAATGATTTTAAATAATAACTACTATAAAGGAAATAAGACAATGTGGAATAATGTGGTTGTGAGGCTACTTTATATTGAGTAACCTGAGAATACTCTATGAGAAGGCAACATTTGTGCTTAAATCTAAATGGGAAGAACTAAGATGCAAGGACCTGGAGGAAGAGGTCTATGCAGAAGAACTAAGAAAGACCTAAGATGGGCATAATCTGTGTTAGAGAAATAGAAAAATAAATGTGACTGGAACACAGTCATCATAGAAAATATATGAAATATCAGAGAAACAGCCAGAGACCAGGCCACAAAAAGCCTTGTATGCCATGTCAGAGAGACAGAAGAAGGATTCAAGGAGCCACTGTGGAGAATGGCTTTTATGGAGAACAAGAGAGAATAAAGGGATAACATACTACAGCTACGGAAATTCAGAAGAGAGAGGATTCTAAATATAGTTTTGGAAAGAAGAGTCCCCCAGCATCTTGATCAGTGTCTGGAACACACTAGGCATTAAATACTTATAAATGCATTTTATACTTTCCCTATCATGTATACTGCTATAGTGTAATTGCTTATTTTTTTTTTTTTTTTTTTTTTTTTTGAGACAGTCTCCCACTGTCGCCCAGGCTGGAGTGCAGTGGCCCGATCTCGGCTCACTGCAAGCTCCGCTTCCTGGGTTCACGCCATTCTCCTGCCTCAACCTCCCGAGCAGCTGGGACTACAGGCGCCTGCCACCACGCCCAGCTTATTTTTGTATTTTTAGTAGAGGCGGGGTTTCACCATGTTTAACTGCTTATTTTCTTATCTCAATAATCCATTAGACCAAACTGAATAAAGGAACACTGCCCTATTTATTTCCTTTATAGTAGTTACTGCTATTTAATAACAATACTTTTCTCTTCTCCCAAAACGAAATTCTATTAGGCTGGTGCAAAAGTAATTGCAGTTTCTGCCACTGAAAGTAATGGCAAGAACCGCAATTACTTTTGCACCTGCCTAAGTAGCTCCTCGAAAAAAAATCAGCTTAAAACACTCCTACAAATCCTGCAGGAGAAATATACTAATGGAAACTGTCAGTGCCCCTGAGAAGCAGTGCTAGTCATTGGAACTCAATTTTAAGCATTCTAAGAAGGTACTTTAAAATAAAAAGCAATAAAGGCATGTGGAAATCCTAAAAGGCATTTGATTAATGTTCATCTATAAAATGTTTACCTGGAACAAATGGCAGGATTCTATAAGAAACAGACTAAAAAGACTAAAGCCTTATTATAATATCACCAGCCACAACCAGATTAGTAAATGCTGATCAACTCTTACTCAGATTTTGGCAAACGGACTGCATAATTTGAGCTAAATGTATGCAAATGTATCAAATACGAGGTGGTAGCTATTATGAAATAATGGCTCAAGGATTTTCCTCAGGTAAAAAATATGCAGGTCAGCAGAAAATATGCCACCTATTTGGAAGATCTGAGCACAGCTATGATAAAGCATAGGAAGAAAAAAACTAAAATTAACTCCCACTCAAGTCCTATTTCCAAAGAGAAGGTTTTATGAATGATTAAGTTAGGTCCACTTGTCACTGTCTGTTAATATTTTCAATAGAATGCCACTGTATTTGAGTAACTTCCCTTTTCTAAAGTCAATTCACTTTGTTTATGTGAATACAAAATTTTAACTGTCATAAATTAACATTTATTTTTTAAAAGCTTATGTTAAAAAATGAGCATTAAAACTCAGCATTATTTTTTCTTATACAATAAAACATCAGAAGTAGTTTTCATTTATAATTAGCTTGGTAGGTTGCTATGCTAATCAAACTACTAGAGCTAATATTAAAATCTAGGTAAAGACTGGCTAGAACATATAAAGAAATCCACATTCTTAAAGTAAGTAAAAATCTTATATATGCATATACATAAAGAATAATACCAACCAAATTAAACTTACATCATTATCTCCAGCAATGTAGAATGAGAGAGTCTGACTCCCAAGATTAAAATCAATCCAAAATTCCTCAAGTTTTTCATCTGATGGTATTTGCAGCTAATAAAATAAACATACAAAACTGGAATATACAATGATTTTAGAAATAACAGACAATTATGATGTTATATTCATGGCTAAAGCAAGAAAACAAAGCTAGAAGGAGAGAGAAGAGAAAGAACAGACAAGTATAATATTTAGATAAATTTAAAAACAATCAAATGAAATGCTACTTTAATATTTTATAAAAAATCAACTAGCTCCAAGAAATTATGAATATTCCAAGTGCTAATAAAGGTTGAAAGTACTAGTTTGAATAGATTCATACATGATAAATCAATAATGGTCTTAAGGAAACACGAGAAAAACTGGACTACAGCCTTTATTTTTCAGTTATTCTTGGCAATGAATATGCTGTTCCATAAAACTTCTCCTGGTTTCACTGTCAGATACAGAATACTAGACCAGCTACATTCATGATCTAATTACAACTATTTTTAGTGTTCTTATTCATTTTTAACTCATAATTCACTTGACTATCAAAATTCATGCAATAACTAAAATAATGTGTTAAATTAAAATTTTACCTCATATTTATCAAGAAATGCTGATAAACAAGGAAATGTAAAGACCCTGAAATAAAAAGTAGTTTAAGAAAAAAATAAATAAGCTTTCACAGCATAATCTTGTCCAGTAATAGAAATCATGCCTAGAATCAAAAGGAAATCAGGCAGTGGTCATAATAATTGAAATAAAATCATATTTCCCTCTTTAATACTTTTCAAAATACATGTTTAGTGGACATTTATGTAGAGAAAATCATATTACTTTGACAATACTACTCAATCTACCATTCTGACTAAAATGATTGCACCAAATGTTTTTGTGTGTGATATGGTTTGGTTCTGTGTCCCCACCCAAATCTCGTCTTGAATGGTACTGTCATAATTCCCATGTGTTGTGTGAGGGACCTGGTAGGAGATAACAGAATCATGAGGGCAGTTTCTCCCACACTGTTCTTGCGGTAGTGAGTAACTCTCACGAGATCTGATGGTTTTATCAGGGGTTTCCCCTTTTGCATCTTCCTCATTCTTTCTTTGCCTGCTGCTATCCACGTAAGATGGGACTTGCTCCTCCTTGCCTTCTGCCATGATAGTGAGGCTTCCCCAGCCACATGGAACTTTAAGTCCAATTAAATCTCTTTCTTTTTTAAATGTCTCAGTCTCCA
Source organism: Homo sapiens (assembly GCF_000001405.40). NCBI lineage: Eukaryota > Metazoa > Chordata > Mammalia > Primates > Hominidae > Homo > Homo sapiens. The sequence goes on from NC_000020.11 coordinate 59,913,014, forward strand.
GTATGTCTTTATCAGCAGTATTAAAACAGACTAATACAGTGTGCTATCAAATATGAGCAGAGTTTCCTAACTTAGCTTATTGTTTCCATAGAACTTAAATAAGAATACAAGTGAATAATTACATTAAAAATGGTTAAATTCACAGAATTCTTTCTTAGATACTATTTTACATAGTTAGCATATTATCTCATTTTAATCTATATCACAAACATATGAGGTAGTTATTAATATAACAGCTAAGGAAACTGAGGCATGTAAGGTTAAATAATTTGCCCAATATTAGAACAGGAAGAGAGGAACTTATGATTCAAATCAGGTAATATGACTCCTTGCACAACCCTTACAATACCGTTAATTTCTTTAGTAAGTAAAATAAATGTGAACTCATTCATCCAATAATTATGTTGAACATCTATGAGGTGCTAGGCATTGCAAATTCTGTTTTTCTGTCGTTATAAAAAAAAGATTAAAATTTATATTACACATCCTTTCATGCCCCTCAGAAAGATCCTACTTACTGTATGTTAATTATAAAGGAAGATGATTTGTTTGCTATATATTTACATTCCAGTATGTGGATGAAGGAGATGATTCAAGTAATAAATATGTCTAGATTTTTATTATCCCTCAAACATTAAATAATAATGGATATGCAACTCAGAAGTATAGTAAGCCAATTTTGAACATCTAAAGTTATTAATTAATATGAATTAAACAGAAATGAACTTTTCCCTCTAAAAAGTACAAAATAAAACAAGGCCAGTGCAGAATTATTTCAGATTACTGGTGTAGTAATTTGCTAAAATCATGTTATTGTTTTAAATTATCTATGCACATTCTACACTCCAACATAGTGTAGAGAACAAGAATAAAGTTAAATGTATAAAGATGCAACACTGGGTGCTCACTCTTGAGCTCTATTTATTTGACAGTAAATGGTTGTATCTTGCATTAAGTTTACCTTCTTTTGTCTCCAAGCATGCCATTTACAAGGTTGAGAAATATCCTGCAATCCTAATTTTAAAGAGAAATACTTTTAAAAATCATAATAATTTTTAAAAATTCACGAATTTCTGTTATTGTTATACAACTTACTGTTTCAAATTCAGAGTCCTTAATTCTTTTAAATGCCTTAGCAATAAAATCCATTGAAAACCACTGATGTGCCAGTTCTTGTCTTTGTTTTTCTGTGGTCATTCTACACAAAGCTTCTACAATGCCTACCTGTAAGTCATAATCTATTAAAAAAATAGTTAATGTTTGATTTACAATTATGAAAATTAAGTTTATAAAAGACCATATATTTTACAAGGTATTAGAATAAGCAAGAGAAATAAGAATATATTAATGTAATTGATTAATCTATTAATATTTTCTTCATATGGATTAGAAATATCTCATCATTTGAGGAATTAACACAGCCCAAATAACAAGTGTGCCAACAGAAGAAATAAGTAAAATTTAAAAAAATGTTGAGACTTCTAAATATTCAAAGACACTGCCATTTCATTATTATTAGAGATATAAAATGCAAAGTAACCCACACAGTTGTCTGTAAGTTACAAAGTCTGTTTTCCTCTTGTGTAACATGTTTACAGTTATCCCAGAGTACTTTAAACCATGATTTATTCTACATGTAAATCACCATATTAAAATTCATTCACAAAAAGCTTAGAAAATAAATTTTAAGTTATTTTAATAAACACATTGTTTAAAAACAAATCCATCAATATGAAGAATATTAGACACCCTAATTTCATAAAAAAATCTGAGGAATTTCTTAGCACAAGTAGTTCAGGTCTACTGAAAAATTAAGCCATTATATTAAGCTATTATATTAATCTATTAATTTAAGCTTTATTAATTAAGCTATTATATTAAGCTATTAAATTAAGCTATTAATTTAAGCTATTAAGCTATATTATTCATAAGTCTACCATTAGGCACAAATTGTATGTATCTAACGCCTACTGTCATAAATTATTTTTGTCCCAGACAAATTTCATGTATATTTATTAAAAATTGCTTAATTGTACATAATGTTTATAATTCCCTCAGTCTCACATTGCTATGCTAATATTTAAATTAAAAAGATACTATCTGCTATTCATAAATATGGAATAATTTTAGATTTGGAAAAGACATACTTACCTCCAGCATCTAAAATCCTTTCTCCCATACTACTCCTGTGAATTAAAATAACAGATTACAAAATAGACCAGTATCAATTAAATAGGAAGTCCACATGTTTAGGAGGAAAAGAAACTTCACAAAAATTTACAATTGGCTAATATCATCGACTTTTGCAGAAATTATATGCATACACTAAATTATATTAAAAAGCTGCAACAGTTTATCAGTTTCATTATTAATGCAAACTCATAGTTGTCTGTCTTATAAAACATTCTTATGGATTTTAAGAATAAAAACCATATAAGTACAGATTATTACATGAGAATTAACATTTCTTGGTTAGAGAGTATTTTCCGGGCATCTTGAGGCATTTTGTCAAGCATAGCATTCATTTTTTTTATAATCTAGAAAAGAAAAAAAGATAATGCATTAACTTTACATTCAGTGAAACACTATTAAGAGAAATATTCTAGGCACATAAACTTAGAAGCCTAATTTTTTCTTAATCACTGAGTTTTATTATGGGAATGGAGTAGGATGGAGGAAAGAATATATAAAGTATAAAATAGGCCAGGCATGGTGGCTCACTATAATACCAGCACTTTGGGAGGCCAAGGCGGGCGGATCACTTGATGTCAGGAGTTCGAGATCAGCCTGGCCAACATAGTGAAACCCCGTCTCTACCAAAAATACAAAAATTAGCTGGGCATGGTAACACGTGCCTGTAATCCCAGCTACTCGGAAGGGAGGCAGGAGAAGCGCTTGAACCTGGGAGGCAGAGGTTGCAGTGAGCTGAGATTGCGCCACTGCACTCCAGCCTAGGCAGATAGAGCAAGACTCTCTCAAAAAAATAAAAATAATAAAGTATAAAATAATGAATATAAAAACAACATAAACTATAGAATATCAAAAATAGAATATAACATGACTCCGATACTTAAAGCACTTGTACTTTTTGCAATAAAACTTGTATTTATTTTAACTCCATTATAAGATCTGAGGAAGCCAAAAAATGTTACTTTATTTTGTTCTTATGATTATAGTACATGTACACACATACATATACTAATACAGATTATTTTTAGCATTTAAATACTTAAGCACCCCAAAAATCTGGTTGGTATAATTTATTTCCACTTGAGCTATATGCACACATAAACCCATATGGTTATAAATTTTCAGTAAGTATTTCGGAAATATGTCAGGCAATAGATTATGATAGAAATATACTCCAAGCTAAGTAATTTTGTCCTACATGAAATAAATTGTCAATTTAATTGCTATTGATTTTCTTCACGTTCTCATTTTTAGTTTTTAAAACACAAATAAATGACTTTACCTCTTGCTGAATACAAATATTCACTCTTGAGTCAATAACCAGGGAACAAATGCGAGGTACGAAACTTTCCACTACTTGTTTTTTACCTGAATAAAAGTGTTAAATTATTGATAAATGTTCATTTCAAATCCTCTTAACTGTCAGTCTTTTCTTATAAGAGTTAGTGGAAAGGGGCCAGGCATGGTAACTCAGGCCTATAATCCTAGCACTTTGGAAGGCCCAGATAGGTAGACTGCTTGAGCCCAGGAGTTTGAGACCAGCCTGGGCAACATGGCAAAATCCTGTCTGTACAAAAATTAGCCGGGCACCTGTAATCCCAGCTACATGGGAGGCTGAGGTGGGAGAATCACCTGAGCCCAGGAGGTCAAAGCTGCAGTGAGCCGTGATCGTGCCACTGTACTCCAGCCTGGGTGAGAGTGAGACCCTGTCTCAAAAAATAAAAATAAATAAAGAGTTAGTGGAAAGGATATACTACTGCAGTTCAGAAGAAGGCCCACCAGGGCTTGGGGATGAGAAAGAATGAAATTAAGTCCTAATTCTACTTGGCCTTGCAAAAAACACCACTCAACAAATGTGACTGATTTTAATACTGTCAAGGGACAACTCTAGATCTAGTTTCTAACTGCAGGCACATAAGGAGGTATTTATTTTTTTTTTTAGATTAAGTAAATATAGTTCAAAATTGAAAACTTCAATTCTAAGGCTTTTACCAAAACTGACCTCATTAATTTTTAGTTATACATCAAAAATTTTTATACCCATAAAGACCAACACATCTTAACCCCAATGAAGTTCTAAATGATGTGAGCCCCTTTTACGTTAACGCATTTTTGAAAGATGAGGCTTTATCAATACTAAGTATATTCAGAGGAATGTGTACATGCTGTTTCATAATGCAAATTTTAAAAATAACTTTAAACAATGGAAATACTGTAACAACAAATGTACAGTTTTCCAAAGTGACTGCATAAAAAGAAAAAAGTACTCAGATGAAAAGATACAATTATTTACTTTAAAAATCAGGTGGATCACTTTACAATTGCTGGTGCTTTAGGATTTTTTCCCTAAAAACTTAAAAATTTAGACTACATTGTTATGTAGCAAAAACAATCAACGAAGAGGTAGGATTAATTATTATTTAAATCAATGGCAATCTGTTTAAAACTTTTTGGCTCTGAAGACAACAAGTACCTTTATTTATAAATAATTCACCAGCCTCATTGACCAATCCTAGGTAAGTCTTCTTCAATCAACACAGAGCTAAAATAAGTTGGATCTGATTGCTTGGCACAAGCAGGCCACAAGTCAAAGAATGAGTAGGAACATATTCTGTATTCTCAATTTACTATTGAAAATTTGTTCCATTAGATCAAAGGTTGGCAAACTATGGCCCACGAACTAAATGCAACTCACTGCCAGTTTTTGCATGACTGTATTACTCACCAGCAAGTGCTCTGTGAAAACTATTTGAATCTATCATGTTTTATTAAAACAGTAGTGTCAAAGGTGAACATCATTCACTCTTGTCAGTTTACCCATGGTCAGTTCTTTGAATTTTTGTCAGAAGCAGAAGCTGAGTATTCTGACTTTCCCTACCACACAGCAGTCCAATGGCAGTGGGGTTTTATTGTGACTTTTTGATATCCAGCACCAAGACTGAAATTTTTCTGAACAAGAGCTGTCCTCAACCTTTATTGCTGAATACTGAATGGCTTTGGTAATTAGCACTGGCTGCAGAGTTGACAATGTTTCTAAATGAACTGGGCACAAAATTACAAGATAAAATTATGCTTGCATCATGAACTTAACACTGCAGTGAAGTCATTCTGATAACTAAGGTGATCTGAAAGGCAAGCAATGCTATGCTGCTTTATACACTTCACAGACTGTCAAAACAGGAAGCAACATCTCCATTTCCACACAAATTTGCAGGGAATATATTTTTTCCAAACTCCAACTACAGGTCTAGCAGTGTTTTTGGGCTTTGTTGTAAGTACAAAGGAAATTTCCACATTTCAAAATCCATTTAATTGTGCAACTGGGAAGCTTCCACATAACCTTCAATTGGAAGTGATTAATTTGCAATGCAATGACATTCTAAAATGCAAATGTTAAGAACCTAACAATTCTATTAATGCCTTTCAAGTGATGAACACGCTCAATTAAAAGCATGCTTATGCACTGATATCAGTATTTGGCATTGTCTGCATGAAAAGCCATTTTCTAATGTGACATACATAAAACCTCATTATAGACAGGGATTAACAAATGAACATTTACAATCAATTTTGAAAACAGAACACTAACTCTGAACCCTAATTAAATGAAATGTTATTCTCTCGCAAAAAGAATGCAAGTTTCATTATTAGTAGACCTATATTACAAAAAATTGTACAACTATTATATTTTCAATGGCATCAATAAATTATTCATAGAAATTTGTTTTTCTTTCTTGTTATACAAGTACCCTACATAATATTCTTAATTGTTTTTCTCTTGGACTACAAAGTCTAAAATATTTATTATCTGGCCCTTTACAGTAAAAGTTTGTTGATCCTTGAATCAGATAATGAGTTCTTAATACTAGGACAACACAATGGGAATTGTAAAATTATACTAAAACTCTAACAGTAAAATTTATTGTTCCAATAGAAAATAAGTGTTTATTATACCTTCATCACTGACATCATGTATGACCTGAAAAAAAGTGAATAATATTTAATTTACAAGTTACTATATATTACAAACCATTACAATATTATAAACCATTACAAATGGTATTGAAATGACAGATTACATTTTAACTCAGAGCATAATTACTTTTTATTAACTAACCATTTAATTATATTTACCAGAATAAATGCTTTATACAATCTGAACAGACCAATCCAACCAAGTCACCAACCAATCTGTTAGTGACTTTTAGGCTCAGGGCACAGAGAACACAAATTGTTTTTTAAATAAACACATGCTTTATAAATATCAGTGTAATCAATGTGATTTTTACCAGCAGAAGATCAACTAAGTCTTCTATCATATTTAGAACAGCTTCATCTTTTGAATTTCCTTGACTCTGAATAATGTCCTTGGATTTTTCAAACCAGGCAACCATGTAAAAAAAGGAATGAACTTATTAGAGTTCCATTTTAATAATTTTAAGAATGTACTTATCTATCTTTGCATAAACAGTAAACCTAGGAATAAAGACACATCAAAATTAAAATTTTAGTGTTGTATCAAAATAAATTCATGTTTTTAAAGATCTTCCTTGTTTTTTTTTAACTATCTTTTCCCATTGTTTAAAATGGGAATAGATGAAGTTAATTTTGATTCCATGTAGAAGATCCTTATTTCTCCTTCAAATTCCTAGTTAGGGTACGTTTATTATAATAGAAGGAAGTAAATTATCATCACAATTTAGACCATTTTGATATTGTTACTATATGAAAAGTTTTCATATTATTTTACCTTAATTTAGATATTTGAGTACATACATCTCAGATACTATTCTAGGTGCCAATAATGTAGCAATGAACCAAAGAGACAAAAATCAATACCCTACATGCTAGCATGGGAGACAGACAAACAATATAAAAACAAAAAATGAAGTTAGATAATAAGAGTTAAAGAGACAATAAAGCAAGTCAAGGCCTTAGGGAGCTTAAACTCACATGATTACCAAGGAGTCTGTCTTTGTACAGTTTGTGATCTTTATATTTGTAACATATATCACAAGTTATAGAAATGTTTTATTCCCAAAATTGTACATAAAGTTCCTAAATTTATTTTCAACAATTTGGATAATTTCTTACTAGAAAGCATATCTTTTATAATATTTCATTCACATGAATATGTTACATATTCTATACTTATCTTTTGTATTAGTCCTTGTTTTATCATCGTTAGAAGTCCAGCTTGCCCCAATACACTGATATTTTTGCCACATCTTCCAACAGAAACCAAAATGGCTGAAACATTGTGGATATCCTCTTTATTAAGTTCCTGAAATAAAAGGTATACATTAAAATTTCTGTAAACACAAAACAGTATGAAATAGACATTGTACAAGGAGTGTTACACATATATTTTAATCTTCACAAATCCTGAAAGATGGTCATTTTAATCATCTCTATATTGCAACAGATGAAAATGTGGTTTAAGAATGTGACCTGCCCAAAGCCATACAGTCAGGGAATGACAAACTCAGGACAAAAATGGAAATCTGTATAAATCCAAGAAACTTTATACTATGATACAATGAATCAGCAACTTTCCATTCTAAAAAGCTCCATGTATTTAACTAACAGAAACAAGAAATTTTTATTCAATTTCTTGGATTCATAATGAATCTCAGATACTGGGGTAAGGGGATTATCAATAATCACCTTTTCTCATGTATGAAAATGCCTTAAATATGATTAAATTCAAAGTTTGGGGTGATTTTTCTATGTTTTAGTTTTGACAGAAGTAGGCATTGCCTATGTAACATCAAGTATACACTGATAGGTTTTTTTTAAAAATCTATGAACTTGTTTAAACTTCAAAGAGCTAAAGTATTTTTTCCCCAGTTTCAGCCACAGTTAATAGTAAAGCCCTTGTGAACACATATTTTTGTATATTTTATTTGGGAAATGACATTCCAATGTGTTGAGATTCCTCAAACAAACAAACAATAATAAGCAAATGGTGAAATAAGCATTTATTTATATAATTATGACTGAGCTTGCCCAAGCCTATTCATTTTTTTCTAATGGAGTACTTCCTTCTAAAACTAGAGTTCTATCTAATAATTGTAACAATCATTCAGCAAAAATGAATATTTACCCTGCATATAAGGTTGTCCACCTTGTGGAAAAACTGTTTGCTGCATTTAATCTTCACATCTTCACAAATATCAATTTGCAAAAGTGTTTTCAAAGGTTTGAAATCATTTTTTCTTAAAGCATCATCAATGCATTTTTCCAACTGCTAGAGAAATATATTTAATGGCACATACTGTATCAAAACCAAAATTAATTACCTTATGCAATCTAGTAATTTGAGAACCGTTTTCACATGAAAACTCTCAAATGAACTCATAAAATATTAATTCACGTATTTTTTAAAAATATGGCCACTATTAAATTTGGAACAACTGAATTAGAAATTACATTTCTTTGATAATATGATTAGAAAAAAATATTTTATTAATATTTCCAATTCATATCTTTTATTACTAAGGTCATCTTTATGTCAACCTCAACAGAAACTTGATGAAAAAAGCAAAAAAATTTTAAAGTAACGAACACTTAAACCAAGAATAAAAGCCTAGCATACCTGACTACTAATCTCTTAACGGGGTTGAAATAGTAAAGAAAAAAATACATAAAGACAGGCAAAAGCACCTTTTAGAAATTATGCCAACTAACATAAATTAAGCATTACCATTATATAATATTTATAACATTATTAAAATCTGCCATCCTTGCTATTAAAGTACAACTTCATTAATAACAAATGTTCATACTACAACCTGATCACTAAACAGGTTTGGCTGTGAACTGCATACATGTTGAATAGATTATTAACACTTACACTTTACCTAAATACACAATATCTTAACCTCTAAAACTTAATACAAAAATATCCAAGCATAAATTATGCATGAATCAGTGCATAATTCTTTTCAATGTAAAAGGTAGGTATAAAGAATCAGCATTTTTAATACTTTATAAATATTCTTAACATAGCTTTTGCAAACATCTAATGAATACATGAAAGGACACTTTATTTAAACTATTCTTGACCATTTCATAAAAACATGTAAGCTTTATCATTGCTAAAAACATAGCACTGAATACCTATAAGTAAACAAAAAGTGATTTTCAGAATGAAAATACTTACTTTTGGTCTAGGACTACATACCTGGAGATCTGGTCTTATTGGCATTTTGACTTCATTTAAAAAAAAAAAAAAAGCAAGACAAAATAAACACCTATAAAAGAAAACATATATTTTCTGTATCTCACAATCTGTTTCATGTGTTTATCAGTTTAAATATCTTACACACATAAATATGCATTTGTTATTTATACCAAAGGCAACATTAACTTCCTCACTAAACACCTGTTTATTAAATTACACATTTGAATATGATCAAATAAGTTTCTAGAGAAAAGCCTGAAGATCATTTAGTCAAGCTCTTCCTTTTTATAGATTACTTAAATTAATGTCAAATATCCTGCCAAAAGGTCACAAAGCTAGTTAGTGAAAGAATAACCTGGATCTCCCTTTCCAGTGATTCCCTGCTATACTTGTTCCACCTCTGAGAACAAGGAAAAAAAAAAACTCTTGAATTAATGTGCAAATGAAATTTGGGCTATTAATATTCAAGAAAGGAGGAATATGCAGATATACTAACAATGAACAGGATCAAAATATGCAAGGAAAGGAGTGAGGAAAAGATAACTCAAATGCATTTCATATGTCCACAAGAGTGTTCAGGAAAGAAAGAACTCCCAGTTTCTGGTTGAATGCTGAAATTAAGGTGAGGACCTCACTTTCCCAAAGTTATCTGGGTCCTTAAAGACCATGGGATGCAAATACAAATAACTGCCACAAATTAATATATTGCAATATGGCTAATAGAAAATATCCACCAGGTTCTAAAGAGAGATTCCATGCTTATGAAAACAGGACCAAAAATAGATTAAATCACTTCAAACAATCCTATCTTGTGTGTTTCTGACAAAGATCAAAGATAAACGTCATTGATTCTCCCTGCCATGAACACCTAAGGAATTAACATTATTTTGGTCAAGAAAATGCAAATCATTGCTGTAGTCTTCCTCAAAGCTCTGTATCCCTATTGTGTTTTGTAGAATATGCATAATTATTTGCCTGTCTTTTTTGGAACAAAGTACTAAGGTTATTCTGAGAGGAACCATGTGCCTGATAGTATTATTCATTTATAAATAATAAAGTCTGATGATTATGTTTCTTACCATCTCATTTTAATAATTATGGGAATTTTTTTTTTAAATATTGTATGTTACAAAACTCCATGTCTACAAAAAAATTTTTTTTTAATTAGCTGGGTATAGTGGTGTGTGCCTGTAATCCCAGCTACTCTGGAGGCTGGGGTGAGAAATTGCTTGAGCCTAGAAGTTGAAGGTTACAGTGAGCTATGACTACAACACTGTACTCTAGCCTAGTCAAGAGAGGGAGACTCTGTCTCTAAAATAAACAAAAAGAATGCATGTCATCATTTCTAAGGTAACCACTAAATGAGTAGTGAAAGAATACGTAACTACTAAGCTAAGTGTGAGGAGGGAGGCTGTAATGTTTTCATTTTAATCAATCCAGAGAGAGAGAGAGAAACAGAAAGAGACCCAGAAGAAGAAAGAAAAACAGACAACACAAAGTAAGGTGATAGATTAAAAGTTACATATCAATAATTACATTGAAAGTAAAATATATTAAATACTCTGAAGAAGTAAGAATGTCACCCTCCCAATATGCTGCTCTGACATATTGACTATTTTAAATTAAAGGCACTCAACAAAAAACAGCAGGTACAAGATCACTCCCACCTTCATTCTGTTTCCTAAAAGCAGGAAATGAAATTCCCATGTGAAAGATGTCCTCTCTATACCAAAAGAGAAGTAATCTTATAATTAAGGAGGGGAAGTTAAAATTAAGAAAATCTGTACAACCAAACTTTGTTAAACCCACTCCTATCTTCCTAGTCATTTCTCCACCCAATTAACTACCCTAGCCTAAGGCCTCTTTGCCTTATCTTAGTTCACAACTTACTATTCTTTGTCCAATTCAGTATATAACTGACCCTAACTACTTCTTTGGGTCTTCATGTTCTTATGAGGGATCCTGTGTCATGTAAAACATGTATTAAAGAAATTTGTGTGTTTTTCTCCAGTTGATCTGTCTATGTCAATTTAACTCTAAAAGGGAAGAGGTAAAGTTTTGCCTCCCCTACAACTCCAATTAAAAGGCAGATTGTCCTCAAAGGATCAGTGCTTGAGGGATGGATACCCCATTCTCCATAATGTGCTCATTTAACATTGCGTGCCTGTATCAAAACATCTTACATACTCCATTGACACCTACTATGTACCCACAAAAATTAAAAAGAAAAAAGTTGGATTGTCGGGTAGGTTAATCATTTTTAAAACTATATGCTGTCCAAAAATATTATATTTTAAGAGATATACCTTAAATAAAGGGCTACAAAACAGTTGGAAATAAAAAGAAAAGATAGCTACCACACAAACAAAAGAAAGCTAATAAAACTATATTACTGTTGGATTTACCATAAAAGTCCAACACAGATGGTACTGAAAAGAGAATCCAGAAACAGACCTATACACATGACTTGACTTATGATCAAGGTAGAACATAAAGCAGTAAGGAAAGGGTAAGATAATCTTTTCAATTAATCTATACTGTTCAACTGGATGTTCATAAGAAATATAACAAAACCTCACTACTTCATACCATCTCATACCATATGCAAACACCATTTCCAGGTGGAATGAAAATTGAGAACAATTAAGTTTCTAGAACATAATATATTAGAACATCTTCATGACCTGCAATAAGCAATAAGCAAGATTATAAAAAGCTCTAACCATAAAAGACAACTGATAAGTTGGACAACCTTAAAATCAGAAACTCTTGTTCAATGAGAACACATGGATACAGGGAGGGGAACAACACACACTGGTGCCTGGTGGGGCAGCAGGAGGGAGAGCATTAGGAAAAATGGCTAATGCATGCTTAGTTTAATACTTACAGGTTGATAGGTGCAGCAAACCACCATGACACACATTTTCCTATGCAACAAACCTGCACATCTTGCACATGTAGCCCAGAACTTAAAATAACCTATTGATTTTCTCAATCCATGAGCATAGGATTTAACAAAAGAAAGAACTCTGTTGGAAAACATCATTGAGAGAACAAGGCAGGCCACACAGATGAAAGTATTTTTCTCTTGTACATTATTCACATGTGTGAATATTCACAACTGTTACTAAGTTATCTGGTTATCAGTTAATGTAAACATACTCTTGGAAACATGAACTGAATAAAAGGGTCCTATTTTGGCACCTCAGCCTATTTAATGTCATAGCCTCTGACCTTCCACCTTCAAAAGAGTCTATAACTCTGACCAGTTGCCTCACTTGTTAACGTATTGCCCTGGTAACAAGGTTATAATTGACATCTTTGATTCCTAAATGTTTTAAATAGAGGGAAGATTTCCTCATCAAACAGAGGATTACTGGGACTACTACTGCTCCCAAATGCATGTAGGTACTATAATTTATTATCAATCTGTTAGATTTCTTTTTTTAAGAAAACCAGAAGTTCATGAGTGTTCATTTAGATGAAGTGAAGCAGAACAATACTGCCTGCTTTAAAACCTCACTAGTTTGTCAAAACCTCACAGAGAACTGTGGAAATAATAGCTCTGAATTTATGTTTGTCTATAGGCTCAGAATTCTTCCTAACCCCACCTCCTAGTATTAAGGAAACAAACTTTAGAAGTAACAAAAGCAGCTTCCATTCAGGAATCTGCTGGGAGACAGTCTCCAGCCAAAACAAATATGGATTGAAGGAGGAACCTTCTCCTGTAAGACAGGTTTCATAAATCCAATAAATTCCATAAGGGATGGAATTGTGCCAACTGCCTCTGTAACAAGAAGAAAAATGTTTGCTCACAGCTATGTGTGGACTCTCACTGTATTAATTTCCTAGGGTTGCCTTAACAAAGTGCCACAAACTGGATGGCTTAGAACAGCAGAAATTATCTCAGTGTGGAGGCAAGACGTCTAAAGTAAAGGGGTCAGTAGGATCATACTCCCTCTGAAAGTGCTGGAAGAAGGATCTTTAAGCTTCTGGTAGCTGCCGACATTCTTTGACTTGTGGCAGTATAAATCCACTCTCTGCCTCCTTTATCACATGGTATTCTTCCTTTTACTTTTCACATTGTCTTCTATGCATATCTGTATCCAAATTTCCCCTTTTTATAAATATATATTGGGTTAGGGCCCACCCTAATAACTTAAATAATAAGTTAATAACTTAACTTGGTTAAATGCAAAAGACCCTATTTCCAGAAAAGGTCACATTCTGAGATACTGGGAATTAGAATCTCACATATCTTTTTAGGGGAACACAATTCAACCCATAACAGTCACTACATAAAGCCCAAACTTAATATTGGAATGCCAAAAACATGGGATTCAAAGAAGAAATAAAAGTTGAGGTTTTGAATGTACTGGGTGGGGAAGGAAAACATGTCATATAAGAGCTAGTAACCAGGGCAGCCTGGGTTACCCCCTTGCACATAAGGCAGCAATGCCATTACAGGGTGACATAATTATAGAAATTTTCCTCAAATGTAGTGCCAAAATTAGCCTCTTGCTGAAATATTTTCTCCATTTCAATTAAAGTGAAACAAGTCAGATTCTGGATAACTGACAGAGACTGGTCTACTGGAAATATATACCAGAACTTTGGCATTGGACAAACAGTTTCTGAGAACATATAACTGGTACTTCCTTTCCATGGAAAACAGCTGAAGCTACAGCTGATGAAAGAACTCCAACTCCACCAAAGAATCTGACTGCACTTGAACGTAATGAGATTTGTTGAGAATGTGTCTTTGGGACTTAAAAGTTTTGGCCTTTAGACTTTTAAATTCAGAAGCACAAAAAAAGGATTCTGGACACTTAAATCTTTCAGTCCTTGGTCTTTAACTTGTAAAGGGTTTTAATCTTGCAACCTTAATGTTCCCTGAGATGTTCAAAACAGAAAATCTTTACATTCAAATTTGTTGGCATTTTACTGCTGAAACATCTTTATGTATTGCCAAATACCTTTGTTCAGTATAGTACATCAAAGGCTCTACCATATATCTAGAGATAATTTGGAATGGGAAGTAAAACAGTGACATTTCTGCCTCAGATATAGAGTGGCATTAGGTTTCAATTTTCTGTTCTAACCCAAAGTAGAATCTTCTTCCAGGGTCAACATCTAAAGTTCTTCCACAATCCAAAGAGAATACCCAAAAGAAGGTAATGGCCTCATGAAGAAAGGAAAAGAACCATCCAGATAAATCTCCTCCAAAAAACAGGTTAATAATTAAGTGAACAAAAAGCTAGGAAATGTTAGAGAGAAATACCTTTTCCCTACTCCTAGCTTCCGTGAGAAAGACTGAGTATACCATCGGCCTCTCTCTATTTCTTTAATTTACATCACCACTGAGGAGCTGGAAATATTTGATTGGTAAATTTGGGAAGGAAAATGAGCCAGGCTCAGCTCAGGCTCACCCTTTTGTTTACATGAAAACTGAAAGAGGAGTTTCATGTTGTTTTCAGTTTTGTTCCTTCTGGAAGCTCTGCCCCTGTGAGAAAGTCAGTATTTTGTTCTGTCCTTTTTTTCTGGAGTCAATACAGTAAGCTTTCTCTTCCAGGGTGGAAGGTGAAAAATGCAGGGCTGGAAAGGTCTAACTCAATTACCTTGCAGTGCCTTGGGCAGTAAGTTTGCTCAATTCTGGAGCTCAGTATTAGCAAATTCACTAGGCCAACAACCTAAACTCACACCCATGAACCTAGCCAATATAGGACTAATGAAGGTTACGTTTCTTTTCCTACTCTGTCAGAACCCAGGAAGAAAGAGGAATGCTGTTTATCAGAGGACCTTTGAGAGATTCCAGCGAGGCTCAACATAAATATCTACAGTGTTCCTTTTTATATTAGCAATAATCAGACAATTGCATTTTTTAATATAAATAACTAAAATGAATAAATCTAACAAAAAGATCTTAACAAGAGATATGAATACATGGAGTTGTTCCTATTCATTAATGGAAGGACTTAACATTATAAAACCATCAATGCTTCACTAAAATAAACATCTGAATTTCTAAACTCCAAAGCAATTCCAGTAAAAATCACAAAATAATAATTTGAGAGATTTGGCTAATTCTTTTAAAACATGTATGGAGGAATAATGCTGCTCTAATACTAAAATAACTTTTAAAATATTAGAGAAGAAAAATCACCTTATTTGATATTAAAACATATTACAAAGTCACAAGAAATAACTATAAACAGTGAAGTATTAAGAATGGAAAACAAATGGATCAATAAAACAAAACAGAATTCAAACACATAAGCATATATTGGAAGTTCATATTTGAGTCAGATGGTTTCGCAAATCGGGAAAGGTAAACTGGTCAATAAATGGTCTGGGAAAAGTGACTTGGCATGTGGAAAAAATAACATTAGAAATCTATTTTGCCATAAAAAAATAAGGTCTAGATAAATTAACTACATGAATGTAAAAAGTAAATGTTTATAAACTATTAGCAGAAAATTCAGGAGGCTATCACTAAGATGTTCCAAGAGGAAAGAATTTAAAACAAATGCACAAAACATAAAAAGTAATAGATTTTAACTTTTTGTGCATCACTGTTTGTAAAAGAGAGGCAGCATACTAGGAAGACATTTGCAATGGAATAAGAGACTAAGGATTAACATAAAAAGTATTATTATGAAGAACTTAACAAATCAAGGAGGAAAAAAAAGCAATAACCCAACAGCAAAAATGGAAAAGAAGAAGAGGTCATTCAGAAAGTAAAACTCAACTGGCTAATAAAGAAATGAAAATGCTACCTCCATGGTAATCAGAATGCTAGTAAAACAATAACCAGTCCCCTCTCCACCATCCACCATATTGGCAAAAACTAAAGAGACTGATACTACGAAGTCACAGTGGGAATAAAGGAAATTGGAAATCATGTATGTACTCCTGGTGGGAAGCAAATAACTGCACTTTGAAAAAGAGTTTGATAGCATTGGGTAAAAATGTAAACTTGAATACCATATGACACAGTAGTTCCACTTCTAATTTTACACTTTAGAGAAACTCAGAAGCACAAAGGGAATATAAAAATATTTACTGAAGCATTTCTTCTAATATCAAGAAACTGAAAACTGCCTCTGTCAGTGTGTTGGGTGAGGAGGTAAACATGAAATGTGGTGAGTGATGCAACTGAATTCAGTAGCTGAATATAATGAAGAAGATCTGTATCTCAGAATATGGTGCATCTCAAACACAATATAAAGCATAAAAAATGCAGAATGAGATAATAGAAATTCTTTATGTAAAATCTAAAGTATACTTAATAAAGGCTTATATGCACTGTTATTGATATGTGTATATCTGTGTAACACCAGAGGATACTTTATTAAAGAAGGATACAAATACTGGGCATATGAACATTGGATGATTTGCACAGGTAAAGAAAATAACCCTAGGGATAGGGAATAAAATGGACCAAAAGACAAAAAAAAAAAGAGAATTTTAATTATTTATTTAGAGGAGTGTAGTAAAGCATGGTGTCTAGACTGAGAATACAATTGATTAAATTAACTTAATTCTGTTTCCTAAGGTTCAACATACACTCATATATACCCTTTCAATCACCACAACCATTAGGACAGAGCAAAAGGGGCCCCTGCTATGCGCTCTATATAGTGTAATCTCTTTCTCACTATCTCTTATTACTGAGCACACAGGCATCTCTATTAGCTCAAAATCCAGGACTCAGCCCTACCCCCAGAAAGTCTATAACCATGAACACATTATTCATTCTCATAACTCTATCTTTCAGGCCCCTGAACTTCCTTTGCCTATGCCTATGAAAGAAGAGGACTGCAATTAATTACACTATTCTGCTTACTTTACGTATGTCCGAATTTTCCATAATAATAAAAAAAAAATGCTTAAAGAAGTCGGGGAGTGTGAAGCCACAATTGAATACAGAGAAGGTTTCAGATTGTGCTAATGCTAACATTTTAGTCTCTGCTTCAGAACAAAGATAGCATGTGAGCAAGTGCTTAGGTAAGAGAAAAGAGATATTGTCAAATCCTTCCCCTGCAAAGCAAGAACACAGATGATTCTTGCATGACAAGATACTACTTCTTAACAGTGCCAAATGCCCATCTTCTTCCTTCTCTTTTTACTCCAATTTGTGACTCTAGAAATACTAGCAAATTAGTGCACAGTATTTGCAACAGTAGCACATGGTGGCTGAGGAACATTCTGTAGTAGTAAGCAATCTATATTAATATATATGTAGATCTAGACATGAACTACGTGAACATGATATGGACTCTTTAGACAGTAAGCAAACACTAAAATAGTGAATAAATGTATTGTTATAATATTTAATAATATGCAATTATTCAAAAATAAGCAATTCCGGTGTTATTAAAATTTTTTAAGGAAACAATTACAATTCTACAATAATTTTAATATTTAAGAATTTTTTAAAGAAAAATACTTTTTACACCTATTTTATGTTTGTGATATAAACCCAAATTTGATACATTTTGAGTATAACACATTTTGAGTAATTACAGTTTTAACCCTTAGATCATGGCTGTCAATAGTAAATAAGTAAAAGTCTTCATTATAACATGATTTTTAAAATAAAAATGAACTATATATAGTAACTTATGAATTATGTAAGTATTTTATCACTTATTCAAAGATTACCAGTCCATCATCAGATATCCATAATAAATGCATTCAGTTATCTTTGGTACTTTTCAGGATTCAGTCATAAAAATAATAGCCTTGGCTGGTGGCTTATGTCTGTAATGCTGGTGGCTAGCACTGTGGGAGGCCCAGGCAAGAGGACTGCTTGAGCCCAGGAGCTCCAGACCAGCATGGGCAACATGGTGAGATCCTATTTCTACAAAAATAAAAGTTAGCCTGGCCTGGTGGATCGCAGCTGTGGTCTAGCTAATCAGGAGGCTGAAGTGAGGTCCAGGTTTCAGTGAGCCATGTTCACGCTACTGCACTCCCACCTCGGCGGCAGAGCAAGACCCTGTCTCAATAATAATCATCATAGCCATACATGTAGTTTTCTGTTTTGATGCAGTGAAGGTGTATTTGTGAAATTTGAGACTATTTTATTTTACAATGTGAAAACTTGATTTAAAACTTTAAATACTTAAAATATGTTGTGGGGGCTCCATTTATACTCTTACCCTAGGGCCAGCAACTGTTGAGGCAGGCTTGCCCATTAGCTATGCTTTATCTGTTTTCAGAACTAAAGCAATTTGAAACAGTGTATTTTACAAAATGCCCTGAGACATTAATTACAGCACAGAAAAAAGTACAGCCAAAGAGGCACATAAAGCTAACAAGATGGTTTTAGTTTCTAATCTACTTTTGCACGAAGTCAGTTGGGGAAAAACAAACCAAGGAAAGCAAACTGAATAATCAGGTTACACACACACACACACGCATGCCTCAAAGCTGAATGCATACAGGCCACAATAGAGTCAAAAGCACAGCACTATCCACAACATCAAACAAGTTAACATTTGCAAGTGAAAGAGAAGGCTAACTCTAAAAAGAAACAAAAGTTATACACTTATTTTTTCCAGCCTCATAAGGAAACAATTTAAAAGATCTTTAGGAACTACTACTATGTAACAGAACGACTTCGGAAACCGAGAACAGAATAATAATGTTTCAAGAGAAGCGTGGATTTACCTGACAAGTAAGCAGGCTCTGGGCTCCAGTCTACTGAACTGGGGGACTGGTTAGCGAGCAACACAGAGAACTAGTAAGATGATGATTGTGTATCTGCAGGCAGATAAAAGCGTTACGGATAAAAACAACAACAAAGAAAACAATTTGGCAGATGGGGGAGGCAAAGATTTTCCCCCAAAGGAAAAACTGCTGAATGAATGCAAGCAGCAGTAGATAATTCAAAGTCCCCTCTGCCCTGGTAACTAACATAGCTAAGGTGTCCAAAAAGACATTAAAGGTGAATGAAGGGGAGGGAAGGCGTCCTCCTCCTCCCATCATTACTAAAAAATGTAGGCCGGGCGAGGTGGCTCACACCTGTAATCCCAGCACTTTGGGAAGCCGAGGCAGGTGGATCACCTGAGGTCAGGAGTTCGAGACCAGCCGGGCCAACATGGAGAAAACCCGTCTCTACTAAAAATACAAAATTAGCTGGGCGTGGTGGCGCGCCAAGTAGTCCCAGTTACTCCGGAGGCTGAAGCAGGAGAATCGCTGGAACCCGGAAGATGGAGGTTGCAGTGACGCGAGATCGCACCACTAAACTCCAGCCTGGGTGACAGAGCGAGACTCCGTCTCGGGAAAAAAAACAACAAAAAAAAACCACGCTGCCGTATTCGCAGATGCTCGGCCAGCCTGGAGCCCGGTCCAGAAAAGGCCGCACGTGGAGCCACGTGTCGCGCATTGAGCCGCCGCGGGACGCATCAGGCCCAGCTGCGCGGAGGGGCTGGCGGCCTCAACCGCAAGGAGAGGCCGCAGGTGGGGACGGCGGGAGGGAGAGAAGGGACTGAAGGCGCCGAGCAGGAGGAAGGTTTTGCGCGCACTCCCTTCTTCCCTAAGTGGAACCGGCAGTGGCAACAACGAGGCCGAAGGCGAAGTCCCTGCTCCCACCGCCGGCACGGTGACCCTTTTCCCAGGGTCACCCCCGAACCAACAAAGCACACACACACCCGAGATGCGCCCCAGGCCGCAGCGCCAACCCCCCTTCAGATGTCCCGGAGACAGGCGAGCAGCGGTCCCCAGGGCTCCCGTCGCCACCGCTTCTCCCGCACCCCTCAGCCTCCTCGGGCCGGCGACGCGCGCAGCCCCAGGCCTGCTCCCCGCTCGCCAAGCGCACCGCCCCGCGCCTCAGCCACCTTGACCGAGTCGCCCACGCGCGGGGGCGGCTCCGAGCGCCCATTTCCCATCCCCGAGGCCGAGGCTGGCCAGGCAGGTGCTGATGGGGAGCCTCGCGCCTGCGCGAGCCACCCTCGCCGCGAACTCTGCACAGCCCACGCCCTGGCCCAGCCTCGGCGCCTCCCCTCCGCCCACTGCCGCAGAACCGCACCCCCTCCCCCTCGGCAGCTTCCACAACGGCTCCGCCTCAACCGTCGGAAGCTTCTCGCCTGCCGGCTTGAAAGGCCAAGCCGAAGCCCCACCCTCCCTCCGCGCCCCGCCGTGGGGGAAGCCCACCCAGGCACTCTGCTCAACCTGCCTGCGGCAGGAGGCGTCCGCGTAGTGTCGGTGGAGCCGCCCCCTATGCCGCCGAGCGTCGCAACTCTGCGCCTCAGGGACCGCCGCAGCGCCTCCGGCGAACGGCGGAAGGCGGGAAGCGCCCGTCCAATCCGCGCCAGGTGCGGTCGATAGTGCGTCCAATCGGCGTCGCCGCCAGCCAGGTCCCGCCCCCCCCATCCCCCCCACCCCCGCCAACGCTCGCCGGGGTCGCCCGAGGCCTGAGCCAAGGGGGACGCTGTGGGCGCGGCTCAGGCCAGGCCCTCAGGTTAGTGGGTCCCCGCTGTCCCCGCGCTTCGGCCCGTCCTCTCGCGCTATGCTCTCCTGATGAACGCCCCGCGAGCGGAGTCACCCCCGCCAGCGAGGAGACTCGCTGCCTTGACTGGGGCCCTGGTCCCGGGACAGGCGAGCAGGAAGGGATGGAAGGGACGGAAGCGCGGGCGGGACCAGGAGAAGCCCATCCCCGCGCTATGCGTCCCCAGAGCCACTGGGACCCGCGGCTCCAGCCAGCCCTGCAGGGGCGAGCTGGACCGGGGGACCAGGGCGCCGGGCCGACGACTCCTGGGTGAGGCCTGGCTCCTGCCGGCAGGGGGCGCAGGGCCGCCTGGGCTCCTGGGTGCGGGTGCCGGAGGGCGGGAGAGACCGCAGGTCCGGAGACGGGGTGCTGAGCTGGGTACCCAACTGTGTATTCCTAGGCTCTTTCAGACGCTTCCATTTAAGAGATCCGTTTAACTTATGCAGCCAGCGGGTGCTTGTGTAAAAAATCGCAGGCCCTTCTGAGACAGGCACAGCCGCGAAAGGGTCTCCTTGCCCCTTGGCTCGCAGAGGGCGTCGGTGTTCGGCGCTCAGTCTTCTGCGTGTTTTCCCCGTGCTCGCGTTCTGAGATGGAAACTGTTCCACGTGCACTGAGATGCAGCTCGGTCTTTCTAACAGCTTCGTAATTATTTAATCATGTGGATTAACTTCATCCGAGGAATTCAATCCTCCACTGATGAGCCTACACTTCTATTACAAATAATACTGCAGCAAACCACCTTTGGATTAATATTTGTGTCGGATCAATTTTTAAAAGTTGAATTGTATGTGTAGTTAAACTTTTATAGGTATCTTCAAATCAAAATTTAAAATTATATTTTAATAACATTTTAATTTCTTATCTAAAAGGCACTAATTGTTTAAAAATATGGGATTAAGATTTAAATGTGCGGTGGAAAGCACCTGAAAAAAATAAACACAAGGTAATAGAATCAAAGCTCAGTTGTGGACCAGAGCAGATCAAATCACAGTAAATAAGCTCTCAGAGGTGTTTTAAATATTCTGCTTAGCTAGAATTACCAACTTCTTGACAACTTTGTAACTACCCCCATTGAACTTAATTTTGATATCTTAGTTTTTTAATTCAGAGCTGACAGATTACATATGCAATCTAAGGTACACAGGTGTACGCAGGGATTTGAGGGGATTTTATATGTTCAAAGCTTTCAATGCTTTTGAATTATACGTTTAAGTACTAATAATGTATAACACAAAATGTAAGAAGATCGAAGAGTGCTTCAAAATTGTGACCTGGCAATTTTGCATAATTATTTTCATACCTAGTTTTCCGCCAATAGATCTAAGATCCTTCATGGTGGAGTTGCGAACGCACAGAAATTTTCCTAATACACTTCAAAAATTAATAGTGATGATTTTTTACCTTGCCGCTTTTTAGTTGAAGAAAAATGTTAGTCTTTTTTATTGCTTCATGTGTTCAGGAAGCCTGCGGATTATTTAGTAAACATCCGTAAACTACAACATGGAAGAAAAAAAGGATATCATTAATTTTACTGTTAATTTTTTTTAAAGGTTTTAGACCGTGGCATTTCATGAAAAACCTTCTCAATTATAATCAAAATTTGGAAACTATGTGCCGTGGTTCACACATATACTCCCTGCACTTTGGGAGGCTGAGTTGATGGGATTGCTTGAGGCCAGGAATTTGAAACTAGCCTGGGCAACATAGCTAGGCCCTATCTCTACAAAAAAACAAAATTAGCCAGGCGTGGTGGCATGTGCCTGTGCACCTAGCTGCTCTACGCCGGAGGCTGAGGTAGGAGAATTCTGCTTGAGCCCAGGAGCTGGAGGCTGCAGTGAGCTATGATTGCACCACTGCACTCCAACGTTGGTGACAAGGCAAGACCTTCTCTCAAAAAAGAGAAATATCATAATGTGGCGTTCAATTAATTTAGCTTTCTGAATCAACAAGCATTTATTTGCAATATTCTATATGTCATATAACAGGTAGAGAGAGCATTGACTTTGAAACAGGTTTCAATGTTCAATTTGTTACTTACCAGCTATGGGACTTTAGGTGAATTACAGTTATGTATTGCTTAATGATAGGGGTAAGTTCTGAGAAAGGTGTCCTCCTCAAGCAATTTTGTTATTGTGTGAATATCTTAGCGTTTACTTACAAAAACCTAGATGGTATAGCCTACTACACACCTCAGGTATATATAGTACAGTCTATTGCTTCAAGGCTGCAAACCTGTATACAGCATGTTACTGCAGTGAATACGGTAGACAACTGTAACACAAGGGTATTTGTGTATCTAAACACAGAAAAGATACGGAAAAAAATCTGGTATAATTCCATGGATCCACGTCATATATACAGTTACCCTGTTGAGTGAAATGTTATGTGGCCTATGGCTGTACTTACACCACTCTGAGCTTTATTTTCAGCTAAGAAAAAGGGGATATTGTCTACCAGGTAGCATAACATTCAGAATTAAATGAAATCACATATTTAAAGCACTTAGCACTGTGGCCAAGCAAATAAGGGAAGACAAAATAAATGTAAGTTTTCTTCCCCCATGTGCAAGACTTTGTACTTAGGTGAGGGTCACGATCCGGAAGGCAGACAGACAGACACTCATTACTGCCTGCACAGTGTCATTAACTGTTGTAAGAGAAGTACATTAATGATCACATTCCCTGTATTCCCCTAGAGCTTTCTTCATACCTCATGCTGACCTGGCATATAAAATTGCATTTCCTTTTCTCAAAGACACATACAACAACTCTGCTACTGACGCTGAGGCACAATGACAAAATTTATTTTTGCCAAGGCTCTACGTTTATCAGTGTTGTAGAAAGGATAAGACTTGCATGTGAAATGATTTAGACAAGAAGTTTCTAAAGCTTGGTCTTCTGTAATTAGGCCACAAGAAAAACATACTGAAGCATAATAGAATGGCTCACAACTGTTTTTGCACATATACTTTAATACTTAGGCTTGGGTAAAATCATTTTAAATAACATATTAAAATATGTTTGGGGGGACAACCCAGCAATTGCACAGCCCACTAGAAAATTTTAACATCTAAGTAATATAACTGTTTTAGGGTCTGAAAGTTCTCCTTCAGTTGTTCCACAGCCTCTTTATCAACTAGGCAAATATATTTAAGCTTTTAAATTTCATAATGTTGGTATTTTTTAAAAGGCACGGGAGGTTCACTTAATATTAAATATATAACATTCACTTTCATAACCAAAACCTTTTTGGCAAGTGACTTTCACATAGATTATGAGATTCTCTACATGCCTTAAAATAAATCTGGCAGCTCTTAACTCATATCTAAATTCTCTGGACAACTGTCTTGCTCTCTGTTTTGGGGCCAGGGGCGTAGCAGTGAAGGCCCTAACAGGCTTGCTGACCTAATTGGACAGTTTGTTAAATAGCAGGAAATGTAACAAGGCTTCTCTCTCTCTTGCATGTTAATGTAGTGAACAGTGCTAATAGCCAGAGATTGTGCAATTTAGTCACAATATTTCAAGCCAAAATTCAGTGTTCTTATATTAAAAGATACCGAAGAAAGCTATCCTTGTTCTTTGAATTATAAAAGCACAGAGGTTGCAATGATCAGAACCAAACTGGTTAAAAGCCGAAATGCATCCTTTCAGTATTGATTTGACAGATGCCAACAAGCATTCAAAAATTTAGAGTTAATTTCTTGGTGACAGGTAGCATAAAATTGATCAGACTGGTTTCAGCTGTATCATAAGCTTCACAAATTGGAGATCTTGTCCTTCCTGGCTGTTTTTTTTTTTTTCCCACACCTTAATTCTAGCACCTGTTGTCAGACCACTGTTCAGCACCAAAAGAACTCCTCAGCCTGGAGTTCTTTGGAGTTTTAAGTGATTGCCTAACTCAGCAGGGGACAGTGGTCTTGACTTCTTGGTTGACGGTTTAAAAACATAAAAGAATTTTATATTTTAAAACTGACAAACTAGAAAATGTTAGAAACTCTATCTGAAGGCAGAAAGTATAAAGTTGGTGGGTACCTGATAAAACATGATGTATGTAAATACAGTTCAAAACAATTTAAAAGTATAAATATTTGTCAATTATTTTTCCTCCAGTGCTCTGGCTATTGCTGAAAACACCTTCTAGTTCCACCTTGTAACTGGACTCCCAAAAGATGAATGCTGACATCTTCTGATGCTTAACAAGAAATAAAAATAGTCACCTTAATCATCAAAAAGGTAATTGCAAAGGGCACTGTTGCCTGAAATTCTCTAGTCACCTGAAAACTGAAATAACTGAGGCAAGACTTCTTAAAATGCTTAGTTTCAAACTTAAACAGAATGGCCTGATAATGATCAAACATGTACAGAGAAATACATGAAATCAGAATTGTGAATGCAGAGAAATAACTGTTTTGCTAGTTTAAAAGTCTGAAGCTTTTCCCTCCTCCCCAGCTGTTAATGTAGGAGACACACAGCCTAACCAGGACAGTCTCAATGCCCAGGAATGGTTGTGTGATGACTGATAAAGCAGAAATTTCTTGCCTATTAATAGTTTCCCACTGTTAGAAGGCTACAGCCGTTGGCAATCAGATGTGGGCTCAGGTTTTCCTTATCCTGGGGCAGGAATGCCTGGAGGGACCACGATGTGGGTCACACTGTACATTCTGTTTACTGTGGGCACAAACACAGAACTTTTTTTTTTTAGCTTATTAAATCGAGAATATTCCTGAGGAGGCATCCGCTATGGGCTAAAGGTCCCAACATCACAATAATAAATAACAGCTATGTTTACAGAGACACATTCAGGACACATGCAAAAGCTTTTCCTAGCAGGAGGACTTGGGCCTTTGCAAAACAAGCTGCTTGGGCCTCCCCAGAGGGCCCACCCTCCCATGCACCTACCCCACCACCCTGCCCCAACTCATTACACAACTCGGCCTTCTGGCCACCTGAGGCTACTTTTTAGACCAAGTGACTCAGACGTTTCAAGTAGAAGACAGGATGGGCCACTGCCAGGGGACCTTGCAGCAGAAAATTAGGTCAGAGGACTTGGAGGGTGGTGAAGAACAACCAGATAGATGTGAGAGCCCAGCAGGGAAATGACAGGAGGCGCAGCTTAGGTGTGGAGGCTCCAGGTGGCCGGTCCCCGCGCGGCTCAGATGAAGTGGATCCAGCTCTCTTCGCACTCCCCGCGAGGCATGTGCAGCGCGTGGTTGCGACATGTGAGGCTGTAGTCTCGGTGGTCGTTGTTGTCCCAGTACTCGGCACCCGCCACTTGGTAGCGCACCGCGAAGTGCACGCGGGAGCCGAGCTCCAGCAGGAAGGGCGGTACTGGAAAGCCGAAGGTGAAAACGTCCTCCGTGCCCTCGGGGCCTGCGGGCCCGCGCCACCGCGCCACCGCCTCGTGGGTACTGCGCCAGCCCGAGAAAGTGTAGCGCACAGCCACCTGCTTCTCGAAGGCCACGTTGCACACGCGCACCGTACCGCTGATGCCAAGGTCCGAGCAAGTGACACGCTCCAGGCACACGAGCTGCCGCTGCAGGCGCTCGCCAAAGTCGGCGGCCTCGACGGGCGGCGGGAAATCGGGCACCAGGCAATGCAGGGTGAACTCCAGGTCCTGGCTGCTGCAGCACAGGTCCGAGTTGATTGCGAGCCGCGACAGCACGTGCAGCGGCACGGACGGGTCGTCTCCCGCGTTGAACACCTTGACCTGTGCCAGCTCCAAGCCCAGGGCGTCGGCGAAGCGCACGCGGAGCTTCTGGCTGCAGCCCGGCCGACACGCAGCGCCCGGCGCGCCCGCGGCCTTCTGGCGGCGCTCGGGGGAGCTGGGCAGTGAGCGCGCCCGCCGCAGGATGATGGGCCGCAGGCGGGGGTCGCAGCCCGACGGCGCTGGCGTTGGCGGCGGCGCGCGGCCCGGGCTCCCAGGGGGCCTACAGGCCCGCGGCTCCAGGGCCACGCCGCCGTCCAGGTCCGACAGGCAGCTGAGGCTCCGGGGGCCGAGCTTCCGGGATCCCAGGGCGCTAGGCAGGACCGCGGAGCTCGGGCCTCTGGACATGGCCCCGCCGGCCGTCGGAAGATGAGGCAGGGATGAGAGACGACCTCCCGACCCCGCGACAGCTCCCTCCGTGCTCAGAAGCCGCAGAGAGTCCACCGTATCTGCAACCTGCGGGGGACCTCTCGGGCCCGGTGCGCCCTACCCTTGGTTCGCCACCTTGCTCCTCGAGTCCTTGTCCAGGTCCTCCGCTTCTTGCGGTTAAAGAAATTGTAAGAGTGGGGAGTTTTTCTCTAGTGGAAGCTTTCAGAGGCCTCCCGGGAGCGCAGGGTAGCGCCTCTTTTTTCTTCTTGCTTCCTTGGAGGTTCTTACAAGAAGGCTGCGTTCCGGGAGCGGCCCCTCCCACTTTCCCGGTCCGCGGCGTTACTTACAAGGCTGCAACTTGACCGGGTGCAACTTCCTAGCGAGCCTCCGCCCCGCCCCTCGTGACGCCGCCTGCAGGCGGGCCCCCGCCGGCCTCAGCTCAGCCAGGGAGCTCAGCGGAGCTGCGCGCCTCCGCCTCCAGCTCCCCTGCCGCAGCGCGCCGCAGCCGGGCGTCCCCGCGCGGGCGCCGGAGAGGAAGGAAGGCTGGCAGCCTCGTCACGTGTCCGCTGCAGTCGCGAAACAGGTCTGATCAATTTCTGTTTACGTCTGCCTGGATTGCGCGCCTATCGATCATAGACTTTGTCTGCACAAACGGAGGACAAGGAAAATGCATGCTGCGTGTCCTTAGATTTCTGGGTTGTGGATGGGGGGAGCGGTGGTGCAAAAACCGGCCTTGCCAGGAGCTGGTCTCAGGCTAATTTTAAACATCGAGGCCAGCCCACACTTTGGACAGGTTCACTGCAACCTGGACCCTTGGTCAGACCGAGGGAGCCTCACTGCGTAGAGGAGCAGCGTCATGTCCACATCACCCAGAATGCTTTGCCGCACCGAATGGCCAGCAGATTCCCTTGAGGGTGGGGAGGGGAGGTGCTGCTGTTGTCTTCCTGGACTCCGCGCCAGAGAGGAAGACAGGGGAACAAGAGTTATTACCCGCTGATGACTTCTGCAGCTGCCCTTAATCAGCCTCTGGCGCTTGGGGAGCATATTTGTAGCCAGAATCTCCGACTTTTAGCTTTGTTTCCAAGCAAGCCAGAAACACCAGCAAGGCCTGGAGCTTGTTTTCTGCCTATTTAGAACCCTGCAGGCATTCGTGTCTCTCACCCGGTAGCTTTGAGCACAAAACCCCACAGCCTTTGGTGTAAAGCATACCAGGTGAAATGAAGTAGAAAAGATGCAAGTGCACTTTCCAGAGAGCAGTTTGGGGCCAGCCATTCCATTAAGAAGGTTCCTTTTTATTGTCCAGAGGGACAAAGCAGAAAGAAAACCAGACTAATGAAAGGGGGTTGATTCAAGAACATTCGTTGCATCTAAAATGAGTCAAGGCTGTTGATTGTGGTATAATTCAT
The DNA here is from genome assembly GCF_000001405.40 of Homo sapiens. Lineage (NCBI taxonomy): Eukaryota > Metazoa > Chordata > Mammalia > Primates > Hominidae > Homo > Homo sapiens. Next base: position 59,941,359 of record NC_000020.11, read on the forward strand.
GAAATGTGAGAGAATGATTTTATTTATCATTGGATGTAAGCTAACTAAAAAGGCTTACATGATTAATGTGGGAAAAATACAGGAAAGTTTCAGGAAGAAAATAAAAATCTTCTATAATCATCTCTTTTATTTTACAGAGACAGGTGATACGGGAAAGAGAAGTATCCAATTTCCATTCAGTGCACTTTTAATAGGCCACTCAAAATGAGAGGGGAATAACAGCAATATGTGGTATAGGTCAACAATGCTTCATAAAGAGATGATATATAATATGTAATATGTATGAATATATGGAAAGTCTTATAATGGATTGATGTGATAGAGAAGGCCGAAAAATTGAATGGGAACGTTCCTCCTAGAGTTTAAGCTCCTTCTGAACAGGGACGTGCATAATCATTGCCATTTTTCTGGGTACTCCTGTAATTATTTGTTGCATGAATGAATGATTGGGCAATGCAATGATTGAACGCTGTAATAAGACCTGACCTTATTTAGCCTTCCAGATTTCTTCAACATATTATTTCCAAGGAAGATTATACCTGTGTGTGAACAGGGAGAGAGAGAGAGAGATGGAATCCATTCACAGTATTTATAGTAGTGTGATCCTGTGATCCTGTCTCTAATATCTACTGTAATAAGCAGAAAAGACAAAGCTGTAAGCATAAGACAATGTCTCCCTTCCCCAGTATTTCATAACCTAGAGTGCAAACCACTATATGATCACAGCCTTAATATTTCAATATTATACAAGTATTAAAAAACAAGTGAAAAACCAACCCGATACTGGTGGTAGGACCATTTGCAATCAATAGTTACTGACAGTATTCTGTTGCTTCTAGTTCCGGTGGTGAGGAGACCTTTCCAAATATAAGAGGAATAAAGAAGTCACCTCCCCAGCTGTCATCATCTTCCAGCAGATTGAGCAAGAATATTTTGAGCACTACAGGAAAGGTAATGTAAACTTAGAAGAAAAATCTGACTTAGATTTATTCTGGGATTTTTGTTTGTTTGCTTGCTTGTTTCTTGTGTACATGTTCACAGTGTTTATTACTGCATCCCTGTTTTTAGACAGTCCATCAAACCCGAGATGATGATCAGCCACGTGATTTTTTCAAGAAGAGGAATAGGGTGAATGAATCTCATCAGAAAAGCAGGTAAATAGTTTTAGTATAATTGCTTTATCTTGCAAAAGACTCATTATCTCTGTTGTCCAGATTGAATATGTGGAGTGGGGAAAAAAGTATGTCTATAGATAAGAAATATACATTTATAATTTTTTTCTAGCAGAAATGAATAGAAAAGTGGTTTAAGCATAATAGTGGATAAGGATTCCAACGGTCATAATTCTGGCAGTTGTTAGCAGAATTATAATTTTGAGTAAGTCCTTTAATCACTTTTCTATGTTAGTTTCCTTTTATATAAAAGGATAGTGACAATAATTAATTTTTATGGATGCATACTGACAGGCAGGAACAAAATGTTTTAACAGTGTTATGAATTCTGAATAATGGAGATTCCTTCATTTCTTCATTTATTCAACATTTATTGAGCACACGTTGTACTATTGGCAATGATTTAATGTCCTGCATATTTATTAATTAAAATGTAGCACGTATTCAAATAGTTGCTTAGGTTGTTTGAAACCACTGGGCAAATGAACCTCTGAAGTTTCCAGAAAGCATGTTTACCACCCATTTCTATTCATTCTATCTGACTTATATTACAGAGAAGTATTATTAATCTTAAATGCCACGTTCTTGGTAAATAAATTGAAAAGAGGATATTTTCAACTCTGATGTGAGATTCAGCATCAGAATAAATTATGCCAGAGAGAATTAGTTTCTATACTCATAATGCACACAGTATTCATTATTCCCTTTACCTGCTATTCACAAGGTAACACTAAGACCCTGTGTTTTCATTCATATGTGTTACAGGGCACCATATGATTTTATTTCTGTTCTTTAAACACAATTTTCCCAAATGTGTTTTCTGTTTGAAAACATTGTAACAAGCTTTTGATTTAAGGTACAGGTTTGTATGTGCAATACTTTTATATATTAAAATTTCACTCAGCTCAGAATCGCCACCAATCAGTGATTAAACTGCAAAACTTGCATGTTTATTTGATATTTACACTTAATTTAAAATAGGTGTATAAAATAAAACTGTTTTTACTTCTGAATGTTATTAAATGCTTTTGATGGTAACAATTCCAGAGTTCTACGACTGATTTTTTCCAAACTAATGTTTTTTTTTTAAAGTACACACGAAAGTATGAAACAAGCACTTTGAGAAATGTTAATGTTTTTCCTAAATGCTAATATTTGATATAAAATGGAAACTGTGCATTCTCTTTTGTCACATGCATTATATAATGTATCTCAAATAGAGTATTATATGGGAAAATGTTCTGTAAAATTACTTATGCTTTAAGGAGTTTGGAAGCTGACATTTTCTAATGCCTACTAATAGCTGAGACAAAAAAAAGTACAACTAGAAGATTCTTTTTGTTTGTTTAATTATAGCCAGACCATTTTTTGTCATATGTGGTAAGAATTGCAGTTTTATTTTCTCACAGCAATATGAATGCTGGCCCATCTTGGAATAAAGTGCAACATTCAAAGAATTCTTCAGGAAAAAGGCAGAGTAAATCCCAAGTACCCCACGCTTCTTCCCAGCCGAGAAGCAGCCTCACAGCTGTCACCCAGCCTACTGAAGAAAAACTTAAAGAAAGCATTTCCCCGGAAGCAAGACGCAAAAGGAATCCACTCGGTTCCAGGTGTCAGGGGGCCTCAGGGAATAAACTGTTTCTTGATTTTCAGTCAATGAAAATTATTAAAGAGAATGCTGATGAGGACAGTGCAAGTGATCTCTCTGATTCGGAAAGAATTCCCATTCCTCCTTCTCCCCTCACACCTCCAGATCTCAATCTTCGAGCTGAAGAAATTGATCCAGTTTACTTTGATCTTCACCCTGGTCAGGGCCATACAAAACCTGAATACTATTATCCTAATTTCCTTCCATCCCCTTTCAGCTCCTGGGACCTACGAGATATGGCCCTGCTTCTGAACGCAGAGAACAAAACGGAAGCCGTGCCCCGAGTGGGAGGACTTCTTGGGAAGTATATCGATAGACTTATTCAGCTTGAGTGGCTGCAAGTCCAGACTGTACAGTGTGAAAAAGCAAAGGGGGGCAAAGCAAGGCCCCCCACTGCCCCTGGGACCTCAGGGGCACTGAAAAGCCCTGGGAGAAGTAAGCTAATTGCTAGTGCTCTGTCCAAGCCACTACCTCACCAGGAAGGGGCTTCAAAGTCAGGCCCTTCCCGAAAGAAAGCTTTTCACCATGAAGAAATCCACCCATCACATTATGCATTTGAGACTTCCCCTAGACCCATTGATGTGCTTGGTGGTACCAGGTTTTGTTCTCAGAGGCAAACCCTTGAAATGAGGACAGAAGAAAAGAAAAAGAAATCAAGTAAGAGTACGAAGCTGCAGCGCTGGGATCTGTCCGGCAGTGGAAGCAGCTCTAAGGTGGAAACCAGCGGTCACATTCGAGTTCCCAAACAGGCAGCTGTGATTCTGGACTCAGCAGATTCCTGTAAGGCCTCCAAAACACAAGCACATGCACATCCTAGGAAAAAGGGAAAGGCAGAGAGCTGTGGTCATGCCACTGTATCGAGTGAGAAAAAACTGAAAACAAACGGAGTAAAGCAAAACACATATAAACTAAAATAAATATCTAAAATGCTGAATTGCCAAGACCTGCAGGTACCTCAATGTTAGAGCGCTTCCAAAAGTCAAAATACTGTGAATTTTAAGGAATTTTACAAATACTGACATTTAAGTAGTTGACTGGCATTTTTGTCCACCTTTATTTCTACCCTGAGTGGGGTTATTTTCAAAGGGAAGTGTCTTTCAATAAGCCTTTCTTTGTATTGTCAGTCTTAGGCAAATGAGAGCCCTTTAGATAAAAATTATGTAAAATATGTGCCATATAAAGGAATAAAATGGCACCTCTCCAGGGAAAGTGTCAGTGAAACCTCAGCTACAGTAGCCGGTCTGTGTAGAGCAGCTAGTGGTGTTACCTCCCCATTTTCACATGCACGTAAGTATATGAAATAGTGCAGACTGTTTCAAATGGTGTGGAATCCTAAATGTTTAAAATAAGGTCCTTCTTGCCCACTCCCTCGCTTACTTTTTTATAAACTCCTCAAGCAAAATTTCTGTTCATTTTACCCTTAGGAGAAGCTTTAGTTCTTCCTCAAGTCAGGGAGTAGTGAGTTTGTATTTTGAGTAGTCATTTCTCACTAAGCTGGTTGCTTTCTAGAGAGACAGTGGAATCTAGTACTTTAATACATTTTCTCTGACATGGTTTTTTTTTTCTTTTTTGAGGGGCATTTTAAACTTAGAGGTGGTGGTAAAACCTACTTTTGAGTTCTCCGAACTGAGGTTAAAATAACTTGCAGAATTTTCCAAAGTCAATGGGCTTAGCATGATTACTGCTGTTTGGTGGGGCTGAGAATGAAATATTTGACATTCTGGAATTGCTGGCATGTAAAGCTTCTCCAGAGAGGCACCCCAGGGAAATCACTCTTTACAATTTGTAAAGGAAGGGCCTGTAAAAGGATCAAAACACATGGACCTACATTCAGTGTAATAGTTACAAAGTTACTGATTTGGGTTCCACACCCTGTGGTCCTTAGTCAAAAATAATGATCTGTTTCAGTTTGCAAGAGCAGGATTTTATTATTTTGCTTGGGGTGAGGGGCGGGAGAGTGGAATATGAGTAAGGTTGCTGAATGAATTCTAAACTCGCTTATCTGGTCTTCAGGCTTCCCAACTCTCTCCAAGCCTTCTTATTTCACTGCAGTTAAATAACATCTTCTTGTTCCTATAGTTGTGCTGTGAGTTTTCTGTTCATATTTGCGCAGTGTATTTTAATACGGCCCATGTCATTATAGTTGATTTTATCCCTTTAAACAATTACTGTATTTGTTTTTGACGTAGAGGTTTCAATTTTTTCACCTTGGGGGCAAATGAAAAACTTGGCATTTTTCATTTGGGAACATATAATAGCTTGTAAACTTTTCAGACAGCAGTAAATGTCTGAAAAAATATCAAAAACAGCATAAAGACAAGATTATGTAGCTCTAATTATACGTATATAATTATAAAAAACAATGTGCAAGGGTTATATTTTAAGGTCTTTTAAAATCTGATTTTGATCATACCAAATGACATAATATTTTTTATGGTAGCCTTTTACTTTCAAGACTTAATTTTCAGACTTGTACAAGTTCCTTCTTACATTCTTTCCCTCTCACACCATCCTACTGGAGAAAGCATACTTTTATGCTAAGATCTTACTTTAAGCTTTTTATGTGAACAAAAGATGTACATATAGTAAGTATTACTTCCGTAGTCCTCAAATTTACTATAACTTTTGTACTTAGTATATGTTTTATATTTGGAAAACAGCACTACGCTTAGTTTTCCTGTAGTTCCTGAGTGATGTCTGTGTGTTCCTTGCCTGCCCTTTTTTGTGAGCACAGATTAGTCTGTTATCCATGGCTGGCACTTCACTTATGATCCTTTCTCTGCTAGATTTTTATGCAGCTCTCTATGAAGTTTCATGGCCCATAGATATTCAAAAGCAAGATATTCTATACATATGTGTATATGTATATATACTCCTTATGTTAATACTAAAGTGTTTATGCTGAGTTGCTGCCTTTCCCCGTCATGTATCCATGTGCATGCTCTTAGAGACCTTGAATGGTTGAGGGTAAAGTGATTTATTAGTAATTCTACTTGCCTTGTGTATGTCTGAGCTGAAAACAATCGTGATTAAGAAATTTAGAGGTGGCTGGGCGTGGTGGCTCACGCCTGTAATCCCAGCACTTTGGGAGGCCGAGGCAGGCGGATCACCTGAGGTCGGGAGTTCAAGACCAGCCTGACCAACATGGAGAAACCCTGTCTCCACTAAAAATACAAAATTAGCCGGGTGTGGTGGTGCATGCCTGTAATCCCAGCTACTCGGAAGTTTGAGACGAGAATCTCTTGAACCCGGGAGGCGGAGGTTGTGGTGAGCCAAGATCGTGCCATTGCACTCCAGCCTGGGCAACAAGAGGGAAACTCCGTTTCAAAAAAAAAAGAAAAAGAAAGAAATTGAGAAGTAACGCCTCATAATATTTGTTCCCAGCTTTTTAAATTGAAGCTGGTTGCATAATCTGGGGAATAGTCATAATTTCATGTGTTATACAGTTTAAAAAGCCTGCAAAAGTGACTTTGCTTGTTTACTTTCTGCCTCAGATTGACTATTTTAACCAATATTGTCACGACTAGATCATAGCTCCTAGTGAATAACATGAGGTGTTTTAAAGTTAGGTCTATTACAGAATTAACATAAGCACAATTTTAATTTTATGATATCTGATATGCCTATCTAATACATCTTAATGCATTAAATGCTGCAGATAAGAATCTTGCTATTTTTCAAGTAGACAACATTAGAAAGTTGAATCATGAACTCATTCAATTCATCAAGTCAAAAGCACTGAGTGTTTTGCTAGTCTAGTGACATGGGTTATTGTATTTCCGAGAAGTGCCTCTCATTTCTGGGGAGTTGTTTACATATACCCTGCATTTAAACCAATTAAAACAATCCAAGTTTCTTTAAAAAAAAAAAGAAAAAGAAAAAGAAAAAGAAAAATATTTTAGGCTTAGAATTATCTAATGGAAAAAATGTAAAAAAGTACAAAAATGAACTAAAAGTATATCAGTATTTGCAGTATTTGCTGTGATTACTTAGGTTTAGACTTTCTCAACTTCTTAGATGACTAAATGGGCTGAAGACTTGTAACTAACTTGAATAGGATAGACTTCATACCCTGTGACAAAAAGGATGGGGAAGAGAATATCATTGGTCTTGCCATATACCTCCTAGCTAAAAGGAAAATGGTTTGTAGTTGTTCTTGGGCCTACTGTGTTGCTTTTCAGAAGGACATAAGACTTTCTACTTTATCTGATATGGATATCGTCTACTTCCTCATTCCTTTATGCTCACTTATGGAGTAGTTACATAGAAATATAACTCTTGGTGGTACTGTATTTTAAGGTAATTCAGAAGCAGTATGTATTATTTATGTACATGTACAGGACACCATTCAAAATGGCTTGAAAATATTCAGCATGTTTGTTATTTGCTGTTATATTGTATGTTTAGTTTTGTATGTGATAAACAGAATTGATGTAAGTTTTTGTGGACTTGAATTTCTCCTTCCTTGAGATCAATTAAACAGCAGAAAAATATTGTCTGGATTTTTCTGGTATTGTTTTGTTTTGCTTTTCATGCAGTTCTCTTCTGAAGCTTGCCTTTATTTTCTCCCTGGTTATTTAAAGGAATTGCCCAGGATGAAATGCTGTTACAACTCCTGTCTTAACACTAAGCGACATGGGTGGCCAAAGCACAGGTTAACATTACCGGATATATCAGAGAAGCATTGCAGTACATTTCTTGAGTCGCTCTTCCACTTACTACTCCATGTTGAGGATTAATTAGGGTAGCAGGATGCAAATTCAGTAAGCATAAATTAAGGTAACCTGTGATGTAATGAACTTGCACCTTTATGTACATATCCGGAAACGAGTACCATCTCTTTCAAGGAAGTGGCCTGGTTAGGAGATAGCAGTTTTGAGCAGCTCCAGCTGCAAACATTCTCAAAAGCCCTTTGCTCTTCTTTCTAACTTCACTCTGACAATAGGGTGCATTCTTTTGAGTCTACCAAATTGTGGCAGTAATGTTCAGTGGCTTAAAAAGTAAGTTTTTGGATATGTTTTGAAAATTAACCACGCTGGAGGTTTAAAATCTTTTTTTTTTTTTTTTTTGTACAGGAAATGTATTATTTTGGGCTGTTGCTGTTTTATTATCCACAAGGTGGCGACCAAACCCTTTCAGATAGCAGTGAATTTGGCCTGTGAGTACCTTCTAGTCAAATAAAAAGGTTTTTACTGGAATCAAAAAGAAATGGAGAGAAAAAGACTTTTTGACTTCAGGCCCAAAGCATGTTCTTTATTTAACTTCACTCTGCCATCAGAGAATACAGTGGTTTATCATATGCAGTTAGGTGCTGTGGAGGATTCTCTTTGATTCATTGAACAGTCTCACATCATAAAACACTGTATCCAGCATAGAATCGTCCTCAATGAAGTAACATAAATCATCAATTTATAAAAATCTTCACAGAGATCCCTGTTTCATAAAATGCAATTTGAATATTTTTGTCTTCAGCAATTTAATGTATAAGGAATTACTGTAATAATACTGGAAAATATATATGGAATTAAAAATGGAATAGTCATAAATAATTGCCCTAGCTTAAATGAGATTTTAGAGCAAACAAATAACACATATTTAACTTTAGATTACATTAAGCGAGGACAATTTCATGTGAGCTCCTCCCTAGACCTACTGAGTCAAAGTCTGCATTTTAACAAAATCCTTGGCACATTAAAGTTTGAGAAATCTGCTTTCCTGGTACTTAAGTCTGCAAGTTTGAGTGACTACCTTTATGGTGGGTGAGTAGCTGGTAGGCCCTCTCCCCCTCAAGCAAGCCATTTGCTTATCTAGCCCTATTTTCTCCGTAGTTTAAAGGCACTGGGCTGGCTGCTTACCTAACAGGTTGCCTAAATGAATGATTCACGGCCTCTGATAAAATCTGCTCCACAAGTGAATGCTAAGGAGTTGAAGTTTATTTATTTATTTTTTTCAATAGCTTTTAGGGTACAAGCGGTTTTTTGTTACATGGATAAATTATATAGAGATGAATTCTGAGATGTTAGTGCACCTGTCACCCGAGTAGTGTACATTGTACGTCATGTGCAGTTTTTTATCGCCAGCCTCCCTCCCAACTTTCCCCTACTGAGTCTCTAAAGTCCATATGTCACTCTGTATGCCCTTGCATATTCATAGCTTAGCTCCCACTTCTAAGTGAAAACATAAAGATTTGGGTTTACCACTCCTATGTTACTTCAGTTAGAATAATGAGGTCAGGAGTTCGAGACAAGCCTGGCCAACAAGGCGAAACCCTGTCTCTACCAAAAGTGCAAAAATTAGCCAGGCATGGTAGCATGCGCCTGTAATCCCAGCTACCCAGGAGGCTGAGGCAGGAGAATCCTGGAACCCGGGATGCAGAGGCTGCAGTGAGCTGAGATCGTGCCACTGCACTCCAGCCTGGGTGACAGAGCAAGACTCTGTCTCAAATAATAATAATAATAATAATAATGACCTCCAGCTCCATCCAAGGTTTTGCAAAAGACATTGTTTAGCTCCCTTTAATGGCTGAGTAGTATTCCACAGTATACTATATATATGTGCGTGTGTGAGTGTGTGTACATATATATCACATTTTCTTTATCCACTCAGTTGATGGGCACTTAGGTTGGTTCCACATCTTTACAATTGCGAATTGTGCTGCTATAAATATACGTGTGCAAGTGTCTTTTTCATATAATGACTTCTTTTTCCTTTGGGTATGTGTTAGTCTGTTCTCATGCTGCTATAAAGAAATACCCAAGCCTGGGTAATTTATAAAGAAAAGAGGTTTAACTGACTCACAGTTCCACATGACTGAGGAGGCCTCAGGAACCTTACAATCATGGCGGAGGGCACCGCTTCACAGGGCGGCAGGAGGGAGAATGAGAGCTGAGTGAAGGGGGAAGCCCCTTATAAAACCATCAGATCTCAGGAGAACTCACTCACTATCAGGAGAACAGCATGCGAACCACCCCCATGATCTAATCACCTCCCAAGAGGTCCCTCCCATGACATGTGGGGATTATGGGGACTATAATTCAAGATGAGATTTGGCTGGGGGCACAGCCAAACTGTACCAGGGCAGATACCCAATAGTGGGATTGCTGGATCAAATGGTAGATCTACTTTTAGCTCCTTAAGGAATCTCCATATGTTTTCCATAGAGGTTGTACTGATTTACATTCCCATCCGCAGTGTACAAGCATTCTTTTTTCCCCACATCCATGTCAATATCTATTGTTTCTTGAGTTTTTAATAATGGTCAGTTTTACAGAATTAAGGTGGTATCTCACTGTGGTTTTAGTTTGCATTTCCCTGATGATTGGTGATGTTCAGCACTTTTTTCACGTTTTTCTTGGCCATTTGTGTATCTTCTTTTGAGAACTGTCTACTCATGTCCTTTGCCTACTTCTTAATGAGATTACTTAGTTTTTTCTTGCTGATTTGTTTGTGTTACTTGTAGATTCTACATACTATTCCTTTTGTCAGATGTGTAGTTTGCAAATATTTCCTCCCATTCTGGGGTTGTCTGTTTACTCTGCTGATTATTTCTTTTGCTGTGCAGAAGCTTTTTAGTTCAATTAGGTTCCATTTATTTATTTTTATTTTTGTTGCATTTGCTTTTTGGGTCTTAGTCATGAATTCTTTGCCTAAGCCAGCGTCTAGAAGAATTTTTCCAATGTTGTCTTCTAGAATTTTTATTGTTTCAGGAAACTGGCAAGCCACATGTAAAGGAACGAAACTGGATCCCTATCTGTCACCTTATACAAAAACCAACTCAGGATGGATCAAAGACTTAAAATATAAGCGTTCGGGCTTCTTAGATCACCTAACCACCTCATCTGATTTTCCTTACATTCAGACTCCTAGATTTTCAAACTCCAGGTGTGGAACACTCACTCGACTTCCCTTGTCTCTTTCCTTTCACTCACTTGGTCATTTTGTCCAGGATTAGAAGAGTGTTCACCATCTGTCAGCAAGCTTTTCCTCTAAACCCATCTCTTGAGATACTCTGCCTAAATAAAGCAAGGAGAAAGAAAAGGAAGTCTTTGCTTTTCTCGCGTGGTGTTTTCAGTTTTCTAAATGCTGGAATGAAATGCTTTTTATTTGTAGAATTTATATAATATTGAAATAGCTTAACAAGTTTAATTGAAGATGTTCTGATTTTTTAAAGTATATATGTTCACCTTAACAGAACAGTTTTTGATGCAGGAAGATAAAAACAGCTGTTTAAATCTTCCCCTTTACTTTCCTTTCCTTCATTTTCTCCTTTCCTAAAGAAGCATAAACAATTTATGTCAGGGGTGTCCATTCTTTTGGCTTCCCTGGGCCATACTGGAAGAATAATTGTCTTGGGCCACACATAAAGTACACTAACACTAACAATAGCTGTTAAGCTAAAACAAAAAATGCAAAAAAAATTATAATGTTTTAAGAAATTTTATGAATTTATGTTGGGCCGCTTTCAAAGCTGTCCTGGGCCACAGGTTGAACAAGCTTGATTTACAAACATAAATGATAGAAGAAAGAGCATGGCGATTCATACCACTAGTATGATTAGCATTGGAATATACTTGCAAAAAGTGAAAATGCCTTCAATAAGTTATATCTGGCAGCGTTTTTGTTTGTTTTTCTAATTGCATATCTGCAACTACATATTAGTTAAAAAAATTGGGGCAAGAGATTAAAATCTCTCCAAGATAATTTTCTGGCCAGCTCTTAGTGGCTGACAAGATACCAAAACCTAAGTTTCAGTATGCACGCTCAAATCAACCCATGTGATTAGTAATCAGAATTGAAAAAATTCTTAGTCCTTGAAAAAAATCCAGAAACACAAATGATGGATTATTTTATTCTAATATGAAATCTAATGAACTTCAGCTCTTAATATATGTGACAAGATATTGGGGTACAACTAGAGATACACTATCAGGTATTGGGTAAAACTACACTTAATAATGATGAATGCATCATGAGGGCATCCCCGCCTGGCTTGGGCTTCTGCTTGGACAGTGGTCTGGCTGGTCAGGCCCCATGCCCAGCTGAAAGGAAGAGAACCGAGGTGGACAGCAGGACTGAGGGAAGATGACAAACACACTGGACTCTACCTGCATTTGGCATTTCCCATATGGATCAAGTAAACAACAGAGAAGTAAAGTGCTGATGGAGTTTTCCTTGATGGAGTCAAATTCACCTTCTGGTTTTTTCCCAATATTGCATTATAAATTTTTTCAGGCCAGGCACGGTGGCTTACACCTGTAATCCCAGCACTTTGGGAGGCCGAGACAGGTGGATCACCTCAGGTCAGGGGTTTGAGACCAGCCTGGCCAACATGGTGAAACCCCATCTCTACCAAAAATACAAAAATTAACTGGGCATGATGGCACATGCCTGTAATCCCAGCTACTCAGGAGGCTGAGGCAGGAGAATCGCTTGAACCCGGAAGGCAAAGGTTGCAGTGAGCCGAGATTATGCCATTGCACTCCAGCCTAGGTGACAGAGTGAGATTCTGTCTCAAAAAAAAAAAAAAAAAATCAAACATATACGAAAGTGGAAAGAGCTTCACAGTGAATACCCGCATGCTTACTCTCATAACCAGACAGTTGCCACCTGGCTGTGTCTACTCTGTCCATCCGTCTAGCCACCTAGCAGTCCCAGCTGTGGCCTATTCCAGGCATCAGTATCCTTCCAGCTTCTGCCTGCCATGCTCACCCTCCAGGGCCTCCACTGTGGGTAGCTGTTTTATACTATATATATATATATATATATATATATATATATATATATATATATATATATATATATATAGAGAGAGAGAGAGAGAGAGAGAGAGAGAGAGAGAGAGAGAGAGAGAGAGAGAGAGAGAAAGAGACAGAGTTTCACTCTTGTTGCCCAGGATGGAGTGCGATGGCTTGATTTCGGCTCACTGCAACCTCCACCTCAGCGATTCTCCTGCCTCAGCCTCCCAAGTAGCTGGCCATGTGTCACCACACCTGGCTAATTTTTTTGTATTTTTAGTAGAGACAGGGGTTCACCATGTTGGCCAGGCTGGTCTCAAACTCCTGACCTCAGGTGATCCACCTGCCTCAGCCTCCCAAAGTGCTGGGATTATAGACATGAGCCACTGCGCCCAGCCCTGTTTTATATTATGTTAATAGCTGCTATGTCTATGGCAGAGTTGAACCTACTTCACCACTACTGGAAGCAGAACTCTTCCCTGATTATTTTAAAAACCCTTCTCAAGAGTGTTCTGAGAAATTAAACTTTTCTTGTGACTATGAAGAAACGGGAATTGAATTCAGAAGTATTGGCTGGAAAATTATTTTTGTGTTAGTGAATATAGAAAGGTCTTGACTCAGGGGACATATAAGCATGAGCCATTTTATTCTTCCTTAATCTGAGCCTTCAACCAAACCATTTCAATCCCTCAGTTACAACTGGGGCTCATCATTACCCAGTCACGTCAGTCAGTAAAACCAGCCCAGCTTAAAACTTCGATGTCAGCCTTGATGGAAATCTAATCTCTTCCATCCACCCTGGGTGGGCTGGACTCCCAGGTGGGTGTGTGGGCAGGGGAGGCTTGGGCAGCCCCTCCTCACCTTCCAACCCAGCACTGAGATCCTAAGGCATGGTGGTGCTTTGCTGTTGGGACACCTCTGCTCCCTCCCTCTTCCAGGCTCTGCCTCCCCTAGCGTTGGTGACAGAAAGAGAGACTAAGGGAAAGCCTAAGGCCTGTCCTCTGTAACAGGCCACTCTCCCAGCCTTTCACTGCGGCTGGCTCACCTCTGCAGAGGAGGCATCGAATGCCAGCCTTCTCACCTCCCCAGCCAGGAAAGAAGGCTTGAGCCTAGCGCTTTACTTCTCTGGTGTTTACTTGATCCATATGGAAAATGCCAAAGGTAGGCAGAGTCAGGTGCATTTGTCATCTTCCCTCAGTCCCACTGTCCACCTAAGTTCCCCTCCTTTCAGCTGGGCATGAGGCCTGGCCAGCCAGACCACTGTCCACGCAGAAATCCAAGCCGGGTGGGGATGCCTCATGATGCAATCATCATTACTAAAAAAAGAACAGTGAGAACTGGAGGTGGCTGGGGGCACTCCTCAAAAACATGAGAAGGTTGACCCTGGGTAGGTAATTGTAGCTCATACCTCCCTTGCAATCAAGTAACTTTTATCTCATGAGCAATCTCATTTCTTCACTTGTCAGCTTACAGGGAGCTGGGAGCTGCCACCATGTGGCTATAAAGTATTACTGTACTTCCAAGGACACAGAAAGGAGCGCTAGACTATTGTCACTATGATCACATGCTCAGAATAGAAAGGGAGTGGGGACATCTTCAAGCTCAGGCTCACCCAAGATGTGCAGCAGGTGATGCCCAGAATCACCAGCTGAGTTCCAGGCCCCGTGGCCTACCCAAGTAGGGTTGCCGTGTGGGGAACTGGCATTCTGCTTAGTTATTTTAAACGCTTGAGAATGTTGAAAACTTGTTTGTTTCTAATATATTAAAATACCAGTTCCTATGGTGTTTTTTGTTTTGTTTTGTTTTGAGATGGAGTTTCACTCTTGTTGCCTAAGGCTGGAGTGCAATGATGTGATCTCAGCTCACTGCAACCTCCGCCTCCCGGGTTCAAGGGATTCCCCTGCCTCAGCCTCCGGAGTAGTTGGGATTACAGGTGTGTGCCACCATGCCCGGCTAATTTTAAAATACCAATTTCTTTTAAACTTAAAACGAATGTGAAAGTGGAATCCTTCACTGTTGTCCCCCAGCTCCGCCCAGACTAGAACATTGTGAGGCTAATGCCTTTCTAGCAACAATATTTTAGTCCCCAGCGCTATTCTAGCAGCAGGGAGTGCTCAACTGACGTGGTTTTTTCACATATATTTAACATGGTTTAGCTCACCTGACTTATATATTCTAAATTAGTGATTCTAACTTAATCAGTTTTTTAAAAATAGGCTATCATTATAGAAATATCCACTTTGAAAATAGGCACAAGGTATTCAGTTTCTCTTTATGCACAGGAAATATCTATAGACTTTAAAGTTGTATTTATTATTCTTTTCAATAATAAGCTATTAATTTCAATAAAAATAAACTATTCAAATTAAAATATTCAGCAGCATCTCAGAGCTATGAATGTTCAGTTAAGCAAAGAAAGTTTTTTTTTTTTAATTGGGAGATTTTTATTTTATATTTTATTTTTGATGAGTTCTTTTTTATTTTTATTTTTTAATTTTATTTTTCCATAAGTTATTGGGGTACAGGTGGCATATTGGTTACATGAGTAAGTTTTTCAGTGGAGATTTGTGAGATCCTGGTGCACCCATCACCCAAGCAGTATACACTGCACCATATTTGTTGTCTTTTATCCCTCACCCTCTTCCCACTCTTCCCCCCAATTCCCCAAAGTCCATTGTATGATTCTTATGCCTTTGTGTCCTCATAGCTTAGCTCCCACAAATCAGTGAGAATATACAATGTTTGATTTTCCATTCCTGAGTTACTTCATTTAGAATAATAGTCTCCAATCTCATCCAGGTCACTGCAAATGCTGTTAATTCATTCCTTTTTATGGCTGAGTAGTATTCCATCATATATATCTGTATATACACATATATATACATATATATGTGTATATATATGTGTATGTATATATATACATATATGTGTGTATATATGTGTATGTATATATATACATATATGTGTGTATATATGTATGTATATATGTGTATATATGTACATACACATATATACACATATATGTGTATATATACATATATGCGTGTATATATGTACATACACATATATACACACATATATGTGTATATATGTACATACACATATATACACGCATATATGTGTATATATACATATAGATACGCATATACACATTTTCTTTATCCACTAGTTGATTGATGGGCATTTGGGTTGGTTCCACGATTTTGCAATTGTGAATTTTGCTGCTATAAACGTGCATGTGCAAGTATCTTTTTCGAATAATGACTTCTTTTCCTCTGGGAAGATACCCAGTAGTGGGATTGCTGGATCAAATGGTAGTTCTACTTTTGTTCTTTAAGGAATCTCCACACTGTTTTCCATAGCAGCTGTACTATGTTATATTCCCCCCAGCAGTGTAGAAGTGTTCCCTGATTGTCACATCCACACCAACGTCTACTGTTTTTTGATTTTTTGATTATGGTCATTCTTGCAGGAGTAAGGTGGTATCGCACTGCGGTTTTGATTTGCGTTTTGCTGATCATTGGTGATGTTGAGCATTTTTTCATATGCTTGTTGACCATTTGTATATCTTCTTTTGAGAATTGTCTATTCATGTCCTTATCCCACTTTTTGATGGGATTGTTTTTTTCTTACTGATTTGTTGGAGTTCATTGTGGATTCTGGATATTAATCCTTTGTCAGATGTATAGATTGTGAAGATTTTCTCCCACTCTGTGGGTTGTCTGTTTACTCTGCTGACTGTTCCTTTTGCAGTGCAAAAGCTCTTTAGT
The DNA here is from genome assembly GCF_000001405.40 of Homo sapiens. NCBI lineage: Eukaryota > Metazoa > Chordata > Mammalia > Primates > Hominidae > Homo > Homo sapiens. The sequence goes on from NC_000020.11 coordinate 59,957,683, forward strand.
TTAATTAGGTCCCAGCTATTTATCTTTGATTTTATTGCATTTGCTTTTTGGTTCTTGGTCATGAAATCCTTGCCTAAGCCAATATCTAGAACAAGCAAAGAAAGTTTACCTTTTATTTTATCTGTTTACTACTTTAAACAAGGTAATGTGATAAAAAGGTCATGTTAAGGTAATCAGGGTTAATGTATCACAGATTGTGTTTTAAAACTTGCTTACTGCAACCTTAAGTATTGGTATAATATAATCTCAAATTGTCTCTTTCAGAATTCTCATGCAAAGACTCCCGGGTTGCCACAGAGATCCCTGTCCATAGGGAGGCTCTTTCCCATCTCTCCTCCCTCCCACTTTAATTCCAAACTCAAAAAGGCAGATTAATCTAAGCTTAAAAAAGGTTTTAGTAGAAATAATTTGAAAACCCCAGAGCCCTGGGATATTGTTGGAATAACGATTTTTAGTGCTTTGGAAAGTAAAAGTTGATTTTTCTTTTCTTTCATTCTTCCCCATCCCTTCCCCCTTAATAAAGTTATCATTCTTGTCATTTTCTAGTTTTTTTTGTTTGGTTCAAGAGGATAAGATTATAGAAAATAGTCACTAACATATCCTGCTATAGAAAGAGATGATTGGACCTTCTATTTGGAAACCAGAACAAACAAGGAAACAAAGAAACAAATAATTCTGCTTTCCGATAGGTGCTGGTTTTACTTCCGCTGGCTGAGCTGTTGTTCCTGAGGTCAGACCCCAGCCAGTCTTTTGTGTACGTGCAGGACCATGGTGGCTTTAGTTTCTACCCCACCCTTCCTAGGAACTCTACTTGTGGCAAACGTATGTTCAAGCTTACAAGTCAGCCCACCCCACTCTGATAAATGCAAGAAAAGCTGAAAAGGGAGGAGCAAGATGGGATGAAAGCATCTGGGCCAAAGTGACCTGAAAACCTTTAGAGAAGAAGCTGCTGGCTGAGAAGGAGGTGTGTGGCTCCGGTGAGACCACCAGCTTGGAGGACTGGTCATCAGCTGCACGTTCTGGGTCTGTCTTGGGTATTCCCATATGGCCATGAGATCCGGGAGGCACCCCTCGCTGCTGCTGCTTCTAGTGCTGCTGCTGTGGCTGCTGCAGGTAAGCTGAGCCTGCAGCCTAGTGCTCAGGTGCAGGGAACTGAAAGCAAAGCACAAGCTGGCCCTGCCCCTTCTAGGCTAAGGGAGGGGAGAGGGACTGAGTGTGACCTGCTGGGACCCAGGGCTGGCTGTCTTGAGAATGGCTTAGGTAGCAGGGGCTCTGGATTTATATAAAGGGAAGTTAAGGGTCCCAGTCTGTTTGGGGCAACAGTGGGAGCAGGCTAAGGGACCTGTTTAAAACTAATTTATATAGTTCACACTATTTTTAGTGAGATTACATCAACACACACGTGTTTTCTTTCTTTGTTTCTTTCTCCTTTTGTTGAGACAGGGTCTGGCTTCATCATCCAGGCTGGAGTGCAGTGGCATGATCAAGGCTCACTGCAGCTTTAACCTCCCAGGCTCAGGTGATCCTTCCACCTCAGCCTCAAGAGTAGCTGGGACTACAGTAACTTACCACCACGCTGGCTAATTTCTGTATTTTTTATAGAGATGGATTTTCACCATGTTGCCCAGGCTGGTCTCGAACTCCTAAGCTCAAGTGATTTATTCGCCTTGCCCTTCCGAAGTGTTGGGTTTACAGGCATGAGCCACCTCACCCAGCCAACACACACAATTTTTTTTTTTTTTTGAGACAGGGTCTCGTCATCCAGGCTACAGTGCGTGGTGACATCTCAGTGCACCGCAACCTCCTCCTACTGGGTTCAAGCAACCTCCTGGCTCAGCCTCCCGAGTACTGGGACTACAGGTGCACGCCACCATGCCCGGCTAGTTTTTGTATTTTTATTAGAGACAGGGTTTCACCATGTTGGCCAGGCTGGTCTCAAACTCCTGACCTCAAGTGATCTGCCTGCCTCAGCCTCCCAAAGTGTTAGGATGACAGGCTTGAGACACTGCGCCCTGCCAAGTTTTATAATGATACTTCTGTTCACACTTTACATAAGATTGAGGAAATCTCAGTTGTCTGGATCCAAGGCAATTTGAGCAAACCCATGGGGATGGAATGGCTAAATCCATTGCCCCCAACTGCCACTGTTTAAATGGGAATACAAACTAGTGGAGTCAGGATTCGAAACACATGGGCTTGCTCTGTTTGTACTTAGAGTGGACAGAGGTAATGTTGCATGCGCTTGTTGGTTATGATCTGCTTCGTTGGCTTTCTGTAGGTAGGGAGAGGGAATCATTTCTTCCTTTGAATACCAGCTGAGGGTGGGAAGCAGCCCAGTGGCTGGTAACTGTGAGCTCTGGACTGGGCTGCTTGGCGTCCTGACCTAGGCTCCTTCACAGCCCGCTGGGGACCTAGGCCAGCTTAACTTTGTTCCTTACCTTGGATCAAGTTGAACTTACCTAGGGAGCTTCAAGGGATCTCAGTGCCTGGGTTTTGCCCCCAAAGGTTCAGGTTGAGCTGACCTGGGAGTGCACTGGGTGTCAGTGCACTGGTTTTAACATAACCTTGTTAAGCCTATTTTTCTTCACCTGAAAATGGAGCTAGTAACTGAATTTATCTGAGCCAGTGGTTGTACCAGTGAATGAGGAAATGCGTAAAAGCCCTTGGTACTGCGAAAGTTGTCAGAATCAGAATGGAGTTCCTTATGTTAAAACACACACACACACACACACACACACAGGCACAAAGCCTGATATATAGACACAAAGAAGGTTATGAAAAGGGGGTTCTCACATTTGTAGGCTTGATAACTAAAACTATCACAAAAGCTCTGCAAAAATAACAACTTTGCACAAAGGCCGTTAAAACCTTACACAAAAAATACTTTTTCGAAGAAATCTTCCCAGCAACTTTTTGTGCAAACTCAGACCAGTGTCACCCTTCTTATTGATCTTTGTAGCCAAAGATAATTATTTCAAAACAATGATATAATCCTTCTCATTTTTTCCTTTGAAAACCTTTATCTCCCTTTACCTCCCTGACTCTGCACATCGTTTACCATGGCACACATATTCCCATGGATATGTCCTTGCCCAGACAAACGTCATCTTCTCTTAGAGAGCCTCTGTCTACTATTAGGTTCACAGTTCAGTAACGACCCAGCCGTTTTTCTAATCACAGTGAAAATGGTTGGCAATATTCATTCAGAGCTCATGCTAAAACTATTTACTGGATACCTGCTTTGGGCCAGGCACTGGGAATACACCAATAAACATAATAGGGGGAAAACCCTGTCTGAAAGTGGATAACTTGTTTGGTACCAGTTGCTTGAGGTTTGGAGAATTTTCTTGGTCACATTTTGCCATATCAAGAGTTACGAGTTTCCTTAGTCAGACAGCACATTAATTTGATCTCCAATACTTCACAGAAGTCCTTTTTAGTAGCCCATGTTTGCATGGATTTGAATATAGTCCAGATCAAATCCTGTCCCCATCCTTCCCTCACTCCTGCTCCTACCCACAATGAGTCTGATCAGGAAACAGACCTGAATTCTCTTCCCTCTGGCGTATTAGTGCAGTGCCAAAGCAAATTAATTGACTTCTGAGGGTGGTTGGGTGGGGGTGGGCAGTGGGAATGGGTCTGTGGATTGTACTTCAGTGATTGATGACAGCAGCTTTATGTAGATTCCAGGGAATCAAGACAGATGAAGAGAACATGATTCAATAGATGTAAGAAGTTTTTAGCAATCAGAATGCTGGACCTTTAACTCTTAAAGAGCTTTACACCTGGCAGGTGCTCAATAATTGTCAAATTGGCTATGAGTAACATTCCGTTCCATTCCTTTACATCCCCGCCCCCTGAATTGGCTTATTGCCATCTGTGACATCTATGACAGATACCTACTTCCCCCTGTTCAGATCTCCATATTTACAAGCTGATACCATTTCTGCTGGAGAGCTATTGTGTCCACAATAGTTTTCCTCTGAAATCCCCACACCCTTTCTTTGTCATTTGGCCATGAAGCCAAATCACCAAGTCAGGATTCTGTTCTGCAGGTTTATGTCTTTGTTCCAGGTTCAGTGACAAGTAATGACAAGCCAAGGAAGAGGAGTTTTCTCCCCTTTTGTCATTTCCAGGCCTCTGAGCTCATATGTCCTCACCTTGGGGCTGTGGCAGGCTTCAAAGACCAGAGAAGAGGGAAGTTTTAAGAGAATGAAACTGTACAATGAGAAAAGCCACTTATGATTTTTTGTTGTTGGTGGTGGTGGCGTTGTTACCAATCTGGGAAATTCTGAATTGAGTTACATTTTAATAAATTGTTAGCATTTATGCTCTGACTGAATTACTCTTTCAGCCCTTCATTTAAGACCAACAGAGTGATGGGTTGCAGAAGGTGGGGATAGTGTGGTCAGAGGTGAAGCTGAGAGGGTCAGCAGGGGACAGAGCAGGTTGGATTCTGTCCTAAGAGAAGTAAAAACACTGGGGGGAAAGGGGTGTGAGATCTGTGCTTTTAAAGATCACTCAAGCCTCTGTGCAGAGAATGTGTTAGGAACATATATTAGTGTCCTCAGACTGCTGAAACAATGAACCACAAACTGGTACGTCGGCTTAAAATAGGAGAAATGTACTCTCTTGCAGTTCTAGAAGTCAGAAGTCTGAAACCAAGGCGTCAGCAGGGCCAAAATCCGTCTGAGACTGGGAGGACCCTCCCTGGCCTCTCCCCAGCTTCTGGTGGGTTGCTGGCAATCCCAGCTGTTTCTTGGCTTGCAGCTACGTCACTCCAGTCTCTGCCCCTGTCATGACATGGCATCATCCCTTTGTGTCTGTGTTTTCCTATCGAGACACTGCTCACTAGATTAGGGCCCACTCTAACCCAGTGTGACTTCATCTTAACTGTAATTCAGTTAAGAATTACATCTGCAAATAGCCTATTTCCAAATAAGGTCCCGTTCACAGGTACTGGGAATTAAGTCTTCAATATACGCTTTTAGGGACACAATTCAACCCACCACAGAAGGATGGAATGAATGGGAGAGACCAATCCTGTGGGTTCCCGAGGTGGTGGAAACTTTAGCTGTTTGGGGTGGAGGCAGAGAAGAGCTGGCCTTAGGAAGTGAACTTGACAGAACTTGGACATGGGGATGAGAGAAGCAGAGGCATCAAGGATGACCTTTGGAATGAGTAGGTAAGTGTCTTTTGTGGTTAGAGAGCCCCCAGGATGGGCAGGATTGTGAGAATACAAGCTATGCTATCAGTCTGGGACATGTAGGATTTGAGTTGCTTGTGGGAGATGCCAGTGGAAATGTTGCCTAGAGACTTGAATAGGAAAAAGAGGAGATACTTACGTAGCCCTTGCCATCCTGAGCACTTTGTGTGTGAGTGTTGTATGTTAAAAAGGAATAATAATAGTACCTTCATGATTGGGCTGTTGTGAGGATCAAATACATACAAACACTTATACATGTACGTATGTGGGGGTTGTGCATGTGTGTGCACAGATGAGGAAATGCAGACTCCAGAGCATAAATTACCTGCCCGACATCACATAGCTGGTGAGGGGTAGATAAGGATTTTTTTTTTTTTTTTTTGGCAGGGTCTCACTCTGCTGCCCAGGCTGGAGTGCAGTGGTATGATCTCAACTCACTGCAACCTCCGCCTCCCAGACTCATGCGATCCTTCCACCTCAGCCTCCCAAGTAGCTGGAACTACAGGCATGGGCCACCATGCCTGGCTAATTTTTATATATTTTGTAGAGACAGGTTTTTGCCATATTGCCCATAGAACAGGATTTAAACTCAGGTCTTCTAAACTTATAAATCCACATGCTTAACCAATACTTTATACTATCTGCATTGGCCTCTAGTCACATGTGGCAATTTAAGTTAATTAAAATTAAGCAAAATTTAAAATTCAGTCCTATACTAGCACTAGCCACATTTTAGGGGCCCAATTAGCCACATGTGGCTAGGGGCTACCACACTGGCCAGGACAGCAGGGACATTCTCATCTTCACAGAGATTTTCCTAGGACTGCCCTGGTCTAGAGCCCAGAAGAGAGATATTGGGTACGGATTAAAAGAATCTCTAGAGGAATCTCTCATAGGAAATTCTGTGATTTCTAGGGTCCAAATTCTCCCTGAATGAAAGCTTAAGAGGCTTTCCTCATCATCCAAAAATAAAAAAAAAAAAGAGGCTTTCCTCACTGTCCAATTTCATTATCTTAAAACCTCTCTCCTCCATGGTCTTTCAAGCCTGCCACAGACCCAAGCTGAGGACTCGTCGGCTCTCAGAACTGGAAATGACTGAAGAGGGGAGAAAGACTCCTTTCCTATGGCTAGTCATTACTTGTCACTGAATCTGGAACAAAGACATAAACCTGCAGAACAGAGTCCTTGATCCAAATTCTGCTGATTTTTAGGACTCGAATTCTGCTTAAATAAAAACTTGCATTTAAAAATGAAATACTTCCAAGCATTTTGGGAGAGAATGATTTCTATATAGGCCTCTTAGCTCTTTAGTATCCTGTATAGTCACAGATTACATCTTCATTCATTCAGAGAATTTTCTCCCAAAAGATGCCATGGCTGCCCAGCCAGGCCAGCCTGAATGATATTGGTTACATGCCCCAGGTCCAGAGCCATCTGTCAAATCATGTGCAGGGCGGACCATGCAATCATATGTCTGCCTGGCCCCCTCTGATAAAGTGGTTTGGTGGACATGGTAGCTGAGGGAACAAGCATCTAGAAAGAACCCCCCGCCCCCGACCCCAGGCCCACACCACCGCATTATAGAAAGCATTATGTAAATCTTTTGAAAGATTTCCTCTTTGGACAGACTGCCTAAATTTGGCACAGATGAGAAATATAATGAGAGCACTTACAAAATCATTACAGAAAATATAACAATTTCCAGTCTTCCTGCATCACCCAGATGAGAGATCTCAAGTTAATTTCTAAGACATGCATAAAGAGAGGAGAAATGAAACACACACAACAATGTGAAATTTAAGGCATCTCTGGCAAAGTATAAACATCCACCATTTCAAACCTCTTTTTGAACACTTCAGCCAGCTCTTACATGACTGTCAACTGTGCCGTTTATGTCTTATCATAATAAAATGAATTTACAGAGCTTTAGTGTTGAAAGAGCCCTTAAAGACACCTTGTCTCATACCCTCAATTTACAGAAGGGGAAACTGAGGCCCAGAGGGAACAAGAAACCTCAATATATTCCTTGTTAATAACCTTGGCCACCTGGAAATACACCTGTTTCAGAAACGGAATTAATTTCTTTATCTTTTGCAAGAACTACAATTTTCTCCATTTAAAAATTATACACCTGGGTAGGCCCTTAATTTAAAACTACTGACATTAATCAAGAAGCATCCATTGTCTAAAAAAATCAGTTTGAGATTTCAGACTTAAACTCAGAGTTTAAACATTCTTTTCCTTCAGGTAAATAGACAGAAATATAACCTGGCCAGGAAACAAATATTATCGTTAGCCCTGATGCTGACAATACAACCCAATAACATCACCCACCCACCACCCACCATGGCCTCTTGTATTGTAATGTGAATAAGGATAAATAATGATAGATTCTGACGCGGACGAGCCAACCAGAGTGGAGGCTCTGTCCCTGGTGATTTAGGTATCAGTCCTAGAGATTTAGCTTATGTGGGTTATATTTGCTGATACCATGATAGCTATTAAAACAGGGAAATTTTAAACATATTTCTCAATTCATTGGACATAACCATAATAAACCCATTCTATGTTAATAAAAATAGCACATATTTTGGAAACTATCCATATTTTTCAAAATTCCATTTAGTGGAAAAAGTGCCACTATCTATATATTTTTTGCAAATATTTTGAATGTCCGGCTTTAAAGAAAACAGCGGGAGTCTCCTCTCTGCTTCTGTATTCAGTCTGTTGTGAATTTGTTTGGTTGGAGTATATGAAGAAATTCTGGCCTCGAGCAGATATTTGAAAAGGGAGGAATATTTTAATAACCTGGAACAGATAATTGTGGATATTTTTCTTTGATATTACACCAAAACTCAATACACTGTAATGTCTTAACAGTTATTTACTGGGTGGAATCTGAAACCATATCACTGAATTTTCCCTACTCCGTTCCATTAAAATCCACTGGTCTCTCTTGCACTCTGGATGACTCTTTTGCCTGCACATGATTTTAGAACATGATGTGTTGATCATTAGGAAGCCATTGGCTATTGAGTTATGCAGGTATTTCCTGTGTGGACATATTTCAGCCTATAAAATTAAAAAGAAACTATTGCTATTATAGTAAAAATCTTTAATTATTAGGAAGCTTTCATGCTTATATTGGCAGACACAAGTTTTCTAAAATTCTGATTTTTGCTTGAAAGATTACATTTATCAGTGGGAACAGATACTGTGCATTGATTGATTTTCTCGAAGTGAAAGCTCACTTTGTTCATCATCAAGGAACCGTATATCAGATACCCTGGCGTGAATCATCACAGTTTCTTGGTTGTTCTTTCAAGTAAAATGGTGTTGCATTAAAAAAAAAAAAAAAAAAAAAAAAAAGTGGCCTGTTCAGCTGGAAACTGAAGCAATCACGCAAGTACTTTTCTTTGAGATAAACCTTCTGCCTTGATGTACAGCAGCAGTGCCTTGTACATACTTCCCATCCACTCACGAAGAGTGTTTAAAAGATGTACACTCAAGTGTTGCAATTTAAAACAATTAATATTTTTTACTACTTCATGAGTTCTCAAGCGATTACAGTAATTGAGTAAATTCACCAATTATTTCATTCTTAAATGAAACTAGTTTTCTTTGTGTTTCTTTTTGGTTTTTCCTGCAAGTGCGTGAGCAAGTGCATGGTGGTGAAGAATACAATGGGGAGTTTGGTACCACTGCCTTCATTTGTGCTGAGGCATCAGCAATTCCACTCACCAACGTTATTGTTTTGCACCATCAGTGCAAATGTCAGACAGCAAAATAGGCAAACAATGCCTTAGTGTTCTTATGAAAGAGTTTGGCCTTGTGGACTCTCTTACAGGGCTGTGGAAACCATACTTTGAAAATTGCTGCTACAGAGAAACTTTTCATATATACATGGATGTTTATTACCATAGCATTTTTGGTAATGAAAAACTGGAACCAACCTAAATGACCATCACTAGGAGAATGGATAAATAGATTATTACCTATTCATATAGTGAAATGTTCTACAGCAATAAAAATGAATGAACTAGAACTGTAGGTGTTAACACACACATCCTCCCCCAAAATGAAAAATCAATGATAAGTAAAAAAAAAAATAATAATGTTATGGGATGATGATTACTGTGAACCATTATTTAAAAGTCCAATCCAAAACCATAAAAATTACACATTGTTATGAATATATAGCCATATCTATGCACACAGATACATATAGTGAAGGTTTAAAAACATGCATTGAAATGCTAAGTATAATTTAGGATGAGAGTTACTTCTGAGGAAAAAGTGAGATGAGGGAGGGGTACACAGGAAGTTTCAATTTTATCTGTAACGATTTACATCTCAACACTTCGAAGCAAATAGGGTAAAAGTATGAAGGTTTGAGAGAACTAGGTGATGGGCATCATTATGTCATTCTCTATTTCTTTCTGTATGCTCAAAGCATTTTGCTATCAAATTTTCTTTTAAATAGGAAGACTGTATAACAAGAAAAGGTTTTATTAAAAATGTTTCATTTTTAAAGACAGACTTTCCCTTTTTATTATAACTGGCAAGAATCTTAGTGCTAAATTGAATACCCAATCTTAGTTCCTGAAATTGTCTTTTTTGATAAGTTTTTGTTTTGGTATAAAACTTATAAGATTTAAGGAAAATACAAAGAATTCCAAAATACCCCGTGTGAAAATTTACCAGTTGTTTATACTTTTTGCCCCATTTGCTTTATTCTAGTCATCCTGCGTGCACACTGTCTCTCTCCCTCCCCACTCCCACCCTTTCGTTTGCTGCTGGTTCTAATCATACATTGCAGGACCATTCTCTCTCTTTCTTTCTTTCTTTCCTTCCTCCCTTCCCTTCCCCTTCCCCTTCCCCTTCCCTCCCTCCTTCCTTCCTTCCCTCCCTCCCTCCCTCCCTCATTTCTTTCTTTCTTTCTTTCTTTCTTTCTTTCTTTCTTTCTTTCTTTCTTTCTTTCTTTCTTTCTTCCTTCCTTCCTTCCTTCCTTCCTTCCTTCCTTTCCTTTCCTTTCCTTTCCTTTCCCTTTCTTTCTTTCTTTCTTTCTATCTTTCTTTCTTTCTTTCTTTCTTTCTTTCTTTCTTTCTTTCTTTCTTTCTTTCTTCCTTTCTCTCTGTCTCTCTCTCTCTCTCTCTCTCTCTCTGTCTCTCTCTCTCTCTCTCTCCCTCTCTTTCTTTCTTTCCTTCTTTCCTTCTTTCTTTCTTCTCAGATGGAGTCTTGCTCTGTCGCCCAGGCTGGAGTGCAGTGGTGCAATCAAATCTCACTGCAACCTCCGCCTCCCAGGTTCAAGCGATTCTCTTGTCTCAGCCTCCCAAGTAACTGGGATTACAGGCGCGTGCCACCATGGCCGGCTAATTTTTGTATTTTCAGTAGAGATGGGGTTTCATCATATTGGTTAGTTGCTCTCGAACTCCTGACCTCAGGTCATCCACCTGCCTTGGCCTCCCAAAGTGCTAGGATTACACGCGTGAGCCACCGCTCCTGGCTGACTTATCTCTTTCTATTTCAACAGTCTTGTACATGTATTTTTTGGAGGAAGGGAAAGGATTGTTGAGATATAAATTATAAATAAGTATTATCACTCTAAGTCATTATGTAAATGTAAAGTGCCATGTCTATTATTTTATTAATTATTGTAAATAATGTCTTAGAAATAAGGGGCAAAAAAAACAAAAGAAAAGCCCACTTAAACCTCATCACCAATTAATATTTGGTGTTATTTTACATGTGTACATATAAATACAGCTGTGCTCATCCTGAATAAACAAGTTCTACTTCCTGCTTTGTTAACTAACAGTAGTATTTTATGATTTTAAACGTCTCCCCACCATTGGTAATAATAAATCAGAATTCTTTTCATTATTTCTCCTATAGTTAGAGAAGATAAGTGGCAATCATGAATTAAGATGTAGAGGATAAGAAATTCTATTTACCAAAACTAACTACAGAAGTTCTGTTTTCATCATTTCTAATTCTAGATTTGTGCAACTCCAGGTGGTTTCCATGTGATTCTGGTAAGAATATTCTCTACTAATTAATATTATTTTTATTTTTAAGGTCAGTATCATTGACAGTGTTCAACAGGAAACAGATGATCTTACTAAGCAAACAAAGGTGAGGTTTGGAAGTCAGTTTCTTAATATATAAAATCAGTCTCTACACTTGACTTAGAGACAGAATTGCAGTTTGGAGTTCTTTAGTGCCCTGCCAATGTTTGGTTTGCAGAAAATAAAATAGTAACTTCATGTGGCCTTTTAGAATCTTGAGGGACTGCCAGAGAGTTGCAGGTGATGCTTTTATGTCTAATTAGAATGTGAGCAGCCTGTGAACATCAAAATTCAACTGTACACCATAAGCATGGAGGTTTGTCCACATCATTTTATTCTTTATGGAATTAAAATATATTGAACTTCATATTTTCCATTGCAGCAGTCATGCACCTACCACTGTGAAGTTTTGCCATATCCTCATGCCACGTTGTGATTATTTACTTGGTATTGTTCTCTTGGTCAATTCACTCTATCATTAAGTAATTTTTTTAAAAAAGAACTTACATTTTTGTTGATAAAATTAATGTGGCTAGAAACCAACTTCACTTATAATAGATGGTAACTGTGAAAATATATAATGCAAACAAAACAATGCTTTAAATTTCATATATTCTCTTACCTGACAAATATCTGAGCCCAAGATCTGAGTCTAAGTCACTCTCTTTCTCTTTGTGTACATGTCTGCACATTTGTTAAAAGGGATAGTCATAGACAGAGAGGCATTAAAGGTCTGTCAGCACCTAATCATCAATAATTTCAGGAAGACTGAGAGATAAATGGAAGTGGGAAAACTTTCTCAACAACCGTTTGCATGTCTACTATAGGACAGCCATTGGCACATAGCAGACAGTCATCTTTAATGCTATGTCTGGATAGCTCCTGAAATTATCTCAAGAACCACGTCAAATCATCGGACAGCATCCACCCCGTGGTTAGAGATGACTCTACAGCTATTAAGAAGACAGGCACTTGGGTTTTCCAAGCTTAGGTGGCTGTTCTGGCGATGAGAGAATGCAGGCCAGGTGTCAGCACAGGGCCTTTACATGAAGTAAGGGTGTGATAAATCCTGGCTGTGAGCATCACTGCCATCCTCATTGTCACCAGTGTCACTATAAGTTCCAGGAAAAGATCTACCAGCCTCTACGGCGATCCAAGAGAAGATGGGTTATCACCACCTTGGAGCTGGAGGAGGAAGACCCGGGACCCTTTCCCAAACTCATTGGTGAGGTAAGGTGCCTACTCTTAAGGAATGACCCCATCATGCCCTCTAAGTAAGCACGCCCCTTTGGCCAGGAAGATTAAGTCTTGAAAGGTTATGTGCTAGTGAGGCCAGGGAGTGAAGTAGAGCAGAAGGAGCACTGGCCTGGGGTTCAGGAAGCCTGGGTTCTAGAACTCACTCTAACTCTACCTGGTTATGTGAGTTTGAACGAGTCACTTCTCCATGTGAGTGTCTGATGAGAATCTCATACAGCAACAGGGTGGTTAATTCCAACTGACAGGTCTGCTTTATTTGGCCCATGCAGAGGCTTTTTTTTTTTTTAAATATTATTTAAAAACAGGGAGATTGTCGGCCAGGCGCGGTGGCTCACGCCTGTAATCCCAGCACTTTGGGAGGCCGAGGCGGGCGGATCAGGAGATCAGGAGATCGAGCCCATCCTGGCCAACATGGTGAAATCTTGTCTCTACTAAAAATACAAAAAATTAACCAGGCATGGTTGCAGGTGCCTGTAGTCCCAGCTGCTCGGGAGGCTGAGGCAGGAGAATGGCATGAACCCAGGAGGCGGAGCTTGCAGTGAGCCAAGATCGCACCACTGCACTCCAGCCTGGGCGACAGCGAGACTCTGTCTCAAAAATAAATAAATAAATAAATAAATAAATAAATAAATAAATAAATAAGGGAGATTGTCTTAAAAATTTTGCCCTTCTAAAGACTTTTAAAAATGGAAAGTTCTGGCCACAAGGAACCCACATTCCCACATTACAACAATTAGGCGGGGCTTGAGTTACTCAGAATACCAGTTTCCACCCCTCCCTATTGCCTCCCTCATGCTGAGGGTGAGCACTGCCTTGAAGAAGTCACATGGTATTGGAATAGCAGAATCTTTACACCAGGCTCATGTTGTTTATTTCCACTACCTTCCTAGTACCAATGGGCCTTTGAATTAAGTGCTGATTAAGTTCTGCTATAGCTGTGGCATTCTATGATTCTTAGAAGAAGGAAATAGTGCACGCCTACTGTTAAAAACAAACATAAAGAGTACAGAAAGTTTTCAAGTCTCAGTGGTTAAAAGTGTATATGCCTAAGAGTCAGGGGGAGTGAGTGGGTTCATATTCCTACTGCACCACCTCCTTGCTGGGTAAGTTAGAGATTTTTAACGTGTCCTCATCTGTACAATGCGGTCAATGATATTGCCTACATTTCAGAGATGTTTTAAAGATTAAATAGGTTAAGGCAAGCAAGGCATATTGTAGGCCCACTCATTCTAAGCTCTTTCTAAATGTTAGTTGTGTGATCACTACTTCTCTTTCCTTCAAGGGATAATTGATATTAATAAATTGGTATGTGTGGTTCCAGATATTTCTCTACAGATTTTCTGATGTGAATCTGCATCCAAGAAATGAGATCACACTTGGTGTGTTGTTCTGCTTGCCTTTCTTGTTTAGTGATGTGTCCTGCTAGTCATTCCGTGGCAGTGTAAATACATCTTTAAAGGCTACAGAGTATCCCATGCTATGTGAAGGAAGTATCATTATATTATTTTTTTCATGTTGATGAACATTTATGCTATTTCCAAATTTTCACTGTTACAGACCAAACTGAAGCTAACAGTTCAACATCATTGTTCCTGCATCTCAGCCCATCTGTTTATTTCTTTGGCAGATGTGCCATTGCTGGGTATAATTTCTTAAAGATGCCATTGATTCTTAGCCTTGATACTTGATTATCATAGTGGCTTATTCTCATCCTCCTTTTTTCTTCTTTCCATTTTTCCTCCTTCCAGCTGTTCAATAATATGTCTTATAACATGTCACTAATGTATCTAATCAGTGGACCTGGTGTGGATGAATATCCAGAGATTGGTTTGTTTTCTCTAGAAGATCATGAGAACGGAAGGATATATGTTCACCGCCCTGTCGATCGAGAAATGACACCATCTTTCACGGTATCTAAAACTTGATATATTCTAAGCTCGGATTTAAAAGCTCTTGCAAGACTGTTGTATTTGGTAAGCATTATTTAAGCTGACTATGTGCCAGGTTCCGGGAGATTGAGAAATTATGCCTTGTGACAAGCTTTACGAGTATGCCTGAGACTTTTGTAATCTTCTTTTAGAGTTGTGGACTTTGGCTTTGTAATGATTTCTGCAATCGATGTGAGCTGCTATAGGTCTTTATTCTAATGACCAGTGTCCTAGCATGATCGGGATATCAGAAAGCATTTGGGTATAGGGTCACAGAATGTTTATAAAATGGGCTAATTTATTTTTTGATGAGTGACTTCTGAAATATGGAGACAAGCCATAACAGACCCAATGGGTTGCCCAATAACTGATGCATGAGCAGTTGCATACCTGTTGACAATGTCTTATTGTGAGTGCAGGTGTTCTTTACGATTTCATCACTGCAACACTGTGGTTTACTATGAAGTTGAAATTCAGGTTGTAAACTAGGAAAGGAAATTATAAAGAAAAAAGCCCTGAACCATGTATCACATTACTCACCTAACATCATAGGAAGTCCTTAGGTAGTCAAACTTTGTTCTATTTTGACTTCAGTGGAATGGAGCTGCTGGGAACTGGGCTTGGTTCTCAGGCGTGCTTGGCTGTACATTTGTTCATTAACTCTTTCAGGGTGGAAAGATGTTGATTAACATTCAAGAAAAGTAATAGTTGAAGCTTTTCTCCAGTGATCTCAAAGTACTTATATACACAATAAAAGATATACCCTTAACTCACTGATAGGCTCTGAATCTCTAATTTTTAAATCGGTGAAAATTGTTCTAAAACTCCAATGAACATGCAAAGATGACTCTCTAGGTCTTCCTTATCTGTATGAATGCATGCCTCCCTTCTGTGCAGAATTCACAGTGTCTGTTAAAAAGAAGGACTTTTAACAGTGCCTGTTAAAAAGAAGAGTAGTCATAAGGAGACCCTGAGATAGCACTTCTCAATCTTTCATGAGCAAACAGATCACCTAGGGATCTTGGTAAAAATGCAGATTCTGTTTTAGTAGGTCAGGGTGAAGCCTGAAAGCCTGCATGTCTAGCAAGCTCCAGGTGATGCCCATGCTGCTGTTCCTCGGGCTTCCACACATTGAGTAGGGAGGACCTAGTGATGATCATGGTCTGTGCAAGGATGGAACCAAACATTCAGTGCTCACTTGTTGTTGTTGCTTGTTTGCTTTCAATATTTTATTTTTTCCTTTCCTTTTATTATTATTATTATTTTTAACTTTCATTTTAAGTTCATGTACAGGTTTGTTATATAGGTAAACTTGTATAATGAGGGTTTAGTGTACAGGTTATTTCATCATCCAGGTATTAAGCCTAGTACCCACTAGTTAGTTTTCCTGATCCTCTCCCTCCTCCCACCCTTCACCCTCTGAGAGACTCCAGTGTCTGTTTCCTTCTGTGTGTCCATGTGTTCTCATCATTTAGCTCCTATCTATAAGTGAGAACATGCAGTATTGGTTTTCTGTTCCTGTGTTAGTTTGCTAAGGATAATGGCCTCCAGCTCCATCCATGTTCCTGCAAAGGACATAATCCCATTCTTTTTTATGGCTGCATAGTATTCCATGGTGTACATGTACCATATTTGCTTTATCCATTCTACCATTGATAGGCATTTAGGTTGATTTCATGTCTTTGCTACTGTGAATCCTGCTGCAATGAACATACCCATGCATATGTCTTTATGATAGAATGATTTAAATTCCTTTGGGTATATACCCAGTAATGGGATTGCTGGGTTGAATAATATTTCTGTTTTTAGCTCTTTGAGGAATCACCACACTGTCTTCCACAATGGTTGAAGTAATTTACACTCCCACCAACAGTATATACATGCTCCTTTTTATTCTGCAACCTCACCAGCATCTGTTGTTTTTTGACTTTTTAATAATAGCCATTCTGACTGGTGTGAGATGGTATCTCATTGTGGTTTTAATTTTCATTTTTCTAATAATCAGTGATGTTGAGCTTTTTTTCATATGCTTACTGGCCACAAGTATATCTTCTTTTGAAAAGTGTCTGTTTATGTCTTTTGTCCACTTTTTAATGGGGTTTTTTTTCTTGTAATTTTAAGTTCCTTATAGATGCTAGATATTAAATCTTTCAGATGCAAAAGAAACTATCAACAGAGTAAACAGACAACCTGCAGAATGGGAGAACATTTTTGTGAACGATGCTTTTAACATTTTAAATGATGTATTAAGGGTTGGCATTCATAATGTCTAAAATGGGACTTTGTGTCTAAAAGCTGATAATGCTAAAGCCAAATATCTAACAGCATTTCCTGAAACTCGAAGTTGAGTTGGAAATGCTTGGTGCATCACAGATAGATCCTAGGCACCATTTAGAGCAAAGAGTGACAGTGTGGGGTGGGGGGAAACACATGGCATCCCCATTAATTCTGTTATGTCAGGTTTTCAGGGCCCTATGCTTGGAGCTCCCTGGCTAGGCCAAACCCATGTTCTGATCCCCCAAACATTGACCACAGTTGTCTTTTAATATTGATTTAGGTACTTATTTGATCCGTGGCCCTGTCATTTAACTACAGACTTCCACAAGGAAAGATACAGGGTGGGGATTCTGAGGCATGCCCCAACCTTGCCTGTCACTCTCCGTCTCATTACCCTGTTTTATTTTCTCCTCAACACCACTCATCACCTGAAATGTGAATTTTGTGTTTAATTATCTGTTGATAGTTGATCTCCTCCATTAGAATGCTGATCTCCCCTCTTAGAATGTAGTTCTAAGAGGGGAGAGACTCTGCCTTATTGTTGACTTTGGGGAAAGTCTGCCATTGCCCCAGGGTCAAGATCAGGGCTCCTCACATAATAGGTTCTCCCTTAATCATGTTAGATGAAGGAGTAAATGAATGAACAAGCAGAGTAAAATGTAGCCTCGGCCTTGCTGGGTGTTGTGAGTTGAATTGTGTCTCCCAAAAATACATGTTCAAGTCCTAATTCATGGTACCTACCCCTGTGACCTTATTTGGATATAGGGTCTTTGTAGGTGTAATCAAGTTAAAATGAGGTCATACTGGATTAGGGTGGGCCATAACCCAGTGACCAGTATTTTTAGAAGAAGAGAGAATCTTTGACACAGAGACAGACGCAGAGGAGAATGCCAGGTGAAGGTGGAGGCAGAGATTAGAGTGATGCCAAGGAACACTGAGGTTTGCTAGCAACCACCCGAAGCCAGGAGAGGCCCGGAAGAGTCTCTCCTTCGGAGCCTCCAGAAGAACCAACCCTGCTGACTCCTCCATTTCAGCTCTAGCCTACAGAGCTGTGAGAGAATAAGTTCCTAGTGTAAGCCATGGGGGTCTATGGTATTTTGTTACAACAGCCACAGGAAACTAACAGCCAGGGGCTTACACACTATTTAGGAGCATATGAAATGGTCCAATGAGAAGGATTACCAACAAGGAAGGGTGGCATAAGACATGTCCTATAAATTAGGACGTGTCCTAAACACTACACAAATTGAGCATCCTAGCTTAACCATCTGCTCCTGTAAGAGAGCGTTTATTGTTGGCTTTGGCAGTCCATCAAGATAGTACATTATTAAAAATCAAGTAAGCCTAATGTAGTGGCAAAAAGACATTCTAGTAGCACTTCTTTACTCTTGAGCATCCTGATGGGGTCTCTAAAACCAGCCAAAAGAAAAATTGTGTTCAGGGGGTGGTGTGGGGGAGGCTAACATTTATTAACTCCATGCATGTACAAGAAAGCAGTAGCCCTGGTTGAGAATTACTGTAAGATTTGAGACAGAGGACAGCAACAGAAAAAGTTTCAATTTTTTTCTGTGTATGGACCTTATCTATTTATATCAAAATATGCTCATTTTTGTAGAATACAAAGCTACCCCAAAACCCATCTTTTTATATTTCTCAAAATAATTATTTGTTAATTTTTTTCACCACACAGTCTAACCTATGCAGTAGCGATTTTGTGTTGTGCATTTGGCGCTGAAGGTGTTCCTATGTGCTCATTTGCATGTAAGGCCGCAGATCTTGTGCCTGTAATTTCAAACAGCCATGTGATGTATCAAGTTAATGCACCATGGTTTGTTTATCCAAAGGTATAAATCTTGAGGCTATAACCAAAGGCTGGAAACACTTTCCAAGTGCAGAAAATGTCCATGACATTTCTTTTCTCCATTGTAACCCGAATCCCTAGAAATTCTTAGCATCTTGCCAAAGAATAAACAGCACTCATGTTTCTCAGGCATCTTATGGAACTAAAGGTCTCATACGTAGCTTTAGGATAATAAATGAAATATAAAATAATAAACATAAAACACACAAGTGGTTCTTTTTTTAAATGGAAGGAGTACAGTTGGCACAGTTTTACAGCCAGAAGTCAGGGTGATTAAGGAGCAAAGAGTTGCCAGCACAGTCATACATTATGGAGGAGAATGTAGAGATGGTGAGTGAGAAAGCCAATTTATTTGCACAAAAATTTAAAAATGTATGCTGGAGTCCCTGCAGCGGACTAGCTCAGTGGTAGAAGCCCTGAAGCCTCCCTCAGTCCTGCTGTGGGGGAGGAGGAGCACTGACCTGCGCTAGACGTAGGGGCTGCTGTGCTAGGATACCTGGTGGGACCACGGTGATGGAAGCAGAGGAATGAGCCACAAGTCTGCAGGGAAAGGGGGCTCAGGCAGTCATGCGAAACAGTACAGAGGGAAAGACATTTAGGCCCCTGAGGAAGGGGATGGAGAGAGTGTTGCCTAAAGCTTTCAAGGCCCTTAGAGGCCCCCTGGGAGGGCCACCGACCCTGGGCACTGAGTAGCCATAGAGTGAAGTGAGGAAGAATCGGCGGAAGGTGCAGTCTTGATCCCTGACTGGACTTGAATCTGGGCTACTCTACTTCCAAGCTGAAGGTGAAATAGTCACTTAGTCTCTCCATGGTGCAGAGCTGGACAGCAAGGGTGCCTTCCTCCAGGGCTTCCGCGGGGATGAGCAGAGGCCATCTACGGGAAGGGCTGGTGCTGGTGAGTCCGCCCTGGGCCTGGCTGAAGCTGGCAGCCAGGCTTCTGCAATAAACCTTTTTACCCCAAGCAGGATACTGTACCTGGCGACCAGTTGACCCTTGAGAATCCAGTGGTCTGACTGCAGAACAGGCCTCTGCCTGGACCACCCTCGTGCCAGGATCCGTGCCCTTTCCCACTCCCTTTTCTGCGACTCTGAACTCCTGCCTTTGCCCACAGCCTTTTCAGCCTTCAACAAACAAAAGCACCCTTTATACTAGAGCAATGAGAGATTCAGGAGCAAGCCTGATTCGACTTGCTTTTAAAAATATGTATATTTATTTAAAATACACATGTATATTTTCTTATAGTTCATATTTATTATATTTTATTAATATATATATTTATTTTGTAAGTAGGGACATCATTTTTTCAAATTAATGGACTTTATTTTTTAGAGCAGTTTTAGATTGACAGAAGCACAGAACAGAAAGCACAGTTCCCATCCTCCCCTCCCCCTACCCCCTCCCTTCAGATTCCCCTATTATGAACATTTTGCAGTAGTGTGTGCATTTGCTATAATGTATGTGCTACATTTGCTATAATTGTTGAGCCAGTATTTTACATGACTATTAACCAAAACCCATAGTTTACATTAGGCTTCACTCTTGGCATCTTACGTTTTATGGGTTTCGACAAATGTGTCCACCATGACAGTGTCGTATAGAATAGTTTCACTGCTCTAAAACTCTCTGGGCTCTGCCCATTCACCCCTCCCTACCCCCAGAACCCCTGGCAACCACTGGTCTTTTTACTGTCTCCCCACTTTTGCCTTTTCCAGAAGGTTATATAGTTGGAATCATACACTATGTAGCCTTTTCAGACTGGCTTCTTTCACTTGGCAATATCCATTCAAAGTTCCTCCATGCCTTTTTTTCATTGTATAATATTCTATTGTGTGGATGGACACAGCTTATTTACCTATTCACCTACTGAGAAACATCTTGGTAGCTTCCAGAGTTTGACAATCATGAATAAAGCTATAAACATGTGTGTGCAGGTTGTCAGGTGCACATACATATTCAACACATTTGGAAGGCTGATAGTTGGATTGTGTAGCAAGAGTACATTTAGTTTTGTAAGAAACTGCCAAACTGTCCCCCAAAGTGGCTGCACCATTTTGCATTCTCCCCAGCAATAAATGAGAGTTCCTATTATTTATACTTACTTTTTTTTTTTTTTTGAGATGAAGTCTTGCTCTGTCACCCAGGCTGGAGTGCAATGGGGTGATCTCGGCTCACTGCAACCTCTGCCTCCTGGGTTCAAGTGATTCTTCCACCTCAGCCTCCCGAGTAGTGGGATTACAGGCACCCACCATCATGCCTGGCTAATTTTTGCCTTTTTGTAAAGGTGGGGTTTCACTACGTTGGCCAGGCTGGTCTTGAACTCCTGACCTCAGGTGGTCCCCCCACCTCGGCCTCCCAAAGTGCTGGGATTACAGGTGTGAGCCACCACGCCCGATCTTATATTTACTTTTTACATATAAAATTAATAGGGCTTCTTACAAAATTTTGTACAATATATGAAAAATCTCACCCCACCCACAACTTTTCTCTCTGGTCTAATTCCACAGAAGGAGAAAATAATTACAGAGAAAATATAACATTCACTCTTCACTTATTAGATTTGATATGAAGTTTTTAATAACTTCTTTGACAATATAATGACCTGAGAACCCTCAACTGCCTTTATTCCTTCCAAATTTATATGTATTTTACTTTTAAAAATTTATTTTCAAAACTTGTGTACGGTAAAATTTGTATCTCTTGATGTATAGTTCTAAGAGTTTTGACAAACCCTCCTTCAACCCTTAACCCCTGGAAACCACTCATTTCTTCTCCCTCCCAATACATTTACCTTGTTTAGAACATCATAGAGACGGAGTCACACAATACATGGCTTTTTAAGTCTAGATTTTTTTCACCTCACATAATGAATCTTATATTCATCGATGTCATTGTGTGCATCAAGAGTTTCTTCTTCTTCTATTTTTTTTTTTTTTTTTTTGAGACGGAGTCTTGTTCTGTCGCCAGGCTGGAATGCAGTGGTGCAATCTTTGCTCACTGCAACCTCCATCTCCCAGGTTCAAGCAATTCTCCTGCCTCAGTCTACTGAGTACCTGGGACTACAGGCGCCTGCCACCATGCAAGGCTAATTTTTTGTGTTTTAGTAGAGATAGGGTTTCACCATGTTGGTCAGAATGGCCTTGACCTCCTGGCCTTGTGATCTGCCCACCTGGGCCTACCAAAGTGCTGGGATTACAGGCGTGAGCCGCCGTGCCCAGCCGAGTTTGTTCTGTTTTATCGCTGAGTAGTATCTTGCTTCTCACTTTATAAAACTAAAGGGTGCTTGGACTCTTTTCAATTGTGGTGAGATAAAGCTGCTATGCACTTTTTTTTTTTTTTTTTTTTTTTTTTTTTTTTTTTTTTTTTTTAGATAGAGTTTCACTGTTGTCGCCCAGGCTGGAGAGCAATGGTGCGATCTCAGCTTATTGCAATCTTGGCCTCCTGGGTTCAAGCGATTCTCCTGCCTTAGTCTCCTGAGCAGCTGGGATTACAGGCACCCACCACCACACCTGGCTAATTTTTATATTTTTAGTAGAGTCGGGGTTTCACCATGTTGGCCAGGCTGGTCATGAACTCCTGACCTCACGTGATCCACCTGCCTCAGCCTCCCAAAGTGCTGGGATTACAGGTGTGAGCAACCATACCCAGCCCACATATGGCTTTTATGTGAAAGTCAGTTTTCATTTATTGTAGGTAGATACCTAGGAGTGGCTTAGTTGGATCACATAAGTGTATGTTTAACTCGATAAGCAATTCCCAAACGATTTCTCAGAATAACTGAACAATTTTGCATTCTCATTAGAAACGTATAAGAATTCTGATTGCTCTGCATCTTTGGCTGCACTTAGTATTGTCAGGTTTTTTCAGTTTAGCTGTTCTAAAAGGTGTGTAGCGATATCTCATTGCAGTTTTAATGTGGATTTCCCTAGTGACAAATGATGACTTATTTACTATCTGTATCTCTTTTTTTGGAGAGGTGTCTGTTCAAACCCTTTGCCCATTTTAAAATTGTATTGTTTTTGTCTTTTTTTTTTTGAGATGGAGTTTCTTTCTTGTCTCCCAGGCTGGAGTGCAATGGCGCAATCTCAGTTCACTGCAACCTCCACCTTCTGGGTGCAAGCAATTCTCCTGCCTCAGCCTCCCGAGTAGCTGGGATTACAGTTGCCTGCCACCATGCCTGGCTAATTTTTGTATTTTTTTTAGTAGACACTGGGTTTTGCCATGTTGGCCAGGCTGGTCTTAAACTCCTGACCTCAGGTAATCCACCCGGCTAGGCCTCCCAAAGTGCTGGGATTACAGGCATGAGCCACCACACCCGGCCATATATTGTTTGTTTTCTTATTGAGTTTTGAATACAAATCCTTTGTCAGCATATGAAATGGAAGTATTTTCTCTCAGGCAATTGTCTTTTCATTTTTGTCTTCTCATTCTTACCTTTGTCTTTTCATTCTTTTAACAGCATTTCTTACAGAGCAAAAGTTATTACATTTTGATAAAATCCAATTCATCAATATTTTCTCTTCTGGATCATGTTTTTGGTGGTGTTATCTAACACATTGTCATCAAGATTTTCTCCTTTTTTTACTAAAAGTTTTATAGTTTTATGTTTTACATGTATGTCTGTGATCCATTTTGAATTAATTTTTGTCTAAAGTGTGAGATATAGACCCAGGTTTATTTTTTTTTGCTTATGAACATCTAATTGTTTCAGAATCATGTGTTGAAAAGGCTAGCCTTTGTATTATTCTCAAAAATCAATCAACCATACTTGTGTGGGCCTATTTCTAAACTCTCTATTCTGTTTCAGTGATGTATATATTTATCTTTTCATCAATACTATACTCTCTGGATTACTGTATTTTTATAATAAATCTTGAAATTATATAGTGTGAGTCCTCTAACTTTGTGTTTCTTTTTCAAAATGATTTTGCGTATTCAAATTTCTTTGCCTTTCTATATAATTTTCAGATCAGCTTGTTGATATCTCTAAAATATTCTGCTAGTCTTTTGATTGGGATCATGCTGACTTTATAGGTCAATTTGGAAAGAACTGTCATCTTGGCAATACTGAGTCTTTCAGTCTGTAAACACAGTATATCTTTTCATTCAATTAGGTCTTCTTTGATTTCTTTCATCAGTGTTTTAACATTTTCACTAAATAGATCCTATACGTATTTTAGATTTGTAAATGGAGCTGTTTTAAAATTTTTATTTCTAATTATGCATTGCTGGTTTATAGAAATATAGCTGATTTTTATAGATTAACTTTATATCTTGTGACATTGCTGAAATTGATTTTCGAAAGTTGAATCAGCCTAAAATTCTCAGGATAAACCTCATTTGGTCATAATGTACTATCCTTTTAATATATTTCTGGGTACTATTTGTTAGTATTTTGTTGAGAACTTTTAACTCTAGATTCATGAGAGATATTGTTCTGTAGTTTTCCCTGTAATTTACAAAAATTTGACTTTGTATTATGGTAATATTAGTCTCATATAATCAGTTGAGAAGTTTTTCTACCTTTTATATTTTTTGGAAGAGACTGTTGAATTGGTCTTTCTTCTTTCATATTTTGCTAGAATTTATCATTGAAGTCATCTGGGCCTGGAGTTTTTTGTTTTTATTTCTTGAAAGATTTTAAACTATAAATTTCACTTTAAAAAAATATATAGGACTATACAGGTTTTCTGTTTCTTCTTGAGAAAGTTTTCGTAGTTTTTCTTTATTAAGAATTTGGTCCATTTCATTTAAGTTGCTGAATTCATTGGCATAAACTTGGTCATACTAGTCCTTATTCTTCTTCTAATATATGTAGAATCTCTAGTGATATCCTTTCTTTCATTCTCGTTATTGATAATTCTCTCCGCTTCCTTATTTTCCCTCATCAGTCCCCCTAGAGGTTTATTCATTTTATTGATCATTTCAAAGAATCGCTTTTGGTTACATGCGATTACGTTGGTTACTTTCTCTATTGTTTTGTTGTTTTCCATTTTATTGATATGTGCTCTTACCTTTACTATTGCTTTCTGTTTGTTTGGATTTATTATGATGTCTTTTTAAAATTTCTTAAGGTGGAAGCTTAAACAATTGATTTGAGACCATTTGAAGTGAAAGATTTCACACATGCATATTTGACGTGGACTGACTTTTCTTATCCAAGTACAGAAGTAACTGCAGTGGCCATTTAAAAATATAGCATGTCAGTAGCTGTGCTAGTTACTATAAATGTTCACTTTCCCAAAAATCTTTAACTGTCTGCTCTCTGTGATGTTTCAGTAATATTCAGTTAATATATTTATTTCTCATGACAACACTGATAGGTTGTAGAAACGGAGGCTCACTAGCAACTTGCATGTGTTTGCCCAGTGGAGAGACTGAGATTTGAACCTAATAATAACTGATCATTTTTTTCCAAGCCAGAGCATTGGCTTGTTCTACACATTTGCTGAGCACCTAATCTGTGCCAGTACTGTTCTTGCTCTCTGGGGTACTTGGTAAATGAGGGCAGTCTGATTCCTGCCCTCCGGAACTCTCAGTCTAGAGGAGGAGACAGACGTAACACATAATTAGGATAACAGTTATTTTATTAGAGTGTCATCGAGTAAATGGTTCTGCAGGATTTTTACAGCTCTCTGCTTCCTAGGTTTATTTTGATGTTGTGGAGCGCTCAACAGGAAAAATTGTGGATACATCCTTGATTTTCAACATTAGGATCAGTGATGTGAATGATCATGCACCCCAGTTTCCAGAGAAGGAATTTAACATCACTGTGCAAGAAAACCAATCTGCAGGTGTGTGCGGCTGGGGGGCTGCCGGGCTTCCTTCTGTCTCTGCTCTGTTCCTTTTCATTAATATTGATGAGGAGCTTGATCCTAGTCATCTTCAGGGAGAGTTTTTACTGTTCACATCTCAAAGATCGCAGGCCTTGGATCTGAGCGAAATGCTTTGAGGTCCGTAAGCCTCATTTTGTATCGGCAATAAAATGATGTGGGAATTACATCAGTGGGAAGGGTTGATATGTAAATGCCATTCTAAAAATAAAGCCACATGCAGTGAGGGAGAAAGAGCTGGGTGATGAGCTTCTGCATATCTCTGCACATTTTTTGTCTGTAAAATGGCAACACGATCACATCTATAGCCTCCGAGTTACAGATACTGTGCATTCTTAAACCCAACCGACTCTTACTAGAATGTGGATTTATTTTAATAACAAAAATCATTTTTTTGTGTAATCATCTCTCCAAAAAATTCCAAGAAATGAAAAGACTGAAAAAGAAAGCATCTTTAATGTTACCCATGAGAGATAACAACCATTAGTGTTTCAGTTTGTATTCTTTCAGCATTTTTGTGTGCATTTTCTGTGTGTGTGTATACACATGCTGTGTGTTAAAATTATATATGTGTATGCATTCACACATTTTTATGTATAATTACAAATGCATATTTGTATATACATACATTTTTTCATCTTTATCATAGTACACATTGTATATGCGTATATGGTAAATATTTACACATATTTGGTGTGCTTTTTCACAGGTGCATATTTATAAATTTCCTCTCTAAAGGTGCAATTTTACTGTTTGTAACCTGATATTTTTCTAAAATACCCTGTTGTGTAATATTTTATGGATGTGCTTTAAAGTATTTGACCGATCTCCTATGGTTGAACATTTATGTTTTTTTGCCACTTTCTGTTATTTTCATAAAATATATTTCAATGATAAAATTTAAGCTAAATCTGTGTCCCAATCAAGCATTATTTACTTAGCATGAATTCAGAGATGTAGACTTGCTGGTTTGCACTGTGCATACAATGTAGGGGTCCTCATTTGCTGACCTGCCCCCAGTCCACGAAGATGCTTGGTGTGTTGTTGGTCTTTGATAACTATGTGCTTGAACATTTTGCTATGTTTCTTCACCATTTCCATGTTCTATCAGTTGCTTTTTCCTTTCTTTTCTTCATTTTTCTGTTAGTGTGTTTGTCATTTTTCTTGATTTTAACCTCTGCAGTCTATATTAAGAATATCTGCCTGCCATGTATGTTTCAGATATATTTTCCTGCTTTATCATTTTCTTTTAAATTTTGTCCACAGTTTTTTGCCAGAAATTAAAAGTGTAATCTGATCCACCAATGTAAGTCTTCTGCATTGGCAGTCATGATTAGAAAGTTCTTGATCTTATAACTAATTAAATATTCATCCTTATCTTTTCTAGTATGTCCATAGTTTATTTTATATTTAAACATTCCACTCATTTTGGTATATGCCCCAATGCCATTTAGCAAATAATTCATCCTCTTACTGGTTTGATAGGCTACCTTTATCTGATAGTAACAATTTTTAAAAATTCTTTCTAGGGCAACCTATTTTTCAGATGTTAGCAGTCGATTTGGATGAAGAAAACACTCCAAATTCTCAAGTCCTTTACTTCCTCATTTCTCAAACACCATTACTGAAAGAAAGTGGTTTCCGGGTTGATCGCCTTAGTGGAGAAATACGACTCTCTGGCTGCTTAGATTATGAGGTTATGTGGATTTTATTATTTTTTTTAAATGAAATGTGTGGCCCATCCTTGAGCCCCAGGCTTAGATTCTACATTTGTAGTGGGGAACCCTCTGTGGCTAGATTTGCTATTGAAATTCCTAAACAGAATATTTCTTTATTAATATTTTCCTTTCCTGTATTTGAGGGGCTTAACTTTCCTTTTCCTCCCACATAGACCGCTCCTCAGTTTACACTGCTAATCAGAGCCAGGGACTGTGGAGAACCGTCACTGTCATCCACGACCACCGTTCACGTGGATGTGCAAGAAGGCAACAACCACAGGCCTGCATTTACCCAGGAGAACGTGAGGCTCCTGGGCCGCCCCAACGTCTAAGCCCCAAAACAAGTAGCCCTTGGGTCCTAGGCTCAGTTTTTCTCAGAGAGGGTGTTAGGCTGTTATCATATTGCTGTGAAGAAATACCTCAGACTGGGTAATTTATAAAGAAAAGAGGTTTAATTGGCTCATGGTTCTGCAGGCTTTACAGGAAGCCTGGGGCTGGCACCGGCTCAGCTTCTAGGGAGGCCTCAGGACGCCTATGATCATGGCGGAAGGACGGGGGGAGCAGGCATGTCACTCGGTGACAACAAGAGCATGCAAGACACGGGAGGTGGGTGGGGAAGAATGAGGAACGAGAGAGGTAAGAGGGGCCACACACTTTTAAATGACCAGATCTCATGTGAACTCAGGGCCAGAGCTTCCTTATCACCAAGGGGATGGCCGGAGCTATTTATGAGGGATCTGCCCCACGATCCAAACACTTCCCACCAGGCCCCACCTCCAACACTGGGGATCACATTTCAGCATGAGATTTGGGCGGGGACAGATCTCCAATCTATATCGCGCAGTCACCCAAGATATGTGCAATTCTCCAAAGTGACTTAAGCTAGAATCAAGAAGCCAAATCATATTGACATAGAAGCAGTTCATAATGGTCACATGAGCTTACATTTTTGACTGCTGTATGCCAGAAACTATGCTAAGAACTTTTACATGCATTTTTTTCATTTTTGATTATTGAAACTACAACACGATTTCTGTTTTACAGATGGGAAAACTGAGGTCTAGGGGAAGACAGGGAATTCCTGTTTACTTGGAGTCAGGGGTTCCTATGCTCAGCCCAACTGACACTGGGCCAGATGATTATTTGGAGTGGGGGCTACTCTGTGTGCTGTGGGATATTCACCAGCATCCCTGGCCTCCGCCCAGTAGATGTCAGTAGCACCCCTCAGCTGTGACAACCAAAAGTGTCACCAGACATTGCCAAATGTCCCTCAGGGAGAAGAATCACCCTTGGGTGAGAAGTCTGCACCTGAGGTTTTCACACCGTGTTCAGGATTCTAGAGGGAAGGTGAGCAGGTAGGCTTTGGCCTCGCCTTCCATACCTTACCTTATCCAAGTACAGAAGTAACTGCAGTGATCATTTAAAAACATTGTATGTCAGGGTCCACATGGGATTTCCCAGGCTGCAAGACTCCCAGCCTTTAAGAAAGCATTGAAAACCGCTGTGTAAGATGGTTTGGGATGGGTGCCCCACCTAAGGCATGTGAGATGGCTAAGAGATAAAATAAGAATCACTCAAGATCTATTTCCAATATTTTATTTTTTACTATTCTATATGTATTTTTAAAAAAGTAAATATCCACCATATTTCCTTTCTCCTGACTCTCTTTCTTGACTACTGAGTTAAAACCCTCCCTCTTCTTTCCTGGGACACACTGTAGCTCCTTTGTGCTTTCTTCTGCTTAGTAGTGTTCTACTTAATCAGTTTTATTTATTTTATAAATCCCCCTACACACACACACACACACACACACACACACACACACACACACACTCAGCTCTCAGCTCCATCAAGGACGGAATTTTTGCCTGTCTTGTTCATGGCATCTGAAATGGAATGTGGCACATAGAAGCTGTTGTTGAATAAATGATGCAAACAATTATTTTTAAAAGGTGTCGTTTAATTAGAAAAAAAACCTGTATAAACCAAAGTGAAATGTTTGCAAACCAAAGCACCTCACCAGAAGTATATAATAACTACAAAATAATATTATGCTTGAACCTTGTTTCAAAATCTTTTCCTGGCTTGGTAAAAAGCAATGCTCTCAAAAATATGGCTGGAAAAAAAATATACCCTCTTATTTTGAAGTGCTTGTCTAGAAACATTGCCTCCAAAAGTATTGAATAACAAGCTATTTTGAAGATCTACATGTGTTAGAAAAATGATCACCTTAATCTGAATAACCACAAGTGTCCTATTTTAGGGGAAGAGCTAGGATTTTTAGAGAGCATAAACTAGGATTGTGTATTATTATTTTTAAAATTCTTAGAAAAAATAGGGCATTGAGTTGGATTTAAGAGTACTTTAAGAATTATTTAGCGAGTCACAGGTAGGAGGGGGCAGATATTCCAACGGATGCACCTTCTGCTGTAACAGACGGAGTTGCAAATCCCTTAGGGCAGGTTTAGCAGCATGAGGAATATCCAGGGTGTTGTGATGAGGAGCAACATTCTTTCTCCTTCTCTCTCTTGCTCTCTCTCTGCTTCTCTCCCTCCTTCCTCTCTGCTTTCCTTTTCAATTGTGTTTTTGTTTCCATGACATGGACATGATGATTGCTTCTTTCAGTATAAGGTTCAGATTCCTGAAGGCCGAGCCAGCCAGGGCGTGTTGCGTCTCCTGGTTCAAGATCGAGATTCTCCATTTACATCAGCTTGGAGAGCAAAATTCAACATATTGCATGGCAATGAAGAGGGGCATTTTGACATTTCGACTGACCCTGAGACCAACGAAGGGATATTAAATGTTATCAAGGTAACACCATACCGGTGACATACCAACCAGTTAGTGGCAGACGCTGAGGCCTCTTCTGTAGGATCACTCACAATGAACCAGGGAGCTAACGTCCGTGGATGCTGGGTGCTGAGCCCATTACGTACCACACGTCACCAGGCAAGGAAGGCAGGGTCTCAGTGCCACTTCTGTGTGTGGGCTGAGGACTCCTCCTACCAAAATGATATCAATAATAAAACTTATTTTGATATGACTAAATACTTCACCATTTAATTTTTTGTTGTTGTAGGCAAAATGTAATAGATTTACATAGGCCTTAAAATGATTATTCTTTTTCAGATGTGATTAAAAAATGAAAACATTTTCTTCAACACTAAAAGTTCTTTCTTTTCATCTGAGTTTTCAATGTTTAAGACTTTTAAAGTTTAAAACAAATGGGAGTGCATCTGTGTGGCTCCAAGAGTATGGAGAGCCCCTGGCACTGTGCCTAATGGAGAAGCTGGCCTGGAAGAAAGTATTAATATTACCATCTCATTTACTGATTAGGAAACCAAAGCCCAGAGGGGTTAGGTCCTTTACACAAAGCCACACAGCTTGAGGGGTGGAGTGGAGGATCCCACTGGGGCAGTCTGACCCCAGTGCCTCTAGTCTTCATTGCTCACAACCAGCCCTAGAGTGACCAGGGCCTCTAGTGCAGTGCAGGGCAGGTGAGTCACCTGGCGACAAGGCAGACCTGAGTCAGCAGGTCTGGCACAGAGCCCAAGATTCGCCTGCCCATTTGACCAGCTCCCAGGGGATGCTGATGGCCTGCGGACCGTGCTATGAATAGCAAGGCTCTGTAGACGCTGCACCAGATGCCTGGGGTTGAATTTTCAAAATATTCCCAGGCTTTCAATCCTTTTAAGTCAACTGACCACTTTGTACCCTGAATAACTATGATCATTAATATCTATATTTCCCTAAGTTCCCCTGATTTTTTTGCTGCATGGTTGTCTCATTAATGTTTCATTAGGCTATGGTTTTTGTTGCATTTTTCATTACCCTCTGAAGGATGGTGGCTCTTTTCAACCAGCAGAGGAGGAGGGAAAAAATAAAAGAGAAAAGAACTCCATAAATGATTTGAAAATGAGCTGTAGACTGTCTTTTGATCATTATCAAAGACAACGTAAATAATAAATGAAGTGCAAAAGCCACAAGCTCTGAGTTTGCAATGATGACTCGGCGCTGGGCTTCCTCTGGCCAGAGGAGCAGCAGGTGCTAATGAAATCCTCTCTCTGGGGTTCCAGCCTTTGGATTATGAGACTCGCCCAGCGCAAAGCCTCATCATTGTCGTGGAGAATGAGGAGAGGCTCGTCTTCTGTGAGAGAGGAAAGCTTCAGCCGCCAAGGAAGGCAGCAGCCAGCGCCACTGTGAGTGTGCAGGTGACAGACGCCAACGACCCACCAGCCTTTCACCCCCAGAGCTTCATTGTCAATAAAGAGGAGGGCGCCAGGCCTGGGACCCTGTTGGGAACTTTTAATGCCATGGATCCAGACAGCCAGATAAGGTGAGAAGAGAGGGCCAAGAAGGGCGGTTGTTTAAGTGGAAATAGCCACATAACCAAGAGGGCTCCTGTTAGAAAACCAGCTCGGCCGGGCGCGGTGGCTCACGCCTGTAATCCCAGCGCTTTGGGAGGCCGAGGCGGGTGGATCATGAGGTCAAGAGATCGAGACCATCCTGGCTAACAAGGTGAAACCCCGTCTCTACTAAAAATACAAAAAATTAGCCGGGCGCGGTGGCGGGCGCCTGTAGTCCCAGCTACTCGGGAGGCTGAGGCAGGAGAATGGCGTGAACCCGGGAAGCGGAGCTTGCAGTGAGCCGAGATTGCGCCACTGCAGTCCGCAGTCCGGCCTGGGCGACAGAGCGAGACTCCGTCTCAAAAAAAAAAAAAAAAAAAGAAAAGAAAACCAGCTCCTTGGACGTGTTCACGAGGTTGCCTCAGTCTCCGTGATGAAAATACAAGAAGCCACAGTGCATGACCACTGACCTGAGTTAAATGTCGTCTTCTATCCATAGGTTTTTCTGACCCCAGCAGAAGAACTCACTTGTTGGTTTTCCTTTGCATCTTCCATGTGTTCCTTTTGTATTCTTTCCTTTGTGTTAGAATAATCCGTTACATTTTTCTGTCTCCCCCTCTGTACCAGAAGTTATAAACCAGTACCTCTCTTGCTTCTGGGCAAGAAAAGTGAGGGTTTTTTTTGTAAATTGTGGTAAAATATACATAAAATTTACCATTTTATCCATTTGTAAGGGTACGGGTCAGTGGCATTAAGTGCATTCACATCGTTGTGCACCATCACCTCCCTCCATCTCCAGAACTCTTTTCATCTGGCAAAACAGAAACTCTGTCTCCATTAACCACTCATTCCCCCTTCTCCAGCTCCTGGCCTCCACCATTTGACTTTTTGTCTCTCTGAGTTTGATGACTCCAGGTCATCAAAGCAGAATCATACAACATTTGTCTTTAGGTGACTGGCTTATTTCACTTTGCATAATGTCCTCAAAGTTCATGCACGTTTAGCATGTATCAGAATGTCCTTCCTTCTGATGCTGAATATGCATATGTGGTATTGACACATTTTTGTTTACCCACTCATCCATCGATGGGCACTTGGGTGGCATATGGCCTGAATCTCTTGATGTTCTTGAAGAAATGGAAGAAATTGGCATTTTTGGGTCTATGTTCCATGAGACCATGATCATGGGGACAGAAAGGGGTCATGAGTCATGCCCCTTCTCTCTCCAGGCTGAGCTCAGCAGTTGGCCCCAGACCCCATTCCACCAGCTTCACTCATTTCTCGTGCTTACTTGGCCTTGGTCCACACTTCAGTGTGAGATTCCTCTCCTTACAGCAACACTTCTCAACTTATCTGTTGGGAATGGCTAGATTTTTTAAAAATTTACAATTCATTATGGAGTGATAAGTTTGCAAAATATAATGAAATGGAATTACTAGAAAAATTTTCATGCACTAGGTGGACATGACAATGCTGATGACTCTAAGGGCTTCTCAACACTTGCTCTTCATTTTTGCAGTTATCTCATTGTGAGCAGCCAACCAACAGCTCACAGACCCCTTCTGGTGCACAGTGGTGCACCTTGAGTTAGCAAGGCTCTTAAGAAGTAGCTGTCAAACTATAGTGTGTATCAGTCTCTGGGGGAACTTGTTAAAATGCAGATTGCTGGGCCCCACCCCTACAATTTCTTTTCTTTTTTTTTTTTCTTTTTTTTGAGATGGAGTCTCTCTCTTTCACCCACGCTGGAGTGCAGTGGCATAATCTTGACTCACTGCAACCTCCACCTCCCAGGTTCTTGTGATTCTCCTGCCTCAGCCTCCTGAGTAGCTGGGACTACAGGCACATGCTGCCACGTCTGGCTAATTTTTGTAATTTTAGTAGAGACGGGGTTTTGCCATGTTGGCCAGGCTGGTTTCCAACCCACCCATAGAATTTGATTGAGAGGTCTGGGGTCAGGACTGAGATTTGCATTTCTAAGAAGCTCCCAAGGGTGCCCATGATGCTGGCTGGGGATCCCTTTAGGCACCACCAACAGGAGCCTTTCCTAATTCATTGCTGTCTTCCTGTCTCTTGAGGATGGTTGGCTCATACTTAGGTCTCAGGAAATGTTTGGACTGTGCTGAAATCAAGAACTAACAGTCCATCATTTTAGCCTCAATATGGCTTTTTCCAGGAGGCAGGATGAGTGTCTTTTGTGACAGGGTGGAGGCATGATCTGGGTTGGGGGCAGCTTTGGTTTCCTCTAGTTCTGCTTCATCTGCATTAGCTGAGGGAGCTGCCTTTTGGCCTGAGATAATCCACAGAGGAACTCTGAGTTTCTTCCCCTCGTTTGTAAACATTGCAAAATCACAGTGCTTCTAAGGAACTTCTGGAACTTTCCCTAAGAGGTGAAGCAGTGCACAAAAAGCTTCAATCCCTTTAAAAACTGTGACCCACGCAACATGAGAGAGGGATCCTTGCTGACCCTTTGAAAAACATTTGCCCAGAAGATGAAGGAAAAGCATAAGGAGAAACTGCCCCTCTCCGCACCTTTCTGGGACCTGCACTTTTTGTTGTTGTTGTTGTTTGCCTGAGTCCAGGAGGTTCCTGCTGCGGTGCCCTCAACAGGTAGCTGGGGTGGCAACCTGGCAAGGTTGCAAAGGATGCAATCCAATGGCTGACAGCTCTCAGGAATGCTGGAGGGCTTGGCGTGGCCCACCCCTTACAGTGGTGTCAGGTTCACATAGGTGAGGGGGATGTAGAAGACCACTTTGAGGAATAGGGTTACCCAACTGTGAACTGCCAGGGCTCTGCTGCAAAGGGAACACACCAGGGGTAAAGTCCTAGGTTTCTGTTGCAAGGGCAGGTTGGTTTTTCACACTAAGCTAACATCATCTACAGGCCACTGAAGATGGGTTCCTTTCCAGGATGAATCATCTCCCCAAGGCAGACAAAACTATGTTCAGTCCAACAAGGAGGGGGACGCTTGGTCTTCTGGTGAATGTCAATTCCACAGACCTAGGAGAGTCTTTAGGCTGTCCTCCCTGTGCTTCCATTCCTTTCGTGAATTAAACACTCTCGTAGTTTAATTGCTCTTAGAATTTCTCAAATTACTTGTGGTAGAAATAGTGTTTCTATGACATATTTTGTTTTTTTATGCAACTTTTTTATCTTTTAATGTAAGTTTTTAATTTTAAAAATTGCTGTCCGTTTTCCTTCTACAAGATATGAACTGGTTCATGACCCAGCAAATTGGGTCAGCGTCGACAAAAACTCCGGAGTGGTCATCACCGTGGAGCCAATTGACCGAGAATCCCCTCATGTAAATAACAGTTTTTATGTAATCATCATTCACGCTGTTGATGATGGTGAGTGTTTACCCAAAATTGGAAAAATAAAATGCTCATTCTTGCTTCCTGCGGGAAAATAACCCTGGTGAGCGTCTTTCAGCACAGCAGAGAAAAGGATAAAATAAACCTTGTTATCACTCTGCATCCATGCTGGTGATTATTTTTGGTAATAATTCTTAAAATGGTAAACAAGGGACCAATACCATCGAAAGAGGGCAGTATTCATTCAGAAGAGACAATTAAACCAGCAAGGAGGCTGCAATCAAACCCAGCATCTTTTTCATCTGTTCATGAGCTAACTCTTTAGCTCTTTGTCAAAGCCAATGATGTGTGATAAATATTTAGCACAGCTTCCCTGTGCTTGGGATGGCATACGAGCTCAGATAAATGGGACTGTAAGGGACACATTTGTCATAAACCAGAATGGGTGGTTTTATAAGCCTGTTTCAGCATTTTTCTCTACACTCTCCTAAGGCTGAAACTTTAAACACACCAAAGCAGAGTTGAAGAAATAAAAATGTTCAAATAACTTTAAAATTGTATTTAAGAAAGTCTGTGAACTAAAACCCAAGCTCCAAGTGATATATCACTATACGTTCCATTCTGTAATTAACTAGTGGAATGTTGGCGGGGGGCAATGGAGATATGAAACACGTGTTCCTAATCAGCATTAAGGGAGGAGAAAAAATGGGGCCAGTGTTTCAGGGTTCCGTCATTCTGTTATGGATGATTTTATGATTGGTACTTTTTTTTTCCTTTATTTTTTGCTTTTTGTATTTCAAAAGCTTTTGGGGTACAAGTGGTTTTTGGTTACGTAGATGAATTATGCAGTGGTGAAGTCTAAGATTTTAGTGCACTGGTCACCTGAGTAGAGTACCTTGTATCCAATGTGAGATTTCTTAGCCCTTGGCTCCCTCCTCCCCTGCTTCTGGGTCTCCAGAGTTCATGATATCACTCATGCCTTTGTGTATCCATAGCTTAGCTCCCACTTATAAGTGAGAACATACAGTATTTGATTTTCTATTCCTGAGTTATTCACTTAGAAGAATGGCCTCCAGCTCTATTCAAGTGTCTGCAAAAAAACATGATTTCATTCTTTTTTATGGCTGAGTAGTATTCCATAGTATACATATGCCACATTTTCTTTATCCACTCATTGGTCGATGGGCATTTAGGTTGGCTCCATATATTTGCAGTTATGAAGTGATGATTGCCACTTTTTTGAATTAGAAAAAGTCGTTTTAGATAATTGTAGATTCACTTGCAGTTTTAAGAAATAATCTAGTGGATCCTGAGTATCCTTTGCCAGTTTTCCCCAGGGGCAACACCTTGCAGGACTACAGTGTAACCTTGTAACCAGTACATCAACGCGGAGACGCAGCGCATTTGCCTCCCCTTGGGGACCCCCATGGTGCCCTTCTTTAGTCACACCCATTTTCCTCCACCCCACCCATCCTTGATGCCTGGCACCATTGATTGACCTTTTGTTTTTTTAATGAAGCCACATTCTACCTTGTTCTACAAGTGATTTGAGGTGGTAAGTGCTTTATTAGCTTACCCAAATATTCTGAATGCTCATAAAAGCAGGAAAACAGATCACGTGCATGCCAGGAGAGCTTATGACGTTGAAAGGGAAACAGTTCCAGTATTTCAGGAATATTTTTTTTCTGAGAGACGGAGAGTGCTCATTCTCCAGAGCTGTGTGTGCACGAGATAAACAACTCCTGAAACTTCCTCCCCATACAAGGCTTCCCACCGCAGACTGCTACAGGGACCCTAATGCTCTTCCTGTCTGACATCAATGACAACGTCCCGACTCTCCGGCCACGTTCCCGCTACATGGAGGTCTGTGAGTCTGCTGTGCATGAGCCCCTCCACATCGAGGCAGAGGATCCGGACCTGGAGCCGTTCTCTGACCCATTTACATTTGAATTGGACAATACCTGGGGAAATGCGGAGGACACATGGAAGTTGGGGAGAAATTGGGGTGAGTTTTTGTATTGGTTACGGGCAAAGAGTGGAAAATGCCAGATATCCAATTCAAACAGATTTAGGCAAAAAAGGACTTTATTAGCTTAAAAAACCGGAGAGGTCTGCGTTCTGGCAGAGCTGGCTCTAGGTGCTCAAAGGATATCCCTGGATATCCTTCCCACACATGGTCTGCCTTTCTCTAGGTTCCTTCTTTTTTAGGAAACTCTCCTCATCAGGGGGTAGGAGGCTGCTGGGAGTCCCTGAGACATATTCTTGCATCTGGCAAGAAGGGTGTTTCCAGGGAAGCTCCAGGATTGACGTCACTGTTTGGCCTGGGTCAGCTGCCCTGTCAATCACTGTGGGTGGGACTTGGGAGGGCGGATGTGCTGATTGGCTGGTTCCCAGCCCACACCTGGACCTTGTTGGGATCTGGGCTCACCCTCTCCTGATTCATACTGAGAATTCAGGAAGTGTGGGCTTCCCTAAGGAAACACTGGGGCACTGTTACCAGAAGATGAACATGCTGAGCAGGTTAAAAGCAACTGGCATCCACTGTCAACACTCTCTTCTGTGCCTCTAGCCGTGGCGTCTGTAGACTGTGGCACGGTTTCAGCTGAAACTGTGTGCTCAAGTTTGTAGTTCTCAGACCTGGAGTGTGTGGTAAAGCACTTCGCCTTGCCCAAAGAGAGGTCTGGTCTTTGTCCTTGGGGTCTGGGTGATCTCTATTGGGGTATCATGTCTGACACCAGTGTCTCTTTACCTGGGGTGTCTTGGGCTGAGCCGGATAGGGGCAATGTGATTTACACTGGGGACTTCTGGTCACATAGTATCAGTCTATTACCAGAGAGGCTGGAGACTGAGGCCGCCCACCTGGGAGGCCCACCAGGTTGCCTGACCAAGCCCCAGGAGGACACTGGAGCCTGAGGCTCAGGTGAACGTCCCTGACTGCAGCATCCCATGTGTGCTGTCCCTCATCGATGCTGACCTGGCTTCTCGGGAGTGGATGATGAGAAGCTCTGCTACTGGTGCTTTTCTGGACTCTGCCCTAGGTGCCTCTTTCCTTGTGTGATTTACGTCTGTATCTTTTCCCTGTAAAAAACGGCACCATCACTGTAACAACTTTCAGTGTGTTCTGTGAGTCTTTCTAGAGAATTGTTGAACCTGAGGGTGGTCTTAGGAATCCGTGAACTTGCAGTTGATGTCAGAAGTGAGGGTACCCTTGAGGACCCCTCCCTCTAACTCTGCAGTTGGCTTACTTTCATACAGAGCTTGGCCCGTGCAGGGCGTTCAGTAAGCGTGTGTTGAGCAGATGAGCAGATGAGTGAGTCAATGCATGCCATGTTCTTTTTCCCTTTGCAGGTCAATCAGTTGAACTTTTAACCTTGAGAAGCCTGCCACGTGGTAATTACTTGGTGCCACTCTTCATTGGAGACAAACAGGGACTTTCCCAGAAGCAAACTGTCCATGTAAGGATCTGCCCCTGTGCCAGTGGGCTCACATGTGTGGAGCTTGCAGATGCAGAAGTGGGGCTTCATGTGGGGGCCCTGTTCCCTGTCTGTGCAGCATTTGTGGCTCTGGCAGGTCAGTGGTCTGTAGGGGTGTCCTGGGACTGTGGCTCCTCTCCCCAGGCAATAGGCCAGGGGTAAGGGGCTTGCTGGGGTAGGGGACAGCGGTGGCAGGATTGGTGGAATGGCTTTGAGAATGACTTCTGGGTGTACTCAGGCTCCTAGATGTAGATCAGAGGTTGCCATGCTGGCCAGGCAAGATCCCTGGCCAGCAAAAGCAGCTTCTACTCACAATGGAATCCACTGGTAAATATAGTCAAGGAGTGGCCCTTTGTTTGTAATAACCATGGAGACAGCAATGTACAGATATTCAGGCTCCTGGACTTGGCAAGGCTAATAAGAAAGCAGCTTTTCCAAGAAACAATACAATATTACTGGCCAGATAGTATTATTGATTAATTCAACAAACAGTTATGTAGCATCTACTGGTACCCTGGAACTGTGCTGAACTTTATAGCTACACAGATGACTAAGACGCAATTTGGCCTTGCCAGTTCATGACTGAGTTATACATGAACAGAACAAGATCCTCATGAAACCTCTGATATGGGTGAGCTTGTCTAATCTGTTTTTCCCCTTTGTCTTATAACAGTGGCTCTGCTTTTTCTGTTGCGATGCTATTTTGTGCTTGAACCTAAGAGGCATGGATGCTCTGTATCCAATGATGAAGGCCACCAAACACTGGTCATGTATAATGCGGAGAGCAAAGGCACTTCAGCCCAGGTAGTGGAATGTCATGCTTTGTGTCTTATGGCAAGGAATTCACTAATACACAGACATATAGCATGTATTTTTCCCCCCATTGTGCCACCTCTTAATTCTTCACTCTTACCCGTGTTTCAGTAGCAAGTGGGAAAAAATTCTTGCAAATACTATCTAACTCAGATAAATGAATTTATTCTTTTAGATCAATGGTTCTCAACCATGAGCAATTTTGCCCCATAGGAGATATTCATCAATGCCTGGAGACAGTTTTGATGGTCACAGTTAGGAGTGCTACTGGCATCTAGTGCGTTGAGGTCAGAGATGCTGCTAAACAGCCTACAACGCACAAGACAGCCTCTACCACAGAGAATTATCTGCCCCAGTTTCCTAAGTGCTGAGTTTGAGAAACTGTGCTTAGGGAAATAGTGTTTTTTATTAAGTAGACGTTCCCTAAATGGGATTGTGTTAGGCTCACTAGTTAAATGAGTCTGAGCTGGCTTCTTGGCCATGGCTTTCAGTAGATCATGGCAGAACCTGCTCTTCTACCATTGTCCGGCAAAGGCCAACCAGAAAGCTCACTGCCCTTGGAGGTACAAGGCCTAGGCTCTGTTTCTGCTTTTGCATCTCATTAGCTTCATCATTTAACCCTACATCCTCATCTGTGAACTGGGATGATAAAGTCAAATTCTTAGATAGGTTGTGGATCAGAGAGGATGCCTATGAAGGCACCTAACACAAGGCAGAGCCATATAAAGTAATTGGCCAATGGCCACTGGTTTTTCAAACTGGCTGCTTCTGAAATGGGCCCTACATTATCTTAGTCATCCTTGCAGCAACCCTGGGCTGGGGTTAGACAGACAAAGAGATGAAAGCATTGTGAGCTCTCCTGTTTGTCTTCATCTAGAATTAAGTGGTTGATTTAGAAAATGAACACAAAAGAAATGTCAAAAGGAAACACACACAGAGGATTCGGTCACCCCATCTTACACCTCCACCAATGTTTTTTTCCTGGAAGGGAGAGACTTATTGAATGAAGTCAGACATTTAGGGAAAAGATATTCCAATGAACTTGATATGATGCTCCTGTAATTAGAGAGTTTCTCAAAAATATTTGATTGAAGAAGCTGGTGCTCGCCCAAGGCTCCCAGGGTTCTTTGAATTTTGTCTTCCCTGCGGCATGAAGGAGGGAAGGGAGCAGCCACTTAGGCTCCTCTGGCAGGTATGTGCCTGTGCACCCTCCTGTGAGCCCTTCCTGGGTGGGGAAACAGGAGCAAGATCCAAACTCTCCAGATTGTGAAGTCCCCTGGAAGGAATCTCCGCATCCCAAATGTGAGAGCAGCAGTAAACTTGATTTGTTGTGTAATTTTAAGAAGAAAACCATCTGGACAAACAGCAGTCTTTGTGTAACAGTAGAATTTCTTGCCTTGGACAGTTCCAGTGGCTCAGAGGCTCAACCATGAAGGGAAACAGAAATGGTTCCCAGTCCCAGGAGCTGTGCCTCAGTCTCCTCCTTGGAGGGAGAGAGTGAAAGCTGCTGAGCTTGGAGGAGACTGGCAGGAATGTCACACAACCTGAGTTCAGGTTGTAGCTGAGGTGGAAGGGACAGTGGGGATGCCCTGGTTACCCTTCTTTCCCAGCAGCTTTGTGATTGTCTCTTGGAAAAGAGGAAGCAGCTATGGAAGCAGTGTGGGTGGAAAGGAACCTTGGCCCTTGTGATGCTAAGACCAGGAGGGTTGGAGGGGGCTTAATGACATGGTGGCACTGGTCAAAGACCAGCTATGCCAGTGGGACAAGAGAACCTCATGCTGGGCAAGGGGCTCTGTTCTCTTCTTGTACCAACAAATCTTTCTCTTGTTTCCCATTCACAGCTAAAGGCACATCTCCATTCCTGCTTCAGTATCTTAGGGCTCTGAGAAGTGGAATTCAACAGACCTGGGTGTAGATTCCAAATCTGTGATTGATCAGTTACATAATCTAACTGAATCTGACTTTCATATATAAAGTGAGCTTGATAGTCTTCTGTCTCTTAAGTTTTTTGGACTCTAATCAAATAACACATGTAAAATTTTCAGCACTAAGAGTCATGC
This sequence comes from Homo sapiens, assembly GCF_000001405.40. Classification (NCBI taxonomy): domain Eukaryota; kingdom Metazoa; phylum Chordata; class Mammalia; order Primates; family Hominidae; genus Homo; species Homo sapiens. The sequence goes on from NC_000020.11 coordinate 59,998,831, forward strand.
AATAAAGGGTGGCCGCCAATATTAGCATTATTAGCAGTAATTACTGATTATATCTCTGTAACCTTGGTAAATAAGGCCATCTCTAGGTGCACTTATCCCTCTGTCCATCTTACATGAATATACCAGCTTACCTTGCACATCCACTCACCAGGAACATTCTGTGCTCTTGGGAAAACTCCATGCAAGATATCGTCACTAGCTGCACACATGTTGTCACATTCTACTACTAAACTATAGGGATGCCATCTGATGGTGATGATCTACAGAAATGCATAGATGCCTTCCCTGCATGTGGGGAAGCTAATGAGCCCTTGGCCAACAGAAATCCAGCACCCATCAACCTGAGTCCCTCAGTGAACATATATGTTGAGTGATAAATGAATGGGACAATGCACAGAATACCATGCAATGCTGGTGACCCCAAGAGCCATCACCATGAGCCCTAGGAAAAGACAAGCTTTTCAATTCTGAGAGCTCCTGAAATGAGCCTTTTACCATCAGTTTACATGGAACCCTGAACCATGAGAAGCTCAACCTCCCAGCGAGCAATTACAAAAGGCAAACAGAAATAACATTCTTTTCCCACATAAGTCATCCAGATTTACAGGAGAGGTGTATTTTTTACAGTCTGGACTTCTTCTGTGATGGCATAGATACAATGTGTTTTGGAGAAAATGTCATTCCTTTCCTTCTGTTTTTATTTCTGCTATCTGTGATTTCAGCCCTTGTCATATTTCTTTCTCTGTGTTCTACAGACATGGTCAGATGTTGAAGGCCAGAGGCCGGCTCTGCTCATCTGCACAGCTGCAGCAGGACCCACGCAGGGAGTTAAGGTAACATGCCCCTTACTTGCTTCTGGATTTCAGAGAAGTGACTTTCCTGGTGGTTTCCCTGACAAGGAACACCTGGGATGCTCCTCCCAGTGCCACATCCAGGGAGGTTCTTCTTCAAGTCAGCAACCCCAGCCCCTACTTGCAAAGCCCCATGGTTCCCTTAGCCTAAAACACCCTTGTCTTTCAGTGGCCAAGTTCTTTCTACTTTGCTGCGGTGTCAGATGACCCTGTGCTTCCAAATATCACTGTGTCCAGTGCCATATGGTGATTTTTTGCCATATGCATATGGCACTTGGACTAGTGTATTTCTTAAGACACTTTTTTCTTAAAATGGGCTTGTGTCCACATTAAGTACATTTATTTAAGTAGGAAATTTTATATTTCAACTGTAAATGAAAACAGTTTTACTTGTATAAAGAGCAGGCAAGTGTGAAGATAGCCATGAAAGAAGTAGGGCACAATGACTGGGTGGACGATGGCACTGCCAAAGGCCCGGGGCCCCTCTGCAAGGAAGGCAGAGCGTGGAAGCCAGGCTAGCACCAGAGTGACACTTCCTCCTGGATGTCATAAGGGTGTGGAAACAGAATTAGAAAGGGAATAATTTTCTCACCGTGCAAATCAGTGTTATTTAAAATTGTTTCCCAAGTAGCTAAATCTTCCATTCTATAACTAGTAGGTGTCCCCTACTTTGAAAACAAAGTTGACCCAGGATTGCCATAAATGAGCATGTGCCTGGCCAGGGCAGTGAGGAGGGCTGGGTTCGCCGTGCATTCTGACCACTAGTCTGTGCTCCTGGGGGAAGGGCTGCCCTTTTCTAGTTCCTACAAACTTGCCTCCTGGGCTGGCGAGAGCCTTCTCTTTCCTTCCTCTGAGCCAGTCTGCAAACTTCTAGAGGTCTAGGTGTTGCCCTGAGGGGCACACTATGCACTTTGCATGCCTCATCTTATTGAATTTTCACCAGAACCCATAGGGGCGTGTGTGTGGTAGGGGCAATCTTGCTTCCCTATTTTACAGGGGAGGGAACCAAAGCCTCCACCTTCTAGGTTTTGGTGTATCTCTGGGTTCCCTTCAGTGTCCTGCAAATATTGTAGTAAGTACATCTCTGGTGACTGCTTAAATAAACTGCCATTCACACACTTTCTCTAAGTGAAGCCGTCACTTATGATTTATGGGGTAACCTGATACTTTAAAATCTGCTGGATAGTGTGAAATAGCGTCAATGAGACCATTGTCAAGGTCCATTGCCTGCTTTATTTTCTTTGAAATATAACTTCATTATTGAAGCGTCACTATTAAAATAACAGAAACCCAAGGCAGAAAATGCCCACAATCCCATCCCTGAATCTAAACAGTTTCACCTGTGAGTGTCACCTTCTAGATGTCATCTGCGTGTCTATGCAGTTTTCAGGTGTCTGTGTCATGGAAAGAACATTAGCGTCTTCATGTTCAAACCTCCTCCTGCCATGCGGTTCCATTGTGCCTGCCCTTTTATCCCTGCATTCCCTGCCTCTCTTCATTTTCCTTTTCCTCCCACCGCGCCCTCCCTCTCATCGTGTTAATTTGTGTTTGCCTATGAATATATGAGCAAGGGGAAGTGGTGAGAGGTCACGCATGCCCACTTTGTTTCCAGCTGGAGAGAAATCCATTCTCTTTTGAGTAAATCAGCATTTTCCCTCTAGGATCTCGAGGAAGTGCCTCCATCTGCAGCGAGTCAGTCAGCCCAAGCACGCTGTGCTCTGGGGAGCTGGGTGAGTTCCAGAAGGTTGCTCCCTGCTACGGCCATCTCACTAGTGACTAACAGTTGGTCCCCCTGAGAGAGGGCCGTTGTAGAAGATTCGGTGATACTGTCAGAAAAAGGCACATAGTCAATGAAAATCTGAGAAGCTGGGCTTTTTCCACCCGACTCTATTTCCATCTATAGAACTAGGTATTATTATTGGTGATGGCTGCTGTTTTTAGAGTTGTTTGATAATCCTGATCAAATATGACACTTTTTAGAGCATCCACAAATAGATACATTTTCTCATGTCCTTCTAAGGGCACCAGAGATCATCTATAAAGTTAAAAGCACAGCACTTTGGCCCTGACTAAATTCCAGCCCAGTGACTGCATGCTTCCAGCGAAAGGGAGGCCTGACTTCCCATCTGTGTTGTGTCTTCTTGTACTCTACATACAAATTCCAGGACTATTGCTTTGTGAAATGACTTTTTCTGAAATAATTTTAGACTAAATAGAAGTTGCAAAAATAGTTTGGAGAGTTCTTGGGGGTCCCCCAAATATACCATCTTATGTAACCCTACTCCATGATCAAATCAGAAAATGGGCTTTGGCACAACACTGTGAGTACAGTTCTCAGTCACAGACCTTATTTGGACCTCACCAGTTTAACTAGCCATTATTTAACCAAAATGTACTTTTCTGATATAGAATTAAAAGAGGTATTCAGGGTCTAAAGAGCCATAGAATCATATCCAATTTTTATGAGGGAAAGCTTCTAAAATAAATTCAAGATCTCTATAATTTCATATCTTTGCACAGGCAGTATCTGAGCAAAGATGAAAACATGATGTTCTTCTTTGCACAAAGATGATGCCACAAATCCATCACTGAAGGGCTCCCGCATTGATGAATGTTGGGTTCCATGTCCTTGCAGCTGATCCTTCTGGTCCTGTTCGGGCCAGCTGCATGGACATGGAACACCCACCATGGCACAGGGCCTCCCACTCTAAAGAACCTCTGCTTGGTTTAATATTCTACTGTCACCATCTTGAAATTCTTAATTTTTGAACAAAGGGCCCCCAACTTTCATCTTGCACTGAGCCCTGAGAGTTGTGCCGCTAGGCCTGGGTCCTAGGAGTGGATGTGTGTCATTTGTTTGTATTCAGGGCATGGCCATGGCAAAAGGAAATCTTACTGGGTGTTAATGGACCCAAGATAGAGCTTGCAAATCTAATATTCTCATGTTCCTTCTTCACAAAGCAACTGTGAAACTTGTTCATGAATTTCTGCTATGAATATCTACACTCTTTAGAATTACTATACCTTTAGTACAAAAATGAAAGGCAATATGACTGCAAGAATTTCTAGTTATGTATTTGCATCCTTTGGTAATTTATTTGAAATCAGTAAATATTTCATCTTTCTTTAAGGGTTATGGCAAGCCCTTTGAGCCAAGAAGTGTGAAAAACATACACTCTACTCCTGTAAGTATAGATGTAGGTGTTACCGTGAACAAATTTACCTTATTGTTCTGCCTAAAAGCTGTGCAAATCCCTGAAAATTGGAAATTTGGAAGGAAAGAGGTGATAAAAAAAAATATGCCCAACATCCAAGCAAACTGAAGGAGAAGCGAACGTGAAGAGAGGTTGGAAGTAGTTAAGGCACATTTATCCCGTGACTCGAGGGCATAAGAGCTTTTCAGTCCCTGGCAAATTTCTTTTGCTGTTGAGTTGCTAAGACCTCAGTCATAGGCTGAGTTTTCTGCTGTGCTTTGTCACAGACCTATAGAAATTTTGAGCTAAGGGGGTCTTAGACATCATCTAGTCAATTTTTTTTTCTAAATATGTTTTGCACCAGAATTCTTCTTTTCAAATGAGATCCTACAAATAACTCCATTGTAAATAAAACATCTAAGTACTAATTTTGTATGCATTGACATTAATGACATATACCTATTACCAAAATAGCCAATAAAAATAATGATTCTGATGTAAACAGAAGGAAGTTGAATGTTGTGGATATAGTTTGCAAAATTATGTTAACTTAACACCTAATTCATTGCCTCGCATTATTATAAACTGGTTTTTAAAGTATCAAGAAAATTTTGATATATACCAACAAGCAGTTTCAAATCTTAATGGTTTTTGAATAGCTCAGTTTACAATGTTAGGATTCTCTTTGATTAATGAAACATGGGACCAAAAGCTTCATTTGAGTTGCATAAAAGCTAATTAACATGGCATCCCAAATTTACATGTTGGTGTGGGAGACTAAAAAAGATGTAAACCACTTTCTGTTATATTATAAAAATAATATTCAATATTGTTATTGAAATAATTTGTAAATAATGAAAATAAATTTCAAATACTCTAGCTGAAGTATCTTTGAGGAGTCGTAGGCCCTGGGGATAGAGTTAAACCAGTGGCTAAGTCCACAGAAGCCCAGAGAGGAGAGATAGTGCTCTCTCAGCCACAGTGCAGCCATACATAGTGTGGGGTTAGGACCTGAAGCTGGCTTGAGGCAAAATCACCCCAAGTCTACCTCGGGAAGGAGCCAGGCTGGAAACTGACACGGCGTCTTCCTCTGGTCCTGGATGAGCCCCATGCTTGGTCAGTGAGCATCTGGTGCAAGGGTACTTTGTACATAGCCCACATCTTAAGGGTCCTCCTCTGAGAGGCCCCTGGGGCTAAACAGACTGAGGGCACAGCATCTCCAGTCAAGTGCTCCCAGCACTGGGAACCAGGCAGCAGGGTCCCTAGGGCTGCTTGTAGTGGTCCACACCTTGCCTCTTTGGCTTAGTATGTTTGGTTCAGCTTACCTTGGTATGATGTGGCTTCACTATGTGTACACACATGTGTATATGTACAGTCATGTCTGGCTTAATGATGGGGATACGTTCTGAGAAATGTGTTGTTAGGTGATTTCATCACTGTGTAAACTTCATAAAGTGTTTTACACAAACCTAAATGGTGTAGCCTACTACACACCTAGACCTCTTGGTGTAGCCTGTTGCTTCTAGGCTACAAACCCGTACAGCATGTGACTGTACTGAATACTGTAGGCAATTGGAACACAATGGTGTTTGTGTATCTACCTACACAGGCCAGGGCGCCGTGGCTCACGTCTGTAATCCCAGCACTTTGGGAGGCCGAGGCAGGCGTATCACGAGATCAGGAGATAGAGACCATCCTGGCTAACATGGTGAAACCCTGTCTTTACTAAAAATACAAAAAATTAACTGGACGTGGTGGCGGGCGCCTGTAGCCCCAGCTACTTGGGAGGCTGAGGCAGGAGAATGGCATGAACCTGGGAGGCGGCGCTTGCAGTGAGCCAAGATCGCGCCACTGCACTCCAGCCTGGGTGACAGAGCGAGACTCCATCTCAAAAAAAAAAAAAAAAAAAAGAAAAGAAAAAAACACCTACACATAGAAAAGGTACAGTAAAAATACAGCATTACAGTCTTATGGGACCAGCTTTATATATACGGCCTGTCATTGAAATGTTATGCCGTGCATAACTGTATGTATGCATGTGTATATAGATAGATATGTGTATTCAGTTGACCCTTGAACAATAGGAGTTTGAACTGTGTGGGTGCACTTATATGTGGGTTTTCTTCTGCCTCTGCCACCCCCGAGACAGCAAGACCAACCCTTCTTCTCCCTCCTCCTCTTCATTCTACTCAGAGAGAAGACAATGAAGATGAAGACCTTTATGATAATCCACTTCTACTTAATGAATAGTGAATATATTTTCCTTAATGACATTTTCTTTCTTCTAGCTTACTTTGTTATAATATAGTATATAATACATATGACATACAAAATGTGCATTAATTGACTGTTTATATTATTGGAAAAGCTTCCAGTCAACAGTAGACTGTTAGTTGAGTTTTCGGGGAATCAAAAGTTATAGGCATGTTTTCAACTGTGCAGGGTCAGCACCCCTAACCCCCACATTGTTCAAGGGTCAACTGTATATGTATATGTCTATATGTCTATATGTATATGTATAGAAGCATGTACATGTACAGAGGCATGAGTATGCATATATGAACATGTGTATGTTTGTCTGTATATGTGCATGTGTATATATCTGTATGTATGTATGTATGTATGTATGTATGTATGTATGTGTATATATAGCCTCATGGACATACATAATTGCCCCAGGCTTTATCATATTTTACATATGTCTTCTGGAACCCAATAAGTATCCCTAAACCCAGGTAAGATCAGAAGTCATCTCAGCCATAAAGGCCACCAGTGATTAAAAACACAAATTGTATGTCACTCTCCAATTTAAGACTTCCTGTTGGCTTGCCATTGCACCTGGGATAAAGTCTACAACCTTATGACCTTAAGGGGATCCTCCCTCCAGGGCTGCTTTGCAGAACCCAGCCTAAGACAGACCTATGTCTTTAATGTCCTGTGAGACCCTCTATCACATGGCCTTTGCTCACGTATGGCTTCAACTTGCTCTGAGCCTCCCCCCACCTCCCTAACCATCCCAGCACCCCACCTCTTTGGGCTCCAGCCACAGAACACGCCAAGTTCCCTCCCTGCTTAGGGCCTGTGCTGTTTCTTCTCATTGGAATTCCCTTCTGTTCCATGGCCCTACAACTTCCTCCTCCTGAGAACTCCCTGCTCTCAACTGGGTGAGATCCCCTCTTAAACCTTCCCTTGGTGATCAGTCTTACATTTACCGCCACTCTTGGGTGCTTGCCTTGCACCTGCGTGAGCTCGACAGTGAGGCCCCAGGTGCTTTGCTTGCCTCCAGGCCAGCCTGACTCACATGATTTAGTGGTGGGATTTGTGAGCCCCCAGATAGCCACTCCTTCCAGTAGATGCCAAGCCTGTTTCCTACCACTGTATCCTCTGCCCTTAGATAGCACAGAGACCCAGATCCACAGACATGGGCCAGATGAGCAGGAGACTGCCAGCAGCCCATCATGGGAAACAATGGGCAGGTTCAGAGGAAGAGAAGCCAAAATGAGCGAGGAGGGGCAGTGTAGTTGAGGGGGTGCAAGGCATGAGTGAGGGTGTCAGCAGGAACAACCCTCCTGGCCGGGCTCACTTGGGTTCCTTCCTCACTGAAAGTTTGTTTCAGCCCAGGCATTGGAAAGTCTAGCCATGAGAGCTTGCAGGGCCTCCCTCTCTCCCCCAACACAAAGAGAGGAAACGTGAGCAAACTACCCTGGGCCTGGCTCTTCACCTCCAAGAGAACGGTGCTCAGTGTGCCCCATCTATGCTGGGGCCACTGACACACAGGGGTTGGGGGGTAGGACAAGGGCTCTGCTGTGGTATGAAGCTCTACTGGTTTGCTTGCAGGCTTACCCAGATGCCACAATGCACAGACAACTCCTGGCTCCGGTGGAAGGAAGGATGGCAGAGACATTGAATCAGGTAGGGAGAGCTCCCCTTGTGCTGTGCACTAGCTATGGGTTTTGCATCCCCACTGTGCTCCAGGCTTGATTTGGGGACACTTCCTCCTAAATCACTGCATTAGTCAGCTAAGGCTGCCATAATAAAATACCATAGCCTGACTGGTGGCTTAAATAACAGAAATATATTGCCTCATGTTTCTGCAGGCTAGAAGTCCAAGGTCAGGGTTCCAGCATGGTTGGGTTCTGGTGAGAGCTCTCTTGCTAGCTGGCAGATGGCCACTTTCCCGCCGTGTCCTCACATGGGATGGAGAGAGAGATACCAAGCTCCCTGGTATCTCTTCTTATTAGGGAACTAATTCCATCATGAGGACTCTACCCTCATGAGCTCATCTAAACCTAATTGTCTCCCAAAGGCTCCGTCTTCAAATGCCATCACATTGGGGTTAGGGCCTGAACATATGGATTTGGAGAGGGAACACAATTAAGTCCATAGCAATCACTTTCATGGAAATCCTCCATCCAGTGCTGCTTTGCAGAACCCAACTGAAGACAGAATTGACACAGCACAGGCAAGCCCCAAAACTGGGGATTAGCCCAGGAGGGTTTTGGGAAATAATTCAAAGGTGAGGTGGAGGTGTTAGACAGCAGTCTTCTATTCAACATTACTGCTCCTTGCAAGGCAGGGCTAACTCATAGGCAGTACACTCAGAGTCAGAAATGTATGGGCTGTTGGCAACTGTATTTATACCCACTAAAACCCACTTTCAATTACATGCAAATTAAGCAGCAGGTTGATGCAAACGGAGGGGCTGGTTATTTAGAACTTTCTAGGACAGCAGTGATAACTTCTGGGTCACTGCCATGGCATTTGTAAGCTGTCCTGGCACTGGTGTGAGTCTCTTGCACCAGTGAGCAATGAGGGCATCCAGGGTTCACTTTCGTCTCATCTGCTGGTTTCTGCTGGTTTTTTTTTTTTAACTTCATCCCATCTGGACCAGATCCTGTTTTGGTCAGCAGGGTTGTGACCAGAAAACAAGACCTGCTGGCCTCCTACCTCAGAATGAAGGGTCTTTTCCTGCAAAATTGTGAAAGATGTAGTTTGACTGCGCTGAAGGGGTCTATTATGTGAGATTCTGATTTTGGGTACATCCTGAAAGGTCCATCAACACAGCCACTGCGTACTCCTGGGAAGATTAGAAAGCAGCTTGGGAGCTGGGCAAACCCATGGGCAGGTTTACATGGATAGGGCAGAGCCAGTCCACATGCTCGTGTCATGGAGGCTCTGCATGCCCCCTGCTTGGGGAAGGAGGTACCAAGAAGCTGCCCAGGCCATTCTGACTCTAAGCAGCTCCTCCTGTTGCAGGGCAGTGGGAACTCAGGCCTATGGAATGATAAGCACAAAGGAAGACATAAATGTAGACAGTCTCTGTCAGGCCAGACTTATTTTTTTGGCAAACACGTGTATAATACTCACTTTGTTGTAGACTCTGTTCTGAGGACTTGAAAGATGTTAACTCTTAGTCTGCACATCAGCCTATTGGGGGAGGTGCTGTCATATGCCTTTTTATAACATGTGGAAACCCAGGAACAAAGAAGTTGGGTAATGTGTCCAAGGTCACAGCCACAGAAAGCAGTAGATTTGGGGCTCAAATACAGGCAACTGGGCTCCAGGGTCTAGGCACTTAGGGGGCTCATTAAAAAGCAGCAATCCCCAGTACCAACTCTGTGGACCCTGCTGTAGTGGGTCTGGGGTGCGCATCTGAGCCTCTGACTTGAGGTCCTGGGATCCTGTTTTGTGAAACCCATTGGTGAGCCTGGACGTCTCCTGCTGTGGTTGTCAGAGTGGATGACAGACAGGGCTGTGAACACTGTGGCCTGAGGAAGTGAGCCCAGACTGTGTCTGGATGTAGAGTCACTGTCTGGGGTTTCCCCAATGTTGCTTCCTCTGGTTCCTGTCACAGTCCCCAGGTGGGAGCTCCAGCTCTGTGCCCCAGTGACAGCCCCAAAGGTGCTGTAGGCTTGGCCCCTTCTCACTCCCACTCCTTAGCCCTGCAGAATGGGTGCTGCCTGGCACCTGCTTCAAGACAACACAGACATCTTCTCCGGGCCTAGAAGCTTTGCCTAAAAGCAGGCAAGCCAGGCTCCTGCAGAAGGGGGCTGTGTACCCACAGACTCAGGGCTGCAGGGCCCTTCCCCAGGTCCTGACTGCTGGTGAGGAAGATGAAGGATGAGCTGCGGGGAAATTTCCATGTGTCTCTCCCGAGCCGACTGTAACCTCCCTGAGGGCCAGGCTGTGTCATTACTGGTGCATGACACAGGGGTCACTGAAGAAGCAATGAAAGAACCATTTTCACTATAACCCAATGTGGTAGATGAATCCAAAAATGGAGGCTCAGACAAGTTGCTCCAATGGTAAAGGCACGAGGGACAGAGCCAGAAATGGGGCACAGAGTGGCCGACTACAGACGGGCCCACCTGATCATTAAGCAGGGTCAGGGAAGTCTCCTCTCTGAGCCTTAATTTCTCATCTACAAAGGAGAGTTGGGGCAGCTCTGCTACACTCTCGGGTGAAGCTCTGTGCAGACCAGATCATGTCTCTACAGAAAACGTAGCATGTGGTGATCATCACGTAGTATCCAGCTTACCCATTTTCACATTTGCGCACACACACGTGAACGCATGCACATGCACACATACCGCTCATGCCAAGTGGACTGTGTGGACAGTATCGCAGGTCCTGCCTGGCTGAGCAGGAGAGGGACGTGTTCCAGCCGCGGGCCCCCCTCCTCCCTCTGCGGGGCAGGGAGGCAGCTTTATTCAATGGAAGCTCGAAGCTCTGCTTGGTGGTGTGAGAGGAGGGAACACCAGATTAGAGGGCCCTGTTCTTTCCTTGTGAGCCCTCTAACTTGGATGGTGGTGTATGATGAATTATTGATCTGATGAGGCCTCCAAAGTTGCTGAATCAGGGTGCAGACATCCACTGCTCTGCTGTCAGCCTGGGGGTTTTGAAGTTGAATCCACCCAGCACAGCCCCCACTGCAGATTCTGTTTTGCTCTGCACACACCAGGTCTGTCGCTAATTATCTATTCAGCTTCACTGCAAGGACGTGAACCGACTCCTAACACGTAGGCCAGAGCTTGTGTATCTGCTGGTTTTGCCGTAAAAACTTTCTTTCCTCCCCCTGCCCCCAGCTCCCCCATGCCATATGGTCAGACAGTGACCACAGTCCCTGAGTAAGCAGACCCAGTCAATGGGCCAGATGTGCAGGTGAGCATTCCCGCGCTTCTCGTGGGCACCAAGCCTGACATAGCAGTAGACTGGGGCGGGGAGACAGCATTTCCCACTAAACAAGGGCCCAGGCAGGGCTCCTGAGAACCAGAGGAAGCTGGAGACAGCTTGTTGCAGTCACTGGGTGGGGCGGGGCGGGGGGCATAGTTAAGAGCTTGGAAGCCCAGGGGTCCCATCAGAATGGGGACACGCATGGGGTCCCTGGGGCCCCAGAGCTGCCCTTTCCAGGCCCTCCCCACCTCCCACCTTGGGCTTGAGCCCCAGGATTCTGACTGTTTTCATGCCCTACATGAGCTCACCCTCTCAGAATTACTATCAGCAGTGACGGATTAGACAGGCTCCCACTAAACCCATTCCTGCCAAGGTCTGTAGAACTGGCGCTGGGTTCAGATAGCACCCTCTAGAGGTATTAGAAGGTAAATAGGCTAAAGTCCCTCTCCCCTCCCCTCCCCTCCACTCCCCTATTTATTGAATCACTCAGGCCAGAAAAGTCTTCACAGAGAGATGACTTGGGTCCTGAATGCTGAGCTGGAGTTTGCTGGGTTGGAGATTGGCAGAGGAGGGCTGTCTAGGATTCTAGGCAGACAGGAATGAGCAGATATGAAGCCTAGGAAATGTTTCTGGGGTTTGTGCAGAGGGTGGACCTAAGGCAGGAGAGGTTGGGGAGAGGAGGAGATGGTGAGAAGAGGGCTGTTTGGAGGGAGAAAGCCATGGCAACCCCAGAGCAGGGTGGCTTAATGCGCAGAGCAGGCACCTCTGGCTCACGTCACACATCAGGGTGGGTGTCGAGCCGGAGCCTGCCCAGGGTCCTCCCACTCTGTGGCTCTGCCACCACTCAGAACTGGAAATGGGGCTGGAGGACAGAGAAAGAACAGAGGCTCTTGGGGAGGCTTTCATGGCCAGGTACGTGTCCCTGACATCCCTATTTCATCAGTCACGTAGCCACATCTAGCAGAGAGGCAGGAAATGTGATCTTGCCGGGTGACCAGAAGAACAAGAAATGAGTTTAGTGAACTTGCCACTCTCGCCCCAATGAGTGGAGATAGGGACCTATCCTCAGGCATTGGCCATGGGGCTGGAGGAGAGGGGACAGAACTAGAAATACTGCCGAGCATTTGAGAGGATGGGGCAGGGGAGAGTTGGTGATGACTCTAGGTTTCAAGGTTGAGCAGCTGGGCTGTAGGGGATGTCCTGACTTAAGTCAGGCTAGAGTTTCATGAACTTTGGTCATTCTGTCACTACTGTCACGCTTGTGTTTAACCCACTCACTATGATGTATTTAATGCATTTCTGTAAATCAGCTCACATGTTAATTAGCTTTTGGCTTTACAATCAGCTAGTGTGAAATCATGGATTTGGCGTGCTTGTTATTGTGTTTTGAAATATACGATAAAATGGCCATTCACTCAAATAAATATGTGTTCTGATACCATCGAAATCATCTAATGATGCAGGGGTCAGTGAACTTCCTATAAAGGGCCAGATAGTAAATCCTGTAGGATTTGAAGGCCAGTTCCCACAGCTCAGCCCTGCCATTGTTCCGTGAAAGCAGCCACAGATGATACACAAATAAACGGTCTTGGCCGTGCTCCAGTAGAACTTAATTTACAACAACAGGTGGTGTGCTGGATTATCCCCTGGCTTGTAGCCGGCTAGCCCCTGTAACAGGGGGTGCGCACTGCACTTGGCGAGCATTGAGGGAGGGACGTGGGAGGAGGAGATGTAGGTTGTGGGCAAAACCACAGTGGTTTCCAGGATGTTGAGTCTGAGGTCTCTGTGGATGTCCTTGTGGAGCTGTCTGGTTGGAATTCTGGCTCTGGATGTGACTGTAGGGAGTGTCACAGAGAGAGATGGTGACGGGGACATCACCATTGGTTAGGGATGGATGAAGCCATGGCCTGAGCATGAATGGGGAGACTGGAGGGCAGTGGTTTGAGGAGCCACATGGGTGAGAAAGGGGTGGCAGGAAGTGGTGGCCGCCCTTTCTTGCAGGGAGGCTGTGAAGTATGAGCAGATTGAAGGATAGACCTGAGCACATTTGTGGGTCGGGAGAAAGGAGCCCACAGCAAGAGGCCAGGTAAAGATGAAGAGAGAGGGGACAGTTGTCCAAACGAGGGCCGGGGGGTCATGGAAGGGGAGGTGTCCAGGGCACAGGACAGGGAAGGGCGAGCCTCAAGGAATGAATCTGCAAGAGGGTGGGAGCAGGTGGGAGGTCCTCCTGGGGGCTCCTGTCATACTCCTGGGGCGGCCACCACTGTGTCACAGTTCCCTCTCAGACTGTAAGGTGGGATGTCTCCCCTCAGCATGGCTGCCACTTCTGGAACTGTACGAACTCCTGTGTCAGCTGAGGACACGGGGCCTGAGTGCTGTTACTACTGCATTGATGTGTTCCTCGAATCAAACCTAGAGAAATGAGCTGGGTATGGAAGCACATGGCATTTACCTTCTCTTTCCCCCACTTTTCCCCAGAAACTCCATGTTGCCAATGTGCTGGAAGATGACCCCGGCTACCTACCTCACGTCTACAGCGAGGAAGGGGAGTGTGGAGGGGCCCCATCCCTCAGCTCTCTGGCCAGCTTGGAACAGGAGTTGCAACCTGATTTGCTGGACTCTTTGGGTTCAAAAGCGACTCCGTTTGAGGAAATATATTCAGAGTCAGGTGTTCCTTCCTAAAAAAAAAAGTCTATTTTGGAGAATTGAAATAATTCATGGAAGGGAATCACTATTCAGGGATTTTTCCCCTTTGCTCTTCTTTTCCCTCCTTAAAAGAAAAATTACCTTCTAGTCCTAGGATGAGGACACACTATTAGTTTGAATTAAATGCTTTGATATTCTCAGATCAGCCATCTTGAACCAAAGCAAAACCACAAGTTACACTTTCTTAAAATTTGATTTGTCATATTTTCTAGAGAAACTTGAATTTAATTGTGTTATTCTTAGCTTCCACTGGCAGCCTAGCTTTGAGGGTAAATGAAAATATAACCCATAGATTACCCAGCCACTTGGGAACAGCAGGTAATACTGAAGAAAAATAAAAATAGATTTTGAAAACGTTACTTACATTTCTATGATTATGATTCTGCTTCCATTTAAGGGAAAACTTAGGTAAATAGAGAAATTTTTTCTATAACATTTGTAGTCAGTATTTGAAGTGATTTTTTAAAAAATAAGTATTGGTCCCTGTTCACTTTTTGATTAGATAAATAGATAAAATATGTTATCTTGAGAAAAATGATTATGCTGAAAGCTTTATAAACAGTATACTCTTTAAAAAATGAAGAGCTGACATAATTTAACTTGTATGTATTATGTAAGTAAAAGAGTTAGGAGCCTTTGAATGAGTAAGTTCTGATTAGATTTTATCTTTAAACAAAACCACAAAATTTAATTGGTTTTTACTTGTCCACTTACTGCTAGTGTCAGTTTCAGGGGAAGAAATGGTTTCTTTTAAAAATCTTAATAGGGGACATATGCCCTAAAAATAGTCAGTTTTCTAGTCTGAGTAATAGATAAGAGACTGACTAAGCAAAGTTTAAAATGCTATTTGGACACTTTAATGCACATATTGGATATCTAAAAGTCTACAGCCATATAAAAATTTTATATAATTAATGAGCAAATGCCGTCTCTCATGCCCTAAAATAAATCAGTAGAAACATGTTTGCTGGTGAATCAGTGAAGCATTATGTTAAACAGTGAGTTACAGCTCAGAGTTAAAACTTTCTCCTTCTTTTTGAAGAAGCTGTGCAAATACTTCTTTTTAAGGAGATCTGGCCTTTTCCTACCTGGTTACCTCAGTCTTCCTCTGCTTTGGGAAGCTGAAAAAGAAGAAAAATCACATTTAAAGCACTGGAATGTCTGAATGGGACGCTTGAATGTGTAGAACAGCTGTACTGATCCTAGCATGACTCAGAGGACAGTCTAGGGCATTTTCTGGGTAATTCAGGATAAAAGTATTTTTTTTTTTAAGAAAAATACATGTTTTTGGACAACAAAACAAAGTAAACATTAGTTTATTCGATTGCCTCCTTATACTTGCCTCTTTCATTCTGTCCCCTGTAGATTTTTAAAAAATTATCTCATTTTAAAACTTTATTATTTCATTTTAAATAATTGACATATAATAATTGTACATATTTAGGGGGTACATAGTCATGTTTCAATACATTTACAGTGATCAGATCAGGGTGGTTAACGTAATCATTGGCTCAAACATTTTTCATTTCTTTGTATTGGTACGGAGCATTCAATATCCATCCCCCTTCTAGCTATCTAAAACTATGTATTATTGTTAACTATAGGCAACATATAATGGTATAGAGTGCTAGAACGTATTCCTCCTAGGAATAATTTGCTGTAATTTTGTATCCTTTAATAAATCTCTCCCTATCCCTCTTTCCCCCCACCCTTCCCAGCTGCTGTGTCCTCTGTTCTACCTTCTACTTCCGAGATAAACTTGGTTTTAGCTTCCACATATGTGTGAGGACATGTGATTTTCAACTTTCTGCAGCTGGCTTATTTCTCTTAACATAATGTCCTCCAGCTTCATCCATGTTGCCATAAATGACAGAATTTTTTTATTTTAGTGGCTGAATAATATTTCATTGTGTATATATACCATGCTTTCTTCATGCATTCATCTGCCTTTGGACAGCTAGGTTGATTCCACATCTTGGCTATTGTGAATAGTGGTGTAATAAACATGAGGTGCAGATGTCTCTTCAAAATACAGATTTCCTTTCCTCTGGACAAATGCCCAGTAGTAGGATTTTTGAATTATATTGTAGTTCTATTTGTAGAGTTTTTGAGGAACCTCCATACTCTTCTCCAAAGTGCCTGTACTAATTTACATTCCTACCAACAGCGTATGGGTTCCCTTTACTCAGCAACCTCACCAGCATTTGCTTTCTTTTCTTTATTTAATTTAATTAAAAATTTTGTTTGAGACAAAGTCTCACTTTATTGCCCAGGCTGGAGTGCAGTAGTGCAATCTCAGCTCACTGCAACCTCTCCACTTCCTGGGTTGAAGCAATTCTCCTGTCTCAGCCTCCCAAGTAGCTGGGACTTCAGGCATGAGCCACCACGCCCAGTTAATTTTTTGTATTTTTAGTAGAGATGGGGTTTTGCCATGTTGGCCAGGCTGGTCTCTATCTACTGACCTCAGGTGATCCGCCCACCTCAGCCTACCAAAGTGCTGGGATTAAAGGTGTGAGCCACTGCATCTGGCCCAGCATTGGCTATTTTTGACTCTTTGATAGTAGCTATCCTAACTGGGATGAGATAATACCTCATTGTGGGTTTGATGTGCCTTTTCCTGACCATTCATGATGTTAAGCAGTTTTTCATATATTTTTTGGCCATTTTATGTCTTTTGAGAAACATCTGTTCAGATCATTTACCCATTTTAAAATTGGATTCTTTTTATTTTGCTGTTGAGATATTTGAGCTCCTCGTGTATTCCAGATAATAACCCCTTATTGGATAAATAGTTTGCAGATATTTTCTCCCATTTTGTACGTTAACTTTTCACTCTGTAGTTTCCTTTGCTGTGCAGAAAATTTTTCGTTTGATATAATCCTATTTGATTATTTTTGCTTTTGTTGTCTATGCTTTCGAGGTCTTACTCATAAGTTTTTTTACAAGACCAATTTCCTGAAGCATTTTCCCTAGATTTTCTTCCAATAGTCTTATAGTTTTGGGTCTCACATTTAGGTCTTTGATCCACTTTGAGTTGATTTCTGTATAGGGTGAGAGAGGGGAGTCTAGTTTCATTCTTCTGCATATAGATACCTACTTTCCCCAGCACCATTTGTTGGAAAGACTATCTTTTCCTCAATGAATGTTCGTAGTCTTTTTGTCAAAAATCAGTTGGCTAAAGATATGTGTATTAATTGCTTGAGTCTGTATTCTGTTTCATTTATTGATGTGTCTGTTTTTATAGTACC